>NC_000004.12:175171381-175796381 GCF_000001405.40 Homo sapiens
TTTTTTTTACCAGTGACAAATTCATCTTCCCAAAACATACCTCTACTCTTATCATTTTCTTGCTTGAACCAGGTAGCCATACAACACTTCTTAATTTATTTCCTTTTCTTTTCTTTACAATTTCACAACTAATGCTATAAAGGCACACTTAATTGCAAACAGCTGGGGAAACCATCCTTCTTGTCTATTCATATATTTACATGGAAGAACATTGATTAGGACAACACCCATGTCTTCTCTCAACTTTCTGAACCACTTTTCTCCAAGAGAGCAGGAGAAACTTCTCATTTGTAATCTCAGGAGGAATGATTATACATGTTTGACATAGCCCCGTTTTGCTTTGTTTGTGGAAGCTAGCTTTCTACGGGAAGCGCTCATTTGTGTTTAACATCATATATTTAACAGTTTTGAAAATATTCTTTCTCTATATTTCATTCTAAAATTTTTTCTCTCTGAAGTGATTCATACAAATATTAACTGGGTGTATGGAGTTCCAGGATCAAGTTATTTTGTTGAGACAATTAAATTAAATTCATTTAATCTACTTACTCTACAAGCTTCTTCCTACTGATTTTTGACTTCTGTGACTAATAGAATAAAACATACAGGAAATTACAGTTCTCTTCCTATGCCTTTAAATCACTTTAAATTGCTTTAAATTGGGAGTGTATGGAACTCACAGGTTTTTCCTACATATTGTTGGAAGCCTTTCTGAAAAATACCATTTATAGTAAGAAAGACTGTCGCTGATGTGTACTAACGTGCTCAATTGTATGCAAGTGTGGAACTTTGGAATAGAAGTGGGTAACTGACAAGAGAACGGGTCCTGCCAGAGAAAAAAGAATAATGAGTATGATAAGAAAGGACAAGAAAATGTACATGTATATCTGTGCCTGACTTATTTCACTTAGCATAGTGTTCTCCAAGTTCATTCATGTGGTTGCAAGTGACAGAATTTCCTTCTTTATCAAGACTGAATCGTAAATTATATACACATACCACATTCTCTTTATGCATTCATTGACTGATAAGCCCTTAGTTTGTTTCCGTATCTTGGCTAATGTGAATAATGCCACAATGAACATGGGAGTGCAGGTATCTCTTTGACATACTGATTTTAATTCTTTTAGATAAATATCCAGAAGTGGTACTGCTAGATTACTGGCTAATTGTATTTTTAGTTTTTTGAGAAACCTGCACAATGTTCACCATAACAATTTTACAGTTGCATTCTCACCAACAGTGTATCAGGGTTCCCTTTTCTTCACATCCTCACCAACACTTGTTAACTTTCATCTTTTTGCTAGGAGCCATTCTAACAGGTGTGAAGTGATACCTTGTTTTGCAACTTTAATTTGCTTGTCCCTGGTGATTAGTGATGGTAAGCATTTTTTAATAAACTTTGGTCACTTGTATGTTGCCTTTTTTTTTTGGAGATGGAGTTTTGCTCTTATTGCCCAGGCTGGAGTGCAATGGTGCCATCTTGGCTCACTGCAACCTCCACCTCCTTGGTTCAGGTGATTCTCCTGCCTCAGCCTCCTGAGTAGCTGGGATTACAGGCATGTGCCACCATGCCTGGCTAATTTTCTATTTTTAGTAGGGACAGAGTTTCTCCACGTTGGTGAGGCTGGTCTCGAACTCCTGACCACCCGCCTTGGCCTCCCAAAGTGCTGGGATTACAGGTGTGAGCCACCGCACCCAGCTGTATGTTTTCTTTTGAGGAATGTCTATTTAAACCTTTGCTAATTTCTTAATTGGATTATTTTCCTTGCTATTGAGTTGTATGAGTTCCTTAGTTTGGATATTAACCCTTTACCAACTGTATGGTTTATCCCACTTATGTGTGTAATTGAAAAAAGTCAAACTTATAGAACTGGAGAGTAGAATAGTAGTTATCAAAGGTTGGGGAAATATTGACCAAATGGTACAAAATTTCAGATAGACAGGAAAAATAAATTATTGAGGTCTATTGCACAGCATGGTGATTATACTTAATAAAAATGTATTGTGTATTTTGCTAGAAGAATATCTTTTAAATGTTCTCACCACAAAAAAATGAAAAGCATACAAAGTGATGGGTATGTTAATTTGTTTGATTAATCATACCACCCTGTATACAAATATATCAAAACATCACATTGTATTCCACAAATATATACATTTATTTTTAAAATGTGTGCTAGTGAAAAAAAATATATCATCTATTTTGTACCTGTGAGAGCAAGTTCCTTTGGTCATGGATCCCAACTATTTTTGTAGTGCCAGAATAGACACTGTGGGCAATAGGAGACCTTGTCCAGTCAAGTCCTCTTTATATTTCTGAAACTCTTACTTTGCTGTCCTATTATTATGCATTTAATCTTGGAGGAAGTGTAGGAGGGTGAGTATGGGTGAGTTGGTATGTATAGAACGTTCCTGTCATTTGACAGTCATAAGGATCAGTATTTAGGCTTATTTCCATTGAGGTTTGATTTTTATGTATTTACTTCTTTTGTCTCAGTACTCTTAATGTGGAACTAAGCATTGGGATGTAATAATAGGGAGTCTTATTACACAGAGCTTCTTCCTAAGCTGCATTCTTGGTCTTTGAATTTATTTTGCATATTAAGTTTTTCTAACAGCTTGTGGGCAATGGAAAACACTTTTGAGGGACCCAGAGTTACTCAGCTTCTCCTCTTGAAGATCTTCTAAAACATTTTCATTCTCATTGAATTAAAAGTGCTTTTCAACTGTATTCTAAGGGTTTTTCTGGAAGATTAATACACATATATTATCAATGAACTCTATGGTCAATGTACATGAATGCATTTCGGAGCTGAATTTCCAGAAACAGTTTTCTAAGTAATCTTATAAACTACATTTTATTGCAATGGCTTCTGTTTCTTAGACTTTCTCATAAAGAGAAAATAATTTGAAATTTATCATGCAGAAATTGTATTACAGTAGTCTTAGGACACATAAAATGAGACAGTATAAGACATATAAAGGATTGCTATAGTTAGGATTTAAAATGCATGAACTATAAATCTTTTCATGCTCAAATTTGAGGCTACTTCCATGATAGATGCTCAATAAATATTGGTTGAGCATTGATTTCCCCTTCTGAGTCATTCTTCCTGTTCTATAAAACATATGCCATGTTTTCCATACTGTAGACTTTCCAGCCTGTCTCTACCCATGGACGTTTGCTGGTATAATTGTCTGTTTTCATTGTGTATTTGCTCACTCTTTCAGTACAAAATGATATCAATGCTTAAAACAAAAGTATTGGCTTCTGATGTACCTATTTTTAATCTGTTTCATTAAACAAAAGCCATACTGACTATTCTCTTGGGTTCATGGTGAGACTGCTGGGAGACAACCACCTTATGATTCCTAGAAGCTCTATTGTTTAATAACATTCTATTCATCAGTAGTGAGTCAATAAGATCAGTTCTTATTCTAGGAAAGAGGACTAAAACTTCAATTATGTACAAGTGAAGGGCCAAAGAATTTGCAAATATATTTAGAATGTCCATGCCATGAAAATTTAATTTTGTTTTCAATTTTTTTTGCAGACTTAATTCAGATTGTAGATAAGTTAGAATATCTAAGTTAGCTTGATTAAAAAGTAAGTAAAATATTACATTATTTATTTTGAAAATTTAGAAAATTGAGTGAAGTGTGTCCCAGTTTCTTATCAATCTTTCATCTTGGGATGTTAGGACACCAATGTATTGGAGATGAAATGAGAAACTATATCCGGAAGAGTTATATAACTAGGAACATTTTATAAAATTATAGTATAGAACTACCATCAGCATCAGGAAGAATCTTCCTTAATTGGTTGTAATCCCATACTAAATTGACTATGCTATAATAAACTGCTTTTCCTTGAAAGACAGGAATAATCATTTTTTAAAATATATTTTAAGGCTATTGTAATGAGAAGTTTTGCTTTCCTATGAATTTTATTTTATTCTTTCTGTGTCCTAATTTTTCTTAACCTGAAGTGCAAGACATGAATGTCATCTAGCACTATCTGCATTTAAATTGTGACCATTTTATTAATTATAGCTTTTGGTAAAATCACAATATAATAACATTATGAAATCTTTCACTTCTTTGTATAGTACCAGCTTTTCTTAATGCCAATTAATGTATTTAATCATGTAAATTTATTTAAAAATAACTAAATTTGTACATGACTGTCACATTATGAACTCCAAATATAATTTCACTGAAATTATTTTTCACTCTAATATTTGAATTTCATGGAAATTACATGGTCATTACCTTCATCTCCTGGCCAATAATCTCTAGCAAATAAAAATGTTAATAAATGTGTTCATGTAGATTTTAGCTATATAGTTACTTTTGTGCTGAGGTGTAAAATATCTGGGTAATGAAAATATTTTTGTTTGTTTGTTTAACCAAAGGGCACAAAGATAAGTTAGTCAATTCTATAGCTGATAGTGAAGACATCTTTATAACAAAAGTTTCTTAAGTTAATCGCTTAGCATACTCAAACAACTTTAGCCATTTTCCACTTTCCTTCACACTCATTCTACCATTTCCAGTGATCATTTTGCTTTTGATCAATGTCCAGTAGTCCGAAACCTTTCCAGTAATGCTTATTCAAGTGTGTTTCACATTAATGATCTTGGTCTGCTAGAAAACCAATTACACATTCTTACATTTAATCTCGGCTCTGTAATGGATAGTGTTTTCCTTAAAGATGTGCCAGCGGTGGATTGTCGCAAGCACAGCAGCACACAAAGCTGTGATTGCTTTAAGAAAAATGGTCCAAGCAAGACGTTACATAAAAACTCTGGAAATCAATCAAAGTAGTGAAGTAATTTGTCATTATTTTCTTAGCTTTAAAAAAGTGTATTTACTTTTGCTCTAAAATCTCAAAGACAGACTGTGTATGTTATCTAAGGAGAGTAAGTTAAAAAATATATATTCCATGTGTTTTTGGAAAAAATCAGGCAAGATTATGAGACAAAAATCAATCTTCATTTTTAATTAAATGTCTAATATATGCATAAGACTGCATCATGACATAAATAACACTATTTGAATTATGTGGAGAAGAGAATATTTATAGACCTTAAGTAATTATAATTATTTTGAAAAGATACGTAGACATTAATGGCTACCTCCGTGAGAAAGCAGTTAGAAATCTGGAAGAAAAGAATGATTTACTTTCCTTTTCATACCTTATTGTTCTTACATATGCTTATTTTACTTTATCATTTAAAACCCTATTTAACCAAATAACAAATATTGAATCCCAAACCAGTTGATCTTTATTGTGTTAATACATAGGAAATCATTAAAAGAAAAACTTTAGATGAATTAAATTTAAGAGTTTAATTGAGCAAAGAACAATTTGTCAATCAGGCAGTCCTCAGAACCGGAAGAGGTTCAGAGAATTCTGCTCCACAACATGGGCTGGCAGCATTCATGAACAGAAAACAAAACATGAGGTAGAGAAACAATTTGGTTAGTTACAGCTCCACGTTTGCCTAATTTGAACATGGTCTGATCAGTTGGCCACCTGTGCTTGACCTAAGCTTAACTACTGTGATTGGCTGAGGCTCAGCTATTTGTTACAAAAGTGTAGTCCTAAAGTACGCTTTCAGTTAGTTTATGTACTAAGTTAGGTTGCAGTTTTTACATAAGAACTCACAATATGAAGGCATCCTCAGGCCAAATTTAGTTTAACAGAATAACGTACTGCTATCAACATTAAACATAGCTAAATAATTTTAGAGAATTATTACTCAGGATTGTGAAAGCACAGAAGTAGAAATTGACTAAACAAAGTATAGGGGCCAAAGTATTTGGTACATAAGATACCTCAATCTGTAGGACATTAAAATATCTAATTCTTTCTGAGAAAAATATTCCATTGGACCTTAGTCAGTGAAACTGGTACTGGAAAGGCTACACCTTTGAAAATAAGAAAGATACACACATTTTGAGTCAGAACAGTCTTCTAAGCATCTATATTGAGTTCATGGCAATTCTTCAGTGGTCTCTCTTTACTAACAGAAATCTTTCAAAACTAAAATTGAGAAAAATAATATTCCATGTGCATGAGATTTCTTCTATGAGTAGTATTTATGCATCTTAGAATTTGAAATAATGTGAAATGTAGTTAATTTAGTGTATATTTATGTTAAATATTTAAGAATCTGTGTGACAGAAGAAAGTTATACTCTTTTACTTGTATTTATTTTTAATTTTTTCTATCTTATAATGTATTCTAAGTATGTTAATTAGTAGCATTTCTTTTCTTTTTTTTTCTTTTTTCTCTTTTTTTTTTTTTTTTCTGAGACAGGGTCTAGCTCTCTCACTCAGGCTGGAGGGCAGTGACGTGATCTCAGCTCACTGCAACCTCCGCCTCCAAGGATCAAGCGATTCTCATGCCTCTGCTTCCTGAGTAGCTGGGACTGCAGGTGCATGCCACCACACCTGGCTAATTTTTATATTTTTAGTAGAGATGGGGTTTTGCCATGTTTGCCAGGCTTGCCTTGAACTACTGTTCTCAAGTGATCTGCCTGCCTCAGTCTTGCAAAGTGCTGTGATTACAGAAGTGAGCCACTGTGCTGGACCAATTAATAGCACTTCAACTGAAACTTATAATAAAGTTTCTGATATCCTAAAATCTGAAACATTTAGTTTCTCTGACATATCTTACTTCAGACCCTGGTGCTTCACTCGTGTTTTTCTATTAAGGACTTCTATACAAATGCTTATTTATCAAATGCATCAATTTAGAATAAAATATCTATAAATTAATAATTAAATATTTTAAGTATATCTGAAAAACATATTAAGACCTTAGACAAATTACTATTTTTAAAAGTATTTATAATTCTCTTGGCTGACTGGCCAATAACAGTTGAGTTCTTACCTTGAATGAAGCCTTGTGCTATATGCTTTGAATATATTTTTTTCATTATTCCTCACAACAAATTTAGTTTGTTGTCAGTGGGGCAGTTCAGGTTCTTGACGGCTGCATAAAAGTATTTGAGAGCGGGTCCAAAGTGAAAGTAGGTAAAGAAGTTTATCACAAAGTGAAAGTACACTCTGACAGCTTATCTAAGCGGGCTTCTCAAAAGTGAAAGAGCACTGACATGGGGAAACTCTCTTTATGAGAGTCTTACATAATTATTCATGAAGGGATGGGAATGAGCATTGCTGTTAAGTATGTTGTGGGTGGTCTCCTGGATGCACATGCGCTACTGCTGTACATGCTAGTACGTACATTGCATGTCTCATTAGCATTTTAATTCTCCACCCAGAGGTGTGGGGTTTTTAAAAATTTAATTTTATTTTAAGTTCCAGGGTACATGTGCAGGATGTGAAGGTTTGTTACATAGGAAAACGTGTGCCATGATGGTTTACCGCACCTATCAACCCATCACCTAAGTATTAAGCCCAGCATGCATTAACTATTCTTCCTGATGCTTTCCTCCCACTCCCCACCACCCAACAGGCTCCAGTGTGTGTTGTTTCCCTCCCCGTGTCCATGTGTTCTCATTTGTTCAGCTACCACTTATAAGTGAGAACACGCAGTGTTTGGCTGTCTGTTCCTGCATTAGTTTGCTGAGGATAATGGCGTCCAGTCCCATCCATGTTCCTGGAAAGGACATTATTTCATTCCTTTTTATGGCTGCATAGTATTCCATGGTGTATATGTACCACATTGTCTTTATCCAGTCTATCATTGATGGGCATTTGGGTTGATTCCATGTCTTTGCTACTGTGAATAGTGCTGAAATAAAAATGTGTGCATGTATCTTTATAATAGAATGATTTCTACTCTGTTGTGTATATACCCAGTAATGAGACTGCTGGGTCAAATGGTATTTCTGGTTCTAGGTCTTTGAGGAATTGCCACATTGTCTTCCACAATAGTTGAACTAATTTACATTCCCAACAGTGTAAAAGTGTTACTATCTCTCTACAGCCTTGTGAGTATCTGTTGTTTCTTGACTTTTTAAATAATCTCCATTCTGACTGGCATGAGATGGTATCTCATTGTGGTTTTGATTTGCATTTCTCCAATGATCAGTGATACCGTTTTTCATGTTTGTTGGCTGCATAAATGTCTTCTTTTGAGGAGTATTTGTTCATGTTCTTTGCCCACTTTTTAATAAGATTGTTTGTTTTTTCTTGTAACTTTAAGTTCCTTGTAAACTCTGGATATTAGAACTTTGTCAGATGGATAGATTGCAAAAATTTTCTCTTATTCTGTAGGTTGTTTGTTTGTTCTAATGATAGTTTCTTTTGCTGTGCAGAAGCTCTTTAGTTTAATTAGATCCAGTTTGTCAATTTTTGCTTTTATTGCAATTGCTTTGCTGTTTTTGTCAAGAAATCTTTGCCCATGCCTATGTCCAGAATGGTATTGCCTATATTTTTCTTCTAGAGTTTTTATAGTTTGGGATTTTACATTTAAGCTCTTTAGTTTAGATCCCAGCTGTCAATTTTGGCTTTTGTTGCAATTGTTTTTGGTGTTTTAGTCATGAAGTCTGCCCATGCCTATGTCCTGAATGGTATTGCCTAGGTTTTCGTCTAGGGTTTTTATGGTTTTAGGTCTTATGTTTAAGTCTGTAATCCATCTTGAGTTAATTTTTATAGAAGATGTAATGAAGGAATCCAGATTCACTTTTCTGCATATGACTAGGCAGTCCTCCCAGCACCATTTATTAAATAGGGAGCCCTTTCCCCATTGCTTGTTTTTGTCAGATTTGTCAAAGATCAGATGGTTGTAGATGTGTAGTATTATATCTGAGTTCTCTGTTCTGTTCCATTGGTCATATGTCTGTTTTTGTACTAGTACCATGCTGCTTTGGTTACTGTAGCCTTGCAGTATAAAGTCAGGTAGAGTGATTCCTCCAGTTTTGTTCTTTTTGCTTAGGATTGTCTTGGCTATATGGGCTCCTTTTTAGTTCCATGTGAATTTTAGTTCCATGTGAATAGTTTTTTTCTAATTCTGTGAATAATGTCAATGGTAGTTTAAGGGGAATAGAATTGAATCTATAAATTGCATTGGGCAGTATGGCCATTTTCATGATATTGAATCTTCCTATCCATGAGCATGGAATGTTTTTTGATTTGTTTGTGTCCTCTCTGACTTCTTTGAGTAGTGGTTTGTAATTTTCCTTAGAGAGGTCCTTCACCTCCCTTGTTATCTGTATTCCTAGGTATTTTATTCTCTTTGTAGCAATTGTGAATGGGAGTTCATTCATGATTTGGCTCTCTGCTAGTCTATTGGTGGTGTATAGGAAGGCTAGAAATTTTTGCACATTGATTTTGTATCCTGAGACTTTGCGGAAGTTTTTTATCAGCTTAAGAAGCTTTTGGACTGAGATAATGGAGTTTTCTAGATACAGGATCATGTCATCTGAAACATACACAATTTGACTTCCTCTCTTCCAATTTGGATACCCTTTATTTATTTATCTTGCCTGACTGCCCTGGCCAGAACTTCCATTACTATGTTGAATAGGAGTGATGAAGGAGGGCATTCTTGTCTTGTGCCAGTTTCCAAGTGAAATGCTTCCAGTTTTTGCCCATTCAGTATGATATTGCTGTAGGTTTGTCATAGATGACTCTTATTATTTTGTGGTATTTTCCTTCAATACCTAGTTTATTGAGAGTTTTTAACACGAAGGGATGTTGAATATTATCGTATGTTCCTTCAATACCTAGTTTATTGAGAGTTTTTAACATTAAGGGATGTTGAATATTATCAAAGGCCTTTTCTGGGTCTATTGAGATAATCATGTGGTTTTTGTCCTTAGTTCTCAATATGTGATGAATTATATTTATCGATCTGTGGTTTGTTGAACTAACCTTGCATCTTGGGGATGAAGCCAACTTGATTGTGAGTGATAAGCTTTTTGATGTGCTGCTGGATTTCATCTGCCAGTATTTTACTGAGGATTTTTGCATTAATATTCATCAGCGATGAAGTTTTCATTTTTACAATATTCATCAGTGGTTTGAAGTTTTCATTTTTTGTTATATCTCTGCCAGGTTTTTGTATCAGGATGATACCAAAATGATTTAGGGAGGAGTCCCTCCTTTTCAATTGTTTGAAATAGTTTCAGAATAAATGGTACCAGCTCCTCTTTGTACCTCTGGTAGAACTCAACTTTAAATCCATCTGGCCCTGGGCTTCTTTTATTGGTTGGTTGGCTATTTATTACTGCCTCAATTTCAGAACGCATTATTGGTCTATTCAGTGATTCAACTTCTTCTCGGTTCAGTCTTGGGAGGATGTATGTGTCCAAAAATTTGTCCATTTATTCTAGATTTTCTAGTTTATTTGCACAGAGGTGGTTATAGTATTCTCTGATGGTCATTTATATTTCTGTGGGATCAGTGGTGATATCCCATTTATCATTTTTTATTGTTTCTATTTTATTCTTCTCTCTTATTAGTCTAGCTAGTGGTCCATCTGTTATTTTTTTTTCAAAAAATCAGCCCCTGGATTCATTTATTTTTAGAAGGGTTTTTTTGCGTCTATATCTCCTTCAGTTACACTCTGATCCTGCTTATTTCTTGTCTTCTGCTAGCTTTGGGGTTTGTTTGCTCTTGGATCGCTAGTTCTTTTAGTTGTGATGTTAGGATGTCAATTTGAGATCTTTCTATCTTTTTGATGTGGGTACTTAGTACTATAAATTTCCCTCTGAACACTGCTTTAGCTGCATCACAGAGATTCTGGTACTTTGTCTCTTTGTTCTCACTGGTTTCAAAGAACTTCTTGATTTTTGCCCTTATTTCATTATTTCCCTAGGAGTCATTCAGGAGCAGGTTTTTCAATTTCCATGTAGTTATGTGGTTTTGAGTGAGTTTCTTAATCTTGAGTTCAAATTCGATTACACTGTGGTCTGAGAGACTGTTTCTTATTATTTCAGTTCTTTTGCATTTGCTGAGGAGTGTATTACTTCCAATTATGTGATCAATTTTAGAGTAAGTGCCATGTGGTGCCAATAAGAATGTATATTCTGTTGTGCTTTGGTGGAGAGTTCTGTAGATATCTATCAGGTCCACTTAATTCAGAGCTGAGTTCAAGTCCTAAATATTTTTGTTAACTTTTTGTCTCAATGATCTGTCAAATACTGACAATGGGGTGTGAAATTCTCCCACTATTATGATGTGGTAGTTCTCTAAGAACTTGTTTTGTGAAACTGGGTGTTCCATGTATTGGGTGCATATATATTCAGGATAGTTGGCTCTTCTTGTTGAATTGAACACTTTACCATTATGTAATGCCCTTCTTTGTCTTTTTTGATCTTTGTTTGTTTAGTCTATTTTCTCAGAAACTAGGACTGCAACTCCTGCTTTTTTCTGCTTTCCATTTGCTTGGTAAATTTTCCTCCATCCCTTTATTTTGAGCCTATGTGTGTTTATGCATGTGAGATGGGTCTCTTGAATACAGCACACTGATGGGTCTTCTCTTTTTATACAGCTTGCCATTCTGTGTCTTTTAATTGGGGCATTTAATCCATTTGCATTTAAGGGTAATATTGTTATATGTGAATTTGATGCTGTCATCATGATACTGGCTAGTTATTTTGTGGACTTGTTAATGTAGTTGTTTCATAGTATCATTGGTGTGTGTCATTCAGTGTTTTCTTTTTTTTTTTTTTTGTAGGGGCTGATAATGTTTTCTGTGGTGGTTGTTGTTGTTTTTCTTCCATATTTAGTACCTCCTTCAGGAACTCTTGCAAGGCTTCCTTCAGGAACTTTGAAGTACTTCCTTCAGGAACTTAGGGTTAAGGTACGTGTTAATAGTCAACAGTACCATGTATTTATATGTATTCATTTGAAAGTTGAATGTATCATTCTTGAGTGCAGAAATTATTGCTCAAATAGGTTTTTGATGTGTTGGAGATACTGGGGTAACAATTCAGAAGAAGTCTTTATAATTATGGTACATATATAAAATGTTTATAATTTCTTGAGTATAGTGTATTATCTCAGAATAATTCAGAATGTTTCTAATTTAACAAAATAATTTGAAATATTTATCATTGTTCCTTTCATTTCAGTTTGCTTTTTTCTGTAACCTGTCTATTCATCATCATCATAAGTAATATAAACATAAAACAGATAACCACAAATGTATAAGATTGTTATATAATTTCTAAACACATTGATTTCCCTTCAGATTCCTAATTACATATTTCAAAAACACAATGTATTGATATTCCTTTATTACATTTTAACTCTAAAATCTGTTCCCTATAGTCCACTGCTTGCTCATACTATCATGAAACATTTGTATAGAAAACAGATCACCTATAACATGAGCAAATAATTGAAAGCTTGAAATACATTTCAAGAACCTGCTTTAATCTGTAAGCAAGAGGAAAGAGTTCAAGTTCCACAGCTAGGCAATGGAAAACAAACACTGTTGTATCATTTTAAAATCAAATATTGGAGGTGAATTTTAGAATATAATTCATCTTACTAACCTAACACAATAAAGTCTGGGGTAAAAATATCTTAACACATTTTAAATATATTTTTCATACAAATGCCTTGAACTTTTTTTGTATTTTGTGTATGTGTAATTGACATATTCCATCTTTATAAACTTAAGACTTGCTCTAATTGCATACAATAAGAGCCTGCAAGAGCCAGTGGTTACAAATTTGTAGTCAGCCCAAATCATGTTTAGTTTCCATACAAATGCTCTTAACTTTTGCATATTTTGTGATAGTAAACATTATCTTCATAAGGCATTTTATTAAACAAATACCAGTATTTGTTTAAAATATTACACAAAACAGGACAATAAATATTAATTGCAGAAAGAACCATCTGCGAAAACAATAAAAGTTTATGCTAATATTGATCTAGAGGAAAATAATGATTTTTTAAATAATTTCAACTTCTATTTTAGATTCAGGGGGCACATGTGCAGGCTTGTTACAAGGGTATATCGTATGGCACTGAGGTTTGGGGTACAAATTATACCTTCACCCAGATAGTGACCACAGCACCCAATAGGTAGTTTTTCAGTTCTTGCCTCCCCTCCTTCTCTCCCTCTTCTAGTAGTACCCAGTGTCTATTGTTTCCATCTTTATGTCTGTTTTTATACCTGATGTTCAGCTCCCACTTATAAGTGAGACCATACAGTATTTATTTTCTGTTCCTCAATTAATTTGCTTTAGATAGTGGCCTCCAGTTTTATATATGTTGCTGCAAAGGACAATATTTTGTTTGTTTTTGTGACTGCATAGTATTTCATGGTGTATATGTACCACATTTTCTTGATCCAGTTCATTGCTGATGGGCACCTAGGTTGATTTCACGTAACTGTTATTGTGAATAGTGCTGAAATGAACATATGAGGGCATGTGTCCTTTTGGTAGAATGATTCATTTTCCTTTGGGTATGTATCCAGTGATGGGATTGCTGGGCGAATTGTAGTTCTAAGTTCTTTGAGAAATTTCCAAACTGCTCTCCATAGCGGCTGAACTAATTTACATTTCTGTCAAGAGTGTATAAGTGTTCCTTTTTCAGTGTATAAGGTTCCATAACCTTGTCAACATCTGTTATTTTCTTCACTTTTTAATAATAACCATTCTGGCTGTTGTGAGATGGTATCTCCTTATGGTTTTGATTTCCATTTATCTGATGATTAGTGATATTAAGCATGTTTTCATATGCTTATTGGTTGCTTGTATTTCTTGTTTTGAAACATGTCTGTTTATGTTCTTTGCCAAGTTTTTCATGAGGTTATTTGGTTTTTGCTTGTTGATTTAAGTCACGTACAGATTCTGATAATAAGACCTTTGTCTTATGTATAGTTTGTGAATATTTGCTCCCATTCTGTAGGTTGCCTGTTTACTCTGTTGATTGTTTATTTTGCTGTGCAGAAGCTCCTTAGTTTAATTAGATTCCACTTGTCAATTTTCATTTTGGTTGCAATTGCTTTTAAAGGCTTAGTCATAAATTCTTTCCCAAGGCTGTGTGCAGAATGGCATTTCCAAGGTTTTCTTCTAGAATTTTTATAGTTTGAGGTCTTATATTTAAATCTTTTATCCATTTTGAGGTAAGTTTTGTATATGGAGAAAGACAGGGGTCCAGTTTCATTCTTCTGCACATAGCTAGCCAGTTATCACAGCACCATTTATTGAATAGGGAGTCCTTTCCCCATTACTTGTTAGCTTTGTCAAAGAAGAGATGGTTGTAGGTGTGTGGTTTTATTTCTGGCTTCTCTATTCTGTTCCATTGGTGCATGGGTTTTTGTAGCAGTACCATGCTGTTTTGGTTACCATAGCCTTATAATATAGTTTGAAGTCAGGAGATGTGATGCCTCTAGCTTTGTTCTTTTTCCTTAGGATTGCTTTGGCTATTCAAGCTGTTCTTTGGTATCCATATGGATTTTAGAGAAGTTATTTTTTTTTCTAATTCTGTGGAAAATGACATTATTATTTTGATAGGAATAGTGTTGAATCTTTAGGTTGCTTTAGGCAATGTGGCTATTTTAATGATACTGATTATTCTAATCCATGAGCATGGAATCTTTTTTCCAATTTTGCGGCATCTATGATTTATTTTGGCAGTGTTTTGTAGTCATTTTTGTAAACATCTTTTGCCTCCTTGATTAGATGTATTCCTAGGTATTTTGTGTGTGTGTGTGTGTGTGTGTGTGTGTGTGTGGCTACTGGAAATGCCTATTGCATTCCTGATTTGGCTTTCATCTTGATCGTTATTCATGGATAGATTTTGGTATGTTGTGTCTCTATTTTCATTTATTTCTAAGAATTTTTTGATTTCTGCCTTAATTTCATTGTATACCCAAAAGTCATTCAGGAGCAAGTTGTTTTATTTCAATGCAACTTTGTGGTTTTGAGAGGTCTTCTTGATATTGGTTTATAGTTTTATTCCCCTATGGTCCAATAATAGGTATGGCTGGCATGATTTTCATTTTTTAAATATTTATTGAGACTTGCTTTATGGCTGGGCATGTGGTTGATTGTAGAGTTTGTTCTGTATGCAGATGAGAATAATGTATTTTTTGTGGCTGTTGGATGGAGTACTCTTCGTCTCTTTTTTTAAGTATGAAATTTGGTTTGCACATATGCAAAAATAAAAATTTATAAAATATCTAAAAATAAATTTTAAAAAAGAATAATAAATATGTGTTCATATTGTGTTTATCAAATTATTAATCAGATAATTATACTAAGGTGATTTTTTTAAAAAGCAAGGGATAAATTAGCTAAACCTTAATTATGTGTTTTGAGAAGTGTAAAAAAAAATGGGCTAGATGCAGTGGCTCATGCCTGTAAACTCAGCACTTTGGGAGGCAGGGGCAGGAGGATTACTGGAGAATAGGAGTTTGACACCAGCCTAGGCAACATAACCCAGTCTCTACTAAAATTTTTTTAAAAATCAGCTGAGCATGGTGGCACACACCTGTAATCCTAACTACTCAGGATACTGAAGTAGGAAGACCCCTTGAGCCCAGAAGTTCCAGGTTGCAGTTAGCTATGATTATGCCACTGCACTCCAGCTTAGGTGATAGAGAGACACCCTGTCTATTAAAAAAATTCTAGAAAGGGAAGTAATGAAATCAAAATTGCCTTATCAGGTATTCAAAGGTAAACTAAAACTACAAATAAGAGTGTAGCACTGGTTTACGTGTGAGTTAAGAGAGATTAAAGGTACCTAAAATTTGCAAAAGTAGATAGAAAGCATATAGGTAGCATAATGATGGTACATTGTATAATAAATCATTGGGACTAAGATAAATATAGATGCACCAACTAAGTAGCTATCTAAAATTAAAATATTTTATCACTGTAACTTCCAAATATTTAAATGTAAATCTGAAACAAAAATATTACCAAAAGTAATGTATTTATAATTTCAAAGCCAAAAAAGCTACATTAGAATAAAACTAAGAAAACATCAAAAAATGTATATATATATATGTGATTACATTAAAATATGACATGATAATGTCACATGGCAAAAATATAGTAATGTCAAAAGTCAAACGAAAAGTGAGAAAAATTCAGTCCTTATTTCATAGAAGGACCTGATATATTTTTATAAAGAAAATCCTACAAATTAATTCAAATAATGATCTAAAAGCAAGAACAAAAACAGGTTTACAGAGAACAGAAATAGATATGGCTCTTTGGTATAAAAATTAATTCTCAGTATTATGTACAAGAAGACAAATTAAATTTTCAGAAACATGTCCTGCTTTGTCCCTCAGACTGGCAAAAATTATTATGCTGAATTGTGTTACTGTGATAACCGTAAATTATGGAAATATGTTGACAAGCAGATGAAAAAATTTTCACTCAAAACACTGCACATAGTATTAAAAATGTGTGTAATATCTTCTAAAGGCAATCCCCAAAAATAACAATTCACTGTCCATTTGGCTCAAGTCACCCTTGTCTAGGAATTTATCCTATAGAAATATGTGCAACTTCATGCAGTCATTCCTTACTTAGCATAAAAATTGCCAGGACAAAATGTATGGTTGTGTAGCTTATGCATGGCAAAAACAGGGTTGGTAGATGATTAATTTTATACATCAACCTGACAACACCATGAGGTGTGCAGATTAAGCATTATTTCTGGTCATGTCTGTGACGACATTTCTGAATGAGATTAGCCTTTGAATCGCTGGACTCAGTGAAGTAGATGGCCCTGCACAGTGTGGGTGAGCATATCCAATCTGTTGAAGGCTTGAGCATAGCAAAACTACTGAGGAAGGAGAAATTTGTGTCTTTTTCTTCCTGCCTGTCTGCATCACCTGGAATATTGGCTATGCCCTTGGTCTGGGATTTATACTACGAGCTCCCACGGTCCTCAAACCTTGGGACTCCAACTGGAATAATACACCAGTTTCCCTGAGCCTCCAGCTTGAAGACAGTAGATTGTGAGACTTCATCTCCATAACTGCATGAGCAAATTCCTCACAATTAATACAAATAAATAAATAAATAAAACCATTTTTTCCCCCTCTGAAAAACTCTGAATAATACAATTGGGCAAAAGAAAAATAAAGGCTCATATACAGGTGAGCCAGCTATATAAAGCCAGAAGAAGATATGCCTTTTTCTAAATAATATGCAAACCGTTAACAAGGCAGGGGAGACCTAAATTCTTTCCTATGGGGAAAAGAGGGGCTGAGAAATACAAATTTTATTCTGGTGGGACAGAAGTCTACTCAAAAATTAATTCAAGTACTAGGAAAAATCTTTAACAATGGGCATTATTTTGAAAAATTTTATTGTTCTACAACCTGATATTACTAAATTAAACTTAGGGAAATTGGACAAAATAAAGTTAAAGGTATATATTCCAAGGTTGGGTAAACTATACATAATCTAAAAATATTATCCTATTTAGCAAATATTTTAACATTGACACTATTTTCTCAAGTTGAAGGTTTCATAGTTAAAAATATGTACTTTGAAATATTATCAGTTCTCTAATAGCATCAGTTTCTGAAGGTTTTCATTTTTTATTTTTAGTCAATAGAATAGCAACTGAAAAATACTTCTTTATACTTTATAATGTAAATATTTTATAAAGTTGTTTGAAGTTTATAGTAGTAGTTGTATTTTTAGCAAAATATATTTAATACTTGTGGAAAATTTATTGTCATCATGGATATTTTAACATGTATAAACTTATAAATTTATATTTTAAACACTATACATTTCTGAGTGTTAAGTCTAATTCAACAAACATGTTTTGAGTCATTTAGGTCTGGTGCTAGGTAATTGGCATAAAAAGCCCCAAATGACCAGCATCTAATTTCAAATAAGTCAATGCTGACATGACGAATTCCACTTTTGTTTTTACTATACTGGCAGTCAAAGCTCTCAGAAATTGATAATGTAGTCCAACATCAATAATCATCGAAGTTTAATATTTAAATGCCAATTAACTTATAATATCAAGAATACAAGAGGATAAATAGAAAAGATGAATTCAAATTCTATAGAAAGTGTGACTATACATCAAAAACTATACATGTTTAAACCAATAAAGTATCTATTATTTTATACATTTTTACCTGTTATTTGAAAGTATATAGTTTTGGCAGTTTTTCTGTGGATTCCTTAGGGGTTTCTATATATAAGATCATATAATCTGCCAACAGGGACAATTTTACTTCTTGCTTATTTATTTGGGTGCCTTTTATTTCTTTTCCTTTCCTGATTCCTATGCTGAATAGAAGTGGTTTGAGTAGGTAATTGTCACCTTTCACTCTGTTAAAATGGTGTAGCAAATTAATAGATTTTTGTATGGTAAACCACCCTTGTGTCCTAAGGATAAATCCCATTTAGCCGTAGTGTGATCCTTTTAATGTGCTATTGAATTTGATTTATTACTATTTGGTTAAGGAATTTTGCATGTCTACCAGGGAGATTGTCGTGTAGTTCCAGCACTTTGGGAGGCCAAGGCAGGAGAATCACTTGAGGCTAAGAGTTTGAGACCAGCCTGGGCAACATAGGCAGACCCTGTCTCCACAAAAAACTTTAAAAACCATTAGCTGGGTATGGCAGTGCATGCCTGTAGTCCCAACTACTGGGGGACTCAGGTGGGAAGATCATTTGAGTCCAGGAGTTCAAGGCTGCAGTGGGCCATGATGGTGCCACTGCATGCCAGTCTGGGTGACAGAGCAAGATCCTGTCCCCCCCAAAAAAATTAAAAAGATAAAACAACAACAACAAAACCCTCTTAGTTTTGCTTCTTTTTTCTATTGTTTTTCTATTGTTGTATTTATTAATCTTTATTATTTTCTTCCTTCTGCTAACTTCGTATTTAGTTTGTTCTTTTGTTAGTTCCTTGGAATGTAAGGTGAGGTTGTTTATGTAAGATTTTTCTTATTTTTTAATGTAGGCATTGATCGCTATAACATAATCATTTAGTATTGCTTTTGTTGCATCCCAGGCATTTTGTATATTCTGTTTGGGTTTTTTTTTTTTTTTTGTCTTAATTTATTTCTTAATTCTCTTTCGATTTTTTGTTTGACTCAATGGTTGTTCAAAAATATGTTGTTTAACTTTAACCCATTTGTGAATTCTCTAGTTTTCCTTCTGCAATTGATTTCTAATTTCATTCCATTGTGGCTAGAAAAGATACCTGGTATGATTTCAATTTGGTAAGACTTGCTTTGTGATATAACATGCTATCTATCCTGGAGAATGTTTCATGCACCCTTGAGAAGAATGTGTATTCTGTGGTTGTTGGGTTAAAAGTTTTGTCTGTCTGTCATGCCCATTCGGTCTATAGTATTTTCAAGTCCAGTGTTTCTTTATTGATTATTTGTCGGGTGAATCTATCTATTATTAATAGTAGCTTATTGAAGCCCCTGGCATTATATTATTATTTTTCCCTTCAGTTCTGTCTTTGTTTGTTTTATATATTTAGGTGTTTTAACCAACAGAGAAATGAAACTGAAAACCACAATGAGACATCATGTCACACCTATTAGAATGGATATTAGAGTGAAAAAACAAATGCTAGCGATTATATGGAGAAAAGGGAACTCTTGTACACTGTTGGTGGGAATGCAAAATGGTGCACCTGCTATGGAAAATGGTATGGAGGTTCCTAAAAATAATTTAAAAATGGAACTACCAAATGGCCTAGCAATTTCACTTCTGGGTGTTGATTCAAAGTAATTGAAATATGTATCTCAAATAAATATTAACACTCCCATGTTCATTGTGGTGCTATTCACAACAGCTAAGATGTAGAAACAATCCCATGTTCATTGTGGTGCTATTCACAACAGCTAAGATGTAGAAACAATCTAAATGTTCATTGACAGATAAATTGATAAAGGTATGGTAAATATATAAAATGGAATATTATTTAGCCTTAAAGAAGAATAAAATCCTACAATATGCAACAACATGGATAAAAATTAGGACTTTATGCTAAGTGAAATGTCAGTCACAAAAGGACAAATACTGAAAGATTCCAGTTATGTGACCTATCTAAAATAGTCAAACTCATAGAAGCAAGGAGTAGAATGGTGATTGTAGGGGACAGTGGAGAAGAAAATGGGGACTTGCCAATTAATTTATATAAAATTTACATTATGCAAGATGCATAAATTTTAGATATCTGCTGTACAAACATTGTGCCTGTAGAAAACAATTTTTTATTGTACACTTCAAAATCTATTGAGTGTAGATCTAAGACAATAAAATGATCTAATTGTAGTATCTTTAATAACTATGTAACTTTGTTATCTACCCTTTCTTTTAAAACCTAACATAATTTGTAGAGACAGTTATGTTCCTAAATATTAGAACCATGCTAGGTAAAATGTTAGTCTACTCTTTTTGTTTTCAGTCATGGTACAAGATTACTAAGGATAGAAATACTCTTTTACATTGTTTTAAAATTCCTCCAAGTAAATGTTCAATTAGTACCTATTAAATTGGTAACTATGCAATCAAATGTGAGTGAAAGTCTGACTTTTGAGGAAGAAAATGGCAGTTACATAAGGCTGCATGAAGGGAGTAAATTGAAGAGTTGGATAACCATGAAAACAGGTTGCTGAAAACTCTTCTTCTTTTTATTTCCAGCAGCAAAGTGAAATTTCCAAACTGGGAAATAATGTTAATTCTAAAAATAGGAAAGACTAAATCAAATTGTTTGCCTCCCTTGAACTTATGCAATTCAACAAAAAAGAGAACACAAGAACTACACATGAATGACCTTCCTACTAGTTGAAAAGAAAGACCTGAGGTCATTGTCCACTTGGATTAGCTTTTCAGGTGTTTCAGGAAATATTTTACGAATTTTAAATGGATTGAAAAACATCTCCATTGTTATTTTCCAAGGTGAACATTGTATTTTTCACTTAAATGTTATATAATTGTGTGGTTTCAATTTATACTTGTTTCTGTTTAAGGTATTGAAATGTTTCTAGGAAAATATAGAAATATATAGTATGTATTTTTTAGCTTAGATCATCTTTTATATTCAAATTATTTGCTACAGCATATAAAAACTCCAAATTATAAATGATATTAAAAGAAATATCAATATAAATGGTTTAACATATGATTTTAAAAGAATTTTGTTACAGATATATTTTAAAGACATTGAGAGAGAATTTTCTACATATACAGATGCTCCTTGACTTGTAATAGGGTTACATTCTAATAAACATCACCAATTGAAAATATTGTAAGTTGAAAATGCATTTAATACACTTAACCTACAGAACATAATAGCTTAGCCTAGCCTAACTTAAACACGCTCAGAACACTTACATGGGCCAAATCATGAACAAAAATCCTATTTTATAATAAAGTGTTGAATAGCTCAGGCAACTTATTGAATACTATATTGAAAGTAAAAAACAGAATGGTTTTATGGGTACTCAAAGTTTGGTTTCTACTGAATGCGTATAACTTTTGCAACATCATAAAGTTGAAAAATTATAAATTGAATCGTAAGTTGGAAACTGTAATTATTATGAACTATATAGTTAAAAACTTTCTATGCATAGACCCAATGGTTCATTAAATCAAATTTTAGAGTATTACAAATCAACTTAAAAAGACAAAAATTTAAGTAGAAGCTTTTTAATCAACTTACGCAAAAAAGTGTAATTTATGAAATTTTTATATAAATTGGTATTTAAAGCAAAAAAGTCCCGAGAGGTAAATAATTTCCTTTCATGATATTTATAAGTTTCTACCTTGTTTTTCACTTAGGTATGTAATTGTTTATTACCTTTACTGTCTATTCTTGAGAACGTATTTCAAATCAATATAGTCTCAAAAGACTTTCAAAATACAAGAGCCTCAATAATATTGTCAAATCAAACACATAATTTATGTGAAT
This sequence comes from Homo sapiens, assembly GCF_000001405.40. Lineage (NCBI taxonomy): Eukaryota > Metazoa > Chordata > Mammalia > Primates > Hominidae > Homo > Homo sapiens. Next base: position 175,193,249 of record NC_000004.12, read on the forward strand.
GCTGCTCATAGCAAACTGACTTTAAAAGAGACCACTTTGTCATAAAACTGATTTTGAAATCATGAACAAAGCAAGAAAATACATTTTTAAAGTAACTATAACGGCAAGATATAGATATGAGACCAGTCAAATTGTCTGCGTTTTGGTCATTTGTTAGATTCTGCTATTAAATACTTTCAATCTCTACCAATTAGTACCAGATAATATAATTAATTATCTGAGAATAGCTTTGTAAAAAGAATTTGTGTGAGTTTTTTTCTCTCAAATCTATAGGTATCGCTGGAGAAATGTTATCAGAGAATAGTGCCTTTTAAAGATTTGCAGAAAAATGAGATAAATATAATGCATAGTTTTGTCAAAGTTGAAATGTTAATTATTTTCTTAGAATTTCCCTTTTAATTTTTATACATAAAGATAATGCCATCATATTATTAAAAGCAACAAATGATAAAGCATCATGAACCTATTGTGCTAACATTTTTAATAATAGAACATTATTCAATATTTGCATTCCATAGTGGGAAGTTTAAAAGAGAGAAAGATGACATAATTGATTTAGAAATTAGCACTTTTATAGAAGCCTTCAGTAAGAGAAATTTATATTTGCAATGTACTTATATGTTGTTAAAATTATAATTGTGGATCTTTTGAATGTTTAGCTGAAGTTATATTGATGTTAAAGTGCTATAATGAGGGGTGAAAAAATAAAAACCAATTTAATTAGTAACTAAAATATGATCCTTTCATTTTATATAACACCAACACTGAACATTTTATATCATTTTTTCCAAAATTCTCTCATACTCATACAGTTTAAAATAGATATTTATATACCAGATTTGTATTTTACTTTATATATGCAATGAGAGTTCTTAGCTGCCAAAACAAGTGATGTCACTCTATTTATTTTTAAATGAAAGGGATTAATAAAGGAATTTTAGGTACTTCACAGAATTTATAAGGCCTATGGAAATAGACTGTTAAGTTTACAAAAATGTCCCCCCAAATCAGGGCTAGTAGTCCAAATTGCAGGGCCCAGGGCAAAATTATCATGTGCAGCCCCTTGTTCAAATAGCATGAAAAAAATGTGCTGTTAAAAAGATAAAATACAAAGTTTTTTCATTCTTCAGTGGTCTCTCTTCTCATATTGTTCTTTACTTGTTACTTCGTGTCACTCTGAATAAATAAAAATTAAAATGGAATACATGAACATACATTTTAACATTTATCTTTATAACATCCAATAGCAATTTTAGGTGCAAATGTAAGAATATTTCATTAGTAGGCAGAGGCATTAAAGTTACACAATCTCTATTTTATAGCTTCTACATGTGTATTTTGTTCTTAGCAGAGAAATGGAAATACTGCACAACACTTACTCAACTGTTTTTGAAATCAGCCCAATTTTGTCTCATAGAACTGATCTTTACAGTTTCTTTTGAGTAAACATAGAACTTGACCCTCCAGTCTTAAAACTTGATCTTGTTACATTTGTCTTATATGAGTTTCTTTCTCAGGAAACCAACCATCAGGCCTCCCAGGTAGTATCAAGAAGTGAAACTCACCAGATTATCACATATGGATAATGAGACACCAGATCCCTTACCCATCATGATTGCCTGACTGACCCCTTGTTTTGTATTGACTAATTCCCCTTCCTTACCCCTCCCTAATTCTGGTTTTCCCATATGTAGTTATATGTCTTTCCTGCTATATAAACCTGTCATTTTAGTTGGTCAGATAAATGGATTTGAAACTGATTTCCTGTTCTCCTTGGCTGTCACACTTCTTTCCTGGCAATACTTGCTGTCTCACTGACTGGCTTTCTGTGCAGCAGGCAGCAGGACCTAGAGCAAACTGTTGGCTTTTTAGTAAAATTTTTGGTTGACACACATTCTTCCAATACTCTCTACTTTTGATTTATTGCTGAGTGAGGGAAGGACTTAAGGATAAGGAACGACAGGTTTCACTATCTTTCCCTTTCCTTTTACGTCATTATTTTAGGTGTAAATAGTTGATGGGTGCAGGGGAGTAAAACAAGTTAAGGTGATGTTCCCTGGTTGCTCTTGTTTCTTAAAATCCCATTTTCATCTTTTAATGTTTGAAGTAAGTTCTGGTTCAAATGGGAAGTGCGGCCTCTTGGGACTGTTACCAACAACGCGTATTCAGTTGTGAAGCTAAACACGCTTACCTTGTACTCCCTTTGAGTCTCTCTGAACACCAAATCATCTGTGTTCTATTAGGGTTCTGTGCTAATAGGGGCATTGCAAACACTCTACGTGAATGGGGAAACAAGAAACAGTGGTAGAAGTGAATATTGCACATATCTACTCTGCTCGCATGCATGTTCCATTATCTCATTATACTTCAGTTATGAAATACAGGTTCAAAGATAAAAATCATTAAGAATTCAAAATGGTAAGAGCAGGACGTTAAACCAGGAGTGGGGTCCTTCTAAGCACAGTGTCTTGTGGGACTGCGCATGTCTAATTCCCATGATGTTGTCCTAAACAAATGGAATAGAACTGACCTTATGAAGAAAGGGTTGCTCTTAGAATTACCAAATATTAAGTGTCAGAACCTAACTTAGCTGCGATGGTACTAATGATAATGATGGTTCACCAAAAATGCTTTAGTGGTCTTCCCAACCACCACTGACTCCCTAAAACCAAATGACATTCCTACCACTTATGCCTGAAAAAACAGATTACATGTCAGTTTTTTTTTCTGGATCAAATTCTTCTATTTCTAAAGCTCTAATACATCCTAAATCACTCACCTGCATATTAGTGTCAAGAGAGACTCTTAAGTTATTTGTGGAAGCATGACTTATGATATGCTTATTTCCCAAGATAAAGAAATTAAATTAATATTTGCATTGTTTTAAATTTCAGTCTATTATGTTTACAACTGCTGTGAACATTCACGTACAAATATTTCTGTAGATTTAAATTTTCTTTATCTTAGTTAAATACATAGAAGTTTCATTAATGAGTCATACATTGAGTAAACTATTAACATGATAAGAAATTGCCACTGTCTTTCATAGAAACCATAGCATTTTGAATTCCCATCAAGCAACTTGTGAGTTTTAGTTGCTCCACATCCTTACATTACAATGCACCTAGTACTGCCACACTTAACATTTCCATTTTAATGAGGCAATATCAATAGAATAATTTCATTTTAAATTGCACTTATGAAGGAGTATTAGAATCGAGCACTGTTTTTCTGTGCATATTTGTTATTTGTATTAGTATCCTGGCTCCAGGTTAAAATACTATACACAATTTTATAAGCTCAACCATAGGTAATTGCAAAGCTTTGCCTATCAAGCCTTATGGGGAGAAAGCTGCCCTCCCAAATCAGACTTGGTGCTGGTGCACAGTCAGTATATTGTAGTTTTCTAGAAAAAGCTGCAGTGAAGAACTCGGGCCACTCTAGCTGGCCTTGCATTATATGCATATCTACATCTCTAGCTCAGATGCCTCCTTTTGCCTACATGAGACCTCCTAATTAGGTTGGCTAGGGCACTTTTTGCCACTCTGACTCGCAGTTTTCCACTCCACACCCTTCCAGTTTCCTTCTTCCTAGCCCCCTCAGGTCCATAAAAAGGCAGGACACTGGCTAGGTGGGGTGGCTCACGCCTGTAATCCCAGTACTTTGGGAGACCAATGTGGGTGGATCATCGGAGGTCAGGAGTTCGAGAACAGCCTGGCCAACTTGGTGAAACCCCGTCTTGACTGAAAATACAGCAATTAGCTGGGCATGGTGGTGCATATCTGTAATCCCAGCTACTCGGGAGGCTGAGGCAGGAGAATCGCTTGAACTTGGGAGGCGGAGATTGTCGTGAGCCGTGATCGTGCCACTGCACTCCAGCCTGGCGACAAAGCGAGACTCCATCTCAAAAAAAAAAAAAAAAAAAAAAGCAGGACACTTTTGTTAGGACTTCCTTGGCAAAGGGATGTTTCTCTCCCATCTGTGCTGTGTGTCCTTTGACCCTTGCCTGATACCACTCTGTGGGAAAAAATAGAACATGCAGACCTGGAACTTTTTCTTTACTTCTAGTATTCACAGTCACAGTAAATACAGACTTCATTATTACTTTCAGTTTGCCTTGTTATCCTAATTGACAACTGCAAATACTAGGTAAGTCAACAAATATGCAGTCGGGCCTCCCTATGCATGGGTTTCACATTCCTGAATTCAACCAGCCATGGATAGAAAATACTCTGGGGGCCGGGCGCGGTGCCTCACCCCTGAATTCCCAGCACTTTGGGAGGCCGAGGCGAGTGGATCACGAGGTCAGGAGAACGAGACCATCCTGGCTAACACCGTGAAACCCCGTCTCTACTAAAAATACAAAAAAATTAGCCGGGCGTGGTGGCGGGTGCCTGTAGTCTCAGCTGCTCAGGAGGCTGAGGCAGGAGAATGGCGTGAAACCCAGGAGGTGAAGCTTGCAGTGAGCCGAGATCGCGCCACTGCACTCCAGCCTTGGGGACAGAGCGAGATTCCGTCTCAAAAAAAAAAAAAAAAAAAAAAAAAAGAAGAAGAAAAGAAAATACTCTGGGAAAAAAATATTGCATCTATACCGAACATGTACACACTTTTTTCCTTGCCATTATTCCCTAAACAATACGGTATAATAACTATTTACATAGCATTTATATTGCACTAGATATTATAAGTAATCTAGAGATCATTTATAGTATACTGGAGATGTTAACAGTGTGAAAGTTGCAGCTATTAGGATAAGTCACACTAGTCAGACCCAGGCAAAGTGGGGATGGGAGAGCATGAAGGAGAGGAGCTCATGCTTGCAAGTCTGAAGATAAAAACTGTTTCAAGAACATTTAAAAATAACCCCACAAGAAATAATCTCACATCCTTCATGCATAAATATTTTTTCCATGGCTTATGCATTTTACATGCATGCACATATTTCTATGACAAGGTTCATTACTAGACATTCTTTAGGACTGCAGCAATTCAAATAAGACACTTTCAAAAGAACACTTACTCAGTGATGATATCTTCACCAATGAAATGATGCCAACTCTGGCTTTGAGCCTCCAGAACCAATGAACTCTGTTTCCAAGCAGCTTACATGGACCTCTCCTTTTTCCAAAAAAAGATTCTCTTTATCCTTGCCTCTTTGGATGCATACGTGGCTTGCTAATGTTGTACATCCTAGATTATAATTGTTTCTGCTTGCTCCCAAATAAAATCACTGTATTAGAATTTATTGCTCTAATCGTTTCTAATAATTTAGATTGACAGTATGGTATACACAAATATGACATTATTTTATATAAGTGACTTGAACATCCCAGATTTTGGTATCCATGGCAGATCCTAGAACTAATACCCCACAGATACTGAGGGATATGACTATAGTATTTTGTGAAGTGTCTTCTCAAATTTTCGTTTCTTTTTGAGATTGTCTTTTTATTAATAGGTTGAAAATGTTCTTTGTATGTTCTAGATACAGCTCCTCAATCAAATAGACAGATGATAGATAGATATTATATATATTTTAAACATCTCAAATATTTTACCCACTGTGGATTTTGAAAGGCAAAAGTTTTTCCATAAAGTCAAAAGTATCAAAGCCTACTTGTTTATAATTCATGTCTAATTCAGGGTTACAAAGTTGTTCTTTTCTAGGTTTCCTCTAGAAATTTTATAGCTTTAGTTCTTACGTTTTGGCCTAAAAGCCACTTTTAGTTTTTTTTTTTTTTTTTTTTTTAATGGTATGAGGTAAGGATGCAAATTCATTTTGTTCTGTATGGATATTTGTCCCAGCACCATTTGTTTAAAAATCTATCCTTTCCCAATTGATTTGCCTTGTCACGTTTTTGTATTGTAAATAGTAATTTTTATTTTCAAACAATCCACTTTAAAACTCTGCCGCTTACAAAATATTTGGAAGGGCTAGATGTACAAGCTTCAGACTGAGGCTCCAGGGTTAACCCAGAATAATCAACAGAAAATTTAGTTACTAGGTGACATTATCAGGCAGGTGGAACTTTGGGAGGCCATAGCTATTAGTGTTGACTGCAGGGATTCCATCACATCTATGAGATATAGCTACCTCCATAAAATCTATTTTGTGACATTCGTGATGAATCACGACCCTACTATGAACACTGTGTGATTATTTTTATTCTTGTGTTTTTTCAAAATATATTTCTCATTTGTTGAAAGGACTATTTGGTCTTTGGATTTCTTCACATTTTTTGTTTAGTTTTTCGATTTTGTCCTTCTCACATGAAGAAGTAATTATTACTTTTTCAGCTACACATATTTTTGGATTTGTTTTTGCCACTGAATTTTTTTTCATTGTTCAAATCAATTTTTATTTGTTTTTATCATTTGTTATCCATTCCTGCACACCCATTATATTCTAGAGATGGTAAGACAATACTTTGGAGATAGAAGACTGAACAAAAATAGGCTCAGGTGGGCATAGACATTGCTCTTACAAAGCTGTCAACAAATGAATCTAAAATTGCAGCTTGGGAAGGCACTATGAAGGAAAAAATACATGTTTTATAGAGTGTGTAATAATTATGTGTTGCTAAAGTTTCTATGGAGTTTTTCCAAGCAAATAATGGCTTGAAATAAGTAAGAAATAACCAAAGTAGGCAGGACACTTAAATGAGGTTGTCCAAAGAAAATTTAAAGACACTAGTGTGAGGTGAAGCTCAAGACTTATGGAGAAAAATAATCATGCAAAACCTTGCAGGCTGCTGCATATAATAAAAATCAAATACACTTTTCTTTTTTGAGAATCTCACTCTGTCACCAGGCTGGAGTGCAGTGGCACGATCTCGGCTCATTGCAACCCCACCTCCTGGGTTAAAGTGACCCTACCACCACAGCCTCCCAAGTAGCCAGAACTACAGGTGTCCACCACCATGCCTGGCTAATTTTTGTGTTTTTGTAGAGGCGAGATTTCACCATGTCGACCAGTATGATCTTGAACTCTGAGCTCAAGCAATCCACCCACCTCAGCCTCTCAAATTGCTGGAATTACTGGCATGAGCCACCACATTCAGCCAGAAATCAGATAAACTTTTAAAGCCATTAAGTACCTAAAGTTTTGTATAATTCATAAAGTTAAATCTTTCAATCATTCATTTTGTGTTTTATTCCATTATTTTTTACTTAGACAATCTCCCTTTCCAGATACTTGATTACTATTATTATTTTTTTTTTTCAGACAGAGTCTTGCTCTATTGCCCAGGCTGGAGTGCAGTGGCGTGATCTTGGCTCACTACAAGCTCCACCTCCCGGGTTCACACCATTCTCCTGCCTTGATACTTGATTATTAATTATTCCTCTGTACTTCTGGTAAGAAAATATTTACCCTATTTTGATAACTGAAGGCTTAAATCACATATGCTTTGTGATAAAAACTTGAGAAGAAAAATTATTCCTGTTAATAAGAAATAGTAACACATGCTGCTAAATAGCACACATATGTTTAACAGTAATTAACTGTATTAATCATTAGAGCACACAGTCTTACTATGATTTTTTTTTTTTGAGACAGAGTCTCACTCTGTTGCCCAGGCTGGGGCACAGTGGCGTGATCTTGGCTCACTGCAACCTCTGCTTCCCGGATTCTAAGAGATTCTCCTGCCTCAGCCTCCTCAGTAGCTGTGATTACAGGTGTGCGCCATCATGCCTGGATAATTTTGTATTTTTAGTAGAGACGGGGTTTCACCATGTTGACCAGGCTGTTCTTGAGCTCCTGACCTTAGGTGATCCACCTGCCTCAGCCTCTCAAAGTGCTGGGATTACAGGTGTGAGCCACCACATCCAGTCTTACTACCATTTTTAAAAGATATTTCTATGTGTCAGTTAAAGATTTTGCTGTTCATCAAGTTGATCAAAGCAGAAGCCTGTAGGTTTTCCAAGAACCTCTCTATAATTATCATATATCCCATATAATAGCAATCACCACATATACTATAATCTTATCTCTTTACATAAATCTCAAGTCTATGTGCACCATTATTAGCATATAACAAGTTTCTTATCATCTTTTTCCAGTATGGGAAATATAATTTCTTTTGTTTCTGTCATAGGTTTGTAGTTGAGACACTCTCCTGAAAACGAAAGTCAGATTAGAAGAGAAAACCAGCAGAAGTTTATTGACATGTGCTGTAACCCATCACTTGGGAGAGGCCAGAGTCTCTATCTCCCAGTGCAGTGGCTTAGGGGCCTTGCTTAAATAGTATTTTAAAAACAGCCATAAATCTTATAGCAACAAAGCAGGGAAGAGAGTAGTTTCAGGTTTCCAAAAGGTGGGAAACTATGGGAAGGTAAATTTATGGGAAGAGTGAAGTCTGCTCCTAGATCCTCTGGCAACCCTGTCTCTGAGCTGATAAGCAAGCCTTGTAAAAATAAGAAAATAATAATAATAAAAGACTGTCTTTAGGCTTGAAAAGGCAGACAGGAGAGCAGGAAGACTTTTGGTCTTTGTAAATTGCTGCCTTGCCATCAGGCAAGTACAGGCCCAGCGATCCCCGCATCTTTTCTTAACCTTCTGCAGCTCAGCAATTTTCAGTATTTCCAGAGGGATATTTCGGTTTCCTTCACAGGAGTATTATAACTGGGTGCTATTGAGCCTTTCTTCCTCTAGATTTACAATCATCAAATCTATTCTGAATCCTGACACAAGACAGATTTCTTCAAAATGCAATTCAATATTATCGTTTTCCTGTGCATTTTCATAATCATACTTTTTTAATTTAATTAACATTTTCCATACTGTTCTGTAAACTCTGTGGGCACAGGGGCAATTTCCATTTTGTGTATCAGTGTACTCAGTGCCTAGAATATGTAGCTATGTGATAAATAATTATGGAATGAATAAAGAAGTATTTCAAAAACTTCACTGGCTTTCCATGACCTCCAGAATAAAGGCAAGTTCCCATAAAACGGTATAAACATCCATGATCAGACTCCTGTGTCTTCCGTCTGATCTATTGCCATTTGGTTCAGTAATTCAGTGCTTCATACACTGTGAAGCTCAAGGACACCTCCTCCCTTTGCTCATGATCTCCTTTTTGCCTGTAGCAAAATCTCCACTTAACAGTTTACAGCCTCAAACATGGCCGTTGCTAAATCAAGTTTAGTCTAAAGCTGCCTCCTTATGTATTTTAAGTTTAGCCTAAAGGTTTCTTTGTACATCATGAACTTAATCTAAATGGAATTGTAAACAGACTGTAGGCTACTCTTGTGGCAATCACTGAGTTTGGGCCAATCAAATGTTGCCAACTGTTCAAACTGTGTTCAAATAAGGAAGGCAACGTGGAGCTATAACCAATCCAGCTGTTTATGTACCTCACTTCCGTTTTCTGTAGGTCCCGTTCATTTTTCTGTCCATAAATCCTCTCAGCCACGTGGCTGTGCTGGAGTCTGAATCTACTCTGTCTTGGGAGACTGCCCAATTTGTGAGTCCTTCTTTGTTCAATGAAACTCTTTTAAATTTAATTCAGCTGAATTTTCTCTTTTAACACCATCTAGGAAGACTTCTTAAAATTTCCTATTATTGGAGTAGTGAGTTCTTCACTTGTGCTCCAATTTGCATGCATGTAACCAGCATGTATCTTTCATGTCCTTTGTAGGTTTTATTGAAATAGCCATTTTATATCTGCCAGTCATACTTAACTGTAAGCTTCTATGAAGCAGAATGACCTTTTATTTGTGTTTTGTGCCCTTAGCATCTATCAAAATGTCTAGCACAAAACAGGTATTTGAAAAATCTTAAGTAAAGAGAACCAAAGAATTGTTACATATAGAAAATGACTAGAAAAATAAATAAAACAAGAGAGAAATAATGAATATCTCAAGAAGTTATCTTTTTAATTATCTTTTTATTATAGACTTATTTAGAATATAATTGTGAATATACATTCTTACCATGTGATTGTGATTTAAAATAGGCACCTTGGGATGCAAAGTCTTCAACGGGACACAGTTAGAAAACAAAATAATAAATGTCCTCCTTTATGTGAAATGATCAATTCTAATTTTATACATTGCTGTTCTCTTTAAATTCTCTTTACCCTTCTGAGATAATCTTTCTTTTCTAAAAGTGTCAAAAAATGATTTCAGAATCAGCTTTCCTGTTTGCTTCCAGAAGTTCTATTGCATTTGGCAATACAAGAGAAATTAATGTGAGAATATGTAAAGAAATAAATTTCTAAAATCTGGCTAAGCAAAAAAATTGGTGAATTCATAAATCTGTGTTATTGGATAGTATCTGCAGTAAGGCAAGGAGGAATTATTAGATTTCTTTGGCTTTTATTTTTAGTGTTATGACTATGTAATTTAATGACTTCCACAAAAGTTATTTCTATTTTCTTGCTTAATTTAGTTATTTACAAAAAGGCTTTTTATCATCTAAATTTATTCAATTAAATGGCTCTTTTATAAGAAAAATTGTTGCAGCGAAGTTTTTTGTGACTTCCTTTGCAAAGAATCTCTAAAAACAATGATGCAATCATACAATTTAATTTTTATTTTAGTGAAACTTATTCTTTCTAAACTTTGGCTTGACAAAGCTTCATTTATGTACTGGTAGGATATTGTTAAAATAACTACAATTAAAATGTTTTTATTATGATCTTTCAACTTATCTTTAGAATTTGATTACTTCAGTAATATATTAATTTATAGTTATATAATAATCATCATAATAAATGCAATATTTTCTTAATTATTTGTGCTTGTTTATCCCCATTTCCTACTCTATTCCTACTGTGTTCAGAAATTACATCTTTGTTGTATTTCACTCTTATTTGAAATGTAAATTTATTCAGGGAGAGCAGCAGGTGAGTGACAAAGCAATAAAAAAGTTGTCGCAACAGAGAATTTTTAGATCATTTTATATTTTTATATATATGGAAAAACAATATTTAATGAGAAAATGAGAATGTTTTTAACTTTATTTCCTCACCGTCTTTGCAATTAATAATTCTCTAAATACGTGGTCTGTTTTCCCCTCAAGCCTCAGTAGCTGGCTATAACTTTTCAATGGTTAAACTGAAGGACTTTTTTTTTGAGACAGGGTCTGGCTCTGTCACTGAGGCTGGAGTGCAGTGGCACTATCATGGTTCACTGCCACCTCAATTCCCCCTCAAGCCATCCTCCTGCCTCCAGCTTCCGAGTAGCTATGACTACAGGTGTATGCCACCAAGCTTGGCTATTTTTTTTTTTTTTTACTTTCTGTATACGTGGCTGCTATGTTGCCCAGGCCAGTCTTGAACCCCTGGGCTGAAGCACTCCTCCCGCCTTGGCCTCCTAAAGTGCTGACATTATAGATGTGAGTCACTGTACGTGGCCTGAAAGACTTAAATGCATAATAAATAGATTATGAAAAAAAAAGGCAGTACTGGCAAGTCCCAAAGTGGGGCTCAGCCCAAGAGGGTCTTGGCTTTGCCCAGGAAATAATTCAAGGGCAAGCTGGTGGTAGAAGAAAACAGCTTTTCTTTTGAGACAGTCTCATTCTGTCACCCAGGCTGGAGTGCAGTGGTGTGATCTCGGCTCACTGCAACCTCCACCTTCCAGGCTCAAGCAATTCTCCTGCCTCAGCCTCCCAAGTAGCTGGGATTACAGGCGCACACCACCACGCATGGCTATTTTTTTGTATTTTTAGTAGAGACAGGGTTTCACCATGTTGGCCAGGCTGGTTTTGAACTCCTGACCTCAAGTGATCTGCCTGCCTCAGCCTCCCAAAGTGCTGTTATTACAGGTGTGAGCCACAGCGCCCGGCCAAAAACAGCTTTACTGAAGAGGTATTACAGCTCCAGCAGTGTTACAGCGATGTGACTGCATTCTGCTCTGCAGAACAGGGCTACCCCATAGGCAATATGCTGACAGTAGCAGCTCAGTGCAGTTTTGCAGTCATATTTATTCCTACTTTTATTTACATGTAGATTAAGGGATTGTTAACGCAGAAATTTCTAGGGAAGAGGAAGTAACATCTGGATCATCAGGTCATTGCCATGGAAAGGGGCAGGTATGCCTCAATGTTGCCATGGCAATGGTAAAGTGACATGGCACAGTGGTGGGTGCGTCTTATAAAAAGGTACTTCTGCCCATCAGTCCTCATTTTGGTTTGGTGTCTGAGCCCCACCTCCAGAGTCCAGCCTTGCTTGCTACTTCAGAAGTAGAGAAATGATGAATACAGAAGCAACATAAGGAGGACTGTGTGAAATTGATGAAAGAGTAAAGGAAGAAAAAGAGGTCAAAAGGGAACAAGGCAGGGTGAAAAATTACGATAGCACAAAAAATACACAGACTCTGCTGGGGAGAAAAGAAAAATTCTCCCGTACCCACTTAGGTTTCCTGGCTGGGCCTCAGAGTTAGACCAACATAAGACAGCTTAACAGGAGAAAATCATGCAAGTTTCAGTAAAATTTTTACAAGTATATGGGAACCTTCATGGGAGAATGAAGACCCAGAGAAATGGCCACAGCAGAAAGCTTTTATACTTTTTTGACAACAAAATAATACATTTGTGAGGAAATGACAAGACAAAGGGGTTTGGGCTAGAGGCAATAAATTGTGGCGAAGTGAATAGGAGATAATTGTGGTGGGCAGGGGGGTGGAGAAAACTAGTGGAAGATGAGGATCATTTTAGAACATTCATTCATACAGATCTATTTTTTTTTATTATACTGTAAGTTTTAGGGTACATGTGCGCATTGTGCAGGTTAGTTACATATGTATACATGTGCCATGCTGGTGCGCTGCACCCACTAACTCGTCATCTAGCATTAGGTATATCTCCTAATGCTATCCCTCCCCCCTCCCCCCACCCCACCACAGTCCCCAGAGTGTGATATTCCCCTTCCTGTGTCCATGTGATCTCATTGTTCAGTTCCCACCTATGAGTGAGAATATGTGGTGTTTGGTTTTTTGATCTTGCGATAGTTTACTGAGAATGACGATTTCCAATTTCATCCATGTCCCTACAAAGGACATGAACTCATCATTTTTTATGGCTGCATAGTATTCCATGGTGTATATGTGCCACATTTTCTTAATCCAGTCTATCATTGTTGGACATTTGGGTTGGTTTCAAGTCTTTGCTATTGTGAATAATGCCGCAATAAACATATGTGTGCATGTGTCTTTATAGCAGCATGATTTATAGTCCTTTGGGTATATACCCAGTAATGGGATGGCTGGGTCAAATGGTATTTCTAGTTCTAGATCCCTGAGGAATCGCCACACTGACTTCCACAATGGTTGAACTAGTTTACAGTCCCACCAACAGTGTAAAAGTGTTCCTATTTCTCCACATCCTCTCCAGCACCTGTTGTTTCCTGACTTTTTAATGATTGCCATTCTAACTGGTGTGAGATGGTATCTCATAGTGGTTTTGATTTGCATTTCTCTGATGGCCAGTGATGATGAGCATTTTTTCATGTGTTTCTTGGCTGCATAAATGTCTTCTTTTGAGAAGTGTCTGTTCATGTCCTTCGCCCACTTTTTGATGGGGTTGTTTGTTTTTTTCTTGTAAATTTGTTTGAGTTCATTGTAGATTCTGGATATTAGCCCTTTGTCAGATGAGTAGGTTGCGAAAATTTTCTCCCATTTTGTAGGTTGCCTTTTCACTCTGATGGTAGTTTGTTTTGCTGTGCAGAAGCTCTTTAGTTTAATTAGATCCCATTTGTCAATTTTGTCTTTTGTTGCCATTGCTTTTGGTGTTTTGGACATGAAGTCCTTGCCCATGCCTATGTCCTGAATGGTAATGCCTAGGTTTTCTTCTAGGGTTTTTATGGTTTTAGGTCTAACGTTTAAATCTTTAATCCATCTTGAATTGATTTTTGTATAAGGTGTAAGGAAGGGATCCAGTTTCAGCTTCCTACATATGGCTAGCCAGTTTTCCCAGCACCATTTATTAAATACGGAATCCTTTCCCCATTGCTTGTTTTTCTCAGGTTTGTCAAAGATCCGATAGTTGTAGAAATGCGGCGTTATTTCTGAGGGCTCTGTTCTGTTCCATTGATCTATATCTCTGTTTTGGTACCAGTACCATGCTGTTTTGGTTACTGTAGCCTTGTAGTATAGTTTGAAGTCAGGTAGTGGGATTCCTCCAGCTTTGTTCTTTTGGCTTAGGATTGACTTGGCAATGCGGGCTCTTTTTTGGTTCCATATGAACTTTAAAGTAGTTTTTTCCAATTCTGTGAAGAAAGGCATTGGTAGCTTGATGGGGATGGCATTGAATCTGTAAATTACCTTGGGCAGTATGGCCATTTTCACGATATTGATTCTTCCTACCCATGAGCATGGAATGTTCTTCCATTTGTTTGTATCCTCTTTTATTTCCTTGAGCAGTGGTTTGTAGTTCTCTTTGAAGAGGTCCTTCACATCCCTTGTAAGTTGGATTCCTAGGTATTTTATTCTCTTTGAAGCAATTGTGAATGGGAGTTCACTCATGATTTGGCTCTCTGTTTGTCTGTTGTTGGTGTATAAGAATGCTTGTGATTTTTGTACATTGATTTTGTATCCTGAGACTTTGCTGAAGTTGCTTATCAGCTTAAGGAGATTTTGGGCTGAGACAATGGGGTTTTCTAGATATACAATCATGTCGTCTGCAAACAGGGACAATTTGACTTCCTCTTTTCCTAATTGAATACCCTTTATTTCCTTCTCCTGCCTAATTGCCCTGGCCAGAACTTCCAACACTATGTTGAATAGGAGTGGTGAGAGAGGGCATCCCTGTCTTGTGCCAGTTTTCAAAGGGAATGCTTCCAGTTTTTGCCCATTCAGTATGATATTGGCTGTGGGTTTTTCATAGATAGCTCTTATTATTTTGAAATACGTCCCATCAATACCTAATTTATTGAGAGTTTTTAGCATGAAGCGTTGTTGAATTTTGTCAAAAGCTAGCAGAAGGCAAGAAATAACTAAAATCAGAGCAGAACTGAAGGAAATAGAGACACAAAAAACCCTTTAAAAAATCAATGAATCCAGGAGCTGGTTTTTTGAAAGGATCAACAAAATTGATAGACCGCTAGCAAGACTAATAAAGAAAAAAAGAGAGAAGAATCAAATAGACACAATAAAAAATGATAAAGGGGATATCACCACCGATCCCACAGAAATACAAACTACCATCAGAGAATACTACAAACACCTCTACGCAAATAAACTAGAAAATCTAGAAGAAATGGATAAATTCCTCGACACATACATTCTCCCAAGACTAAACCAGGAAGAAGTTGAATCTCTGAATAGACCAATAACAGGATCTGAAACTGTGGCAATAATCAATAGCTTACCAACCAAAAAGAGTCCAGGACCAGATGGATTCACAGCCGAATTCTACCAGAGGTACAAGGAGGAACTGGTACCATTCCTCCTGAAACTATTCCAATCAATAGAAAAAGAGAGAATCCTCCCTAACTCATTTTATGAGGCCAGCATCATTCTGATACCAAAGCCGGGCAGAGACACAACCAAAAAAGAGAATTTTAGACCAATATCCTTGATGAACATTGATGCAAAAATCCTCAATAAAATACTGGCAAACCGAATCCAGCAGCACATCAAAAAGCTTATCCACCATGATCAAGTGGGCTTCATCCCTGGGATGCAAGGCTGGTTCAATATACGCAAATCAATAAATGTAATCCAGCATATAAACAGAGCCAAAGACAAAAACCACATGATTATCTCAATAGATGCAGAAAAAGCCTTTGACAGATCTATTTTAATGTCAATTCCCAGTCTCTGGTGATAAGGTTCTCTTCCTGGTACAGGGAGAGCACCTTTCTCATGGGAATTTTTATGGCCTCTTTTGAGTAAAAAATAGTAGGTCAGAAAGCCCTTCCTGCATCTGCTGTTTCTTAAGTGCCTTCAACACAAAATGATAAATTTGGCAAAGCAGCATATTTTGGCATAGTGTATCCTTAACTCCTTCAGCTCCAAAATAACATATATCTGTGACATGTGCAGAGCCTGAAGCACAAAATAGTTTCGAATTTTGGATTATGAAAGTTAAAAGAATGAGTTACTGCTTTCATTTGAATTACATGATTTATCTTAATGAATAGTAGAGCATCAGGATGATTGAAAATATGATAATCAATATTGTGAGGAATTAATATTACAAAATTATATTTACTTGAGTTCTTTAGAGCAGATTTTTATTAGAAAAGTAAATGGGAACACATTTTACAAAGTAAAAATTGGAATTAGGTTTGATGTAAACTTGTAAGTAATAATAAATAAATCTCTCTGTAGCATTCTGAATGTGCCATTATAAACATTTCATCCTTTCATTAGGAAAATAGGAGGAAACTCCCAAATATTTGGGACAACTCTTCTTTTTATGCAGAAATATAAAAAACATAATCTCAGCAATTCAGAAAGTTATTTCTAAAAGGATTATATATATATATATAATGTACACGCATCTGTAAACATATATAGATAGATAAATAGATACACATATATAGATATATAAATGTTATTTGTTGTTGATGAGTTTGAATTTTTTTTTCTTCTTGGAAAAACTAGAGAGTACTACAGATCTCCATATTCAGGGTTTTTTTAATCAGAATTTTTTGCTTTTTATTATCATTGGAGACTATTACTGTAAATTTTTAACATGTTAAGAATACTGTGACTATTAACTATTCCAACATTAATATTATATAAGTGAGGAAATTGAAGTCCAGAGATAAAAAAATAGTTGCTCATAGTGATAACCAGTTATGGCAAGTTATGGCTGATAATTGATTACCCAATTCACATAAAGAAAGATGTCTTGCAGGTACTGTGATCAGTGGAGAGAAAGTCAAACTAAATAATAACTCGCATACAGTAACATAATTGTAATACTAAAAACTCTGTGAAGATGCCTTGGGAACATAATGGGGTTGAGAATTGAAAAAGATCTTCCTTTTGATGGAAAGCAAGATTTGAGTAGTGTATTGAAGTATGTGGAAGCATTAAACCAGATGAAGAAGTACCCGGATAGGAAAAGGAATTAGAGGCATTCCATACCAACAAAATAGCATCAACTACCATTATAGATGTGAGAAGGATCATAGGAAATGGTGAATATGTATTGTCATGTGTGGAATGGCAAACAAGCTATGAGGCAGGGCGGTAGTTCACTTTATCAAAATATGCCAATGACTACCACATATCAAACACTGTGTTAAAAACAGATAACATAAATATTAACAAGTCATCATTCTACCTGTAAAGGAGAAGCTAGAATAAAACATTTGCATGTATATGATCAAGATAGATAGACTGATAACAATAAAGAACGAATTACAGTTTTCTACTTGTGCTATAAACAGGATCAACATGATAAGATCATGTTTACATGGCTTCATTTTGATTTTCTTGCTATCTAGTTGTTGATCTCTGTCATATGCAACATTTTTTTCTCAAAACGTGCTGGTGTGAAATCTACTTTCATATATAATTAAAGCATTATTTTCCTGAATGTTTTCTATTTATTTTTAAAACTTGGTAGCACGTAACACTATTATTATACCTTACTTCATAAAAGTTGAATTATGGAGGCCAAAGAAGATCAATAACTTTCTTCAGAACCTTTAGCACCACCATACCCTAAAAATTCAGGTGTCCTAGTTTTTGTTTAATACCATGTCACATATTCAATTCCAAGAACAAATTCTCTTAATGGGAGCCTGATGTATTAAGGAACAATGTTATCTCTACTGCCATTCACAAAGATGATAATCTTATTACTTTGACCTTAAAACAGTAGAAGTTAAATGGACAGCTTTGCTTACATGAAAATAACTGTTTCAATACCCCCAAAAGAAGAAAAAGGAGGGAAAAATCCCACAAAGTACTTATTAGATATACAATATGGTGACATAATAGCCTATACATCTTTTAATATTAGTCCATGAGATCTGTGAGGGCAGACAGTGTTTATCTTGTTAAATGTTTTAAACCCAGTTTAAAACATACATAACTCTTGCAGGTAAACATGGTGCATAGCAACTGTTGTTATGCTAAATTTTGAATTCTATCCCAATATTCTATGTTTACTCACTATTGATTGAATAAATGAATAAAAATGGGTCAAGGTTATGCTTGTCCAAAACATTCCTCTGTCTACCATTGTGTCCAGAACCTACCTCAGATTACTTCTTTCAAATCCTACATTTTCTTTTAGGCATATAGGATTAAGAACAACATAAAAATACTGTCTCTGTGCAAAGTACATCTGTTCAAAAATCACCAAATCCTTTTTGAAAGGAATTAAACACTAATAGTTGCTTACGGGCAGCAAATGTAGCCAAATGAAAAGCAGAATGTGGGCGATGCTAAGGTCATTTGTAATGATCCCAAAATCAAACTTCCCACATCATCATTTTAATGTTACTGTAAATGTAGCTCTGACTATTAGCAAATTGACTAAACCTGCTCATTTCTAATGTCTCAATGAGTTTGTAATGATTTAATCTGTGCTAAAAAAGGAAAAATAAATTACTGTGAGATTTTAGACAAGAGAAAATTAAAAATTGCCTTATGTCCAAAGTTTTAATTTGCATTTTGTCTTAATAATCAATTAATTTCTCCTACTCTGTGGTAGCTTTCTGTGTATCTCATTTCCTACAAGCAGATAAGAAAATTTTGTAAAACCTATTTTTAAAATACATATTTTATAAAAGTAACAAAGACAAGTAAAAATCCCTGCATTTAGTTTAAATAGGTAGAATGATTATCATTGTTTAACCTTTTGTTCATGTAAAAATATATGATATGTGTCGAAAGAAACACATATACCTAGATGCACACAGAGAAACACATATAAAACTGATTAACAGATGAGACTCAATTCTTTTTGTGGTTATCATGATATGTTGTGCATAAGGATGCTTATTTAGAGGAAAATATGTTTAAATATTAAGACTACAGACTTGTTTCTACTAAGCAGAGATTGCTTCGTATGACTTTCTTTGGTCTCAAGATAACACATGTATACTCTATTAACTTATTTAATGATTTACTTATATTTCATAATATTAATGAAATAATAATGAGGAAAACATGTAATGTGCTATTTTTTTGTGATAGGCAGAATAATGATCTCTACTGATGCCCATATCCCAATTTTAAAACTTGCGAGTATGTTAGTTTATGTGGCAAAGGGACTTTGCAGATGTGATTAAGGCTGAGGACCTTAAAATTATCCTGTGTTTTCCATGGCTCTAGTCTACTTACATATTACTGAAATTAGAAGACCTTTCCAGGATGTTATCAGGGGATTTGAAGATCCTATGCTACTAGTTATGAAGGTAGAGAAAGAGGGCATGAGCTAAGACATGCAGGAGGCCTCTAGAATTTAGATAAGTAAAGAAAAGAGAATCTGTTTCTCTTTTAGGGCCTCCAGAAACAAATGCAGCCCTGCTGACACCTTGATTTCATGCCAGTAAGACCCAAAATAATCATTTCAGACTTTTGACCTACTGGGGTATAATGTAATAAATTTGTGTTGTTTTACCAAACTAAGTTTGTGGTCATTTGCTATGGCAGTGATAGAAAGTGAATACACCCAATTTCATAACATTTGTAAAAGTTTTTATTAAAACACACACAGTCAGTGAATAATTAAGCAATGATAATGAAAAGACGTGTTTTTTGGAGGAAAAATATCTCTGGATTTAGAAAGCTTGGGGTTTTATCCTAGCCATGCTGCTTACTCTATAAGTGGCCTAGGATTAAGGACTCCTGGGAAGCTCAGTTCTTCATACATGATATGGGAATACAACTAACTTTCTTACAGAATTATTTAATACATGGAAAATACAAGATTTATAATCAAAAGCAGAAATCTCATAATCTTAAAGATTTGTACCATAGCTTTGAGATTCAAATATAAAGACAGTAAAATATTTTTGACTAAGTATTTTATTAAACTAAATTAAGAAATGTCCTATCTGGAACACAGATCTGTAAAAGCAGCATGTTTGCCAGAATGTTTGTAGGCAGATAGATGAAGGTTAGTAATACTTAGATCAGGCTGAGCACAATAGCTCACACCTGTAATCCCAGTGAGAGAGGAGGCAGTTAGAGGCTGTTTAGGCAGATGGAGAGAGAGGGTCTCGGGAGTGGAAAAATACCCATGGGATAGCAACTGCTGTCCCTGCACCACCCCTAGAGCTAGCAGAAAGAAATGTGGTTAAGAACTCACCCTTATGTTAAAAGGTTGCTCAGAAGGGACTGTTCCAACTTAGGTGCAGGCACAATACATCAATATGATATTAGCACTGTGGTTTTAGCCCCTCCATAGGTTTCACTTAGGCACTCATGGATAATTACCAAGATGGAGTCACTCTGGCCAAACCCAGGCATGCACAGATGCAACATGAGGCACTAATAAGAGAGAAATTTACTCCTCCCATTTGGGCAGAACCCACAGACTTTCTTGTCTTTGCCACCTAAAAGACCCAGTACTCAGTCCCATTTCTGACAACCTGCGTTTAGGTCTCCTCTCATTGCTGAGAACTTTCCTTTTGCTTAATAAATCCTACTCTACTCACTCTCTGGTGTCCTCATGCCTTATTCTTCTTGGTCATGGGACAAGAACTCAGACCTAGCTGAACTGTGGCCTAAGCAGGCTGCAACATTTTGGGAGCTTATCCAGGATCATCAGAAGGGTGAGTAGGAGCAGACCTCTCACTCATTATTTTCATTTCTGAGGCTACTTGTCCTCAGTAATTTTCTCAAGATCAAATAAAACACTGGGCTTCTGTTGGCCAGCTAAGAGTGACTAGTGTGGCTTCCAGACTTAAGACTCAGAGGACTGGCTTGCTAGGGAAGACTTTGTCAATCCCCCATTGCCCTTGGGTGTTGGGAATGTTGACTCTGTGCCAATCTGGTTTCTTTTCATGGAAGTCTAGGTGCCGTGTAGGATTGGAAGGTGGTCCTGAAGCAACTGAGGGTATCTGCTTGACGCTACACTTCGGTTACCCAAAGACCCCTGGACTAACTTCAGTCCCTGACAGCCTGTTAGGGTGTTAGCAAGAGAACTTCTGGTCTTTTCCTATTGCATTTTTCTTCTTTCTTTTGCAGCTGTATGGCTCCTATCTATTCTAGGTATACAATGTTGTGGGTGTTTTTGCAACCCAGAGATACAATTTTCTTGGATAAAATAAGCAAGTGCCTTAGCAATCAGGAATGCAACTCAAAGGGTTTTTGTTTTGTGATTTCCTAGAGAAAAGAGGATTTCAAGATCTAGACCTGAATGTCTCCTTATCCCCTAATGACAGCACCCAATGGCATTGCACTGGAGGTTATTTCTCCCTGAGTGACTATCCTCCTCTCCATTTAAACTGTTTCTTTTTCTATGTAAGAACTCAGCACTTTGCAGTGAATTTGTACAACCCTCCAATGAGGCAAGTTAATTTTCTCCTCCTGGGAGTCTTGCTGTGGGAGCAGCCTGTCAAGCCCCAGACTTCTCTTGCAAACTTTTGCCTGAAAAGTATCTGGGCAGAGTTACAGATTAACATTCCAAACTCTGTCAAGCCACTCAATAAAATTGGAATTTTTCCATAGGGGGCCTTATCAACCCTCTACCCAGGGGCTTTAGTTCTCTGGCCACTTATTCTCCTGAGGCAGCCTAATAAGGACCAAATCGCCTGCCCCATCTGTAAATAAGAAAATTGAGTGTATGATGAGGAAGCCACAAAAAAAAAAAAAAAACCCTACCCAGATGGCTGTTAACTCTCATGTGATCACCACTGCGGGGAAGGGGTCAATCATACCCTCACATTTTTCAAAGACACTTATTCTGCATCCAGTTAGGGTAATATTTAGATAGAAAGATGGAAATATGTTTGGAAGTTAACCATTCTCATTTTCTTGGGTGCCATGGTTTGACTCAAGACATTATCTGCCTATGAAGGAGTGAGTTAATGCAGGGATCTGTCCCACAGACCCTGACCCAACGATGGATGAATAATGTACACTGACACAGATATTTTGTCTTTTGGTTTGGCTGAGGGTCTGGGCCACTCACAGACACCAAGAAGGGTGCTGTAAGGAGTCGCAGCTGTGACCCCAATCAGCCAGCGAAGCTCGCATTTATTCAGTATAGATTAAATAACAAAGGTCTTGAGTAAACACCACCAGAGGGTAATTGACATTGCCGACCTCCCGAGTAGAGAGCAATTATATACCCGCAGGTAATCAAAGGTTGGTCTTAGGACCGCATGAGTAAACAAGCTATTTAGATAAACTCCCTTACATCCCTTTATACCTAATTTATCTACTCAAGGTAAAGATCAGGCTGCATTCAGCCAGATCTATTACTGGAGCTTATGCAAACCCCCTGGCCTTCCAAGAAGGTTTGTGCCTATTTCATATAACTATCTTTAAAATTTTTCCCACCAGCCTGACTGAACTCCCACATCAGTTAAGAGATTGACTGAGGAACCCCCCACCATTAAAAGTTCTCACCCAAGTTCAGTTGCTTCAAAGCATCTTCCAAGCTCCAGTTTGGAAACCCAAAAGGACAATTAGATCTGGGAGACGCAGAGGCAGTCAGCAGGAGAGGACTAGAGTACAGCACAAGTGAGCATGATTACTCCTGCCAACTAGCTCCTCTGGATTCATGGGTGAAGAAATCAGATAAAAATTACTCAGCCTTTTTGAAAAGACTGAAAGAAGCCTTGGTAAAACACACTGCCCTGGCTCTTGATTCAATTGAAGGATGACTAATTTTGAAAGACAAGTTTATTACTCAGGCAGCCCCTGATATGTGGAGGAAGTTGCAAAAACAGGCCACAGGACCAGATAGCACTTTGGAAAACCTGAAGGTGGCCACCTCAGCCTTTTACAATAGCAATCAGGAGGAGGCTCAGGAGAAAGAGAGGAAGCACAAGAAAAAGGCAGAGGCTGTAGTGGCCACTCTGCAGGCCTATGAAACCCAGGATTCCTGAGGTGCACCTGCTAATTGCCACAACTATGGCAAACCAGGGCACATTAAGAAGGATTTCCCAGGAAGCAAAAGGAAGCTACCTTGACCCTGTCCAACCTGTGTTGCGGACAACTGACATGTAGACTGTCCCTGGAGGCACAGTCACCAGGTCCACAGCCAGCGTCACAAATGCTCAAGCAGGACTGATGTGTCATGGGGCTCCTTTTCCTGGCTCCAAAGGCTCAGACTGCCATTATAATCCAAGAGCCCTGGGTGATTCTAGAGGTTGAAAGGAGGAAGGTGGGAAAGTCTGAAGTGAAAAGTCAATTTTCTTTGGCAAATACATCATTTGACTTCCAAATTATTGCATTTTAGATAAGTGTTTCTTAAAAAGTTACGGATTGTGGGGGTTCATCCTGCAGACCCTGACCCAATGATGGATGAATAACGTACACTGACACAGATATTCTGCTTGTCAGTGCAGCTGAGTGTTCGGACCTCTCACAGACACCAAGGAAGGTGCTGTAAAGAGTCAGCAGCCATGGCCTAGATTTGTTGGCCCTCCTGGCATTTATTCAGCATGCATTAAATGACAAAAGTCTCAAGAAAACACGATTAGAAGGTAATTACCATTGCTGGCCACCCCCCCCCCCCACCGAGTAGAGAGTAATCATGCACCTGAAGATGGTCAAAGGTTAGTCTTAGTATCACATGAGTAAACAAGCTATTTAGATAGACTCCTCTACATTCTTAAGTTAATTACCCTTGGTATAGCTCAAAGAGGATTAGGCTGCCTTCAGCCATAACTCAATCCTGAGGCTTTTGCAAAAACCTTCTGGCCTTCCAAGAAAGTTTGTATTTATTTTACAGTTTTTCCCACCATCCTGACTGAACCCCTACAATAGACAGACTCCTTGGAAAATATTTACTGAATAAAGTTATTTTAACTCATTTTGTTTATATCTTTACATATTATAGAAAGACAGTAGTTTAATAATAAATTGTAAATCAGTCTAAGAAACTAATACAAGTAAAATTAACTACACTTTTTTAATGTTACCACTGAGGTTGCTTGCCTGACTAATGAGTACATTAAATACGAATTTGATAGGAACAAATGTGATACCAAATGTTTTGAATTAAAAGTATGTAACTTATGAGATCCTTATGGTAACTCAATACTAAATCATTTTTCTCTACTACAATTAACGTGAAAATTCCTTTTGCAGCATAAGCACTTACACATTTAGTTTTCACTTTGAACAAATGTTAAATTTATATAATTTAATTTTGCTCTGCCCTTTTCTTCATAGGCTCACATAATAAACATGATACAATCTGCAATTATTAATAGAGGTAAAAATACAGGCATTGAAATTATGGAGTCATAATCAATTTTAAATAAATCACACAATTATAATATACTATATATTTTGATTAATTAATAAAACAGAATTTGAAAAATAAATAATTCGGTGAACACATATCATCAAGTATTTGGTGAATTGTGAACCCATGGTTTTTGTAATATTATCTGGAATCATTGAGAAGCTCTTACATGTTTAATCTTTCAAAGACCAAGTTATTCAATATTCATGTAAATTCAAGTATTTGGCAGACAGTGTTTTGGGTATTGGGATTATATTTGTGAACAAGAAACAAATGTGCTCTTCTTTCATAATGCTTGTAATACAGTATAGTATTAGATCATATTATGATATGATCAGTTAATATGATTAGTATTAATCATATTAGATGATTAAACAATTACATACTTTTAGAGTTACACAGTTGAAAATGGAAGAAGGTAAAATATCATTAAGTGTGTGGGTTTTAGAGACAACAGCATTGATTCAAGTCTCTTCTTAACTTTTAATAACAATGGATTTGGTATCTTTAAAAATTTAATTTCATATTTGCAATTGTACAAAATAAAAGTTCCTACTTACTGGAACTATTTTGAAGATTGATTAAGCTAATTTATATTAGCTCCTTAGCATATAATAAATATTAAAAGTACTAGCTCTTTTTGAGGGGAACAAAATTCGGATTTTAAAGAGGGAAAATTCTGCAAAGAATTTCTTGAAATTTTTCCAGAAAATTTACTTTAAAAAAATAAATTTCATTGTATAGATTTGAAATTTTACCACACGGTGTTATGGGATACGTATAGATATTAAAATGGTTACTATAGTGAAGCAGATCATCTCACTCACATATTTCCTTTCTGTGACAAGAGTAGCTCAAGTCTACTTATTTAACAAAAATCCCTAATACAGACCAATGTTATTAACTATAGTCCGCATGTTGTACATGAGATATATAGACTTGTTCATCCTACATTTTCCACTTTTATCCTTTGTCTTACATCTTCCCATTTTCTTCTCCACCTCTAGCCCATAGTAAGCATGGTTTTATTTTTCATCTTTGTTTAATTTACTTTGTTTTGGATTCCACAAATAAGTGAGAAAATGCAATATTTTTCTTTCTGTGGTTTGTTTCACTTAGTGTAATGTCCTACAGGTTCATCTATGTTGTGGCAAATGGCAGGATTTTATTCTTTTAATGACTGAATAATATTCCGTCATATATCTCTATGTATCTATATCTCACAGTTTCTTTATTCATTTGTCTGTCCATAGACACTTAGGTTGTTTCCATGTTTGGCTATTGTGAATAATGCTGCAATGAAAATATTTTTAGAAGGTGGTGGTGATTTCACTTCCTTTGGGTATATACCTAGAAGAGGAATTGCTGGGATGTGTGGTAATTCTATTTTTAATTTGTTAAGGAACTGACATACTGTTTTATATTATAGATGTACCTATCTGCATTCCCACCAACAGTGTGCTAAGGTTCTCTTTTCTCCATAACCTCACCAATATTTATCTCTTATCTGTTAGATAAAAGTCATAATAAGTGTGAAATGATGTCTTATAGTAGTTTTAATTTGTATTTTCCTGCCGATTAATGATGTTGAGAACCTTTTCATATATTATCTGGCAATTATTATATTTTTCATTGAAGAAGTGTCCATTCAGATCCTTTGCTCATTTTTTAATCATGTTGTTTTCTGCTATTGAGTGGTATGAGTTCTTTATAACTTTTAGGTATTAACCCTATATCAGATATGTAGTTTATAATTTTTCCAGTCTATAGTTTGCCCTATCATTTGTTGATCATTTCCTTCGCTGTCCAGAAGTTTTTAAGTCTCATGTGGAATCATTTATTTATTTTTGCTTTTGTAGCCTAGGGTTTTGCTGTGAAATTAAAAAAGAAAAATCTTTGCCAAGGCCAATGTGAAGGAGCTTTCCCCCTGTGTTCTCTCCCAGGAATTTTATGGTTTAAAGTCTTACATCTTTTATCTATTTTGAGTTTATTTTTGTGTATTGTATAAGATAAGGGTCAGTTTAATTTTTTTGCATGTGGAAATCCAGTTTTCCCAGCACCATTTATTGAAGTGTCTCTCCCCATGTGTCTTCTTGATGACCTGGTGGAAGATTAGCTGATAATATATGCTTGGATTTATTTCTGCAATCTCTATTTTGTTCCATTGGTTTGTGTTTTTGTTTTTAAGCCAGTATGATAGTATTTTGATTACTGAAACCTTGCATATAATTTTAAATCGGGAATTGTGATGCCTCCAGCTTTCTTTTTCTTTCTCAGTATTGCTATTGCTATTCAGGATTTTTAGTGGTTCCGTACAAATTTCTGCATTGTTTTTCCTACTTCTGTGAAGAATACCATTGGAATTTTGATAGGGATTGCATTAAATCTACATATTACTTTGCTTAGTATGGACATTTTAACAATATTTATTTTACCGGTCTACGAACAAGGAATATCATTCAATTTTTGTGTCTTCTTCAATTCCTTTCATCATTGCTTTATAGTTTCCAGTGTACAAATCTTTCACCTCCTTGGTTAAATTCATTCCTACTTTACTTTTTGATACTATCACTAATGGGATCATTCCCTTAATTGCTTTTTCAGACTTGTTGTTATTTTTGTATAAAAATACTATAGATTTGCGTATGTTGATTTTGTATTCTGCAACTTTACTGAAGCCATTTATTAGTGCTAAATATTTTTAATAGAATCTTTGAGGTTTTCTACATTTAGGAGTATGCTATCTGTAATAAAGATAATTTTACTTCTTCCTTTCCAATTTGGATGCTTTTTATTTTATTTTACTTATTTTTTTGTTTTATGATTGCTCTTGCTAGTACCTTCAGTACTATGTTGAATATAAATAGCGAGAGTGGGCATCCTTGCCTTGTACCAGACCTTAGTAGGAAAGTTTTAGTTGTTTCTCATCAATTATAATGTTAGCTGTATCATTTTCATAAATGGCTCTAATTATGTTGAGAAATTTTCCTTCCATACTTAAACCACTAAAAGTATTTTTTAACAAGAAAGTATGCCGAACCTTGTCAAATGTTTCTTCTGCATCAACTGAGATAATCATATGGTTTTCATCTCTCATTCTATTAACGTGATATATCACTTTAATTGATTTGCATATGTGAAAACAGACTTGCATGCCAGGGATCAATCCCACTAGATCATGATGTATAATCTTCTTGATATGTTGTTGAATTCAGTTTGCAAATATTTTATTGAAGAATTTTGCATTAATGTTTATCAGCCATATTGACCCATAGTTTTCTTTCCTTTTTTTAAAAAAAAATCCTTTTTTTTTTTTGAAGATGGATTCTCGATTTGTCACCTGGGCTGGAGTGCAGTGGCGCAATCTTGACTCACTGCAACCTCCACCTCTCAGGTTCAAGCGATTCTCCCGCCTCAGCCTCCCAAGTAGCTCAGACTACAGGCATGAGCCACCATTCATGGCTAATTTTTTTGTATTTTTAGTAGAGATAGGGTTTCACCATTGTTTTCTTAATATTACTATTGGGAAATGACAAGTTGGCCAAAGTCTCATGGATGCTAGCAGAAGATAACACTATTGAGAAACTAATTTCTGATTCCAAAAATCTATGTTTTTGCTATATCACCTGCCCTATTATTATGCTTTGTTAGCCAATCACTGCTACTATAGCAGTTTGCTTCAACCCAAGGGAGGGACTAACTTATGTTTGGCTGTCATGAGCATTAAGTTCTTCTGAGACCTCAAAAACCCTATAGTGACACAAGTAAAAGAGACCACCACTGTTGGTTAGCCATGAAGAATACAGGGTTCTGAGACCAGGGGAGAGCTAATTATTGTCAATCTGAATATTGTCTGGAACAGCATATTGAGAGCACTTCCAAGAATTAAGTCAAGATTGTTCAGTGGCCTCTGTCAAGGACACTTCAAAAAGGGTATAAATGTGTATGTCCCACATTTGCCTTTACTGTTTCATTTGAGTATATAAAAAAGCTGATGACCACACACATATTTTTAAAACATGGTCTTCTTTCCTTTGGGAAATATTTTAAAACCAAATACTCTTCATCTTTTCAAATGCAAATATAGCTTCCCAGGACTTTTACATAACATAAAACACTCATAAAAATATTTTACACACATAAAAACATTTTATGAGTATTTGCGAGGAGTTCCCTTAAACTCAAGACATATAAAAATGATTCCTCTTTACTTTGATAAAGGATCTTTGATTTATTCAAAAGTCCACCAAGTATAGGAAGACATGTAAGCAAATCACATTTATAGTTAGAATGACATGTTGAAACGCAGCTGTGAACTAGTAGATCAGGTAAGCCTACTGTTTAGGATGTTCAGGGTATAATAAGTTTTTATATATTTTTGTTACTTGAAAGTCAAAATACTGAAGATTATACAGGCAAATGTTGTACTTATCTGGTTTTTATTTTGATGCTTACTTATTTTTTTAATTTAATAAAGTATATTATTTTATCCAGGAAGGAAATGCCAAGTTTTTCTTCACAGGAAAGTTTATAGAAAAATATTTGCAAATATATCTTTAAATATGTGTATATCTCTAAATATACACATCAATAACAACCAAAAATATATATATCTCATTCAAGATGGTTCACTGATCCCAATAATGCTTAAATTTATACTTAAACTTAAATGTTTGCATTTGTATTTCCTAAACCTGCTTAGCACTATATGTTAGATAACCAATTGCTATTCGCAGTGTTCATATAATATGTTATATCTATTCAGATTATACCCTTGTATATGTGCAAAATTATTTTTAAAGGACATATATAAAATCTGAAAAACCATTTATTAATTTAAACATTTTTTAAACTTTCTATTATTTTTCTTATAAAAGTGTCATAAGAATATCTGGCATCCTCTTGGTAAGAGAATAGATATAGTTAATGAAAGCACAGTGCTGAGACTATTTTTCAGCTTTATGGAAATATAATTGACATAAATTTTGTATACTTCAAGTGTACCATATGATGATTTGATTGCATATGCAATGTAAAATGATTATCAAGATCAAGTGAGTTAACATACCCACATCACTTTCCATTGTTACAATTTTTTGGACATGTGATGAGATCTACTCTTAGCAAATTTCAAGTATGCAAGAGTATTACTCACTATAATCTGAGATTTTATTTAAATTGATAATTATCTGAAGCATGAGAATAAATTCACAATTCTATATTCAAAACTTGAACATACGTTAAATAAATATGTAGCTACAAACAATGTTTGAAAGAACATGGAGATATTCAACATCGAAAGGTTACCGTGATTTCATCTGAGTAAACCATTTAATAGGGAAAAAAACCTTAAGTTTCATTTCTCAGGTTTTTAGAGGTTAGAGGACATTTTGCTGTACTCTAAAGAGGGAAAGTTATGAAAGGAGCATTTTTATCCATTTTGTCAACCTTTTACTTACTCATGTGCAAAGGAGAAGAAAGAAATTACTGAACTGATAAAACCGGAAAAGGGATTTAACTGTATTTGACTAAGGACTTTTCTCTTTTTTGTCTCCTTCTACTTTTCTTCATTAAGACACATGGATCAGGTCCCCAACCTAACTTCTGGAGGAATTCTGAGTGCCTAGGTAACTATCTACATAGACCAACACCCTATATTAAGAAAAATCCATGACAAAAGTTATGCAGAATATAAACTAGAAAAAGCAACTGGAAACCAGACCTACCTAAGTTTTACATACTATAAAACTGTAGATAGTATTCCCAAGTCTATCGAAATTCTCCTCAGTGATGAATAAAATCACAAAAATTGCTGTGCAGAGAGATATGATAATGGATAGGAAGGATATGAGGGTGAGGAGAACCAATATTTATTAAGCATCCACTGTGCTTCAGGAAAAACATCACGTACACTTTTCCCACTTCTAAATCCTCAGATCCTAGAATTTTGTCTGGAATATATTAGGAACTCAATTATTGTCAAATGAGTGAATGAAAAATAATAAATATATTGCTTTCTTCCAGAATTATTGCAATAATTTCTTATTAATTCCCTCCTTGCATTCTGCACATGTCTACCAGAATGTTGCAGTAAAGAGCTGGGGCTAAGAATGGAAATTATTTTGAAATAAATACAATTCTAAGGGTTATGAAATAAAGAATATGGATGTTCCAAATCCCTGTAGTTACAGCCTGTCACAAAGAGTTACAAATGGGTTTTCAAATATTAAGCCTAATTCGCTCACTTAGTTTTAATTATGTGAGGGTTTACAGAGTAAGAATGCAGTTGTCTAGCTTTTCAAGGGAACTAAAAACAGAAAAAAAAAAGAATGGCATGCACTAAACTGTGATTCATTGCATATATAATCGTCTGAAACTGCAACTTAGAAAGTTACACAGTTTTAACGTGTAAGTAATGCAGAGATTAATGATATAACATTATTGCTTTGACAGCTAAACAGATAACTCTAGATAAATTTCCACTGACATATCTGAATACTGTATAAATAAACTGAATGACCTTTATATATGTAGTTGACTGTAGAGAAGGGAGCTAGCTTAATATATGTAACACCAAGAGTACTAGATAGCTGAAGCTTAATATCAAAAAGAAAATCAATATACATTATGAAATATTTAAAACATAACATTTTTAGCATTACAAAAACAACATAATACAGGCTATACCCTGCAATGTTACATAACTCAGACTAGAGCAGTACTTAATATAAGAAAATCTAGGACAAGTAAAAATAGATACCTATGTTCTAATAGAATATTGAAGTATATACTAAGGGTAGATATTCAAAGAGTTGTAAAAAATTCTGCTTTAATAAGTAATCACATTTTTGTGTTTAAAGTTTAAACTGTGCTTCTGGAACACTGAAATGCTCCAGTTCTAATATCATTGAGCAACAATTCAATATAATGAATTCCAGCTTTTTAAACAACATTTCCAATTTTAATTGAGTTTTGATAAATAGCAATAATTGCATGAGGCTTAGTAAGAAAAGTTACCATAAAATAATCTTTTAAGGCTTTGTTTAAATAAATAGTTCATGGGCATTATTTCCTAGATTAATTCAACTTGAATTAGTCTATTAGGAGATCACATTGAGGTTTAGATATATTGATTTTTGCCATTTTATGTTGTAAAATTTAATAGGTCAAAGAAATGATTTCTGGGAAGACATAATCATAAATTGGTGAGATTCACAAAATAAGGTTATTATCCCCAGTGAAATATGACTTGAGATAAAAAATATAAAAATTATTTTAGTTACAACAAGTAGATTATAGATGCATGTGTATATGTGGGTGTATATATATATGTATATACACACACACACACATACATATACACATACATGCATATAATGTATATTTATCCAGCATATACCTAAAGAGGAGATCAGGGATCGTATCTTGAAATTTTAGAAAATATTGCCGTTTTCTGAAGGCTTTTCTGAGCAGTGATTTTTAAAGGGCCTATGGTTCACCCTGTCTTTGGTAGAAATGTAAACGTAAAATCTTATTTATAATTTAGTAGCAACAATTACTCACAGGTTTAATTATATAACTAAAGTGCCAGAGTTTATTTGAAGATTGTTACTTTTTGAAACTGATGTATTTATAGGAAAGCAACTGAAATTAGAACAGATGGAGTTATAATTTTAAAATAGCATAAAGAATTACTGAAAATAATTTACAGTATTATTCTATCTCTTGTTGGATCCATTCTAAATATCTTTTCTTTTGAAGCTTTCTACAATATTTTATTTTATTTCACAACCTCTTCATAAACTTTACAACCTTAACAATTTTTTAAAAATCTTTTTCATACTAATGCCCATATTATTATACTCTCAAATTTAATAAGTTAATAAGCTAGTCATTTAATAATCTAGTCATTACCAAGTAACAAATTCAAAATAGTTCTCTATTACTTATATAATCTTGACATTAAGAAATTGAAAGAGGGATGCATCTCAGAATGCCTATAAGAACATATTAGTTTATTTTAAAACAAAAAAATGAATATTCAAAATTTGCAAAAGAAGTAAATAGACTCAACAACTGGTTTGTTTTTATCCTGGAAAAATGTATTTTAAGACTTGGTTCCAAGCATTCAAGTCTCAGTCAACTTAAACACGATAAACTTTAACTTTTAAATAAGATAAACTGGAATGATATGTTTTCACATCATTGTGAATCTCTTCTGAATGTACTAGATTTATATTTCTGAATAATAAAAAAAGACACACAACCCGTAGGATTGTGTGAATGTCTCTAAATATTATGAACATTTTCAACATGAACATGAACAGAATTATTGTTTCATTTAGTAGCGAGATGAATGACAAGCGCTACCATTTAAGAGCATTTACTATATGCCTGCTCTTTGTGAATCTGTTTACATAAACTGTCTCATTTAATCTTCACAATGGCCCATGGGAAAGCAGTTATCTCCCTTCTATTGCAAGTAAGAAAACAAGTTTAAGGAGGTTAAATTTCATCCTTACAGTCATGCAGTTACTAGATAGGTAGCGCGGAAATTTAAATCCAGTTCTTATTCCAAAGCCTAAACTTTTACCCAGGCTGGAGTTCAATAGTGCTATCTTGGCTCACTGCAACCTCTGCCCCCCAGGTTGAAAGAAGTCTTGGCGCCTCAGCCTCCCGAGTAGCTGGTATCACATGCCACCACTCCAGGCTAATTTTTGTATCTTTAGTAGAGATGGGGTTTTGCCATGTTGGCCAGGCTGGTCTCGATCTCCTGGGCTCAAGCAATCGGCCTACCTCAGCCTTCCAAAGTGCTGGGATTACCGGAGTGAGCCACTGCTCTAGGCCCAATTACTACTTTACGTAAAGGACTGAAATACTGGCCTAAAAATGCCGGGCTAAAAACAAACAAACAAAAAAACAGAAAAGCAAATCTGTGGGAACTTAAGCAGAAAATAATAAGAGCAAATATTAACAGAATGGATGTCAAATAAATAGAACCAAGATTATGAAAATATGTTCCTTACAAAAGCATAATTAATAGGCAAATCTCCGGAAACATAAACGAAAAGAGATAAAAGACGTAGTAAAAGATTTGTTAAGAAAAATTGTGATACTGCCATAAATACAGCAGAGAAGAGATTTTAAACACTATAAATAGAGGCTGTGGAAAAAATTTCCAAGAAATTTAGATACAATGTGTCATTTTGAGTAAATATATGTAAAAATAACACTGTAAAGTTAAAAATAAAATTGACAAAGTTGAGTTAATATCAAAATTACTGTTTGCCCTACCTTTTGCCAAAATAGATAGTAGTCCCAAAAGATAAACTGTTGAGTGCTGAACTTTATGAAACATATCTCTATTATTAACAAGCAGGAAGCATTTTATTGAACAAAAATAAAGGAAATGGTACTTAACTAGTATTATAGGTCTAGTAAAAACTGGCCAAGAACAATTCAAGAAAAAATTAAACTGACTTCACTTACAGAGATTGATGCAAATTCATCACAAATAAATATATCAAATTCAGTATAGGGGAAACAGCATTTTCATAAAGTGGTTCATCTTTAAAAAGCAAGGATATCTTAATATCAAAAAAATTATTAATAAAATATATCTTACCAGATTGAAGAAGGTAAAACACATGTTCACTTCAGTAGATGCAGAGAAAGAATTTTATAACATTTAAGCTCTATTCTCAACAAAAACAATTTCTTAGCCAGTTAGCAATAAAAGGAAATGTTCTTAACTCAATAATGGATATCTTCGGGTGGCTTATGATTTAATATTATTTAAAATATGAGTTTTTAGAAGTATTCACATTGAAATCCTGAGTAAGTCAAAAATTATCTCTGTCACCATTTATATTAAACTTCTTATTTGAAGGAACAGATGAAATAGATTGAGAAGAAGCAAAAACTGGAAATAAGGAGCAAATATAAAAACTGCCATGAAGTGCAGCTTATATGAATTTCTACATTAAAAGACCAGACACATTCTAAAAGCTAAGTTGGAGGTTTAAAGAATAGAAAATATTTTTAAAAATAAAAAAGGGTTTATTATAAATCAGTATTAATGACAATCATAAATTGGCTTGTTATTTACATTAAAAACCAATGAAGAGAGAAACTGGAATCTTGTACAGAAACATTGGGAGAATGGTAAATGGTTATAACCACCCTATAAAAATATTTGACAGTGTATCTCACAAGTTGGACCTAGTAATCCTGGATATATCCCCATTGAAAATGTGGATTCACAAAAAAAGACATGCACATGACTGTTCATGTCAGTACTATCCATTAAAGCCAAAAACAGTAAACAACTCAAATATAAGATATTTAATACATGATGGTGGGATACTTAAACGTTCATCTAAAAGAAAAATAGAAAAGAAAATGAAAGAAAAATAGGTAAGAAAATGAAAGAAAAATAGAATTGTCCCTAAGACTGTACATAAAATCAATTCCTGGCAAATTAAAGGTTTAAATTTCAAATTAAAAAAAGAAAGAATTAAAAATCTTGTTCAAAATAAAAAGAGTGAATATCTGATTGATTAAAGAATGAAAGCATTTCTTTAAAAAGATATTGCCTATGAAGGTAAAGATGTATAAATTAGACTATGTTAAATTAGCTCTGTGTGTTCAAGTAGACACACCATAAAATTTAAAGTTAGTCTCAGACTAGGATAAAGTATTTGCAGAGATTAAATTAATATTATTGAGACTATGAAAAGCATTCCTGTTTATGAATAAGAAAGATATACAATCTATTAGAACATTATCTGTAAGTTTGGGGAACAAATGTGGAGAAAGGAAATTTACATATGCTATTGCTAAAAGTTTGATTTGGCACAACTATTTTGTATTGTTATTTTAACAATAGCTATCAAAATTAATAGCTGAGATTTACTATCACCTGGCTATTCTAATTCTGTATATACTAGATAAACCCCTGTGCATATGTTAGGCAAATTTGGAAGAAAATATACAAATTTGTGATAGTCATATAATTTACTACTAAACAGCAAATTGAGTAAATAAATCAGAGGTGTATGTAGCAATGAGGCTAAATGAAATGACATTGTGTGAAAAATCAAGTTGCCAATAATTTGTATGATATTTTGATATTTATATAAAATTTGAAAATATGCAACCAAGGCAATATTTTTCTTCTTGGTATACACCCATATATCAAAGAAGAACAACATGAAATTATTAATATTAGTTACTTCTGAAAATGCAGAGGTCAGTGTGATGGAATGAAGTAGGTGAAGGGTTAGTGAAAGGTACTCTGGAAATTCAGCTACCTCCAACCTTCATTTATTTAGAAATATGAAAACATGTAGAAATGTAAAATGTGAAAATGTAATGGAAATGTGGTAGGAGATACATGTTTTACATGAAATCTTTATATTTTTCTGTAAGCTTGTTTCATAAATTTTTAAAAAGAAGTGATTATTCTATTAACAAATCAAACAATTATTTGACTAGGGCTAGAGGAGCATAAAAAAATATGTTAACTAAAAACCATCACAGAGGAAATAACTACAATGCAATTATAGCTAATATTTCTATCATTCTAATTTCAGTTGAGAGAAAGAATAAATTCTCTTTCTGTTTTAAAAGGGAAAATTTACTAGTGGGAATCAGTTAATTGCAAAATTCACAGAAAGGGCTGAAAAAACAGAATCTAGGCTTGATTCTGAAATTACCAAAAGGTTATTTGTTATTTGTCTTTCATAACCATGAATGTGGCAGTATGACGTCAGAGAAACAGACTCAACAGGATAGGCAGGTAGATAGATAGATAGACAGACAGACAGACAGACAGATAGATGATAGATTTATTATAAAATCTTATGGAGGTTGAGCAGCCCCAATACAACATATGTACTCAGCAAGCTGTAGAATCAGGAGAGCTGATAGTATAAGTTTCAATCCAAAAGCCAGCACACTTGACATCCAAAGAGAGCTAATGTTTCTGTTTGAGTGTGAAAGCAGGAAAAGACCAATATTTCAACTCAGGCACTCAGGCAGACGTTTCCTCTTATAGACAGAGGGTCAGTCTTTTTGTTCTGTTTAGGTTTTCAACTGAGTGGTTGAGGCCTACCCATAATTGAGAGGACTATACGCTTTACTCAGTCTACCAAGTCAAATGTTCATCTCATCCCATAACACCCTCATAGACATACCCAGAAAGTGTTTGACCAAATAATCTGGGCACCTGTGGCCCAGCCAAGTTGACACATAAAATTGTCTAGCACAGTGGGGAACCAGGAAGGTGCTGTTAAAACACTTAAATTCAATAATGTTAAAATTGCTGAAATTGGAAGATTGAATAGCAGCTACCAATAAAACTGCCTCTTAAAACCCATGCTATTTAAAAATTATACACATCTATCTATTCAGACATAAACTTCCACATTAAAACCAATTGCAACAAGCCATCTACTAATTTAATGCAATTATTTTCATAAAAGTAAAAACACATTTTTTTTCCTCAAAAGTTTCAACTACCTGAAAAGGAAAGATCAAATATTTCCTTTGTCATTATCTGTATCTCTGGATAATGCTTATTTATTTTCTAGTTCACTCATAGTCTCACCTTAATGTCCTATGCTTCATCTCTGTTTGGAATCTTTACATAATGGGGTGACTCACTCAGAATTTTTTTTATGTCAGTCTCATTTAAGAATGTTATTGATGAAGTTAATACAATGTATTAATTTTATTAAATATTTGTTCTTGGATACACATCATTTATTATTCTGTGTGATAAAATGGGCAGATTGCATAAAACAGTTCTGCTGAATACTAAAATATAATGTTCATCTGACATAAAATAATTTGTAATGGATTGAATTACAAGCTGAATTATCTACTTTTTTCACAGAATGAAAAGTTTTACTTGAAAGAACGACCAACCAAATATAGCTATTCATACTCTAAATTATTTGTCAGATGTATGATTTAAAAAATGAACAAAGTTAACATGTAACCTCAAGGACAAAAACTGACAGCAATTTTTGTTAATGATAAAATTTCAGTTTTTAAGTGAAAATTA
Organism: Homo sapiens; assembly: GCF_000001405.40. NCBI lineage: Eukaryota > Metazoa > Chordata > Mammalia > Primates > Hominidae > Homo > Homo sapiens. Next base: position 175,230,655 of record NC_000004.12, read on the forward strand.
AAATTTTGCAAAATGTGGAACCACCATTGTGAAGGTGATGTCCTCTAACACTAATATCTCTTCTGATGAGAATGTTGTGAAATTAAACAATGTGATTTTTAAATTGTTATATTGAGATATGTGAAATGTGGAAGTTCTGCACTACTCAGTGAACTGATATTTTCCAAATTGGTAAAATAAGTATCCAAAATTCAAGGTTTACCAATAGATATTAAGGTAGTGGTGTATAAACCAATTATTGGTATGATTTCAGTTAGTTTCCTTGATTGCAAATAACGTTTAAGAGACTACCACGCATTGAGTTTGAGAATAGTACCTGAGAAGATATCTATAATTATCTGAAAATATTATTAAAATCCTTCCTCTTTTGTGAACACATGTCTCTGTGAGACTGTTTTTGTCTTCATATATTTCAATCATTAAATTAGATGGCAATATATAGATATATTGATGTATATGGCAAAATATATTGAGATATATATATATATCAAACTGAAAAGTAGTGGCTTAAACAAGTTAGAAGTTAATTTCTCTTTCATTAAAAATTGGTTATGTAGACAATTGAGAGAATTATATAACAGCCCCACAATTGTTAAAGACTGCATGTACCAGGCCAAGCTTATGGTATAGAACTCATCATCACTATGCCCCAATGTGGAATTCCAGCTGTTATATTCCTGTTCCAAGCATCAGCTTGAAGAAATAAAGGAAAAAACAGCAAAGCACACATACCAGCTATCTTTTAAGAAAGTCAGCTAAATGCTACTACAGGCCACTTGCACTTGTATCTCATTACAAGGATGTAGTTTCATGACCAGCCAAATCAAACTGCAAGGGTGTTTGGAGACTATAGATTTCATTCTGGATAGTCATATACTGACCCAAATATTCTGGAAGTTAGTGATGATATGAAGAAGGATTCAACTTGCAGGTTTAAGCCCTGGTTCTTCTCCTAACTGGCTGTATAACCTTTGTCACATTATTTAAGCTTTCTAAGCCTTAGTTTATTTATTTGTATAATGGGACTATTTACAGTACCTATCTCATAATGCCATTATTATGATAATAATTTGAAAGAACTTAGAAAATTATGTAGCATATTTTATTCAGTGTACAACAAATGCTAAAATAAATACAATTACATATAAAAAACATGTTTTAAGAGTTTAAAATAGGCTGATATTCTAGGAGTGCTACAAGATGATTTAGATATATAAAACCTCTGTCATTCCTCATACATCGTTTTTCCTTATTGAAAAGTTGGTTAAAAACACATTTTAATGCTTTTGGGAAAGAGAGAAAGAGAAAAGCTCCAGCTATAATTTGACAGAGAAGGGATTGTAGGAAACAGACATAACTGATACAGAGTTTTTGTTGTGGGATTGTAAGGTATAAAAATAATTTGTTAATTCTCATAGAATATTCATTATAGTTTATTTTTATAATTCAAAATAAATCAAACCATATTGAAAATCATCTCAGCCTAGTGGAATTAGTAGGGAATCAGCAATCTAGATCTTGGCATTCTATCTCCTTAAAATTTTGATTCATGACCTATGTTTGTGCTGAGCTATGAACATGAGGGGTTGATAGACAGATACAGAATACTGTGTGTTGAGGCCATCAGCAGATCCATCAGTAAGTTCCCTCTTCACAGACTAGCAGGTTATAGAGCTACAGGGTTAAACAGAATAAGCTAACATTGTTAAAGTTCAAAGATGAAAAAACAATCTTTTGGAAGGAGGTGAGCAAGATACACTTCATGAAGAAACTCTAATTACAGTAGTACATTATGTATAGGATTTAGATAAAAGATACAAAAGCTTTATTCTGAAAAAATCAGAAAAGTATTATCAAAATCGTAAGAGTGGACATATTCAGAATTTGTCTCCAAAAAAATTGACTTGTGGAATGATTTGAAGTAATACGATACAGACATGAGCTTTTAAATTGTAGATGTCTTGTATGACAAACTAAGGATTTATATATGCCAATTACAGGTATCAGAATGCTGTTGTAATTTTATGAACAAGCAGGTTGCATGATGGAAGCCATATTTTCAGTGCATCATTCTAAAGCAGTATGAAGCAGGAAATGGAGGGTAAAGAAAGAAAGGCTATGGAGGCAAAGAATAACAAAGCCTGATGTGAAAATGGCCAAAAGTTAAAAGAATATAAATTTCACCTTAACTGGTACTAGCAGAAAAGGGTGGAGATTCTACCCCTTTGGAGTAAGAGTCTTTCTTGTCTTTTCAATGTTCTAATGATATATTTGGTGGCAATATATCATTGGTTTTAAAAAGACTTTCGAGGTGATGCTATTATTTATTTATATTTAAAAAATTGTCAGCCCATTCCTCTGGACAAGTAGGTCTAGAATGGACACCAGAAATCTGTACTATGACCAGATGATGTTTTTATACCAGCCATGTTTGGAAACTGCCTAATCAGATTAATGTGAAGTGTTCTTCCACCTCTTAAGTCTAATTTCTGATAAAATATTATGTCACTTTAACAAATCATAAATGGCAAAATACATTTTCATTTGTTTTAAAAAGTGCATTCACTATGTCCTAAAGCAGGGGTCCCCAACCCCCAGGCTGCGAAACAGTAGCGGTCCGTGGCCTGTTAGGAACCGGGCCACACAATGGGACATGAGCAGTGGGCAAATGAGCTGAGCTCTGCCTACTGTCAGATTAGCAGAGCCATTAGATTTTCATAGGAGCAGGAACCCTATTGTGAACTGAGCATGCAAGGCAGGTAGGTTGCCCGCTCCTTATGAGAATCTAATGCCTGATGATGTGAAGTGGGACAGTTTCATCCCCAAACCACCCATCTGCTAACTCTCACCCGCCTCTGCTCCCCATTCGTGGGAAAATTGTCTTCCATGAAACTGGTCTCTGGTGCCAAAAAGGTTGGGAACCCCTGGCCAGAAGGATAAATCTTTAAGTGCAATAATACCAAGATGTGGATCTTTGTAACTTGGCTCATAGATATATATCAACAAATAATTGTGATTTTAATTGCAATATCATAACATAAAATTTATTTACAGATAGTCCTAGGGGTACATCAGATAATCTCTCTGCCAGAGACTATTTCTACATAAAAATTATATAACTGAAAGATTTTCCCACACTGCTTACATTTAAATAACATTTTGATTTGAGATTCAGCTTTTACTAAGAAAGCTAGTATTATTTATCTATTGTTTTTGCCTCAAAGTCTTTTCTATTTCTTGATTAGACTCACCTAACATATTATGGTCTGCATGACAGTTTAATCTTGTCACTGTCTGTAATTAAGTTATAATTAGTTTAAAGATGAACTTTAGTGAATCTGTAAAACATTCTTATCTGATCGACCTATTAATTTTGTCCTTTCTTAGGTCAAGTTGCCACTATTTATGATTAATTTTTGTGTAGGCTTAGTCTCACAAACTAAATGTACTATTCATAGGTTTGAATAATTTAATACTCAACAATGTGAAGATAGGTTAAACTGCATATAAATTTAGGAAGGACAATATTGCTTTTGAAACTAAACCTTGAAAAATTTGAAACTTGAAAATATTGTAATCTTTAATGTGATACGAATAAACAGCCTTTATTCACTAATGACAGTTTTTAGACCCCAAAGATGCAAGAGCTGAACAGCAACTTCCTGAGGCTATTTTATCATTGTGTTTGGCAACATTATGACCATTGATATTCCGAGAGATAATGTGTCATCTGACAGGACACAGAACAGCAAGAACATTTAGTCTGATGTGTATCAGCAGGATGAATATAGTAATATTTTTATTGTGACCATGTCACCTACAATTTGCAAATGACTGTATAAGGAACTTTCCTATTTACTGCCTCCTGCAATAAACTAAAATGAAGAAAAATTTTAAAGCCTCACTGAAGTTTTATTTTAATATGTTAGTTAAAGAACAAGGAAATTATAGTGCAAAGATAAGACATGGAAATCAGCCTGGTAACATATTTTTAGGATATCCAACAGAGTGCAACAGAATGAGAAAACGTTGGATAAATGGAAATGTCTGCCGTTTTTGCTGAGATCACATGTATATATGGCTACAGAGAAGATACCACTGAGTTATCTTTCAATGTAAAATCTAAAATTGGTGATAACAAATGCTAAACACAAATTTCTTTATGCAGATTAAAATATAACTAACAGAAAATAAAAACATCTCAATTTTTATTAACTATCAACCAAGTAATTTAATTTCATAAGGGTCAACAAAGCCAAAGACTACAGGCATTACCTACTCTACATTCTATAATAATAAAGTTTTTAATATTCTCTTGATTCACTCCACCTACAAAGACAGTCTTCTGTGTTCTAACCTTAGTATGAACAAAATACTTAATTAGTCTATAAATGATACCAAACAAAGGAAAAGTGGTCACAACAAGTCCCTAAGTGTTTAATTATCACGTTGGCTGACTAACTCAAGAAGACATGAAGTAACCTATTGAACTTAATTATACACTGACCTCATTTAAAGAACCATTTCTGTAAGCTGCTTGCTCAAGCTTATCCTAGTTTTATGTCCTCACAAATTCTTTCTTGAAGAATTAGTCCTAAATAGTTTCATATAGTAACTATCATACTATTATCAGGCATTTCAACCATCTTATTGCTGAATAATACATTAATCAAAATGCAATAATGATTTGTAAAGAAGCACATTGCTTTCTTAAACTGTAATGTATATTAATTGAAAAGAAATACACCATTGGACCATTCATAAGTGAATTATTTTATTTTTGAGACAGGTTCTCACTCTCTCATTGTGATGGTTAATATTGAGTTTTAACTTGATTGGATTGAAGGATGCAAAGTACTGATTCTGGGTGTGTCTGTGAGGGTTTTGCCAAAGGAGATCAACATTTGAGTCAGTGGACTGGGAAAAGCAAACCCACCCTTACTCTGGGTGGGCACAACCTAATCAGCTGCCAGCATGTCCAGAATAAAAAGTAGGCAGAACATGAAAAAACTAGACAGGCCTAGCCTCCCAGCCTACATCTTTCTCCCATGCTGGATGCTTCCTGCCCTCACACATCGAACTCCAAGTTCTTCAGCTTTGGGACTCAGACTGGCTTCCTTGCTCCTCAGCTTGCAAATGGCCAATTGTGGGACCGTGTGATCGTGTGAGTTAATAATAAATATATTTAATTTATATATCTCCTATTAGTTCTGTCCCTCTAGAGAACCCTGATGAACAACTCATCCAGGGTGGAGTAGAGCTCACTGTAACCTTCTACTCTTGGGCTCAAGTGATCCTCCTGCCTCGGCCTCCCAAGTAGCTAGGACTACAGGTGCATGCCTGAGTGAATGTTTACGTGGCATTCGCAATATTTTAACTGCAATATTTCTCAAGTACTGTGTCAAATATTCAGAAATACCAACTCTTGGAATTTACTCTAGAAAAATGCATCCTAAAATATTGTTTTAATTCTTTCTGATATGATAAAACTTATTATAAGTTAATTCTTTCCATACTTTTGATGTGTGCTTTCTGTTTAAGTGTCTTGAAATATTTCATCATTAGATTAAAGAAAATATGTTATACATTTACCAGTAGAAAACATATCATAATAGGCGATTCTTATCTTACTTTACAGTATTCTCATTCTGAATTTTTTATTATTTGTGTTTTATTATGTGTGTTTCTTTCATTAGCCTTAAAGAAATTACCAGTGAATAATAATAACAATGATGCTAGGTAAATAAGGGTATTACGGTAGATCACAACAATAGAATGCTATTCATATATTAAAAAATACAAAGAAAAAATGTATACTTTCAAAATAGACATATTTCAAAGTGAGGGGTGTTGACTATGGTTAAGGTTTTTATATAATAATATGGACAATAAATTATTGTAACTTATTTAAAAAATATAGCCATACCTGCATCTCCTCGTACATACACACACAGCATACTCATCTTCTTTTCTATTTAAATATTTTCAGTTGAATATTCATTCAGAAAATTCCCTTGACTTACAGAACAGACATCCTTGACAAACTGAAAAAAAAGACAAAGAAATATTTCATACCATACAAAGACATAAATATTAAAATGTGCTAACATTTTAGAAGCACACATTAAAATGTCAAAATAATTCTCCAAAGTAGAGCCTTTGTAAATTAAATGGAAAATTATTATCCAAGCTACATACAAGAAATGATTGTCCAAGTTTTTTTCCTCAAAGTCTCCAAAAATATTAGGTACATGACAGTAATAGAAAAGAAAAATTATTTCCCCCCAAAGTCAAGGGACCATAAAATACTTTAGCAGAGTAATAATCAATTAAAAAATATCTTACAAACAACAGTTAACTCAAAAGAAGACAGAATTTTTACTGATTTTGTAGTGGGACCAGTTTTTAAAATTCTACTCTTAATTCTCTAGAATTTGGGAGAAACAAACACAAGCTCAATACAACCAATAAAAGAATGTCAAGCTCTGAAATGTATTTAGAAATACAGCGTTTTTCCTACAGCCTCTCTGCCTTTTTTCATCTTTGTTCTCTCTAGAATTATCAATGAGCTCAGGCTAATGTATCTATACATTCTCCTGTATATATAGACATATTTTATATACATATACACACAGGCACATAAAGACATTAAATACATATAAATACATTATACATACATATATGTGTGTTTATTTTTTTACAAAAACAAGGCCCTTAATGTTACATCTATATATAAATAAAACAATAATCACAATACTTTTTACTAATACAAATGAAATGCATAATTTGCTCATATAAATCAAGACCTTTGGATTACTATTATCTCATCATTTTCTTGGCCTTCTTTTATAAATATTGGCTTTTATTGTAATAATTTAGAACTTTCCGTTCTAGTCTATTTTGGACGTTTTCTTAACGTGCATTATGTACTGCATAACATTCGGGTTAAGGATGAACCACATATACAGCCAGTGGTCCCATAAGACAGGGGCTCCCAACCCCTAGGCCACTGATGGGTGCTGGTCTATGGCCTGTTAGGACTGGGCCGCATAGTAGGTGGTGAGTGGCAGGCCAAGTGAGCATTACCACCTGAGCTCTGCCTCCCGTCAAATCAGCGGCAGCATTAGATTCTTTTTTTTGTTTTTGAGACGGAGTCTCCTCTGTCGCCCAGGCTGGAGTGTAGTGGCGTGATCTCGGCTCACTGCAAGCTCCGCCTCCCGGGTTCACGCCATTCTCCTGCCTCAGCCTCCCGAGTAGCTGGGACTACAGGGGCCCACCACCATACCTGGCTAATTTTTTGTATTTTTAGTAGAGACGGGGTTTCACCGTGTTAGCCAGGATGATCTTGATCTCCTGACCTCGGGATCCGCCCACCTCGGCCTTTCCAAGTGCTGGAATTACAGGCATGAACCACCACTGCCGGTCTTTTTTTTTTTTTTTTTTCTGACAAGAGTCTTGCTCTGTCGCCTAGGCTGGAGTGCAGTGGCGCGATGTCGGCTCACTGCAACCTCCGCCTCCCGGGTTCAAGCCATTCTCCTACCTCAGCCTCTCAGGTAGCTGGGACTATAAGCATGCGCCACCACACCCGGCTAAGTTTTTTGTATTTTCAGTAGAGATGGGGCTTCACCATGCTGGCCAGGCTGGTCTCGAACTCCTGACCTCAAGTGATCCACCTGCCTTGGCCTCCCAAAGTGCTGAGATTAAAGACGTGAGCCACTGCGCCTGGCCTAGAGTCTCATAGGTGCACAAACCCTGTTGTGAACTGTGCATGCGAAGGATCCAGGTTGCCTGCTCCATCTAAGGCTTGATGATATGAGGTGGAAGAGTTTCATTCTGAAACCATTCTCCCCACCACACCACACCAGCCCCATTCGTGGAAAAATTGTCTTTCACAAAAACGAGTCCCTGGCGCTAAAAAGGTTGGAGACAGTTGCCGTAGATTTTAATGGAGATGAAAATTCCTATCAGTTAGTGACATCAGAGCCATCACAGCACCCTAGTACAATGAATTACTTACATGTTTGTGGTGATTCTGGTGTGAGCAAACCTACTGTGCTGCTACTTTTTAAAATTATAATAAAAAGTTTAAAAAGTGTATTAAAATAGAAAAGAGCTTAAAGAATAAAAATATAAAGAAAAATATTTTATAGTGCTTTAAAACGTGTGTTAACCTCTGCTGTTACAAAACAATCAAAAGTTTAAAATTTAAAGAGTTTATACAGTAAAAATGTTACAGTAAACTAAGGTTAATTTATAATTGAAGAAAATGTTTTAAATAAATTTAGTATAGCCTAAATGTACAGCATTTATAAAGTCTACAGTAATGTACCATAATGTCCTAGGCCTTCACATTCACTCACAACTCACTCACTGACTCACCCAGAGTAACTTTCAGTCCTGAAAGTTTCATTCATGGTAAGTGCCCTATAAAGGTATACAGTTTTTTAAAATCTTTGATACCATATTTTTACTGTACCTTTTCTATATTAAAGTGTGTTTAGAAATGCAAATATTAACATTTACCATTGAGTTATAATTGCCTACAACATTTAGTACGATGACATGCTACAAAGGTCTCTAGCCCAGGAGTAATAGGCTATACCATGTAGCCTAGGTGTGTAGTAGGCTACACCATCTAGGTTTGTGTAAGTACACTTTATGATGTTTACACAATGATGAAATCACCCAATGACACATTTCTCAGAATGTATCCCTGTCATTAAGCAGTACGTGACTGTATGTTTCTTAGTTTTCAGAAACCTTACTTCCCCTTTATATTATAAATTTCTACTCACAGTGTCATCTTGCATTTTACTACATATTATGGGAAAAATTATTATGCACTATGATTCCTTCTCTTCACCTTTTGTAACTTGATATTTCTGCTATAACTCACTTTTAATTTCATTATTTAATTTTGTTAAGTATTTTCCTTAAAGGAAGTTCATGGATGTTATGCTTTCTAAATTTTGACATATGCATATATGTCTGCAATTTGTCATCACACATGAGTGTTGTCATGGCAGGTTTAGTTTTCTTGTGTATCCATCATTTTATTTCAGTAGTTATAGTTAATTGTGTTCTGGTTTTCAATGCAGTCTTTACATTTTATTAAGATTTCTTATCATGCTTTATATATTCATGTATAATTTAATATATATTTTAAATATCCAGCTATATAAAAATTTTCTAAGGACATAACCCAAGATTTGTGATTTATTTTTATCACACATACTATAGCTGAATCAAAGATAAGAGTCTTACTAAGTTGGAATAAGAATACTTAATTTTTGTAGATAATTTTTATCATTTAAAAGATACTTTAATGTTTGTGCTTATTTATTCTTAGTTACATCTTTGAGACCTAGAGTTCTATCACTATTTAAGAGATGAAGGAATTAAGTCTTGTCAAATTTTAATGCAGTATTCCACCACTATAATTTCAAAACATGTAACACAGGAAAATGTAACACTAATGAAACTTACCAGTGAATATAAGTTATAAATTATTAACCAGGGACAAGCCAAATAGCTCTTTTGCTTGATGGCCCAGTGTATTTAATTTCATTTATAATATATACATTGGGATGGTTCATATAAAACTTTAAATAGTAGTATTCATTAAAAAAAGATATAGCCACACCGAGTGTATATTCTCGCAAATAAAACACATGTTTTCCATTTGAGCACAACCTATACATGGTCATAACCTGCACTTCAAAACCTGATTTTCCTCCTCTTGGATATTTCAGTTGATGTCGAGGCATCTGGATTCTATTTTGAAAACTCCTATACATTAATTAACTAATAAATATACAACATGCAAAATTTCAGGGATATGAAGATGGAATACTTCCTTTTCTAGCCCAAGAGTAACCAAAAAAATTATTTATTGTATATTTCCATTGTTGGAGGACTTCTACAGTCTACTGTGGGATATACAATTTTTTTAAGGCACAATTCTATCTTCTTATGCTTCACAATTTATCAGGCAAGAGAGACACAAATGTTAAGTAACCACATAATAAGTTGACAATGAGTAACACTGAGAAATGTGCCACTGGTAGATTTTAAATGTTGAATTATTATGACTATTGGAATATGGTTTCCTCTTAAAGAAAAATAATTTCCTCATATCAATTCTCTGAGAAATAGTTAATCCTGAAACAGAATTTAATGGTGTATTAAATTGAGCAAAAAAACAAAATTATCTTCTCTACAGGTCTAAGGGAAGGACTTAAAGAGACAAAAATACTTGGCTTTGCTTTGGTGTGTATGAGCAGCTCCTATGAAGCAGAGACAAAGCAAGACTGCACATATCATAGAGATTCTGTTTTTTACTAGTAATGTGTATAACTGCAGTGGTGACATTGTGGAGTGGCTTGCATTTAGAGCAAAAATGTGCATGAGTCTCAGATCCACTAATAAGTATACAGCCAGCAGAACTTACTGAGAAGAGCAATGTTTTCACTTGAGGCTGCAGAGAGACAACAGCAGGTTTAGCAACAAAGATTGCCGTGCCCAGTCAAGTGATGACAGCCCAAGATCAGCATTCACAGAAGAAGCAGGGGTATGGGATGATGAAAAGATTGTGACAAAGTAACCTAACTGACTAGTAAATATAAGAAAAAACATGAGACACTTGAGACATTAACTGCTATTAAGAAGGTAACAAGTGCTCATGATTCAATAACTATGATATAAAATCAGGGAGTATAATCACAATTTGAAATCAGAATCAGGTAAAAGTTGAGATATATGGATCATAATGTTAATAAAAGAGTGGTTGAAATAAATAATGGAGATATTCTAATGCTATAAGTTTTTTTTTTCTAAGAGAGAATGTTAACTGTCACTGACATCTGAAAATACTTTGAGGAGGAGTTGATATTTAAGCGAATCATGGAAAAAAAATTTCTAATGTTTGGCTGCTGTGTGAGGAGTAAGTTCTTCCCAGAGAAAGGAAGCCACTTGAGAAAAGACTGTGTGAAATACAAGACATTTTGAGAAGAAAGAATGACATGTTGGAGCCTAGGTGATTTGATGTTCCTTTTCACTGTCTTTGAGAAATGATAAATGATGATTCCAGTGGCAGTAGTACACATGTGATTATGTGTGTGAATCTGTGTCATACTAGCTGAGCGTGTACTTGATCCTACATATAGCCATTTATACTTCATTTCATGTATAGATGAAATAACAAGGCAGCCTACATTCCTACAGATACATGAATTCCTCTAGCATTTCCCTACCTGAATAGGTGGTGTATATGTATTGTGTTTATGCATCATTTTTACCCTAATTTTGAAATCACTTTCTCTTCAACTTTCCTCAAATTTTAGGTAATTCATTTTTCCTTTTCTCTTTTTTTCAAAATGTCTTGACTTTTCTCTTAAGAGAAAATTTGCTGAATCAAATTTGTTCAATGAGTTTAAGCCTATACAGTACCTTTTTGCTAATCTGATTTTTATTTTGGTCTGAAAGACATTTTTACCGAGTTTTGGTTTATCAACTTGGAAAAAGTCTATGGGATATTTTATTAAAAATAATTTTATTCCAATTGTCACATGACATTTAATAGCTCGATTCGAAAGAACTCGTTATTTTAATACGATGTTCTACATTAAAAACATTTATTAAATTTAATGCCACCCAAAATATCTGGAATACAAATATAAGGTGGATATTCACTTGGAAAGAGTTGGGAAATGAAATGTAGCGTCCTCCCAGGGTCTTACTCCTGATTAAACATGAGTCTGCCTTTGGTAGGAAAGTCAGCCTTGATTTTATTCCAGATAAGCATGACAAAGGCAGTGGTTTGTTTCAGCCTCAAGTTTCTATGGTTTTACTAACTCTAGCCTTGAGAAGCTTCAGGTAATGTTGAAGCTTGTCAAATATAAAGATTATCAGAATAGGCAGCAAGGTAGAGAGCCGATGCAAAGAGTTCATGTATTGTTATCTAGAGGAGAAGATGATAGTGCACGGGAGACTGACTTTTAACACTTTAATTCAGAAGTCAGATAGAGTAACATATCATTTTGGGAGATTTTCTGTGCATTATAGGATACTTGCCACTAGGGTCAGAGAAGATTGTTATGTAACCACAATATGTTTTATATTTTATTTTTAACCTTTCCACACTACGTTTCTCTGTAGAAAAGCCTTATAGAGCTATAGATAGAAGGAATTAAGTTACACATAGAAATTTCTTTGCTAGAGTAACTGAAAGGGAAGGAAAAGAGGTCAACCAATAAGATGGAGGAAAGAAAAAGAGTTCAACCAATGAGAGCAGAGGCAAATATCCAAGAGGTCTTGATCAATGGGAATTCATTTTTTTCAACATATTTGTATGTCAGAAACTTATTAAAAATTAACATTTATAAACATGTAAAACAAAAACACCTTGTGTGTGTTAAAAAATAGGGTTGAAAAGAATAAACAAAATAAATGATACAATGTAAAAGCAACTCTAAAAATGCTCAATAGGTCTACAGATAGGGCTTCAAAAATACAAAAAATAAGTTATAATTACAGCTCTATCAATATTTGTCCAACGAGTTGGTACATTTGATAAATAAAAGATTAAGTTACTCATGTGTTTGAGGGGAAGGGTATAAAGTAGAAGTTAGGTGCAATTGCTTTGGAGAAAGAATGTCTGGTTTAAAATCCTGGCTCCAATCCGTACTGTTAGCCATGGGACTTTGAGAAACATCTTTCAGTTATCCTAGGCTTAGAGGCATTTTCTTGACCTACCAGGCTTAATATGATCTCATCCCTGCCACCTTTCTGATCCATTTTCACCAATTTATCTAATTCATGCTGTATTTTCCTAAAGCATTTCAAACAATTTACCTAAAACATTCCAAACAATTAAGGTATTTGCACTTTGCTGTCCTCCTAGCCTGAAATGCTCTTCCTCCAGACATGCTCATAATGCACTCCTTTCCCTTCCTTCACATCTGGACCTGCAGAGGCTCCTGAGAGAGACTGATTCTGGTCACCACATAACAACATAGCATCTCTCTACCCCACCACTTCGATCCTTTTATTCTGTTTGACTTGACTTTTTCCTCTTTGGTATTTATTTCCAACATTTTTTCATAAATTCCAGATCCTGCACAATATTGCCAGCATCTTAGTATATATATTTGTGTATGTATATGTATATGTGTTAATGAGTGTATATCATTTCCTGTTTATTGCCTGTTGGTCTGGTTAGAATGTAATCTCCATGAAAATAGGAACTTTAACCATTTAATTCATCAACCAGAATACTTGACACATGGTACATGTTGAATACACATTTTTTGCAAAATTAAATCAAGTAATACAATTCACACAATCAAGCATGAATTAGTGAATAAAGGTACTGCTACATCTCATAATTTTATAAGTAGAGTACCTGAAACATTAAAAATGTTTAATAAATGTTATTACTATTGCATGCATCGTATTTCTCTTTTTGCTAATGTTTATAATGAAGTAAACCACAATTTTAAATAACTATTTTATTCAGTTTTCTGTCCTAGATATTGCTACATGTATTGGTACAGAATCAACACTTGGTCTATGAAAATAGCTGTACCCCGATCCTTATTAATCATCCTTTCAGTAAGGTAGAATAAAAAGAGAGACTAGTTAGCCCTCCACTGTTCTATAAATAAATAGCCCTCTGTATACATTCTTTCCTTATTGTGAGACATTTTTGATAAGATTAAATACACACATGAATATTACTTGATTTTTATGATCCAGATAAAAAATAAAACACTTATTTTTATTTAGGGTAAAACATCTGTTTCTCCTTTTCTTATTTGTCAATTTTTTTCTATACAGGTCAACTTAACCAGAAAGTCATTATGGGATAAAACAAAATGTTCTTATTTTTTAAAATAAATAGAGTCATAAGCAAGCAGCTGCTGAACTTTCTAAGAGTCACAACATTAAAGATGGCCAAATCCATTTTCTTCACAATATTAGGTTAGGATTTTTTTTTTTTTTTTCAAAAAAAAGGAAGAACATTCAGTGAAAAAATATGTTTAGTTTCATAATATAGTTACCATAATCTTTTACAAAAGCATTTTTCTTTGTTAATATGAGATTTAAAAGTAATAAAAATATACAGAACTCTTTTTTATATCTTTGTTTTCTATACATACCCATATATGTATATATATCAAGATGTATATATATATTATAAGTGGAATCTAAGTATTTTCTGCCAACATTATTTTGATGTATATCTAACATTTATTATGTTTGATATTGTCCACTTGTTGAAAATGTGAGCTTGAAATCTCGTTTTGAGTTTCTTTTTTGTGTTTTCCTTTTTATTCTTAATTTGTTTCTTGTTGTTCTGTTTTTATGTTTCTTTCTTCTCCTCATAGTAGTGCAATAATATTAGTCCATTCTTTCACTACTATAAAGAAATACCTGAGACGGGATAATTTATAAAGGAAAGATAATTTATGAAGGAAAATTTATTAGCTCATGGTTGCACAGGATGTGCAAAAGCATGACGGCTTCTGGGGAGGCCTCAGGAATCTCGCAGTCATGGTGGAAGGCACAGGGGAAGCAGCACTTCACATGGCTGGCGCACAGGGATAGGAGAGAGCCAGGAAGTACCACATGCTTTTAAAGAAGAGATCTCATGATAGCTCACCATAATGAGAACAGCACCAAAGGGGAAATCCTCCCCCGTGATTCAATCATCTCCCACCAGGCCCCATCTTCAACATTTGTGATATGGTTGGCTCTGTGTCCCCACCCAAATCTCACCTTGAATTGTAATCCCCATAGTCCTCACAAGTCAAGGGTGGGACAGGTAAGGGTAATTGAATCGTGGTGGTGGTTTCCCCCATGCTGTTCTCATGGTCATGAGTGAGTCTCACAAGATCTAATGGTTTTATAAGCTTCTGGCATTTCCACTGCTAGCACTCATGCTCTCTCTTGCTGTCCTGTGAAGAGGTGCCTTCTGTTATGACTGTAAGTTTCCTGAGGTCTCCCCAGCTATGCAGAACTGAGTCAATTAAACCTCTTTTTTATAGATGAAGTTTCACTCTTGTTGCCCAGGCTGCAGTGCAATGGCGCAATCTCGGCTCACTGCAACCTCCGCCTCCCAGGTTCAAGCTATTCTCCT
The DNA here is from genome assembly GCF_000001405.40 of Homo sapiens. NCBI lineage: Eukaryota > Metazoa > Chordata > Mammalia > Primates > Hominidae > Homo > Homo sapiens. Next base: position 175,245,794 of record NC_000004.12, read on the forward strand.
GCCTCAGCCTCCTGGGTAGCTGGGATTACAGAAGCCTGCCACTATGCCCAGCTAATTTGTTTGTTTGTTTGTATTTTTAGTAGAGATGGGTTTCCACCATGTTGGCCAGGCTAGTCTCCAACTCCTGACCTCAGGTGATCTGCCCACCTCAACCTCCCAAAATGCTGGGATTACAGGCATGAGCCACTGCACCTGGCCATTAAACCTCTTTTCTTTATAAATTATCTAGTGTCAGGTATTTCTTTACAGTAGTGTGAGAATGGACTTATACAATTTGCAATTACAATTTGACATGAGATTTGGGATGGACCAGAAGCAGAAAGATATGGCATGGCTCTTTGTCCCCATCCAAATCTCACCTTGAATTTTAAACCCCATAGTCCCCATGTGTCAAGAGCCAGACCTGGTGGAGGTAATTGAATCATGAGATGGTTTCCCCCATGCTGATCTCATGATAATGAGTGAGTCTCACAAGATCTGATGGTTTTATAAGCTTCTGGCTTTTATAAGCTTCTGCTGCTAGCACTCGTTCTCTCTCCTGCTGTCCTGTGAAAAAGTGTCTTCTGCTATGATTGTAAGTTTCCTGAGGCCTCCCAAGCTATACAGAACTGTGAGTCAATTAAACCTCTTTTCTTTATAAATTATCTAGTATCAGGTATTTCTTCACAATAGTGTGAGAACGGACTAATACAATTCACGATTACAATTTGACATAAGATTTGGGCAAGGACACAGACCCAAACCATATAATACCTTTATTGGGTTGTTTGATTTTTTTGACTACTTATTTTATTTTTTTCTCTCTGATTTTACCACTACTGCTTTGTGAGTCATAAAAACATTTGCTGCTTCTTAGTAGTTAACTTCACTCCAAACCATAAAATGACCTTGATCACTCGAACACTGTATAACTCCTCTGACATACATACAATTTTATCTAGCATTTTAGATATAACTTTCAGTTTACCTCATAAATTAGACAATTTTACATAGGCCCCACTTATTTATTTTTATTGATATGTTCATCAAGTTCTTTATAATTTACTCTTGCATCTACAACTCTCTTTCTGGGGTTATTCTTTACCTGAGATGATGTCTTTTGAACCCCTTTGATGAATGTCTGTAGGTGATAAACTTTTTGTATGTGTTTGTTGGTTTTTCTGAAAATATCTTTATTTTGCCCTTTTCCACACAAAAAAAATAGTTTTACTAGAAACACGACACTTGGAAAATATTGTTGCACTGTCTTTGGGCTTCTGTAACATAAATTGAATGATCGTGCTGTTTCCTATGTAAGAGGAGCAAAGAAGATGATGACTATACTGAAAAGAATGTTTTTAGATTTGGTGGTAAGAATCTGAGGGACTTTAAGTCTGGGAGGAGTGGTCATTTGATGGATTTGAGGAGATACAAAACAAACATGAATCACATTATCTCAGAAAATGGTGAAGGGAATATTCTACGAAATGACAGTACAGATACCAAACAAAGACAAGTGTTAACTTGACATTAATGATTGTAATTCAAAGAAAGGTCAGTCAGCAGAGTATTGTGATTTTCTACAGCAACACTTTGGTTTTTATATGCAAAGAATGAGAAGGCAAATTCTGGTTTACTCCAGTCTTTTGCAAGGCAAGTATGGATGAGATAGAATCAAAGATTGAAGGTGTTAAGACTGTATGTAAGGGAATGGTTTGTATTTGAACCATTAAATGTGCTCTAGATAGGTAGCAATTAGAAACAGATTGAGGCCAATAAATGGATATAAACTAGTGGATTCAATGGGTTAAAGTTTTTAATAGGACGAAAGCATTCTTGCAAAGAGATTTCTACAGAAAATGATCAAGAAGGTCATGACGTATTATTAATAAATGGTTTAAGATAGAAAGCTTAGAAACAATTTTGTATCTCTCATTATGATATCTTCAGTGCATCATGGGAGTAGAATGCTGAGATGGAGGCAAGAAAATGGACCACAAAGTGAAGAGATTGGGGACTAAGATGCCATGGCTCTTCCTCCTGGAATGGATCATCCACATGAATATGGAGATAATACTAATGTCATTCATCATAATCTCTTGCATGATTTTGAATATATTTGTTAGAAACAATTTAATGTATATTACCCACTGAATCAAAATTTGCATCTGACTTTTCTATTAGTCATACATTCAAAAACCAAATTCTGGTGCTTAGGTTTGTGCCTCTGAAATATAGTAAAGATACGCCAAAGCTAATGTGGTTCCAGTTTTTATTTAGTGGGTTAAGAAGAGCAAATTCCATTTCCAACTATGTTGCTATCTAGCAGCATAACCTTAGCCAAATCAAATGATCTTCCAAGGTTTCAGGTTTTTTGTAGGTAAACACAGTTTAAAATTAAAGTTTACTTAAAATCATTTTTAAACTGAAAGTCTTTCGATTTAATTATTTAATTTATTGCTTGTTAAAGTACCATTCGTTGGCTTTGCTCTCTAAGTTCATATAATTACTTTTACTTAAGATGTCCTCCACCACTAAACTTTTATATGGCTATATATTTGTGTGGTATCTGTCACCATGGTACCTAGATATCCAACCAACATAACTGTGTAAAAATAGAAGGTATGTGGGAAGAAAAAAATGTCAATCCCCATTTTTCTATTCAAACAGGTATTAGTGAGGCATAAAGATTGTATCTAAAGTTTGTTTTTTTGAGCTTACTGCCCATGTGATTACAGAGTTATTTATGAGAAAAAGGACAAAATTCACTATTTATCCAAATGTATGAACATTCAATGTAATATTTACATTTGTTAAATAAAGAAATAAACCTCCCCCTTGGTAATCATTACAAATATATATCCCAAATGACAAATAACTATATAAAAATGTAAAAACTACTACAAATGCACACAGGCAATAATGCAGACGATTATAGTAGTAGAAAAGTGACAGCTAAAATAGACTGCTCATAAAGTTTACCCTTTCTGTTGTTATTTTTTCAATGCCACTATTTTTAATCGCTCTGAAGAAGCTAACAATTTTTTTTAATGTATGGAAGGAATATAATTAAGACGGAAATAATTGGTAAGGAATAAGTTTAGAGATAATGAGCTGCTACTAAATACCAAAGTAGTTGGCAGTCTAATACAAATCTGGAAAGATTAGAATCATAGATACACAATTTGGAGTCACAGGTATAAAAATAATATTTTTAAAGCTGTGGGACTAGATATCACTTGCAACGTATCATAGATTGAGGACAATGAGAAGGGCCTAGAATGGGTTACAGGGTACTCCACTCTGCAGAAGTCTAGAAATAAACATGCATCAACAAGGGAGAGTGAGAAGACTCTACCAGTGAGGAAAGAGAAACAAGAGTGTATGGTACTAGAAGCCAATGAAAAAAACATGTGAAGAAGACTATGATAGAAAACGATATTCAGTGCTATTACTATAAACAGGGAAATTATGTTGTTTAGCAAAAAATGATTAATCATGCTGTTGATATGATTCTGACATAAGCTATAATTAGTGAACCCTTGCATCTTGGTGTTGTACATCATCACGTGAGTATGTACACTTGTCAGATGTCTTAGGTTCTTTTCAGTTAAACATGGAATAAAACCAACTAAATAAATAATTAATGAGAAACTGAAAGAGATAACGAAATAGAAAGCTAGATAAAAAGAGACGAAAAAGTGTGACTAATAGAAACACAAACTCATAATATAATAAACAAAGGAACATTTAATTTTTTAATAAACCTGAGTAATTGTTCTTTAAGTTATCATAAAATCTTCATGTACATAGATAGGCCTTGAAAAGGAGTCCTGTTTTTTCTGCTGTGTTGAGAAGTAAACTCTAGAATTACTCTATTGAAGTATTTAAAACTTATGTTTTAAATATCCAATAAAGCAAGATCTGGGTTTTCTCCTCAATAGATTTATCATGAAATTATTGACTAACTACAGGAATTAGAGGGAAGGCATTATGTTCTGACTATAGTCCTGTCTGACTTTGTATTAGTCCGTTCTCACACTGGTATAAGGACATACCCTAGACTGTATAATTTATAAAAGAAAGAGGTGGAATTGACTCACAGTTTAGCAAGGCTGGGAAGGCCTCAGGAAACTTTCAATCATGGTGGAAGGGGAAGCAAACACATCCTTCTTCACAAGGCAGCAGGAAGAAGTGCCGAGTGAAGTGGTGGAAAAACTCCTTATAAAGCCATCAGATCTCATGAGAACTCACTCATTATCATGAGAACAGCATGGAGGTAACCACCTCCATGATTCAATTACCTCCCACCAGGTCCCTCCCATAACACTTGGGGATTATGGGAACTACAGTTCAAGAATGAGATTTGGGTGGGGACACTGCCAAACCACATCAGACTTTATCATCTTGCAGGGGAAAGGGGCGTTACTTTCCCCTTGAGAGCTTAGGATCCCCCTCTTATTTGATGGGGGAATTGACTACATAAATAGTCCCCAACCTTTTTGGAATCAGGGGCCAGTTTCATGGAATACAATTTTTCCATGGATGGGGGTGCAGTGGATGGTTTCTGAATGAAGCTGTTCCACTTCAGATCATCAGGCATTAGATTCTCCTAAGGAGCTTGCAACCTAGATCCCTCACATGTGTAGTTTAAAGTATGGTTCATGCCCCTACGAGAATTTAATGCCACCAGTGATCTGAAAGGAGGTGGAGCTCAAGCAGTAATGCAAGCCATAGGAAGCAGCTGTAAACACAGATTAAGCTTCACTCACTCACCAGCCACTCACCTCCTGCTGTGTGGCCCAGTTCCTAATAGGCCATGGACTGGTACTGGTCCAATGCTTAGGGATTGGGGACCCCTGAACTACATCATGATTAAATAAACTTTCATCTATATGATTCTATAGTTTTTTTTAACACAGATGTTACCTGAAACCTCTAAGCTTTTGGAGACAACATTAGGCTTAGCTGTGCACATTCAAATTATTTTTTAAGATATTCATGAATCTTAAGGCAAAAGGCACATCAGTGAGATTATATTTTTACATATGCTTCTGCTTTCTAGAATTTTATGTATCTAGGGACTATTCTTTTATCTGTGTAATGTGTCAAACAACGTGGAGATATATTCCCTCTTCAGGATTCCAAATAAAAGAAAAAAAATGAGAAAAGAAAGTAAAAAAGGGAGAGAGGAAGGGAGAGAGAGAGAGAGAAAGAAAGACAGGAAGAAAGAAAGGCCACACAATGAATAACTTAATGATGAGTGCTGTAATAAAGCACATTTAATATTTGGGACAAGAAGGAGTCATCACAATGCTAATGTGACAAATAGACAAGTAGACAAATAACATTGTATTCCTGTTCCCAAAGTACTTTTATTCATTTGCCACCCAGGATTTCCCACTGCCTATGCCCCTCATATTGCAGCTACTGCTGGTCTTGCATATCTTGGTGGGTCAAAATCATATCCCCCTCTTTCCTTTTCTTTTTCTTGGTTTGCCCTGGGAACTTCAAATGTTTTCTCCATTTATTATGTTCAACATTTTAAGTATTTTTATCTCGTAACAAATTTGTCTAGCAAACACACTAATGTATTCACCACACAAAAGGATATTTCAGTTAGCAAGATCAGCCCTCCTTGCAAGATATTATCAGTCATAAATTGCCCAACATATATAAAATTATTATTCTAAATATAAATTATGTATTATGAAATTGGGACCCTTGAGCATAAACAGTAGCAGCAGCAAGCAAAATCATGGGAAGCACTAGTGATAAAAAAAAAAATGCTAGGAAAAAATTTTTTTGCCTTTGCAAACAGGCAATATATGTATCTTAGGACCCTTAAAAATAGAGAAAAATTAATATTTTATCATTGTAATTTCAAATTAAAATTTAAAAAATTAAAATAAAAAGGCACATTTTTTCTCAAATATTATACTCTTTTAAAACAGGTGGTTAAATTAGTATAGGTGTGAGAGAGCAATTATTTCCATATAACTATGAATAAATAAATTTCTATGGAAATTTTACTTTTCATGATCCTTGCAAACTAATCTATTTAAATTATTGGTAAATATCTTAATAACAAAGGCAGCTACATATAAAGAAAAAAATAAGACTGTGCCAAATGTTTGAAATACCTACAAGGAGATTGCTTTTAATAAACATAAATAGAGAAATTCAGGATATACCCTTTTTGGGTTCAATTTTAAGAAATTACTGTTAGCCTTATGTAGTTAGTTATTACATAATACTTTTTTAAACGCCTTTTGTCACGGCTATATGTAACAAAATATAAAAATCAGATGAAATTAATGTATTTAGATTTTCCCAATATTATATGAAATATAAATGTTATGAGAGGTGGGTAGGGAAGTACTGGGACGGGAAGAGTGTGATCCCTGGCTAGTGCTCCACCCCCGGGGCTTGTGCCCATGGACCTAGGTGAGGACAGGCATTTCTGTTTTCATGCCCAAATGTTGCATTTCCCAAGACCACCTTGGCCCACTACATCCCCATCCTGTGTCTATAAAATACCCTGAGACCTTAAGTGGGCACAGACACAAGTGGCTGGACATTGAGAGGAACACATTGGCCTAACACCACACTGACAGTCACCAGCAGATGCCAGCAGGCCATCGACCAATGGAATGACCTGGAGTTTGGCTGAGGTGGTTGGAGGAGAGCTAGGCCACTAGGCAGCCCAACTCCAGGTGAAAACTCCCTTCCCATTCTATCCCCCTTCTGGCCTCCCCATTCACCTTGCGGAAAGCTACCACTCAATAAAAACCTTGCACTCATTCTCCAAGCCTATGTGTGATCCGATTCCTGCAGTACACCAAGGCAAGAACCGTGGGATGCAGAAAGCCCTCTGTTCTTATGATAAGAAAGAGGGTCTAATAGAGCTTATTAACACAAGCCACCTACAGACGGCTAAACTAAAAGAGCACCCTGTAACACATGCCCACTGGGGCTTCAGGAGGTATAAATACAACCCCCTAGACACTGCCGCCATGGGGTCAGAGCCCCACAACCTGCCTGTCTGCATGCTCCCCCTAGAGGTTTGGGCAGTGGGGCACTGAAGAAGTGAGCTACTCCCCTGTCACATGCCCTGCGAGGGGGATAAGGGAACTTTTCCCACCTCAACTGAGGACTCATCTGGGATCCCGGAAGTGAGTGTGAGCAAATGTGAAACTTGGCTCTGCGTCTCTTCCAAAACCTGCTACCTCTGTTTCTCTTTCATGTGGGTAAGAGGCTCTATTTCCCTTCATTAAGTTTTTAACCTCCCTAACCTGGCCAGTCAAAATCCCCAGACTTCGTCTTTTCTCTCCCTCACAATTTGAAATGGCTCTTATCTCTTCCCTTATATGTTAAGAGTTTTGCTACAGGCTGCGGCAAAGTTACTAAGTAAAATAAGCATTTGGCTCAGCAGACAAAGGTTCCTAGAGGTGCCATCTGTGCCTTCATCTCGATGGCCACAGGCACACACGGCTCAGGGCACCTCTCCTTATCCTTTCGCCTCCCAGCTTGGGTGCCTGAGCATGTCCATGGCAGGCAAAGGCTGAGCCAAGAGGGGGCGGGGAGAGCAGCGCCATGGCCACCAACTCTGCCTCCACTGCCTGGGACAAGGGGGCTGGAGAAAACAGGCAGTAGCCAGGACCCTACAGGACACTTCTCGCCCACCGTACCAATGGAACCTTTCTTGCCCTGGCCAAGGAATTAAGCACAGTGGGAACCAGGGGAAAGATACAAGGATTAGAGGGACCCACTTGCACTGAGCAAAGGCTTCTCCCCCCATTATCTCCCCCTTTTGCCCCTTAAACTGTTGTTCTCTTGATTCCTTTTCTAAGTGAAAGGCTCACCCTCTTAACTCTGTTTCTGATATGGAAGCTAATGGAGGAACGACCTCTGCTGGCTGATAACTGCAAATTTGGCAGGGTTTACAAACAGCCTCTAAAATACCTTTTCAGTCCCAAACTCAATCCCAAGCCTCAGGCTGAGGCCCTATAAAGAAAAACCAGGTCTGAGGGATCCAAAGACAGGCAATAGGCACAATGTAAATGGGCAGGACCAATTTCCTGCAAGTAAGTCCCCTGCCCCATGAAAGGAGGCCATGCTTCATGGCATAAACAGGCCACTGGACCTCAAAGGTTGCAGACAGCAGGAAAAAGGGAGGCATAGGTGAGAGCTGTTAATTCCTGTTCTCCAGATTTTCCCTGTTTCATTGGTACACACTGCATCGGTACCTATGGGTGGTGCCTGCCAAGGTTGCCAGGACTTGGGGTAAAAGACGTGGAAGGGAAAGGGAGGACACTCACTTTCTCTCTCCATCATACACTGAGTATTCACTAAAGGAAGGAATGGAAAGAGGGATGCCTGTATCCCTTGTCTTTCAGAATGGGCAACCAGCTCTCTTCACCACCCCCAGCTTATACTTCTCTGGAGTGTATCCTGAACCATTGGGACTGCTTTGATCCTTAGAATCTGGAGGAAAAATGCCTCACAGCCCTCTACCCAAAGGTTTGGCCAAATTATCATTCATAGCAAGGACTGGCTTGGTCTCAGGAAGGAACGATTCATTTCAATACGATCCAGTAGTTGGGCTTTTTCTGTAGATGTGAGGACAGATGGTCTGAAGCCCCATATGTGCAGGCTTTCTATACCTTGCAAGGCAACCCAGACCTCTGCCAACAATGTGGGATTGATCCAGCCCTCCTGTTTGTCGTCTCAGGGAAGGCTGCAAGGGGCAAGCCCAGGAAATTAAAGATACAAATCCCAGAGGCACTCCCAGCAGAGGAGCCAGCTCCCTCAAGCCCTTCTCCCTCCTAGAAATCCTTGCCCTCAACAAGCCTCAGTCTCGCTCTTGCCCTTCCAACAGATGCCCAATGAATTTGGGCCCAGTAAGGTCCAGGGCCCCTTCTCTGTACAGTACTTAAGGCAGATCAAGGGGGATCTTGGCAAGTTTTCACATAACTCTGATAGATAGATAGAGGCTGCAGTATTTCACCCAAATATGTGAACTCTCCTGGAGAGATGTTATGTTACCCTTTCATCAGACCCTGACAGACACTGAGAAACAGGCAACTCTGCAAGCAGCAGGGAGATCTGGGGATGAGCTTTGCATCACATACGGCGTCAGGAAAGGGAGCACATATTATTTAACTGGGGGAGAAGCAGTACCCGTGAAGGACTTAAATGGTATCCCAATGACCAGATGGAAGACTGGAAGAGGAGACACTTTCAGGTGAGCATAACAGAGGACTTATGCAAGACTAAGACCAAGCCTCTCAATTATACTAAGGTGTCCTTGATTGACCGGGGATTTGACGAAAATCCCATTGCCTTCCTGGAAAGGCTGAGGGAGCCCTTGGTAAAGCACACCTTTGCATCTCCTGATTCAGCTGAGGGACAGCTAATCCTAAAGGATACATTTATTACTCAGGCAGCCCCTGATATCAGGAGGAACTTGCAGAAACAGGCCCACCAAGGCAAGAACCCTGGGATACAGAAAGCCTTCTGTCCTTGTGATAAGGCAGAGGGCCTAATAGAGCTTAGTAACACAAGCTAACTACAGATGGCTAAACTAAAAGAACACCCTGTAACACACACCCACTGGGGCTTCAGGAGTTGTAAACACACCATCCTAGATGCTGTTGCCATGGGGTTGAAGCCCTACAACCTGCCCATCTGCATGGTCCCCCTGGAGGTTTGAGCAGTGGGGCACTGTAGAGGCGAGCCACTCCCCCTGTCACATGCCCTGCAAGGGGGATAAAGGAACTTTTACTGTTTCATTAAGATCTGAATCTTTAGAGTAAGATCTTAAATTTTAATCATTCCTTGATTTATGTAAATTAAACCTCTCTGACCACATAGAGACTTTTCAAAATTCTGTGTTTTGAAGTTTTGTTTTTGTTTTTTTGAGTTGCTCTGTCACTCAGGCTGGAGTGCAATGGAGCGATCATGGCTCACTGCAGCCCCTACCTCCCAGGATCAAGAGATTCTCCCACTTCAGCCTCCAGAGTCACTGGGACTAGGTGCTCACCACCATGCCTAGCAAATTTGAAAATATTTTTGGGGGAGACAAGATCTCACTACATTGCCCAGGCTCTTCTTGCTCAAGCAATTTTTCTGCCTTGGCCTCCCAAAGTGCTAGGATTACAGGCATAAATCACTGTGTCTGGCCTAATATACTGTTTTTGATTGAGAGAAGAGGTTTATGAGAGAAGAATACCATCATGAATGAGAGAAGAAATACCATCATTGCTCATGATGGTATTTTGGAGTGATGCTACTTTTAAAAGTTTATACCTGACCTGGTGATTATCGTAGATATCTCATAAGCATATGTAAATACTAATACAAAGATGATTTTATCAAATAAACTAAACTAATGCATTAAAAATCCTTAAAACTACCATAAGAAAACGTGGAATGGAGGATTATATCCTAAACATGATAAAATGCCATATGAAGACAACTAACAACTTAGTAATAATAGCTATCACTTGTTATGCATTAATTGGACATGCCAAGAACAAGATGATTTATACAAAAATTCCTACCCGAATGAATTATATTAAGTGATTAATATAGGGCAGGGTCCAAGACAGACCATGAGGCAAGCGTGTCAGCTTCTCAGCACCATTTGTGGAGAAATGTGTGTTGCATTGGCTTACAGCTGGTTACTGTTAACTTCCTCTGATTTCTAATATTGAATTTGATCAGCAGACAGCCTGGTTTTGACCACATAATAAGAGGAATTTTAAAAGATTCCCTCCTCAGATGATTGTGTGACTTCCCTGAGACCAGCATATCTCACAGAGTTTTCATTATCAAAATATAAAGATGAAGTACATCCTGCATATTTGAGAAAGAAACCTGTGGGCTGCCTGCTTTTGGTCTCTCATTACTGTCTCATATTTTACCTTCATTAAAACTTTACAGAAGTTTACCCTGTGGAGTTTCATAAGCCCTTGTATTGATCTGATCTGTGTTGCAATTCTGAGTAGCAATATCATTATGCTCCTTTTACAAATCTGATCAAGAACATTGTCATTTTATGGTCTGGAGCAACAAAAGAGTGCCCACTATCACCACTGCAATTGAATCTTGTTCTGAAACTTACGGTCAGTGTGATCAAACAAGAACTAGAAAGAAAAGATGCAAGCATTGCAGTTACTTCTGAAATCAAAATTCTATACCAGAGAATTTAAAAGAATCAAGTGAGAGAATTCAAATTTTAAAATTTTAAAAAACGTCACATAGTGGCTTGTGTTGGGGGTCTCCAAGACCATTCTCAGGGTTGATTATTCGCTGGAATGACTACAAGATTCAAAAAGCAGTTACAGTCATGATTTCAGTTGGTTACAGAAAAAGGATAGAGATTAAAATCATCAAAAGGAAAGGTACATGGGACAAAACCCAGAAGAATCCAGACACAGGCTTCTGGTTGTCCTCTCTTAGTGTAGTCAAATAGACACAGCTAATTATACCAGCAATGACGTGTGACAACACATGCCAAGTGTCTCCAATCAAGAAAGCTCACCCAAGCCTTGGTTTCTAGGGTGTTTGTTGCAAGGTCAGTCACATAGGCCTGCAGTAACTATGTGTTTTTATTAGTATTGTTTTTGAATTAGCAAATTTCTCTTACAAAAACATCAGATTTTTATAGTGGATTTGGAATATTGTTAAACTATCAAACAAGTGTTTAAAATGTGAGTCAAATACAAGGAGGAATTACATTTGATTCATTTCCCAAATACTTTTTCAAGAAATAGGAACACTTTTACACTGTTGGTGGGACTGTAAACTAGTTCAACCTTTGTGGAAGTCAGTGTGGCGATTCCTCAGGGATCTAGAACTAGAAATACCATTTGACCCAGCCATCCCATTACTGGGTATATACCCAAAGGACCATAAATCATGCTGCTATAAAGACACATGCACACGTATGTTTATTGCGGCATTATTCACAATAGCAAAGACTTGGAACCAACCCAAATGTCCAACAATGATAGACTGGATTAAGAAAATGTGGCACATATACACCATGGAATACTATGCAGCCATAAAAAATGATGAGTTCATGTCCTTTGTAGGGACATGGATGAAATTGGAAATCATCATTCTCAGTAAACTATCACAAGAACAAAAAACCAAACACCGCATATTCTCACTCATAGGTGGGAATTGAACAATGAGATCACATGGACACAGGAAGGGGAATATCAAACTCTGGGGACTGTGGTGGGGTGGGGAGGGGGGAGGGATAGCATTGGGAGATATACCTAATGCTAGATGACGAGTTAGTGGGTGCAGTGCACCAGCATGGCATATGTATACATATGTAACTAACCTGCACAATGTGCACATGTACCCTAAAACTTAAAGTATAATAAAAAAAAAAAAAGACATACTGATAGTATTGTGCACTGTTCTAGGCTGGGATTGTTGTGAAAAACAAAACAGATGTCTGCCATTCTCTTGAAATATAATTACGTCTTTCCTTTTGGTGAATAAAGGATCAATGTTAATGTGAATTGAAATAACTTTATGATTTTACATATCACCATGTCAATTATCCTGTTTGAAAACAAGCAGATTGGAACTCTACAGCAATCTGAACAAATCAAACATACATTTACTGAGCAGCTAGATATATACAAAGTACTATCTCCAGGGCTGTGAATTTATGTGCAGTTTACAGCCAAGTTAAATAGCAAATGAATACATGACAAAATAAAATAAAATGTGACACACTGTTTCAGATATCATAAGAAAGGATATGACAATAAATACATTAATAATATTTATTTTTTATTCGGTGCATGGTACACAATGCATAACATTGTAGATATTTGAACAACCCTACATGTTAGTTTTGATGATACTTATTTTATATATACATATAGAAAGAAGAGAATGCAATTATTACCCTAAGACATAAAGATAATACATATAGCTTGGAATTATACTTATTATTCTTTATTATTATTCCCTTTACCCCAGTGCCTTTTGAAATATTTGTGATGAAGAAATGCAGATCCATTTGTGGATCAATACTTTTGTAAAGTGTAATAAAAATAAATATAGTATAAATACAGTATATTTAATATAAAAATAAATATAAAGTATAATAAAATAAATTACCAGAAAATTTTCAAAAATTAAATTATGTAAAACTCCTCAGCTCTAAGAGATCCAAAATTTAAGAACACTTACTCTAAAGCTTGTTTATCTGAATATTTTTCCCCTTAGAATGCTTGTCCTTTATCGAGAGCCTTTAGTTAATATAACTGCCACAAACACTCTAAGGCTAAGGCTGTATTCCATTTAAACCGAGTGTATGTGTGTGTGTGTGTGTGTGTGTGTGTGTGTGTATACATATATAATCATGAAACTCTCTCTCTCTCTCTCTCTCTCTCTCTCTCTCTCTCTATATATATATATATATATATATAGTTTCTATACTTCAGTTGGCAAGAGCCAGCAAGAAAGAAACATCTATTGAATTTCTTCCTCATCATACTTAACAGTGAATGATACTAAATGAAAATTACTTTTATTTCACTTTTACTTTATTTCATTTCACTTTTACAATGGTAAAAGTGTAAAAGGAATAGTTGTCTGAAACTCTTATATTTTCTAGTTATATTACACTACGTTTATCAATTCATCAAATAAGATCCTGTTTCCCTTCTGCTAACCATCCAATAAGGTTTATTGAAAACCACAAGAGTTTTATGCATTCATTTAGAACATACGGTCATGCCTTGCTTAATGACGTGGATACGTTCTGAGAAATGTGTTAGGATATTTCATCATTATGTGAACATCACAGAGTGTACTTTCACAAATCTAGAGGGTATCACCTTCTTTTCTCTTTATTTATTTATTTATTTTTTGAGACAGAGTCTCACTCTGTTGCTCAGGTTGGAGTGCAGTGGCAGGATCTCGGCTCCCTGTGACTTCCACCTCCCAGGGTCAAGCAATTCTCCTGCCTCAGCCTCCTGAGTAGCTGGGATTACAGACGCCCGCCACCACACCTGGCTAATTTTTGTATTTTTAGTAGAGAAGAGGTTTCACCATGTTGGCCAGGCTGTTCTCAAACTCCTGACCTCAGGTGATCTGCCCACTTCCGCCTCTCGAAATGCTGGGATTAAAGGCATGAGCCACTGTGCCCGGCTGAGGGTATCACTTTCTATACACCTAGGCTATATGGTATAGCCTATTGCTCCTTGGCTAGAAAGCTGTAGAGCATGTTGCTGTACTTAATACTGTAGGCAATTCTAGCACAATGGTAAGTATCTAAACATATGAAAACATGGAAAAGGGACAGTAAAAATACGGTATTGAAATCCTAGAGGACCACTGTTGGATATGCAGTCCATTGCTGACTGAAACTTTGTTATGAGGCACATGACTGTTTATTGAGGGCCCTTCTAAGCGCCAGTCATAATCTAGTCAGAAAACAAGCAAAAAGCAATATTCTTATGGAGCTTACATTAATTATATTCAGATAAACTATGAATAGCAAGAATAAATATTTTATATAGGATATTAGGTGACAATTCCTTTGGGTAAAATTGGGGGAGGAACAGTGGATAAGGCTTGCCAGGGGAGGGGAAAAGGAGAACAGCCACAGTTTCAAGGAGGACGGTCTGAGCTGAACTCACTGAGAGTGTGATGGGAAGGGGAACTGGCAGGTGTGAATGCTCTATGGTGAGGGCCAGCGTGAAAGAGAATTCAGCGTGCCTAGCAGAAGGGAGTGATGGGGAGGTAGCAGAAGATAAAGTCAGAAAGGAAAGGAGAGTGAAAAGAGTGGGAATCATTATAAGGACTTTCAGTTGGACTTCTAAGCAAAAAGGGGAGCTCCTACATGAGTTTTCATTCCCAAAGGTACATCCTGTGGGTTAGAAGGGTAGAAGTATTAAGACCAATATGGAGGCTATTATTCTAATGAAAATGAGAGATGCTAATGACTCAGCCCAGGGGGACAGCAGAGAAGAGTGGTCAGATTTTGCATATACTTTGAAGGAGGAACCAACAGATTTCCTGAAATATTAAATGTGGGATATGAGAGAAAACAATTGATCCAATATGACTCCAGAATTTTCCCTTAGCATCTTGAAGGAGGAAGTTCTCATCAAACTGAAGTAGATAAATCAGGCTTCAGAGGAAAAGTGAGAAGTTGAGTTTCGGGGTTCAGTAGAACAGTCTTATATAGGGACCTTGGTTTGAATGTCAACAGCAGGCAGAAGAAATGTAAAACCATGAGACTGAATGATCTTACAAATAATGTAAGGGGGATTTTACAAATAGGGAGAAGACTAAGTTCATATGCACATCAAATTATTTTTTGCTACCTAAGAATCATTAAAATGGCTCTCCCTTTGTGCTTTTTGATTTACTGCAACTTATTAATGAACTGTCTTATTTTTGTCATTCTGAGAACTATGTTAACTAAAAAGTGGACATGTATTATATAATAACACAAGCTTTTCATCTCATTATGCATGCGTAAGCTTTCAGATAGCCATTGTCAAAAGACTGTACACTATAAAGCAAAACAATGTATTTTTAAATGTTTTAAGACAAAACTAATATTTCTTTAAACATTAAAACTGTTTGACCCTATTTCATGTCTTATGAATGTAGTAGTGGTTTGATCTAAAAATAAAATGCTAATCTTTCAGGGTTTAATTTTCTTGAAGTACTAAGATTTTAAAAAGTAAGTAAGATTACTATGCTTTAGTCACACAGCTGTGATCCTGTATATCTTTCTCTAACACAGTGTTACATTATTAAATCTTGATTCTAGGATTATTCAGATTTTCAAAATGATAGAAACACCCCAAAATATGGAGAATACCCACTTGAATGCCACAGTCATGAGGACAGAAAATTCTTTTCACCACATATGTACCCCAGACACACACAAGATTTCCTGGTACGTACTAGCCATTCAATAAATATTAGAAAGAAAGAATGAATAATTAAGATTACCATCTATCTCAGCTGCATCTCAGTCTGTGCTAAAACTACAATCCGAAAATCCATCATTCCATTCACCTAAATGGGTATAGAAACCAACATTTTTAATTGGTGATCTATAGCAGTCTTTAGCATTGGTAAGAATTTTTTTTTTTTTTTTTTTTTTTTTTTTAAGACGGAGTCTTGCTCTGTCACCCAGGCTGGAGTGCAGTGGCATGATCTCGGCTCACTCGGCTCACTGCAAGCTCCGCCTCCTGGGTTTATGCCATTCTCCTGCCTCAGACTCCTGACTAGCTGGGACTACAGGCGCCCGCCACCACGCCCAGCTAATTTCTATTTTTAGTAGAGACAGGGTTTCACCATGATAACCAGGATGGTCTCAATTTCCTGCCCTTGTGATCTGCCCACCTCAGCCTCCCAAAGTGCTGGGATTACAGGTGTGAGCCACCGTGCCCGGCCTAGCATTGGCAAGAAATCTTAGCCAATCCCTAGTCAAAAAATCCTGTGTGTTAGTCACAATGGTCAGAGTGATGAGATTGACCAAAAAAAAAAAAAAAAAAGTGAACAGTCATATTTAAAGATATATATTCTTTTAATGATAAAGAGAACACATACAAAAAACTTCAGACATCAAATCTGGAAGCTTTCAGATGCAAGTATAAGATTTCTGGTTTCCGCAATCCAGCACCAACTCTCATAAATAGCTTCTCTAGTTAAAACTAATGTAAAAGTCCTAATGGTAGCTAAACCTCATTTATAATATACAAGAAAAATGTCATATCAGTAAAGGAATATGGTGATTATGAGAACCTAATACAACATGCCTAAGTGAAGAAAGTAATAGCAATATCCATAATTCATCATCAAATAAAAAGGCACTTGAAAACATTGCTCAGTTTGATCTACTGGTACATTTAGTTTGGGGGTGAATATACATATTTATTTATGATAAGCAATTGAAATCATCAAACTAATTTCTTTGAGCTAAATTGTCATTTTTAAAATTTTGCACTCACAAAGAAAATGTCTATTACAATTTTTCTTCCTATGTGTTTTCCTACAATTAGTAAAGGAGCTTACAGTTGTCAATTATATCCAAATCCACTTGACATTTAAATTTATCCTTGGCAATTAATAAATTGTCATATTTTGTCTTTGAAGAATTTGGAGACTACTCTGTTTCCTAGGAGCCAAAAAGCACAGGTTGCTTTGAAAAGACTGAGTTTCTGGAGAAGTCACTCTACCATGGAAATTTACCAGGAAGTTGCCATGGATGGTCTATTTCCAGGTACATTCCTCGCCCTATCTTAAAATCTGAATTCCATCTAAACTGTGGGGAAAATTATAGGCTGAAACTACTGAGCTCTAGATATGGGAAACTAAGTCTTCCTCATTATCTAATTATTCCCAACATTGAGTTATCCAGGCTCTAGTGATTTAAACTACCTCCATCTGAAAAACTCAAAAAGGAACTCACAGTAGAGTCACCTGTGATCTCAAGTGAGTTGGACGACTTTGGTAATAATGGATGGAGTAAGGAAGATGCAGCAACATGTGATAAATTATAAAGCATGTGTGTTTTCGGTATGAGGAAGAATTTAATTTGATTCAATTGCAGTGGAGACCGAATAAAGATTTTATAACAGGAGTGGGGACAATATGATGAATATTTCAGTTGTCTCTTGCTATATAACCATCCACAGTTTAGTAGCATACACATTAATGACATTATTATTATCTCTTGACTCTGTGGATTGGTTTTGTCTAAGGTCACTCTTGTAGCTCCATTTTAGTTGGAATGTGGCGGTTTAAACAGTAAGATCCAAAATTACTCATATATTTGGCAGTTGTGCTGGCTGCAAGTTGGAGAATCTCAGTTCTTTTCTACTGGGCCACTCAGTTTCCTGCAGCCTAGACACAAATAGAAAACAAGTCTCAGGTTGCACAGATGGAAGCAAAAGCCATTATTCCTCTTCAGGCCTATACTCTAAAGTCATGCTAATTTACTGTTGTCACCTTTGGTTGTTGAAAGCAAGTTACAAGGTAATCTCAGATTCAAGAAGAAGGGAATTAGACTCTACCTCTTGATGGAAAAGGGTGCAAAGTTGCATTCTAAAGAGACATAAGGGATCTGAGAGATTTTTGTGCAATCACTGCAAGTAATCTGCAAAACTTTGTTCTGTGGCTAAAAGATTTTACATCTATTTCATGTGCAAAATACATCCAAACCCTCACAAAATTTCATCAAATTACAGCACAAAGTTCAGGTTCTAAGTCCAGAATCTTATTACCTAATCCTATTCTAATGGTGATGTCTCCTAAGATGTTTTTCCTTAGGTGCAGCTTCCTAGGTAGAGCTTTTTATAAGTTAGATACCTGTGAACTAAAAAGATAGTTTAAAAACCTTTAATCCACTCAGCAGACCATATTAAGACAGGAAGGGGATTATCACAGAGAAAATCACTCCCATTCATTAAGGAAATGAAGAGGAAAAGGCAATTATCCGTCACAGGTGATGAAATAAATCAACAAAAATATTCATAGGCATTAAACATCTATTAAAACACTAAATATTAAAAGTAAGTGAGGAAAGTGTGCAAATGAAAAGTATAAAAGAAACAATTATAGGGAGAAAACACAAAAGAATATTAAAACAAATAATAAATAACAAAACTATAAAGTAAAAGATGATTCTTTAAAAGAATTCGAGATAAGAATTATATAAAATTGTGATTAAATATTTAAGATGATACAAAGGATATATATAAGGAACTACTAAGAAGATATATCTATAAAGTAAAAAATAATAAGATAATGTTATGGCCAACATTTCAAACTAAATCTGAAAATTTAACAACATGGAAAATACCTAGGGAATTCTATACACCCAAATCAATCACAGAATGTATGGAAAATCAGCAACAATTGAATAATATATAAATACTTGTTTTTAAAAATTGAGGCTATAATTAGTCCTCTGCTTTTATCTACCTCAAGCCCCAAATGTTTTTTACATGTGATTTTTGCCAAACTTTTAAGAAATACATAATCCCTAACTTGTACAAAGTTCTAAAGAAAAAAAATTAAGGCATTTTACCAACTCATCTTATAAGGTTAATACAAATTTAATATGCAAATAGGACGAGTACAATACAGCATTATAGGCCAATTTCAGATCCAAACAAATTGAGAGAAAAGTTAAAGTTATAGCAAATTCTTCCACTATCTATAGTAATAATAGAGCATAACCATGTAGAGTTTATCCAAGAATAATCTAGAATCAGAAGAAAATCTATCAATATAATTTACTAAATTAGCACCTTAAGAGAAAAAAATAATATGAACTACTCAATAGATGAAGATAATAAAATTGATGTCTAGTTTTACTCATGAAAAAGATACTTGCAAAATGAAGAACAGATGGAAACTTCTGTAATCTGGTTTTAGGTTTCTACCAAAAACCTAAGTTAAGATACTAAAGATTTATATTTTAGAAAATAAATGCCACTGGCCATTGAAATAAGAATTAAGAAAAAGAATGCAAGTTACTGATGCTCTTATTTTACATAAGGGCAAAGCCCCTAGGCAGAGATAGTAGATAATAAATAAAAAATCAGAAATATGAAAATAGGAAAGTAGGCCGGGCACAGTGGCTCATGTTGGTAATCCCAGCACTTTGGGAGGCCGAGGCAGGCTGATCATGAGGTCAGGAGTTTCAGATTAGCCTGGCAAACCTGGTGAAACCCCATCTCTACTAAAAATAAATTAGCCAGGCGTGGTGGCAGGCACCTGTAACCCAAGCTACTCAGGAGGCTTAGGCAGGAGAATCACTTGAACCAGGTAGACAGAGGTTGCAGTGAGCCGAGATCATGCAGCTGCACTCCAACCTAGGTGACAGAGTGAGACCCTGTCTCAAAAAAAAAAACAAAAAAAAAATATATATATATAGATAGATAGATAGATATGAATGAAATAAATGAAAACACAACAGACTCCATACTGGGGAAAATAAATAAATAGGAAAGTTACAGAAAAAAAATTGACATTTGTTGCCTAAATTTAAAAATCCAAGAGTAGTTTTAGAAAACCATTAGACAAGTAAAAGAATACATTAGGGTTACTAGATTTAGTCAAAAACCAATAGAGTTTCTTTTTAAGCATTAATGATCAAATAAAAAATCCAAGGCAACTCAATGAAAATAGAAATAGACCTAGAAGTTACTTAATATAAGTAACATATCAACAATACCTTGTTTAGAAAATTAGATAACATTATTTGATGACATAAATCAAACTGGAATAAATAAAGAACCACATCACCTTCACGGATGGATAATCTCATTATTTTAAAGATGGCAATTAATTCCAAATTAATATATAAATGCAGTGGACCAAAACAAGCTAATATTAAAATTATTTTTAGTTATATAACTTAATAAATAGACAAGATTTTGTAAGTAGAATAAGGAGAGAAATTTATTTAACCATCTACCAGATATACTAGGAAGTTTCACAATATTTACTTCCAAAAATTTTAATTCCACTAAATATAGAACAAAGACAAGAGAGTTGCTGATGTTAACTTGGATGATTAACCAACTATAGATTTAGACACGATTTGAGGGTGACGTAAAATAACACCTAATTAAATTTATCTCCATGGATTTATTAAGGTAAGTATTTCCTTTGGTTATCAAGGAAGGCTATGCCAATAAAAACAGCATCTTCAAGCACTGTGTTTATTACATGAGGAACTGTGCACACATAGATAAAAATGCAGAAGTAACCCCTCTGAATTTATCAGAGACTATATGTAGTAGTTCGAATGTATGTAGTAGTTCGAATGTATGTGTCCCTCCAAAATTCACATGTTGGAACTTAATATCCTATGTAATGGTATTAAGAGGTGGGGCCTTTGGAGAAGTGAGTAGGTTCTGAACATCCCGCCCTTATGAACAGGATTAGTGTTCTTATAGAAGAGGTTGATGGGAGTGCCTAGTCCCTTGTGCCCTTCTGTCTTCCCCTATGTGAGGCTGTAGCAACAAGATGCCATATTAGTAGCAGAGAGTAAATCTTCACCAGACACTACATCTGCTGGCACCTTGACCTTTTACTTTGCAGCCTCCAGAACTGTGAGAAATAAATTGCTGTTGTTTGTAAATTACCTAGTCCGTGGTATTTTGTTATAGCAGCAGGAACGGATTAAGACACTAGCCAAACCTCTTCTTGGGATGTAATGTCTTTTCCTTATTACTGTGTAAAAGACCGCTGCACTGCCATGAACCAGCTCTTTGATTTAACATGCAGGAAAAAAAAAAAAAAAACATGTACGATATGGCTTTCGATCCTTTTACCTTAATGAGATCTTAGTCTCCTTCCATTTATTTGTTTGTCACCTGTACAACCTAAAATTGTCAGATACCTAAATATTTCTTTAAAATTACCACAGGTTTACTGCACGTTACACTTTAGTGAATGCCCTTAAGCCCAGAACAACAAATATAATGCTCTGTTTAATCCTTTGAGTACACATTGTCCATGTAAATAGTCCGTGTAATTTATGAAGAAGTGACTTCAATTAAATTGTGCCTGTAAGTGAATAAGCTAATTCAACCATTTCTTAATATTTAAATTTTAACTGTTATTATACAGCACAGACATATTATCATTCTTTGAATGCATTGCTTTTTATTTTGTTTGATGTTTGTTTAAAGTGTGATATTTTGAATATTAGACATCCATTTATGTTTTTAGCTGCCAGATCATTTTTAGTAGATATTTATTGGTGGTAGCAATCAGAGCTTAGCAGAAATGATTTTTTATAACCATTATTTAAAATATAATAATTGCCATGACCCATTTTGTTTTTCTTGAAGTAATAGTGCTGGAAACTTATTCTTTGTTCCTTACTAAAACTTTTTTTTCCTTTTTATTTTCTACCTGTTGTTAAAGATTGAATTTTCAAACTTCCCTGTCACAGGTTCATTATCTGGTAATTAATGAAAACTGTACTTCTCACATACTGGTTTTCAAATCTGCTTGGAGGCCGGGCGCAGTGGCTTACACCTGTAATCCCAGCAGTTTGGGAAGCCGAGGTGGGCAGATCACCTGAGTTCAGGAGTTCGAGACCAGCCTGGCCAACATGGTGAAACCCTATCTCTACTAAAAATACAAAAATTAGCCAGGCATGGTGGCAAGGGCCTGTAATCCCAGCTATATGGGAGACGGAGGCAGGAGAATTGCTTGAACCCAGGAAGCGGAGGTTTCAGTGAGCCGAGATCACACCATAGCACACAGCACTCCAGCCTGGGCAACAGAGTGACATTCCATCTCAAAAAAAAAAAAAAAAAAAAAAAAAGAATAAAACCAAATCTGCTCAGAGACCTATGTCAACAGTAAATTAAGATTTTCTCAGATGTGGCAATGTTTTTTTGAAAATGCTTTCTTTTTTATTGCAAGTCACGGAGACTGTATCTGATAGGTAAATGTGTTTGTGTCCTCTAATGTTCCTAGTAGAGATTGACACATATATCTACAGCCTAAATGGGTGCTAGTGTGGAAAGACCTCTTTCTTGTCATTAATTTTCTCCTCATCTATGAACAGTTCTTTCACAATTGATGAGCACTTTATGGTATGAGCCATTTCATTATTATAGCTTTACAGTAGGCCAGTTAATTCAAATATTAAAAATATTTCCCCTTTCAAAATATTTTAAATATCTATGTTCATTTGATTTTGTCTTAGTTGTTGGCTTTCACATTTATTCTTCTTTTCTATTGTATCTGACTACATTATAAATGTAGAGCTTATACATAGGATCTAGAGAAAATATTTTAAAATCTACACTTTTGAACTTTCTTACTCCTGTTCAAGCACATATAACACACTAATTTTTGAGGAAAATAATGAAATATTTTACTCTTTTTCCATGTTAGTTGGCATCAGAGGTCAACTCACATCCTCTTTAGACAGTAGCAATTAATTCAGGAATTGGCCTTTTCTTTCCAATTATTAGCAAAGATTTGTTGCCTGTCACAGCCTTCCCGCAAGTTTTAGGTTATAGAAATTGTGAAAACATTTTTCAGCCTGTCTTAGGTCTGAACACACCCTTCCACGTAAGCATAGCCATTAATGACTATACTCAATTTGTGTATCCAAATTTCTGTCAGAAGCCAAACTGAGCCCTGGTCCTCACCAACTGTGTTTCAAGTTGCTATTTAAAAGGATGAGAAAGGAAAACATGAAGGATGTCCTTTCTGCACACAACTTATAAGTAATTCTAAAACATATTTGGTGGCTATTTTCTGTGTATGGAAGGTAGTTTATTTTATACATGTAATTTATTGATATCAGGAGTGAGAGGCTATAATATATCTAATTTCTGTTCATTTTTAAACACTTTATATGTTATGGACATTTTATTTTTCAATTATTTTTATATTTATTACATAATACGTTACTTTCAATAACAATGTATAGTTGGTTAGTAAGAATAACATATTTAAGAAATAAAAAAGTTTAAAGGCATTTACTTTAATTCAACAGCTATTTTTTAATTACAAAATTAAATAATAGTAGATTTGGGACTAGAAATGTAATCAAAACAAGACGTCTAGTGTATTATTATTTTTATTTTATAAATAATGCTTTTAACATTTTATTTCACCTCAAGCCACATCCTTATGTCCCTGAATTATGTATGTTTGTGTAAAATATTCAAAAAAATTATAATTAAAAACAGAGAAGGTAAAAATAAGTATTCACATAAAATATCATTTTTCTTTCAAAGTCATTTTAGAAAAGGCTTATTTAATAAACTTTGCTGCTTTTGGGGGGAGGTTTTTCTTTTGGTTTTACTCATCTAGTTCTTAGTAACAAAGATTTTAACTTTGGCTTGGCTCAATCACATATTTTCTCTTATTTTTTAAAAACTAAATTTAATGTTAATAAAAATTATATATAATATACATCTAGTATCAAGAATAAGAATACACAAATCAAATATATTTGCTCTTGTCTTTCAGTGTAGTTTTAAAGGCTAGTAAAATTGAAATATGTGTAACTTCTAAATCTAGGAGAGGGCATAAAAGTAGAGTAATAAAAAAACATCCCACAAAGAAATAGTCAATCAAGTCAGGGAAAGAAAAAAAAAAAAGAAAACTTAAAGAGCAGGACAAACAGCATAAAATAAGATGGTTAAAATCAGTCCAAAGACGTATACGATAAAAAACAAACATAAAATGAAACCACTAGTTAAAAGATCTACTAATTTAATAAATCTTTACTGACCACTTACAGCGGATTAAATTTTCTAAGTGTTGCAGCATTGAACAAAACAGAAAAAAATCATTGTCCTAGAACTCACATTTCATTAGAGAGGCAGACACTAGATGAATAATTAATTGATAGTAGTAAGTGTGATGGAAAAAAGGGGTAATGAGAGTTACCAGTCCTCGAGCCCATCCTATAAGCCCAGGATAGAACTTTCACAATGTGGAGTGGCAGGTGCAGTGGGAGCTTCTACTCTGGTGGCCTTCCCTGCCCAACCAGATAGATGCCCCATATGACAGAACTGGGGAGATGGGAACACCCCTTACCTAAAATACCACATACTTCCATTGTTTTTATTTAGATTCAGCAAATTTTTTGAAGAAATATTTATCAATGCATTCTATGCCATTTTAGTCAAATTTCCTCAAAAAATGGTTATTTTTAACAATTGTGTCCCATTTTATTGTCTTTGGAAGGAAGGATTTGCCAGACTCCTCACACAGCCATTCAAAAGCCTCATTCCCTGATTTAATTAACTATAAACTCTTCTTCCCCCCAGACTACTTAAATTTTACTTACCAGTATAACTAGTTATTTTATATGACCTAGGTCTAAAAGGAAGTTAGTGTAAATACTGAATTGCTTGCTTTTAAAACTAGTATCTAGCTACTATAAAATGTCTCTCAATTGCTATCTAATTTTACCCTAGTGTTCCATAGGTGATTCTCTGTACTATCAATTGCTACAATATTTCATCCAAATAAGTAATATCTGTATGACTTCATAGTATTTATTCACATAGTTATTATGCACTGCACAACTGAGAAATGCTGAGGCACTAAATCTCCCATTATTACCGGAGAAGATCTTGTGTAAAAGTATGTATAATACAGGCTGCTGTCTGAAATCTGCTTTAATTTCAAAACCCCCTTTCCCAAATCATGTGGATTACTTTATTGATAATGAAAAACATTTTTTAAATAACTTTTTATAAGTCCACATTCTATGAAATAAAACAAGCAGCAAAATATACTGAAATAGAGGAGGAAATAAAAGGGCTAACATAAAATAACTTAAAAGTATCTCTAAAGCTTTAGCAACCTATGGGTGGCTCTTTGGAAAATATTGCACATCTCTCAAAAATGTTACTGCCTCTTCCACATCCGGTTCTACTTTCATTTTGTATGTAGGTTACAATGGTTAATTTTAACCTGGTCGTGAGGTGCCCAAATATTTGGTTAAACATTTTTTTTTGGTGTTTCTATGTGTGTGTGTCTTTGGATGAAATTAACATTTAAAGCAGATTGCTCTTGCTAATATATGTGGGCCTCTCCCAATCAGTTGAGGGCCTGAATACAACAAAAATGTTCATCCCCCCTTGAGTAGGAGAGAATACTTTCTGTCTGATGTTGAAATGGGACATCAGCTTTTCCCCTACCTTTTGACTGGCACTGAGGTATCAGCTCTTTCTGGGTCTTGAGACTACTGGCTTTGGACTGGAACTATACCATTCACTCCCTTGGTTTTCTGGCTTTTGAACTTGTACTGGAACTATGCCCTCAGCTCTCCTATGTCTCCAGCTTCTTAAGTCACATGCAGATCTTAAGAGTTGCCAATATCCATAATCATGTGAGCCAATTCCTACAATAAATATCTCTATATTTGGTTCTGTTTCTCTGTATTTCTTCTTCATCAGAGTAGAATTTTACTTTAATTTAAATGATTGTTCTTTTAATTATCAATTATCCAAATTATAAGAATTCTACAAACTTGAAAGAAATTTAATCATAAATCACAAAACCTGTCACAAAAATTAAAGATGTAATTTGTGCATTGTTATACCAGGAACAATAAGAAGCCACAAGTATGGCACTCTAAGCGACAAAATGTATAAATGTTCAACACATATCATTTGTGGCTTTTCAAAATCTCTCTAACACAAAGGATGTCCAACTGTACTGAAAAGATATTAATATACTCTATCATAGTTTGAATAAATGCATTTCAAACCTACAGCAAGATAGAGTATGTCTGCACTGTTCTGTGTAATCACATTATTTTTTTCTCAAATTATTAATTAAACATACAGTCAAAAATCAAAAATTTCATCTAGGAAGAATACATTTATTTATGGAAAATATTCTTCACTATCCTGTGTCTAGGTTACATAAAACAGCCAGTATAAACAGCAAATAAAATTGTAAAAATTGGAAAGCATAAATTTATTTTTTCTATTGATTCTTGTGGCATAGTACACAATTTCTAATATTTAAGAATATCAATTTAATATTAATTCTAGAAATATGACTGATGCCAATCGTGTTGTGCTCACTGTTTAATCTGTTCATTGTAGATCACAACTACTAGAAAATTAATATTTTCCCAGATCTTAAATTATTAAATATTTCATTTATTGTATTCAAATTTAAAAAAAATCAGCATCAGTAGTTACTAATTGGTAGTTTTAAGAGCAAAAAAAAAAAAAGTAATATGACTTTAAAGTAACTTCTAACATTATGTGACCTTGAGAGAGTTACTCTGCCTGTCTGGATCTCATTTTTATTATCTAAAAATGATGGTCACATGTAATTGTTCAGGTAATTTTTTTTTCTTTTCTACTCTTCTCTAATAATTGGTTATATATGTTCAAGGGTAAATATGAAGAGTATATTCTGAATGAGAATTACATATAAGCATCAATTTTAACTGCATTCTAAGTTTATATTTAAAGCATTTAAACATTATTTTCAAGGACACAAATATATCTCATATTTATTCTCCTGACTAGCTGAGTTCATACATATCAAGGTTCTGTCTTCTCCTAGTGTACAAGCTATGCTTAATGTACATGCTGGTCTCCTCTTCATCAAAGATGTCCTTCTTTTCTCTCCCTTACCTCAATTTTATCATCATTTCAATGAAAAATAGTTATCACTTTATTTCCAGGCTTTCTCAAAGCCAGGGTTACATCAAAGTTTTCCACTCATGTAACTTATTTTCTTTAAAATATAGATTCATCCTCAGAAGCAATGCTGCTATTAATAATTAAATAATGCCCCCTTTATATTTTTACATATGAAGTTTCAGAAGCTTCAGATAGGAAATGATAATTTTTCCCTGTCCATAAATATATTCAGCATATACCATTTTATACATGAAGGCAACACATAAGGAACGTTTATTCTCCATGTTTCAGTGCACCAAAGGCTCTACACGATGGTACATCTAAAATAACCTAAGGAGAACCATTGTCCAATGACCGCAGAAGTCCTTACAAAACTTCATACTTGACTGCCAAATATGTAATTCTTTGAGGACTTATTTGCATTTTACAGGTAATATATTCAATAAAATGTTCATATCTTTAGTCCTGTTGAATTTTGTTATGACCTACAGTAACCTGGGCAGTCACTGAAAAGGCATAGTAGGTGAAAAATGGAATTGTTTGTATATAATCAGTTCCCTTCAGCTATGATCCTTAGCAAACCCAATCTGGATCACCTGGATTCACCCTACATGAGAGGCAGTGACTAAGAAGAAAGGGAACATAAGAAGGTTTAACTTGGATTCAGGCAATATGAAATTAGAGCCTAGCTTAAAAATTAGGTGTACAAGCCATATCTTCTATCTTGGTCTTAGTTCTATTATCTGAATAAAAAAATGAGTTTGATATTTCAAGAATTTCCAGCTATTTGCTTCATGGTTTTCTATGGCAATTTATTAATTACTAGCAATATGATTACTTTGCCTTAAGAAGGTAGTAAGATTTACAGTAACATATGATTACATTTGGAATTCACAAATTTTGGAAAGGCAATAAATTACAGTTTCCTATGGGGGATGCTTTTCTCAAATTTTTATTTTAGTGTTCTTGAACTTCGTTCTCTTAAGGATAATATATTGAACCATTAAGATGATTTTTACTTCTAACCATTTCAGCATAGGAAAATTCAACACAATAAGTTATCTTCCATTCATGTATACCAGTTTTTGGAGCCACAAAACCCTTAGATATGTCTCCTCTTTTAATGAAAGTATGATGAATGGAAGAAGATTATGATTATGCAAATGTAGCATATATTAGAGCTGTATTGCGTAACCCTCAATTTTCCCTAGTTCAATGAACTTAAACCTAGTGTTAGGGATCAATGGGAAGACAAACCGTGGTTTAAGGAAAGCCAACACATTCCATTGATAACTAATGAGTCATTGGTCTGGGAGCAGGTCTTGCCCTCAGACTGAGGACTGGAAAATAGAGGAATGAACATACTATTTCTATTTGTATTTATTTTATCTCAAATAGGAGCTTGAATGATCATGTAGGGGTACTTTATCAAGGATGCCTCCCCCAGGTTACTTAGACTTGAGGGTAAGTTAGCTTTTTCTATTTCTGAAAGGTTGGGCTTCCGAGTGAGCCACGTTCCAGGCTATAAATAAAAGCAGAGTGATTTTAAGAATCAGAATACAAAGCAGGTGATGACAGTGGAAAACTATGCTGCCTGGGATAGCAAAGTCAATAAAAAGCAGCACTTAGAGGGGAATATTATATTGGAAAGGCAGAGTCCAGAAAGTTGTTTCAGTGGTTGTTAAGAATCACTTGGAGAGCATGTCACAATACATGCTAAAATCCATGATCTCAAACTCTGACAACATGAATCAGAATCTCCAGATGATCTTGTGGATCTGATATTTCAACAACTAAACCAAATAAGTCTTATGTGCAGGTGTCTTGAAAATCAATGTTCTTTATCTTTTCTCTTGTACAGTGACTATGGCTATACATTGAAAACACTTAGTGGTGAGCATTTAAAATGATCTATACACACTCACCTCCAGCCCAGTTGAATGAAAATCTCTAATGTGTGCAGCCTGGGGATTATTGCCTATAAGAAATTCCCCAGGTGATTTTAATATGCAATCACGTTTGGGAATCACTGGCAAAATTGCAGTTATACATCAGTGTTTCTCAAACTTTAAAATGCACAGAAATCACCCAGATACCTTGTCAATTTGAAGATTCTGATTTAGCTATGGTGGGACCTGAGCTTCTGCATTTTTAACAAGCTTGTAAATGATGTAAATGCTGCTGGTTCAAAGATCATTAAGTAGCAGTGGCCTAAATCATGTGACTATTATAGAATGGAACAGTGATCAGTTCTGTTACCTGACCATAATGGCTAAACAAAACAACCAAATTATAAATTAAAAGGGGTTTGAATATATAGAACATTCATTTTTCAGCTACTAGCCAAAAAATACTATCTCTACCTGCTATCCCATGTGTTGTGTTCTTTTTAGACTGTCTAATTTTGAGCT
Source organism: Homo sapiens (assembly GCF_000001405.40). Taxonomy (NCBI): domain Eukaryota; kingdom Metazoa; phylum Chordata; class Mammalia; order Primates; family Hominidae; genus Homo; species Homo sapiens. The sequence goes on from NC_000004.12 coordinate 175,275,357, forward strand.
GAACTGTTTCTTAGACTGACAGACAAGTCATAAATCAAGTGATTGCTATAAATGCTTTTTATTTATATAGAGAGTGTCTCAGATTTTTACCTTTCTTTCATAAACTTGTCATAAATTTCTAATTCACCAATAGATGGTTGGTGTCCATTTTTCTTGAGTCTAAGACACTTTTAAAAATTTACTTGACTTGGTCTTTTACGTACTTTCTTCAGAGCCTTTCTTACTACATGTACTAATTCTTGCCTCCTTTGTTCTTTGTCTTTCATTGCAAAGCAGTAGTTTTTCCTGGTTTATAGCATCCATGGTTTAGGATGCTGAAATACTTCCAGTAAGGATGCTGTAAGTGAACATTCTGTAATCAGCTAAGCACGGACCATTTTTCTCTCTTTCCTCTTCCCTGTGATGATAATTTTTTGGCTACTGTTGAAATTGTCCCCCTGTTGAGCTCAGCAGAGAAGGCTTGGTCCATTTTCACATCAGTAGAAAGAATGTTCCTATGAAATTTTTATTCATCTGCCATTGTTTATCAAAAAGTGGTTTCAATAGCAATACTAGAGTTATTATCCACAGTATATATTGTGTAGTCAGTACAAATAAGAACATTAAATTGATGTTTATATTACAAACGAAGTATAATCTACATTTAGGAATCCTTATTTTATACAAATAATTCATAGCAAAATCTTTTAGGATGATTTTGTCATCATTAGCTTTGAGTGACTGAGCTAAGAGTAGAGAGGCTAAAAGCCCCTGATAATTTTTAGTTCCAAGGATTAAAATTGTGCAGAGTTTAAGGTGTTATTTTTTTTGAGAAAACACTTTATAGTATGTTTTTCATATACTATAATTATTAATTTAATAGAACAACATAAGTAATTGATATATGTTCATTATAGCTTCTACAGGTTTTAACGAAAATGCAAAAAAATCCTGGATGTGCACAGTTTTAAAAAATACTTAACCAAATTCAAGAAAGTCAAAGTCTTAACACATTTAACACAGCCTCTCATGTACTAAATGAATTACAACTAAATGGACCTAAGTTCTAGAAAATAAATAATGGAAAATAATACTATAGTGACAGAGAGATGAACAAGAAGGAAATGACCAACTCTTTTCTCATTTTTATGTCTCTAATTCCTTTGGCTGGGAACAGCTAGGTAGTTCATGTGAAAAGAGCATTTGTAAATTCAGTTGAGATAAAAACAAAAAAGAATATAAGAAAATCTTTTGTATTTAAGTATAATTTGTGTCTTTTCAGTAAGTCTTTCATGAATATATTTTGGATTTCAGTGCAAATAGTTTAGGTCCAAATATTAAAGGTAATTTAATGAACTTAAACTTTCACTCTTTCATCTTACAAATCAACCCCATATCTTAAAATTGTATTCAATAAATGTCTTATAATTTTCAGGAAGAGACAGCGGAGGAAAATTATTAATCAGGTATTCATTTAAATTATTATTTATTTATTTTAGATTTGTAAATGTCTCTGCAGAAATATAATTTGATCTTGTTTGAGGGTTCATAAAGCACCTCCAGACCACATATTTCAGTGTTACTACTAAAAACATCAATTTTTATTGTACTCCAAATATGTGGTAGTGCTCAACGTTCTGGATAATAAAATAGTGGAGACACAAGCTTTTTATTATACTCTGGAGTGGAGAATGATCCCACCGAGCATCTTAATCTCTGAAATTTCTGGGCGAAAGACACATTCATCTCTACTTCAAAGTTATGTTAGAACAATCTTAAGAGAAGGTCATGGGTAAGGTAAAGCCCACAGAATCAATACTCACAATTTTGTAGATTCATTAAGTTTATGTATAGCTTGAACACTTTCAGAGGTGTCTGCCAAAGGGCTATTTATAACAAAATATCACCACTGGGGAATAAAAGTTTCATTTTCTAGAACTTCTCTTTGGCTTTATTTCAAAATACAGTGAAATCACCCACACACATACACACCACCGCCGCCATCCCTGCTACCACAAGTAGGGAAATGTTTAAGCCACTGATGTAAAAATATGAATTTTATTATCAGAAAATGATCAGCCACAATTTGTTTGTTTGTTTGTTTGTTTGTTTGTTTGTTTCAGGGGATTCATGTGCAAGTTTGTGACCAGGGTATATTGCATGATGCTGAGGTTTCGGCTTCTATTTACCCCGTGACCCAAATAGTGAACATAATACCAAATAGGTAGTTTTTCAGCTCTTAGCTCTGAAGCAGGTGCCCATCCTGAAGCAGCTTCAGTATCTGGGGTAAATACCCAGGGTTCGTCGTCTGGTGCCCAGAGGATTAACGACACGGACTCACACACATGAGCGGGTTAAGGAGATTCGGAAACTTTAACAGAAAAAAAGGAGAGAAAGAGAGAGAGCAAGAGAGACAGCTTTCTCATACAGAGAAAGTGGATTGCCCACGAGGGTTTCTGGGTTTGGGGCAGGATATGGTTGATTTTGTAGACAGGCTTGAGGAGGAGGTGACTGATTTACATAGGGCCCAGGGGATTGGTTTCACCGGTGTGCCATTTACATAGCCCATGAAGAAACTGACCCTCACACCCGCACCTTTTATTATGCAAATATGGCTTCTACATGGCTAGTGTCATGAAACCTGCACACGTAGGTTTACCTGGCCTGTGCCATGATACCCGCACACGTGACGACCATGAGGAGGGAGGGGGAATCGCCATATTGGGTGCACCTGGCTTTTATTACAGCTGCCAGTATTTACATATGCAAGCTTCCCAGTTTGCTTGCAGCTTGACTTTTCAGGCTTTCTGTTAGAAAAGAAATTCTGGGGCTGCTTTTTATTAAAGAAAAATTCCACTGAAAACTCTTTTACCCTCCCTAACTGCCTAAAATAATTTCTTAATAACTTCTGTGTTATCTCTCACCTCTAGACCCATGACAGGCAGTGCTCAAGTTGTAGGAACAGCTTGCACACAGCTTGAGTGAGTAGAAAGGAAATAATTTTAAAAATCAGAATGTAATAAGGAAGCAAATACATAATAGAGAATTTTTAAAAAGTCATCCTTTTAAGTAACTAATAAACTTTAATATCCTAAATAGTCTTATTAGGAGCAAAGAGAGTAGAAAAAATCTACTAACATCAAGAATGAAAAAGGGGATATCTCTAGAGATCAAAAATTTTTTAAATATAATAAGACTATTACAGACAAGCGAACGCAAATAAATGTGAAAATTTGGATAGAGAAAAAAAACACACAAATGACCAAACAAAAAAACTATAAAATTTACATAGTTATAAATGTATTATACATTTGAATCTATAATTAAAACATTAAAAAGCAAAAAGCAAACCTCTTCACACCTAGATGGCTTCATCAAACACAAAATCTTTCAGAATGTAGAAAAAGAGTGAACACTTCCCAAGTTATTTTATGAGATCAGTATGATCATTTTTTTCTAACAGCTCACAGGTGTTTTCTAAGAGTCAAGTTATAGGCCCATTTCCTTTATAAAAATATATGCAAAAATCATAAGAAAGTATATGAATAAATCAAATCTAGCCATACATAAGGGTGATTTAATGTTTGCAAGTCAGTCAAATAATTAATCATTTTACCAAAATAAGGAGAAAAACAGGGCTATCTAAAGAACTACTAAGCATATGAAAACATCATTTGTCATCAAATGACAAAATTATAACAAGATTTTATATGCAGACACTGTGTTGTTAAAAATTTTGATCATATCAACTGTTGTCAAGAATGGAGAATGTAGTTTTACTCTACTGATGGAGGTATAAATTAGTACAACCATTTTGAAAAAAGCGTGTTTGAGAGGATATAGAGGATATACTCAATCTGGCCAGGCAGTTTCTCCCCCTATGTCTACACCCAACAAAACATGTACCTGTATGGGGCAGAAAAAGTACTTAAGTATTACTAGCAGTATTATCTCTAATAGCCCCAATGCAGAAACAACAGAAACGGCCATCACGAGTACAATGAACACTTTGTAATGTATTCACACACACACACACAAAAAAAAAACGTAAATAGCAATCTGATTGAACAAATTACTCTGGCACACCATTCCCTGGATTGAATCTCATAGATACTATCTGAGTTAAAGAGTGAAAAGAGCCTTTTTAAAAAGAGTACGTAATTGATGATTCCATTTTTCACAAATTTGTAAAACTGGCCAATCCAATCTATAGTGTAAGAATCAGTGTGGTGGTGCCCTTTAGGGAACAGTAGCTGGGATGCTGGGGAGGTTTTGGGGGTGTTGGCCATGTCCCACTTCTTCAGCTCAGTCATGGCTACGTGGGTGTGTTCACTTTGCAAAACTCTGTCAAGGTGTAGCATTCTGATGGGCTTATTTCTATATGTATGTTATTCTTAAAACAATTGTTAAGATGAAAAAATCACATTTATGGAACATGAAAATAAATAGTGAGGATATTGAATATATTTTAATTTAATCAGGGAAATTGGTAATTTTCCACAAGGAGTGGATTTAAAGGATATTTTATCAATTCTATGTTCAATCCTTCCTCTAAAAACAACCCAAGTTTACTAATAGTTTGGGGGATTAAATAAGCAACTGAAATATCAATAATTTAAATTCTGGCCATTATGAAACAATAATTGCTCCACTGGCCAAACAAGTGGAACTGAGGGGTCAGGGTAGTGAGGAATAGGGATCATTTAAGGAGTTACAGCTGTTAAGTCTATCTACATGTCCACAAATGGATGGCAAAGGGACAATTTTCTTTCAAATTAGAAGCAGTGTTTTCACAATTATTCCTTTCTGATTTCTCTTTTTTTTAACCCTGACAAAAAAAAAAAAAAAACACACAGTAGGTGTGTAAGGGGTGTGGAAGTTTTTGGTACTTATACTTATTTAGGGACAGCTGCACTATAGTACATTACAACTATCTGCTGCCATTGCCCAAGCCGTAAACCTGAGAGTGAGCCTCTTCCTTCTCCCGCAAACCTCACATTTACTCAATCAACAGCTCCTGTGTATTCTGCTTCCTCATTTTCTCCACCCTCACTTGTACAGTCTGAGTAATGGCTTTAGTCAACTCTCTTCCAGACTATGCACAGCCTCCTAATTATTCTCTCAGCCTCTTGCCCAGTCTGCATCTGCACATTTTTCATACCTACTTTGACTTTTTGAAAATATAAATATTATTGTATTACTACCCTGCTTAAAGTTCTTCAGGAAGATTCTGGAAAGATAGTGGGGTATCACCAGGAATCAGTTTTCCTTCTGGAGAGCAATTGCACTGACTGAATCTGTCTAACATAGCTATTTTGGAAATATGGAGTATATTGAAGGATTGCAATCTCCAAGGGAAGGCTTGCACAGTAAATTATGCTTGATGTTGGTCAATTTCAGCGCTTAGCTCTGGATCAGCTGCCTGTCTCTCCCTGTAAGTGCATGGCAGACAGTACACAAGCTACAAGACCAGCTTGCATGCAGCTTGTGTGAGCCAGTCTTCAACCAATGGTGAGCAAGCCACAAGGGGAGAGAGGAAGAAGAGTAAAATAAGGTTTTTATTCCACCCTCTCCTCCCTGTGTGGTAACCAACCACAGGAAGATCTCTCCATATAGTTCTGTCTCCACAGTAACTGTTCCCAGCCATTGCTCCTTCAGGTCTAACAGCCTCAGGGTGGCACACCAAGCCTTGTAGTTTCCTACACCTTTGTGAATAATCCCTCCACCAGTGCAAATGATCCACCTGGAGTATGCCATCTATTTCACCCCAGGACACTAATTGATAAACTCATTTTTCTAATTATTCAGAAGCTATATACATGCTATTAAAATTTATTCATATATAATTGAATCGGCAGTACAATATTTCTTGGGATTTATATCTATTCTCATACATTCCTCCTTTGGGACATGTAAGTTGTTTGCAGTTTTTCAAGTCATAAATAATTCAATTATTAACATATTTGTGCCTACAGCTTGTACTTAGACTACTTTTCTTGGATATAATTCTAACATTAAAATTACCAGGTAGTGTATGAATAATTTAAGGACATTTAACTCATAATGCCAAATTGCTTTTCCCAAGTGTTGGGCTAACTTATACTTCCAACAAGCAGTATTAGAACATTGCTTTTCCAATAGTATTGACATTTTAGGGCATTATTTTTAATAGTGACTAATTTCATAGAACTCTCATTCCTTGTATCTACTATGTAATAAAAATACAGCACTCATATATCACCCATATATATGTCTCATTTATAAACCACTCAATTTGTCTCCCCATGTAGATAAATAAATAAGCTTCTCAAAGACACCTATAAGCAAATACCTTCCTAATAGAGGGGGCACAAACAGACTGAGCACTCAACTTGTTTAAATCATGTAAGGGTAAAAAGTGTCTTACCTGTGTGATGTCATCAAACTATCAAGAAATGAGACCATGCTTTGAGAAGTTCCAGGTTCAAATCAGGTAGACAGTTCCAACACTGATTTAGCATGCATAGGAGCGATTAGACAAGAAGGCCAAGAACAGGCTGAGTAAGTAGTACAGATGTCAAGTCTGTACAACCAAAACGTTAGGAATCAAACAGTCCATATAAAACCAAACAGGTAAAAAGATTATGGGGAGAGAGAAACATCAACTAATGAATGAATGAATGAGGCATAAGATTAAGTGATAGGAGGGGCAAAGCTTAAGTAGTTCCTGACCTGTGGCACAGATTCCTGGAGCAAAGTGCTAGTTACTGAGAGTTAATATTTGTATAAAATGCTTGGAACAGTGGCTGGTACATATTAAGTACTACATAAGAGTTTGTTAAATTTCTTCATTCCTACCACCAGCATATACAGAGACCAAATCAATACAAATAGCAAAGTTAGTATAACATGCTAGTTTTGAAATGATTAATATGTAATATGTTTTTGGAAATTATTAGTTGATTTATTCCTTTACTCACAAATATTTATTCAGTGTTTAATATGTGTCAAGCTCCCTCTAGTTGACAGATATATAGCAGTCAATAAAACAGATAAAGCCCCTACTTAGAGAGAGGCATTAAATGAACTAAGAATAAAATACACTATCAGGTTGCAAAAATTTCAAAATAAAATTATATAAGGCATTAGATATAGTATGACTGAGGATGACATTTGAGACAGAATAATCCAAGCAATCCTCTATCATGTGATGCTACTTCATAAGAGACCTGATGGAAGTGAATAAATAAACCATACAAACCTCATACACTTGTGTTCTGGGAAGACAGCCCAGTAAATACAAAGACTCTGAGGCATGCCATGTGTATTCACGGAACATTAAGAGGCCTGGATAACTGGAGTTCGGTGTGTGAAAAAGAAAGACATTGGATGTGAATTAAGAGTGGTAGCTAGAGTCGGCCGGGCGTGGTGGCTCACGCCTGTAATCCCATCACTTTGGGAGGCGGATCACGAGGTCAGGAGATCGAGACCATCCTGGCTAACACAGTGAAACCCCGTCTCCACTAAAAATACAAAAAATTAGCCGGGCATGGTGGTGGGCGCCTGTGGTCCCAGCTGCTCTGGAGGCTGAGGCAGGAGAATGGTGTGAACCCGGGAGGCGGAGCTTGCAGTGAGAAAAAAAAAAAAAAAGAGTGGTAGCTAGAGTCTGGACTCTGCAGGGTCTCACACTTGTAAAAAAGTTTACATGTTATTTTAGGTATGTAGGGAAGTCACTGTAGAATTCTGAGCAGAAAAAATCAGAGATACATTTTTAAAGGTCCATTTTGTAACGATGGGTATGCCATCGCAAGTATGGGTGGTAAACAATAAGTTAAAAGAGGTTGCAATGGAAATTTGGACTAATGTTATGATAGAAATGATTTTTAGAAAACAGTAAGTCAGGATGTAATTGACATACAGCAAAGGTGATTTGCTCATGAATTTAATAGAAGCAAGAGAAAGGGTGAAGTTAGGGGTACATTTGATTTTTGAAATGCGCAGCTTAGTGAATGGTGATGTATTTACCAAGGAAAAGTAGTGAGATATATCATTCAAGAGTTCAGCTGGATTCAAAGACATAATTGTGGAACTGAGAAGCACATTAAGTATATTTACATGCAATGGTTTAGATGAGATTGCTTATAGAGTAAGCATAAATATAAGAGAAAAGAGTTAAGGACTGTGCCCTGGTGTACTCTAACATTTAGAGCTAAGAAAATTAAGAAGAATTGGATGAAGGTTAGTGAAATGGGTGGGGAAGGAAGCAGAAGAGAGTGGTATCCAGCAGCTAAAAGATTCTGATGATTCAAGGAGAGTACAATGGAATACTATTCATCTATAGAAAAGAATGAAATATTGCCATTCATGGCCACATGGATGGAACTGGAGGATATTATGCTCAGTGAAATAAGCCAGGAACAGAGTTAAACGCTGCATGTTTTCACTCATATATGGAAGCTAAACAAAATTGATTTCATAGAAGTAAAAAGTAAAATGGAAACTGGAAAGATTAGGGGGGATAGGGAGATGGGGAGAGAGTTGCTAAAGGATACTAAATTACAGCTAGATAGAAGGAATAAGTTCTAGGGTTTTATAACCCTGCAGGATGACTATAATTAATAATAATATATAGATTCAGGTAGCTAGAAGGAGAATAATGTCCCCAACACAAGGAAATGATAAATGTTTGAGGTGACAGATATGCTAATTTCTCTGATCTGATAACTATATATTAGATGTATTGAAACATCACTAGGTACTCCATGAATATGTGCAATTATTATTTGTCAATTAAAAAATAAAATATTTTTAAAAAGAAGAAGCACACAATTAACTATGTCAAATGCTGCTGATAATTAAGATGAGAACCATGAAATTACTGCTGGGCCCAGTGATGTGGAGGTATTGTATTTTAAAATAAACAAATAATAATTATATATATTTATGGGGTACAATGTAATATTTTGGTGCAGGTCTACATTTTGGAATGATTAAATCAAGCTAATTAACATATCCATCCCCTCACATCATTTTTTTGTGGTGAGATTAAAGTCTATTCTTTTAGAAATTTGAAAATATACAACACATTATTATTAACTATGGTCATTAAGCTATGAATAGAGTACTAAAGTTTATTGCTCTTCTCTGCTAAACTTTGTAACCTTTTGGCCAACTTTTCCCTTTTCCCCATGCCAACCCCCAGGCTTCCAGCCTCTGGTAATCACCACTCTACTCTCTACTTCTGTGAGTTCAACTTTTTAGATTCCACATATAAGTGAGATTATGCAATATTTATCTTTCTGTGCCTGACTTATTTCACTTAGCATCATTACCTCCAGGTGCATCTATAATGTTACAAATGACAGAATTTCCTTTTTAAGTCCCTATAGCATTCCACTCTATGTAGATACATTTTCTTTTCTTTTTCCTTTTCTTTTCTTCCTTTTTCTGTGAGACAGAGTCTGGCTCTGTCGCCCAGGCTGGAGGGCAGTGGCGCAATCTCAGCTCAGTGCAATCTCCACCTCCCAGGTTTAAATGATTCTCATACCTGAGCCAACCAAGTGGTAGCTGGGATTACAGGTGTGTGCCACTATGCCCAGCTAATTTTTGATGGGGTCTTGCTATGTTGGCCAGGCTGGTCTTGAACTTCTACTCTCAAGTGACCCGCCTACATCCATATTTTCTTTATCCATCCATCTATTGATGAGCACTTAGATTGATCCATGTCTTGCCCATTGTGAATAATGCCTTAGTGAACATGGGAGCAACTTTTTCTTTGGCGTAGTAATTTTAATTACTATGGATATACATTCACAAGTGGGATTATTAGATCATACGGTAGTTCTATGTTTAGTTTTTACATGAATCTCCATACTGTTTTCCATAATGACTGCATTAATTTACATTCTCACCATGAATGTACCAGGGTTCCCTTTTCTTCACATCCTCACCAACGTTTGTTCTCTTTCTCCAAAGAAGACATAGAAATGTCCAGATATATGAAAAACACTCAATATCACTACTCATCAGGGAAATTCAAATTAAAAGCACAATAAGATATCCCTCACACCTGTTAAAGTGAACTATCAAAAAGTGGAGGTCTTTTATGACCTACACTTGAGGGATAACAGATGAATGGTGTGTATAATGAACTGACTGAGATTCAAAGAATTTGTGAAAATGGAAATTTAGAGGAACATACATAACTTTCAACTTATTTGTGAAGTGAACTTATATCAAAGGAAATTCGGGGGTCAAGAATAATGGTTTTAAGATGAGAAATATGGCTTATCTAAACGCTGCTGTCAATGTTCTAGTAAGAAGGGGGAAATTGATCATGCAAGAGAGAAAGAGACAACTGCAAGAGTGAAGCCTTGGAAAAAATACATGTGATGGAACCAAGTGGCCTGTGCAGCATAGGTAGTTTATCTAAGGTGACAGAAGAGCAGGCAGCAAAGAGCTATGGATTAAAGTAAGTGGTAGGCATATTGGTAAAAGAATGGAAATTATTTTCCCATTCACTTGTATTTTCACAGTGATTGAAAAACAATATCATTCGCTGAGGATGTGAAAAGCAGAGGTAGGATTACCCAGTGAGGTGGGAGAGAAATGAAAGAGCATTGCATGGTAACACTGAGGACACATCTGAGGGTTTTTGTCTTGAATTTTGTATGACAACAGTAAACATGGTTCTCTGTTTTTCTCATTTAGAGTCTAGAATGCAGTCATATGTAAGTGAAGAACTGAGTGAGTTCAATGAATGAAAAGAGGAAGAAGAGAGTTAAGGATGGATGAAAGAAACCTAAGCTAGGTAAGGAAGACCATGAGGAATGACAATCCAAAGGTGGTAAACCCCACTGCAGGACAAAGTCCAAATAATTATTAGAGCTGGGTAACTAGGAGAACCAGAGATAGGAAATTAAGAGCTTATAAACAGGGAATGGGATGCTTGAAATTGAGATTTTGGAAATGATACAATTATTGGTACTGATAAAATCTAGGTTATGATCTTGAAGTGGGTGGCTGAGGTGAAAAAAGAGGGACTTTTCAGCAGTTTGGAAATTTGGGAACTGGCATATTATTGGATGCACCATCTACAAATATAGTGAAATCATAAGAATGATGACAAGGATGTCAGCAACTTAACATACAAATTATCATCCTCCCCCTCCTTAGGCCTAGGCTCACAAACTGGCTTGCTGTCTCTCTTCACACCTAACCACTTCACCCAATCCCCTCTATATCCACACCTCCACAGCTTCTTCCTGGAGTTGGACACCTGTTGCTGGAATATGCCTCACACTTACAAAACTGGAGGCTTAATATTCACGAAGAAGAAAGTTATCATCAAGGGTCAACTTTAGATGAAGTTCCTGATGGAGCTGCAAGGCCATGCACAAATAAATTACCCATTTTCTTTTGTGCAACTCATGAGACTGTTCTTTTAGGACCAAGGAATTTATTTCCCTACTCAGAAAAGGAAAAGTATAGCAAACCAATTAAATGGACAGGTTTTAATGAAGGCTTCAGGCAGAAAGATAACAATCCAAAGTTAAAAATTTCAAATCCATAGACATCAACTAAACAATCAAGCACATCATCTGATATTGAAGTTGAAGTGAAAGGAACTAATGATTAAAAGGAAGATATTGACCATGAAGAAAAAGGCAGCAAAAAGGATATGACTAAAGTAATTGACAGAACCACTCTGAGAGCTTCCAGAATAGAAAGACAGAAAACAAGTAGAAAATGAGGATGCAGGAGTTGTGAAAACATCTCTTAATCTAAAAATGAATCAAAAACAGGCAAAACTGCAACTACATAAGTCAAGGCTCCAAAATCAAAGGCAAACCTGAAATAGTGAATGGTCTGTCCTTCAGAGAGCAGCATGGCAAGTGAGGAAGATAAAAATAAGAAAAAAAAGGTCAAGAGAAAAGCACCTTAAGGGATAAAGAGGGCAGAAGGAAGAAGAAAAGCCAAGAAAAAGCTCAAATAAAGGAAGAAAGAAGTTGAATAATAAGTGACAAAATTACCTCAGCAAGAATTATCTCAACATCTGATTCTGAAGGAGAAAGAGACGATCAAGAAGGTGAAAAAATTAGAAAAAGAGAAAAGATGAAAAAATATTCGGGCTATTCACAGATGTAATATTCTGATAGGCCAACATAAGAAAGAAGCAGCATCTATAAAACATATGCAATAGGAACAAATGGAAACTGTGCAGCAAAATAAAGACAAAGGAAGAAGCCAGAAGAACAAGAAGTATCAATGGAGTCTCAGCTTCCAAGGATACATGACTACATGAAAAACTCACTCAAGATTGGCAGTCTTGATGGGAACAGATATATCGAAGCAACAATACAGGCAACAAGTTCAAAATCACAGAGAGATTATGAGAACACAAAAGAAATATAACAAGTCAAAGTTAGTCAGGTACTTATGAAAAAGTCTACAATATTTGAGACAGACATACCTGGGAGATATTAACAGTTCCAGTACCTGGGAGGTATTAACAGTTGCAGGGCAGGGCACAGTGGCTCATGCCTGTAATCCCAGCACTTTGTGAGACCGAAGCAGGTGGATCACCTGAGGCCAGGAGTTTGAGGCCAGCATGGCCAACATGGTGAAACCCTGTCTCTACTAAAAATACAAAAATTAGCCAGGTGTGGTGGCACACGTGTGTAGTCCCAGCTACTCGGGAGGCTGAGACAGGAGAATCGCTCGAACCCAGGAAGCGGAGGTTGCAGTGAGCCAAGATTGTGCCACTGCACATCAGCCTGAGTGACAGAGCAAGACTCCATCTCAAAAAAAAAGTTCCAGTTCCAGACCACTGCAATAAATCCAATATCGAAATAAGCGAATCACGTGAAAGTTTTGGTTGACCAGTGCATGTAAAAGTTATGTCTAAAATATGTATACAAATTTTTATGTCTAAAATATGTATACACTTTTATGAAAAAATACCTTATTGCTAAAAAATGCTAACGATTATCTGAGTCTTCAAGTCACAATCCTTTGGTTAGTGGAGTGTCATGCCTCCATGTTGATGGCTGCTGAGTAATCAGGGTGGTGGTTCTGAAGGTTGGGGTGGCTGTGGCAATTTCTTAAAAAAAGACAGTGAAGTTTACACACTGATTCTTCCTTTCATGAAATAGTGCTTTGTAACATAGCATGCTGTTTGGCAGCATTTTACCCAAAGTAGAACTTCTTTCAAAATTGGAGTTAATTTTCTCACATCCTGCCACTGCTTTATTAACTAAGTCTATGTAATATTGTAAATCCTTTGTTATCATTTTAGCAATGTTCACAGTATCTTCACTAGGGGTAGATTCTGTCTTAAGAAATTATATTATTTGCTTATCTGTAATAAACAGCTCTTCATCCATTCAAGTTTTATCATGAGATTGCAGCAATTCACTCACATGTTCAGGCTCCATTTCTAATTCTTGCGCTGTTTTTATTTCCATTACATCCACAGTTACTTCCTCCACTGAAGTCTTTAACTCCTCACAGTCATCTATGAGGGTCGGAATAAACTTCTTTCAAATTCCTGCTAATGTTGATATTTTGACCTGCTCCTATGAGTCACAAATGTTCTTAATGGCATCTAGAATGGTGAATATTTTCCAGAAGGTTTTCAATTTACTTCACCCAGGTCCATCAGAGGAATCACACTCTATAGCCACTATAGGCTTACAAAACGTATTTCTTACATAACAAGACTTGAACAAAGTCAAAACTGCTCCTTGATCTATGGGCTGGAGATGGATGTTATCAGGCATGAAAACAGTATTAATCTCCTTGTGCACCTCCCCCAGAGCTCTCAGGTAACCAGGTGCATTGTCAATGAGCAGTAACATTTTGAGAGAAATGTTTTTGTCCGGGTAATGTCTCAACAGTGGGATTAAAATAGTTAGGAAATCATGCTGTAAACAGATGTGCTGTCACCTAGGCTTTGTTGTTCCATTTACAGAGCACAGGCAGAGTAGATTTTACTTAATTCTTAAAAGCCTAGGATTTTCAGAATGGTCAATGAGCATCAGCTTCAACTTAAAGTCACCAGTTCATTAGCCCCTAACAAAAGAGTCAGCCTGTCCTTTGAAGCTTTGAAGCCAGGCATTGACTTTTCCTCTCTGGCTATGAAAGTCCTCGATGGCATTTTCTTCTAATATAAGGCTGTTTTGTCTACATTGAAAATCTGTTGTTTGGTGCAGCTGCCATCAATGATGTTAGGTAGATCTTCTGGATAATTTGCTGCAGCTTCTACATCAGCATTTGCTGCTTCTCCTTGTATTTTATGTTCTGGAGATGGCTTCTTTTCCTAAACCTCATGACTCAACCTTTGTTAGCTTCAAACTTTTTTTCTACAGCTTCATCTCTCTCACAGAATTGAAGAAAGTTTTAGGGCCTTGCTCTGGATTAGATTTTGGCTTAAGGGAATGTTTGACTGGTTTGATCTTCTATCCAGATCACTAAAACTCTCTCCCTGTCAGCAATAAGGCTGTTACACTTTCTTTTCATTTGTGTCTTCCTTGGAGTAGCACTTTTAGTTTCCTTCAAGAACTCTTCCTTTAAATTCATAACTTGGCTGTTTGGCACAAGAAGCCTAGCTTTCAGCCAATCTCAGCTTTTGACATTCTTTCCTCACTAAGCTTAATCATTTCTAGCTTTTGAATTAAAATGATAAATATGCCACTCTTCCTTTCTCTTGAACACTGAGAGGTCATTGTCAGGTTATTAATTGGTCTAATTTCTATACCATTGTGTCTGAGGGAATACAGAGGCCAGGAAGAAGAGGAGAGATGAGGAAACGGCTGGTCAGTGGGACTGTCAGAACACACACATTTTTCAATTAAGTTCGCTGTCTCATATGGGTGCAGTTCACCATGCCCCAAAGCCATTATAATAGCAGCCTCATACAATCACTGAAAACAGATCATCATAACAAATACAATAATAGTGAAAAAGTTTGAAATACTTCAAAAATTACCAAAATGTGATACAGAGACATGAAGTGAGTGCAAGTTGTTGGAGAAACGTAGCAGGTTGACTTGCTCCATGCAGAGTTGTCACAAACCTTGTATTAGTTAAAAAAAAAAAAAGTGATATCTGCGAAGTGCAATAAAGTGAAGCAGAAGAAAACAAGTTATGCCTGTAGAAATTTTAAGAATGTATTGGTTGGTGAAGGATTTCCTGTGATTACACAAGTGCTGAATAAATCCTTCACTAAACATAGTCAGCATGAGGAAGCCAATAAAAACAAAGATTGGGGTGAGAAAAGTACAAACAAAAAGGAAGAGGAAGGAATAGGTTGAAGGGCTTTAAACAGAGGATCTGATGCCAAGATAACAGTCAGCCACAGCATAGCATAATGGAGACAGCAACGAAACAAGCAAAGACAAGCATGAGGTCAGCCCCACAGAAAGGCCCACTGGTGAGAGAGACCGGAAAATCTTGGAAGGAGTTTGCACTGGATAATTAAGAAAATGGACTTGGAATATAAAGAATATCTGGGAAGTTTTCAATGGTTTTCATTGGAAATATTTAAACTGTCCGAAGTTTTAAATTTTATAAGTGTAGGTTTTGATATCTAAAATTTACTTTGAGGAAAAAAAACTCATCTTTGTTTAAAGGCAATCAAATGTTATTGTTAATGGTACTTGTTAAGTATTAGCAGTTATGTAAAACACTAAATGTGGAAAAAATCCATCTAGAAAATGCTTTTCTAGACAGTATGGTTGTAGCTTATTTTCAGTGGATGTGTGTATGTTAATGTGTAGTGGATAATAGAAAAAAAGTTAATTTTTAAAACACTGCTACTTATATAAACTCTTCCTCTTTTCCAAATACAATACATATTGTGCATAGTTTGTACAAGTCTTGGAATTACCAGAATGTCTCTTCACTGTCAGTTTTGTGGAAGTTGAGCATTTTTATGATAAATAAATATTACTTTAATAAAAATATTTAAAATAATGTATAAGACAAAACTAAGAAATTTAGTTATCTTACGTGGTTTCTTTTCCCATGTACCATAAAAATATATTTCTTACTTCTCATTATGCAAGTCAATACACGCAAGACACTATCGAAATGTTCAAACATTCTGATAACAGTTCATGAAAATGTCTATGAAGTGTGGGATGACCCACTCACTAATTTAAGGCTATGAAATAAGTCACAGTTAAATAAAACAATGAAATATTTTAAATTTCTTCAATATAGCAATATATGACAAAATAACCTGAATATGTTATCCTTTTACATTTTTTCTTTGGGTTTGACAAAGAACCCAATTCTTTACTTTTAAAAACCTTGAATGATTAGTATTCTGGTCATTTGTTTTTTAAAAGCCTCATGGGCTGAGTGTATCCACTTAATTTTCTGTGTCAGACCAAATAATTGCTTTTTTGTTTCCTATTTTCTTTCCTATATAAAAAGAATAAAGGCCTGACTGCTTACAACACAATACATGTAGGTGGTTATAATGATTAATTATAAAATGAAATACTCAAGATAGGTAGTTGGTGCTGTGCATACCAGGGGTATAATAGATATTCCCCAGCCCCTGTGTAACAGGGCTCTGGCCAGGCAAAGTGATGTTGTTAGCAGTGGCCAATTCATATATGTCTGGGTCTGTGGCAACCTCAATTCTCACCTTCTCAGAAGAAAGAAATTGACTGAGGGGCATAAGGCAGAAGGAGAGACCAAGGCAAATTTTAGAGCAGGTGTGAACATTTATTAAAAAGCTTTAGAGTAGGAATGAAAGGAAGTCAAGTACATTTGGAAGAGTGTCAAGTGGGAGACTTGAGAGATCAAGAGCACTGTTTGACCTTTAACTTGGGGTTTTATATGTAGGCATGCTTCTGGGGTCTTGTGTTCCTTCTGATTCTTCCCTTGGGCTGCGCTGTCCTGTTCGTGTGCGCAGTGGCCTGCTAACACTTGGGAGGGGCCACAAGCGCAGTGTGTTTATTGGAGGTATACACACGCTCACTTGACACGTTCTTCCCTTACCAGTCAAATGCTCCATTTTGCTTCTTAGTGCGAGTGCTTGAGCCGCTCACCCAACTCCTGAGATCTTATCAAGAAACTGCTGATCACCAGTTTCAGGATTTTTCTATCTGTTGGGAGACTGCCTTTCCCTGGTCCAGCTGTGACTAATTACTATTTTAGAGAGATCATTAACAACTGCCTGACCATCACCTGAAGGTCACCTGACATTGCTGGTGTGTGTGTGTGTCGGGATGGGGGGAGCCTTTTTCTGCCCTGCTCATGTCTGACCAACTACCTACCTTAACAATGTATGCTATATCTAGGTTGACTCCCAAACTAGCAAGTCCTCCAGATTCTCAGTCTTCCTTTGCTGATTAACTAAATGCAGAAAATCTCACTGTGACACATTGAACTGTGAAATGAGGGAGAAATGATACTTTGTCATTTTAATCCACTTATATTTTTGAGTCATTGGTTACAATAGCCAGCATTACTCATCTTGACCCAGCTATATCTGAATCTAAATCCTGGTTACACCTTTCTGTCATTAGTCAAGAAATTTAACTTTTCGAGACTTAGATTTCTCATCTATAATACTTGGATAATAATACTTGTTTGAGATTATGATGAATAAATGAGATGTTTTCTACAATGCCTGTCAAAGAATAGAATTGTCATTTGGCACTTATTATTTCTAAATCTGGTTTCTAATTTAATCCTCTAAGTATTACCATTTTTCTTAAAACCATGACTAACACATTTACAAAATTAATTATTTACTTATTTGCCATAATAAGCCAAAGGTACTACTAAAATATTTAAAGCTTTTTAGGGAAAGTGGTTTTTCCTACTCAACATCAATTCATGATATTGACTGCAGGGCTTCTCTAGAACTTATATTCTTGTATGATGTCCATTCTGTAACTATTTCTTTCTTTCTTTTTTTTTTTTTTTTGAGACAGAGTCTCGCTCTGTTGCCCAGGCTGGAGTGCAGTGGCATGATCTCGGCTCAATGCAACCTCCGCCTCCTGGGTTCAAGCAATTCTCCTGCCTCAGCCTCCCGAGTAGCTGGGACTACAGGTGCCTGCCACCACGCTGGGCTAATTTTTTTTGTATTTTTAGTAAAGACGGGGTTTCACCATATTGGCCAGGCCTGGTCTTGAGCTCCTGACCTTGTGATCCGCCTGCCTTGGTGTCCCAAAATGCTAGGATTACAGACGTGAGCCATGGCACCCAGCCAAGTATTTCTTTCCAATCTTTAGTCTCCAATTCATTGATGTGAAGTTGCATGACCTTCAAGGCAATGTGATGTTGCAAAATTATTTATCAAATGTATTACTAAAATTACCTTCTCAAAAATTTTGCCCTCTTGAAAATATTTTACAGTGGCATTATCTATGCCACCTGACTCGTCAGCAACATTAAAAACTTTACCTACTAATACATTGTTAACACACAGGACTATGACAAAAGTCTCATCAGATACATTGTTTTTTTCCCGCTCTTCAACTTTAGCTGTTGGAAGAGGGATTTCAGGTACCCAGCCCATCCTCTCACTTAACAAAGCAGTCTTCTGGATGTCTCTGTCAAAACTTAAAGTATAATAAAAATAATAAAAAAAAAAAAAGAAAATGTGGCACATATACACCATGGAATACTATGCAGCCATAAAAAATGATGAGTTCATGTCCTCTGTAGGGACATAGATGAAATTGGAAATCATCATTCTCAGTAAACTATTGCAAGGACAGAAAACCAAACACCGCATGTTCTCACTCATAGATGGGAATTGAACAATGAGAACACATGGACACAGGAAGGGGAACATCACATTCTGGGTACTGTTGTGGGGTGGGGGGAGGGGGGAGGGATAGCATTAGGAGATATACCTAATGCTAAATGACAAGTTAATGGGTGCAGCCCACCAGCATGGCACATGTATACATATGTAACTAACCTGCACATTGTGCACATGTACCCTAAAACTTAAAGTATAATTTAAAAAAATCCTCATAAACATTAAATTAAGAATGAAATGCAAAAAAAAAAAAAATAGGTCACATAGCCTCTTGTTAAGTCCTGCTGGTGAGGGTAAGGCTCACAAGATCACCTATTCTGCTTTTTTAAAGTTTTATCTGCCTAGGGAAAAAAATCTAAATATTTCAACATCTGCCTTCCTGAAAAATCCATCATTGGCCTTTGTTGTGATCTCTGGAGCAAATAAAGCAGGTCTATTCTCTATTACTCTCATGAATTTTTAAAGTGCTGCTGAAGGTGGAATTTGTTATTGGAATTCATATACATTTAATATAACCCGAGGCAGGAACCTAGCAGGAAGTAGCTGGAGCTAGTAATTGAAAAGTTGCAAGGACACCAAACAGCTTCTTTCTGTACACGATCTTCATTCTTTTCTATTTTCTATTTTCTAATTCTCTCCTCAGGCTACTTAGCAGCAAAGAAAGGCTTCATGTTCTGAGACAGAATACGATTGTCGCCTCTTAGGTGTCCATCTCTTGTCTAGTTAGCTGTGCTTAACTGGACTACAAGGTGGTGGAGTTATACTTTCATAGGTGGGAAAGTATTAAAGCAGGACTCTTTTTGATCTTTGCAAATACCCATGAAAGAGAAGTACAGTGCTTTAATGATATTAAGTCATTAAATTTAGCCCTCCCACTTTCCTAACATTCTCAGCCTTATCTTCTCTAGGTATTTCACATAATCTTGAAAATGCACAGGTTCAAAACATGTCACCAACTGAGTACCTACTTCTAGAAACTCAACAGTTGGTCAATGTTTCTGAAATGATGTTCTGTCATGACAAGGGAGGAAATGCCTCCCATCTCAATTTAATACCAATATTAATAGATGTAAATATAATTATAGATCTTATCTCAAATTTATTTTATCATAATATCATATGTTGAAAGTACCATTTTAAGGGACAATCTATTACTACTCTACTCACTTGTAGTCACTATACATTGTTCTCATCTATCATTTATCTTTCTCTTAGTTTTGGACATCTAAGTTGTTTCTAGGTTTTTTACATTTAAATCTATGCCACAATGGATATCTTTGCACATAAATGCCTCTTGGGTGGTAGTTCTTTTGTTTGTTTGTTTGTTTTGTTTTTTGTTTTTGTTTTGTTTTGTTTGAGACGGAGTCTCACTCTGTCACCCAGGCTGGAGCGCAGTGGCACGACCTTGGCTTGCTGCAACCTTCACCTCTTGGGTTCAAGCAATTCTCTTGCCTCAGCCTCCCAAGTAGCTAGAATTACAGGCACTTGCCACCAAGCCCAGCTAATTTTTGTATTTTTAGTAGAGACAGGGTTTCACCATGTTGGCCAGGCTAGTCTCAAACTCCTGACCTCAGGTGATCCACCTGCCTCGGCCTCCCAAAGTGCTAGGATTACAGGCCTGAGCCACCACACCTGGCTGGGTGGTATTTCTTTAGCAGAGATGTAATATAATGTAATCTGATTTAATGTGCATAGTAAAATAAAAGAAAAAAGAAAACTAGCAACCATAAGAGAATTTATGGAATGTAAGACATAAAAATATTTTTTAAGTAAAATTAATTTGAATATTTGCCAAAAGATGAAAAAAGAAGACAAAATAAAAAGAACTAGTGCAGCAAAGAGCCCCAAGTCCATTTAAAAACAGATTATAAAGTTCGCTGGGAATTATCTTTAAATTTAGAAATGTAAATGATACAGATGATTAGGAGTTAATCACAATAATTATGTTAATAATAGTATTATAACTAGCAAAAAGTATGAGAAAACAACTAAAGAGATATAAGCATATTAAATCACACATCTCTCATAATGGACCCAATAAATTATCTAAAACTTAAATGTGATGTTATAATTTGCATATTTTATATCTTAGAAGATATTTTGCAAATTAATGTGTCTTGAGGATATAAGTATTGAAAACAATTTTAGTAATACCTCAGGCAGTTGCTTTTATTATTTGGAATTCAAGGACATTTACGCTTAATATATTTTAAACGAAAAATAGGATTAACAATGTAATTCTGCGTTCAACTTTAATTTTATATCCATTTGTATGCATGTATTTCCCATTCTTCTATTGGAATATGTGTAGACAGATTCATAAAATGATGTGCATTTAACGCTAATAATAGTTATTGCTGGTGTGGATTTTGAGAGTGAGAGTTATGTTTTTGTAATTTTTTTTTACTTTCTTCTTTCTACATTTGTATTGCCTTGATTTTTTTATGAACATGCAACATTTGGAAAGCTTTAGTCATTATTCTAAATGTTATTATTTAAATTCAATATACAAATTACTGACCTTTGTATCATAAAAACCAAAAGTAAAATATAAAACAGAAAACAGTGAATAATTTAGATGTATGTTATTTTGCATTAAGAAGGTTATTTAAAGATACACAGAATCATATCACTTGAGCTGTTAAAATAAGAAAAGTAGAATCTACTATATGTATGGATTTCATTATGTATACTTTATATGCATATTTTTATATTTATGTTTGTGTATCCATGTGGGTATAAAATATTGAGCAGCATCCTAAGAACTATAAGGCATTTACTATCATCTTCTGTAGCTCATTCTCTTTTATATCAAATAATTCATATTGGAGCAAAACTCTTTGAATATAACAAATGTGAAAAAGTTTTCAGAATGTTCATATTTTAAACCATTTTATATAATACCAGCTTCAGTGAAGCATTGTAACAAACATAAAAAGAATGTCAGCAAATACAAGTAACTTAAGTTTCTAAAACCAACTCTATAAATAAAAAATAAAAATAGAATAGCATTCCTTGCACCATCTCCAAAAAATTCCTACCACGGAGCCAATAGACTGTCTATGCTGCACAAAAGTCCTGCAGGTTTGGGAAAGCCTCCACAATCAATACTTTCTTTAGTGTTAGAAGAATAAGACTGAGAGAGAGCCTTGAATACACCAAATGGCAAATGCATATATTTTAGTTCAACCTTAATCCATAACCGTCACTGACTCGTTCATCCAAATTAGGTCCTGCACAGTTTCTTCCTTTTCTTTAAATATATTTAAATTTTTTATATATTTTTATATATAATATAATATATTTATAAATTTTTTATATATTTTTATATATAATTTATATTTATAAATTTTTTATATATTTATATATAATATATATTTATATTTATATATTTATATTATATAAATATATATTATGTATATATTATTTATATATATAAATGTAAGGTTGTAATTGTTTCATAAATATTTACTAAGTTAGTTTTCTCTCATATCAAAGTTTGCATGTATTATAAATTAAGTTTCTTGAGAACTTGCCTTGATTGTCTTTAAGGCCTTTAGAGGATATATCTTATGCTTATAAAATGAACTAAGGCTTTTGGAGAGACCCCTATAGATTCCTTTCAATCCAACGCTAACATAGCTATGGGGTTAGCTCATCTCAGTCCACACCACATACCACTCAAACATCAACCCACCCACCCAGTTCAAGAGATCTTAAGAGTGTCTGAAGCCAATGAAAGGGATTATCACCCTTATTCCCATGTTGGCAGTGAGGGTCTGAACACACCTGGAGTTACAGAGAGATACCCTTCCTGGTACCAAAAGTTTGTATACTAGCTATTTTTATGAAGGTTCCACATGAGATGCCCACAAGAAAGACAATTAACATAGTTCTCTGGCATTGGCAGTGTTAGACAGTCTCAGGTGCTGGGGCAGTCTGAACCTGATATAGTTCCCATGAGCTGGGGCAGTTTGAACACTGATATAGTTCCCATGAGATTGCCTTGTGCTGGTGGTGGGTGGTACTGCTCACACTGAATCTGGAATTTTCTCCATACTGATTCTGTTTATGTTAACTTAGCTCTGGCTAGCACTGTGATTATTTATGAGTCTCAACATGATCTCATCCTCCTCAAGTTCCCAGAGGTTGAAGAGGGTCAGAGGAAGGAGGACATGGGGAGAGATTGATCAACGGGGACTAAGTTGTAGGTAGCTAGAAGGAATCAGTTCTGGTGTTCTGTTTCACAGTAGAGTCTACTGTTTCACAGTAGAGTGACTAAGGTTAACTATATTCTATCGTGTATTTCAAAATAGCTAGAAGAGAGGGTTTTGAATGTTCTTACCACAGTGAAATGAGTCAATGGATATACTAACTACTCTGATTCAATCATTACATCATGTATACTTGTATCCAAAGTGTACCCCATTTATAGGAAGTATCATATGTCAATTATAAACAAAATTTACAGAAAGACCATGAAACCATTAGGTAGCAATGGGTGGACTAGAACCATAAGCCTTTTGGAAGCATCTCCACCAACCACAAACTTGCTAAGTCAGAAGCCAATTGATGCTCCCAGAACCTTCCTCAGAATGAGAGATGTATATACACATATATGTGACTTTTAATACATATATATTTAAGCACATTTATACAAACACATATGTGTGCATATATATATATACACACAGATATTTCTATATAATTAAAAGTAATTATAAAACAAAATTGTCAACATCTTAAAAAAGTGAAAATACTTTATTAAAAGTCTATCTGCCAACTTTGTGTCATGTATTATTAATAAAAAAGCTTTTAATACAGACATATAATATTTCTTCTGTAGAAAAAAAAAGTGAAAATTGACATTTTAAAAACCAGCATTCAATTAAGGGTTATTGGCATTTAGGCAAAGATAATCGTTCTCCAAAAAAAAAGAGGAAAAAAAAAGAAGAGGAAGAAGAAAAAAGAAATAGCATTTTAATAAGGAAAAACTATGACTCAGTGTCATTTTAATAATTGCATTTCCTCAATAAATCCAAGAAAGCTCAGGGAACAAATTCAAATGTAACTACTTTATTAAATCAAAATCCAGCTGTTAGGAAAAACACTGAATCAGTATAAAACTTGCAGCAAACCCATACATTTGAAAGTCCTATCTCAGTAAGGAATTACTTATTGAAATTTTTAAAATGACAGTGCATTTTACTTTTCTGGACTGTTTGCAGAGC
This sequence comes from Homo sapiens, assembly GCF_000001405.40. NCBI lineage: Eukaryota > Metazoa > Chordata > Mammalia > Primates > Hominidae > Homo > Homo sapiens. The sequence goes on from NC_000004.12 coordinate 175,299,336, forward strand.
ACTTTAAACATAATTATCATAGACTTCTGGTTTAATCTTTTGACTTTCATTTCTTCTATGTCATTATTTAAACCCAAATATATTTTGTAAATGAAATTTTTGGTCTCAACAGGTCTGCTATATGTTTGCTGCCATACAGTCTCTTAAACAATTTTGACCCTATTAATTAAACAGTTGTTATAAATAATCAACAGTCTAGATTCAAAACACAATATGGTTGATGCTATTTTTCTGTAATAGAAATATTTTTATATTTGAGCTAGTTTTGAAATATGTATTTAGCCAAGGTAGGAAAGTATGATCAAATGAAATAAAAATTAAAAGCTGTCAGAAAATATGCAAATTAATTTTGTTGAAAGTATATAAAGTAGAAGAAACAGGAAGGAGATTAGAAATTTTCTTATAGATGTATATAGTTAGATTTTAAGTGAACTTAGATTAATTTCAAGGATGTTGCTAATTCAATCACTTTCATACATGGTTTGAATGTTCAGATTATGTTATTTTGTCCCAATAAATTTCATGTCATAAATTCTAATTAACCACTTTTAAGTAATCATAATCAAATGCAAATAAATCTATTTCTTTTTGTTGATTTACCAGTATTATTTTTGAATTTAAAACTTGTTTCCAATATTTAAACTCTTCTGTTCATTATTAAAATATGCTTCTCCTTTTTCCTAAGACATAGATCCTCTTGCATTTCAAAAAGTTTCAGAGCTTTTCTAGCTGCAGATTCCTAGGAGGTCAGGACTACCCTTTTCTACCCTTTCCTTGTACCCCTCTCCTCAGCATCCTGGCTTCATGGAAATTTTTTGCTTTTGATTTATTTCTTTGTAAACTATCGGTAAAAAAGGTGCTGACTGTCCTGCCTTTCTGAGGCACACAGTCTTAGTTTATATGTAGTGTAAGTATATGTAAATAAGTGACTAGAACAATGTTCATGAAAACAATTTAGTTAGAGAAAGAAGACAGAAGAGGAAGCAGAAGGCAGCCCTGAGTGAGTGGTTTCAGCATCTTTGGAGGGCAGGGTGTGTTTTCTCCACCAAAACTAAATTTCACTAAGAATGTGAATGGAGCACATTCAGAAAAGACCATTCAGAAACGAACAGAAATTTGAACTTTTTCAGAAGATAGTAGAATTATTGGGACACGTTTTAAGGAGTGAGGTGACTTAATCTGATTTGCTTTTAAACATATCTCACTTTGACTACATCATGGAGTAAAGTTGGGTAAGGGAGGTTGTGAAATAATTAATTTTAAATAATATTTTTTATTATTGTTATTGTTTTAGAAAGATTTTTAAAGCATATGTTTCAACCCTGGAAGAACTAATTTTTGCAAAACTTGTTAATTCAAGATTTATATAAATAAAGGGTGAGGTCCCTAACTCTACAACTTCAAAAATTCATATATGACATGGTTTGGATTTGTGTCCCTGCCCAAATCTCCTGTCAAAATTGTAATTCCCAAAGTTGGAGGAGGGGCCTGGTGGGAGGTGATTAGATCATGAGGACTGATATCCCCCCTTGCTGTTTTTGAGATAGTAAGTGAGTTCTCACAAGATCTGGTTGGTTAACAGTGTGTAGCACCTCCCCCTTCACTCTGTCTTCCTCCTGCTCCAGCCATGTAAGATGGGACTCCCTCTTCATCTTCTGCCATGACTGTAAGTTTCCTGAGGCCTCCCAGCCATGCTTCTTGTACAGGCTGTGGAACCATGAGCCAATTAAACCTATTTCCTTTATAAATTACCCAGTCTCAGGTAGTTCTTGATAGCAATGTGAGAATGGACTAATATCATAGGTAATAGGTGTAACAGGTTACCAGACAGGAGTAAGAAAACTTGATATATAACCTCAGTTCTACATACTATCTCACTGTGTAACATAGAACAGGCATTTATCACTCTGAGCTTATGTGTTTTCTACCATACAATAAAGAATCCATCTTTTTTTTTTTTTTTTTTTTTGGCGGAGTCTTGCTGTGTCTCCAGGCTGGAGTACAGTGGTGTGATCTTGGCTCACTGCAACCTCTGCCTCCCAGGTTCAAGCGATTCTCCTGCCTCAGCCTCCCTAGTAGCTGGGACTACTAATTTTTTTGTATTTTTACACCCAGTTTTTTTTTTTTTTTTTTTGTATTTTTAGTAGAGACGGGGTTTCACCATGTTGGCCAGGATAGTCTCGATCTCTTGACCTCGTGATCCTCCTGCCTCTGCCTTCCAAAGTGCTGAGATTACAGGCGTGAGCCATCATGCCCAGCCAAAATCCAGTATCTTTAAGGCATAGTTCTTTGTTGATATTTAGAATGCCAGAGTATGTAATGAGACATGGTAAATAAGTGTAGCTAATTGTGATAAAATGGCTAAAAAAATGAGGAGTCAGGTGAAAATAATCTTCAGCATTTATTACTTAGGGCCCCCAAATTGTGCTGAAAAAAAGCCCAAAACTCTGTGACGATCTATCAAGTATTTTTTCTTGTAAGTGACCCCATGTGCTCCTGCTATCCTGGCCATAGATAATTGGATCAAAGTCCAAAGTAAACTCTAATAAAGTAGATCTCTTGAATATGAAACACAAGGAGATTTTCATAGATAATAAAGAATCACAGAAGTAAAGAGACATCAAAAAAGTATGCAATAAACAGAATCCATAAAATAAGATACTTAATACGGAGAAGGAGTGATACAGTGAGATATTAATTGCAGGCATTGGAACATGAACCAAGGCAGAAGCAGAAATAAAGGAAGAACAGAAGTTGTAAATTGCTTCTTAACAGGAGTAGCAAGGAAGAATAATCGTTCATGAAATGACAAAATATATGATGGCTATTTTACAATACGCAAGACATAAAGTGGCAAGATGGGGCATTAAGTAGAGGAAGATATGAGGTCCAGGTAATCAGGGAAACTGGTAGTCATGAAAAAAGAGAAGTCAATTTACTGAAGAGCAGCATTCTAAGAGTCAGGAGAAAAATAAGCCGAATTCTATGACATCTATGATATCAGACACTACTATGAATTGAATTTTGACCTCCCCAAATTTATATTTTTAAGCCCCAAATCCCAATGTGACTGTATTTAAAGACAGGGTCTTTGAAAGGTAATTAAGATTAAATGAGGACGTAAAGATGTGGCCCTAGTCCCACAGAATTGATGGTCTCACAAGAAGAGGAAGAGACACCTGAGGCTCCTACCCTGTGCGCAGAGAAAAGGCCATGTGAGAATACAAAGAGAAGGAAGCCATCTGCAAGCCCAGAAGAGAGCCCTTTCCAGAAACGGAGTCTGCCGGCACCTTAATCTAGGACGTCTAATCTACAGAACTGTGGGAAAACAAACTTTGCTGTTTAAACCATCCAGCCTGTGGTATTTTGTTATGGCAACCCTAGTAAACCAATACAGAGGCTATGCTGGGTTTTCATTCAGATTTTAGTATTTGCTTTTTACTAAACAACAAAATGTGCTTATATCAAGCACTGTTCTAATAAAAAGGAAATGATAAGAGACTTAGATATGGTTCAAAAAGCAATTTAGCGGCTGTCGCGGTGGCTCACACCTGTAATCCCAGCACTTTGGGAGGCTGAGGCGGGCGGATCATGAGGTCGGGAGATCGAGACCATCCTGGCTAACACGGTGAAACCCCGTCTGTACTAAAAATACAAAAAATTAGCCGGGCGTGGTGGTGGGCAGGCGCCTGTAGTTCCAGCTAGCTACTCGGGAGGCTGAGGCAGGAGAATGGCGTGAACCCAGGAGGCGGAGCTTGCAGATGGCCGAGATGGCACCACTGCACTCCAGCCTGGGCGACTGAGCGAGACTGCGTCTAAAAAAAAAAAAAAAAAAAAAAAAAAAAAAAAAAAAAAAAAGCAAGCAGATCCATTTCAAAAGAAAATTGTTGATTGACAGTGCGCTTACTTCAGAGATTAGAGCTTTCAATTTTAGCCATGATGGTTTCCACATTGTGGCAGAGATTACTTCCTTTTCTATTGGTTTATTAATCCATTAGTTCTCGGTTGAAAAATTGCAAGTATCTTCAAATTATGCATTTTCAACAAAACAATTCAATATAAATAGTTTCAAATTAATTATTTCATTGGAATAATCTTAGCCTGCAGTGATTTTCACTTCTGCAAGACTGAGGGAACCAATTTAATAGGAAACCTGATCAACAGACCTACCATATCAAATATAGGCAAATTTCTCAGAAATTCAGTTTTAATAAATTATAAATCAATAAAACAAATTCCAAGTTCACCTTAATAATAGAAAACATATATATAAATATATGGTCTCAAGGAATGATTTAAATTGGTTTCTTTCTTTGTAATTTTAAGTTGGTTCCTTTCCCATAACTAACCCTTAAGAAATCATTATATACTCTACCTTTTTGCTTCCGTCTTTTTAATTTTTTTGGATAAAATTATTTGTCAAGGAAAATTGATGTCTATTGAAGATTTTGTGGTTTACAAATAATTTGTAGTGTTTAAGTACCTCCATTGTATAAAATGAGACTGTCTTAATATACTCTTACGGTAATACCACAGACATTTCTCAGTCTTTAGCTTTCTTCCTTCTCTAAAATCTTTCATAAGGAATTTATTTTCAATGCAAGAATTCACAATCTCATTGAAATAACTGAGTTTCTGTTGTGGAATGGGAAGTCTGCCTAGAAAAGAACACACAAAGGCAAAAGGCATCAGAATCACAGAATAGAGTATGTTGCTAAAGAGCCCAATTAGGAAGCAATAATTGTACATTAAAACTAGAGCATTCATATTGCTCAGAAATTCAGACTCAGAAGTGCTCCAGTTTGTGGCAACAACAAGAAGGCCCCAGATCAAATATTTCTCCTGTATGTCCATGTTTATCAAAGACTTCTTATCATCAAATATCAAAATGTTTTCTTCTCCTTTGCAATTATCCATAAAATGTATATATAGAAAACAGTATTTATAAAACGCAGAAATGTGGGAAGTACTTTGTCACAGAATATTATTTTCGAATGAAACATGGCTTTGATAATAATAGTTAATATAATTTAATCCCACTTCATAAATCCCTCTTCTTACATCTTTCCTTATGTTTGTCAAAAGTGAAACTGAAGAACATCTATAAAAGTAGTTCTTTCCCACTATTGTGATTCAGGTAGAATTTCGTTCTCAATCAAATTAGAGCATAATTCCTTTCATGTAATTGACAGGGGGTTTTCCCCTTATATAGTAAGGGTTTACTTTTTTTTTCTTAACTCCTTCTCCACTTTATAATTTCTGCCTGAATTATAATAAATTTATTTTAAAGAAATTAATGCTGTCTTGAAGTAAAGTCTGATGAATCTGTATATAAGTAAATTTTAAGAAGTGAAAGTTTACATTCCTTATACATCTCATCTCTCCTACAGCAGAGGTAGTGAGTTACTGACTTCAAAATCTCCTTTTTCTTACGAGATTCTCACATTAATGTTCAATACCGTAAGTCTTTTCAGGATTAATTGTAAATTCACAACATTTTCTTTAAATAGCCCTAAGGAGACATATATCATTTTGTGTTTATCTATATATTTATGTTCTTCTAAAATGAATAATCAATGAAATATGAATGAATAAACTAGATGAATATAAACTCCCCACTGAATTATGTTATGTGTCCTTCTGAACACAGTAAGGAAAGCATTCACCCAAAGACTCTCCTAATTTGAATTAGTTATTTTCAGTTTTGGGGATAAGCACTTTTCCACCATTGTTGAAACATAGTTTTGATTTTCTGAAAGTGTACAAAATATTTCAGGAATAAATGACATTAACTTGTGGTTATTTCATGCCTCAAGAATAGCTGTAATTATTTCTTCTCTGGTAGTTCAACACCCTTTCAACAGCTGGCTGAAAAAATCAATTGCATCTTGATTTCAATTTTTCATCGTGGTATTTTTTAATGGTTAGATTTCAAAAGAATGTGCTTATAATGAAGAAAAATCATGCTAGTGTCTAGATTTATTCTTTCAGCTGATATTAATTAAATAAAACAAAGTTAGCATTCATATGATTTTATTGATAAGAATGAGAAAATAATTAGAAGGCATCCCTGAATCAGGCACCCAGGCATGATGCGATATGCCTTCGTATCGGCTCTGCAATACTTAGCTATTTAACGTAAAGCAAGTATACACCTCTGGATTTTTGTTTGTTCATTTGCAAAGAAAGTGGGGATGGAGTACATAATCTTGAAGAATGTTTCATGTCTAATATTCTATGCATTTGAAGTCAGAAAATTGAAGAGCATAAACTAAATTTCATCACTCTGAAAACAAGTCACATGAAATGAGCCTCATTTGAACACTCAGAGAACGTGCCAAATTACGAGGCTGAACACTCTATCCGTTGTGGATGACTCAATTTACATAACGTGGAAGGAAATCATCTCAGTAACTTTGTAGGCATGGCCATGCGTTGCTTATTTACATATGGATCAAGGGTTTCACGTATCACTTAGAAGAAATGGAAAGAAGTAGGACTGTTAGATATGGAATTCTGTAAGAGCCTTCCATATGTCTATTCTGATTCACTTAACATGCTGTGTTATACCTAGCAAATGTAAAATTAATTCATGCCTTCAGTGGGGTGTGTGTGTGTGTGTATGTGTGTGTGTATGATAAAACCTAGAAAGGTAATTTAGAAGTGTGACACTATGAGTACTCATATTGAACTTTATTTTTTTGCTGCTGACTTCTTAATCTCCAAGAAAAGATTTGTGCTTTCAATGCATTTTTAAACCAAATCCTCCTGAGACAAGATCTTCATTCTCAAGCAGCTCTGATCTTCCACCAAGATATTGGGATGTAAAATCAAAATAAATAATTCTTGGTTTCTAGGATCAGTTAGTTATCCACTAAAAATACCACTCTCCTTCCATAGTATGGAGCTGTGACTGCAAAGTGACTGCTCCGCCTGTCTATAAATCCCAACCACTGCTGGGCACAGTGGTATGCGTATAATCCCATCATTTTGCGGGGCCGAGGCAGGAAGATTGCTTGAGGCCAGGATTTCGAGACCATCCTGGACAACACAGTGAGACCCCCTCTCTAAAAAAATAAAAAATAAAGAAACACTAACTTCTTTGCTGGGGAATTGTATAATGGGCATACAGTTCTGGCCAGTGGACTGTGAATGAGAAGTCAAATGTCACACTTCTAGGCTGACACAATTGAGAAGTGAGTTTGCCTTGTCTGTTCTCTTTTTCTATTTGCTAGCTGGGAGCAAAGGACTCTAATGTCCTAAGAGATGGCAATATCACAAAAGGGAAAGATGCTGGCTCCCTGAATCATCAGGTTGGAGGCAGGTGTTACACATTCCACTGGACTGTCACATGAGTGGAAAATTAATTGCACTAAACCATGGGAATGCTTGGTGTTGTTTTTATAGCATTCAGATTTCCTTGTTTCAAACACTGTAGGCAAAAGCACATGAGGAAGGACTTTTCATATTCATGTAAACTATTAAAAAAGCCCAATTGAATCAAGGTATTTAGTTTCACCAGGCAAATAACTTACTCTAGAGAGACTTTTCTTATTTTCAAAATTAATTAAATGTGTTTAAAAATACTGTCTTTCTACCCCATACTGACACAGATTTACTCAATATTATACCTCCGTTTGTTTGCATTATTTAATTTGCTGTGCTTAGGGGCAAGCCATGGCAAGGACAAAAATTACTTCAAAAAACTCATTCCTCATTCCTGTTAAGTCTACCCCTGAGGCACCCAGTTTTCTCCCTGTTTTCAGTTTAATGACTTTCCTGATTCTTAGAGTGCAGTGGGAGGTATTCCCAGTGGAGTAGCTGTTGCAGAAGCAATCCTACAGTATCTCTAAGGAGATTTCTAGTGAGAAGTGTGAAAATCAGTGTTCATTAAAATGCATATTTACTGTTTTAAAAGTTATTTTCACATCACACAACAAGATACAAGTATTAGGTGCCAGGCATTTCAAAAAAGTTTTTGTCTAAATTTTGGTATATATAATTCAGAAACTTCTTCAGGGACCTTTTCCAACTCATTATAACAACAAGAAAACCCAAAAATCTCAGTTTTAAAACAATTTCCTTCAGTTACATCTCCATTGTAATTTTAGCTTAATGATATGTAGTTATGTTTTCCACTTTCACAATGCTAGCATTACACAGATGTTCTTTTCAGATGGAAAGCACAGCTGTCCATTATCATTAACATTTCATCCGAATGCACAATGATATAAATTAAGGGAAAGCCTTTTACAAAATAAAATTGAAGCTTTTTTAAAAAAATTCTAGGATATGAGGTTTTGGCCTTAGTGGCTTCAAAACAATAGTGGCTTTAGAATTGTTAGGATTTTCATGTAAACTTTCATGTTAGGATTTTCATGTTAGGACTTTCATGTAAGGAAGAATCAGAGAAGATTTCAAGAATTGATTTGTATATAAGCTTAATGACTTCACTTTTCAAGATTAAAATGTCAAAATAGAATACATAATTTCATGAGTATAAATTTTGTTGCAGTTATTCTTATTTTGGTATTGCCAAATAAAATAGTCTTAAACTTAAATGCATTTGTAAATACAATTAGATTGAGTGAGTCAACTTGTTTAACATTTTCTAAGTACTATTATGTGTAATTACTATGTTGAGTTAAGAAGCACAAATTCTTCTGAAAATATGCTGCAATGTTTAAATATTGTATAAGAAGAAATACATTCATGAATGATGTTTGATGGGGCACTGGACTTAGTCTGTTTATTGAATCTATGTCCTACAATTTCTGCTCCCTCTGCACAAAATGTATTTCCTTTATTTTCTACTTCTTTATCAATGATAAATTTTGTACCAACATCTCTCATATCCATCTATGAATTAATATAGAGACACACGTAGGTCCTTTTCCTTCAGCGTTCCTTATCTCACAATTTAAATCTACTTGTACACTTGATTTCACATCACATTCTGGGGAAAATCTCGTGGCTAGCAAATGTTAAGGGAGCTGTAGACTTAAAATTGGCTCTCTATATTCAGCCCTGCTGGACTTGTAGCACAAAGCACTGGCTTCTTTATTGTTCTTTGTGAGCAGACTACAAGTTCCTATATCACGACTCACAAAATATTTCAGTTTTGTCCCTTCTGCATGAATCAGATCTCTTATGGCTAGTGACTCAATCGGACTGAATTTGGGGCCCTACCATTCGAGCACCAGTTTCTACATATAGGAATTTTCTGAATAATACTATCTTTTCTTAAACACTATACCAACTTCTAGGGTCTCTCCCATGATCTCCTGGGTGTTAGGATGCTGAACTCAGCAACCTATTTGGGAACAGAAGAAAAAGTCAAGAGAATGGCAGAAAGCTTGACCCTGACATTCCTGATCCCCAGAACCAACACAACAGCCTCTCCCCACACAGCTCATTGTGTGAGAAAAAACCCTGATGTGTTAGGTTGTCGTTCTACTGTGTCTGCTACTAATAGCCAACCACTATTATTAACTGACACTGTCCTAGAACATCTTGCTTTCCTCTGAGAGCTGACATACTTTCTCCCTTTTGATAATGAGAAAAAAAGATTTTAACGTCTTACTCTGACTGCCACAAATCTTAGAGGCACCTTTAATCACTGTGGTTGTGGCAATCTTTATCATTGGTTTATATGTTCCTATATGCATTCGTGACTGTTTTTCTCTTCCTACTTCCATTCTTTTTCTTCTCCTTCTCCTCCTTCTCCTTCTTCTTCTTCTTCTTCTTCTTCTCCTTCTTCTCCTTTTTTTTTCTAGAGACAAGGTCTTGCTCTGTCACCCAGGTTGGAGTGCAGTGGTGTGATTGTAGCTCACCACAGCCTCAAACTCCCGTCTTAAATTGTCCTCCCCACCTCAGCCTCCTAAGTAGCTGGACCACAGCCAGGCACCACAATGACTGACTAATGTGTGTGGGTGTGTGTGTGTGTGTCTGTGTGTGTAGATAAGGTCTTGTGTACCTAGGCTGTTTTTGAACTCCTGGCCTCAAGCCGTTTTCCTACCTCTACTTCCCAACGTGCTGTGATTACCAGAATGAGCCACTGCAACCAACTCCTACTTTCATTCTTATTCTTTCTGAAAACTCCCTATAAGTCTATTTGAAATGAGAAAGGACATAGGAATTTAATTTTGAAATGTACTTATGTGCTACTCTTCCTAAGAATTATATAAAATTCCCCAGACATGTAACTTGGTCATTTTTATAATCAGTCTTATTGATATCAGATATCATTAATATGTATATGTACATATTATACAGGTAATAATACATGTCATAACGTAAGAAATACATTGAGCATGTAAGTTTCAACAGGACCAAGGCTGGATATCAGGGAGAGAGGAGGAAACAAGACAGTCATGGACCTAAGACTCATAGTTTATAGAATAAAGTACAACTTACAAATAGTTTGTTTAGTGGCTTTACTTTTATCAGTTAGAACACCTAAGTGAATATTTAAATCAAGATCCAAGGCAAGGTTACTTTAAATTGGTGCTGAGTATCAAATCCTTAAATCCTTGAAAAATGAAAATGAAAGCCTTTCTTTTTGTTTTTTTTTGCGAAAACATCAGAAGATATAACATCCACTTTTATCATGATTTCTTCTTTTATCTTAATTTATTTTTGTCTCATGAATGCTAATAATTTTGGTGTAGCTTCAGTGAACTCATATCTTTAATAATATTCAATGCCATATTATTCCAAAGACAAAAATTGGAAACTGTATTTACTAAAGGCATTTTAAGGGAAATATCTGAGTTGATGATCTACACGGGGTCAGCATTCCCTATGTACCTTGTTATTTAAAATGTTCCCTGAGGTCAGGAAAATATGCCTAACAGGGATAATTTGTTCTCCAGAGTAGTAAAATGCTACAGTTAGAAAATAGGCCAGAGACATCCTAGCTTCCCTATAAATATCAGCTGAATTAGTGCACAAATAAAAATATAGCATGCTATAGAAAACTGCAGGTCTTCCGGAACCCCAATAAATAAATATAAAGAGCCAGAAGTTGTATCATAAAACTACATAATGATAATATTGATAAGGACATTGTCAGTGCACTTCAGAATCCTCAGGTTTTTTAAGGATTTACCAAACAAAGATTAAATTGGGATTATTAAAAAGTCATGATAAATCATTCTTAAGAATTTTCAAAAGTCTATTTATTTATTTGTTTATTTATGTATTTATTTATTTTTGAGATGGAGTTTTGCTCTTGTTGCCCAGGCTGTAGTACAATGGCGTGATCTTGGCTCACCGCAACCTCCACCTTCCAGGTTCAAGCTATTCTCCTGCCTCAGCCTCCTGAGTAGTTGGGATCACAGGCATGTGCCACCACGCCCAGCTAAAGTCTTTTTTTTATTTTTAGTAGAGATGGGGTTTCTCCATGTTGGTCAGGCTGGTCTGGAGCTCCTGACCTGAGGTGATCCACCTACCTTGGCCTCCCAAAGTGCTGGGATTACAGGTGTGAGCCACTGCACTGGCTTTTCAAAAGTCTATTTTTTACATTGGTAATTCATGTTGTAAATATTTTTAATAAACCAGAATATCAGTTCCATACTGTATCTCATTACCTATTTGTTTCAAACATTTACATAAACTTCAACAATATTTACCTAAAGACGTCTAAGTCTTATCAACAACTTTTTTAATATTAGGCTTTTAAAAAACCATAGTGAACATAGTTGTTCCTAAACAGAGGAGAGAAATTACTTGCATGAACATTTGTCCTTCTGGGGAGATGAGGCAAGTATTCCATGACAATTTCATAGGAAGCCACAAATTATCTGTCCTTGTTGCCACCTTTGCATTCTGCTCAGTAGACACAGCATCTGTTCAGTCATTTCTAGATTGCTGAGGAATGTGCCTACACTAAGTTTGTAGACTAGCATATTCTGCACTCTCTCAATTAGGGGATGAATTAGCTGTGGGGAGAGCCTCCACTTTGGATGCTTGAATAGAAAATTGCCGTGCATATTAAACTGTGGGTTGGGGATCTATTTCAATCCTGGAGGACAGAGTATGGAAAACATCCTGTTTGGTGTATTGTGGTAGAAAGACTATAGAGCCTCTGAGATACCCAACCTTATTTTTAGGACTGCTCTACCACAGAAAATGGTGTGGCCATCCATTAAATAGGATGTCTCACCTACATTAGGAAAGTGATAGAAAAAAAAAATGAGATGTAATAAGGATATAAGGAGAGACTGTTAAGTTGCAAATTGCCCTATGCATAGCAGCTGTGCACAACAGGGCTATCCCTCGGAACGCTATCCTTCACTCAAGGGTGGCTGAGGAAATGCACACTTTCTTTTTTTTCTTGAGACGGAGTCTCGCTCTGTCACCCAGGCTGGAATGCAATGGCACAGTCTCGGCTCACGGCAACTTCCGCCTCCCAGGTTCAAGCAATTCTCCTGCCTCTGCCTCCTGAGTAGCTGGGATTACAGGTGCCCGCCACCAGGCCTGGCTGATTTTTTGTATATTTAGTAGAGATGGGGTTTCACCATGTTGGCCAGGCTGGTCTCGAACTCCTGACCTTGTGATCCACCCGCCTCAGCCTCCCAAAGTACTGGGATTACAGGCGTGAGCCACCGCACCCAGCCAGAAATGCACACTTTCTAAATGAGTATTCCCTCCTCCATCTCACAGTTCCTTGCTAAATCTTCAAATAAATTTGCCTGAGAAGTTTAAACATTCATCATCCAACCCCTTGCTCTCTGTTTTTCACAAAGTCTCCCTTTTCTCCTGCCACTAATATATTCCAGATAATAAATGACCCAAGACATGCTCATTTAGCTGGAACATGGTAGATGCTGACCTTAATTCAGTTCCGATATTTCACAATAATTACAATCATTCCCTTTGGTCAGTGTAAGAATTCTTTAAAGTATAAGAACATTTAGCTCCCAAATACTGACTGCCCTTTTATGCCTAAATAAATGGTTGTCAACTACGTTTTCTTTCTTAGTGAGAGTTAAAATTTTATAAGACAGATGGTCTCATTAGCCTGAGATACTTGAAGATATCTACCCTTTTCCTAATTAACTGGCCATTCATCATTCTTAAAGCAATATCATAATAGAGATGGCCAAGATATTCCACATGCAAACTCCCTGTATGAGTTACTGCTAATCAGTTTTTACATACGATACTGAAGAATGGGGTTCTCAGAGATTATATTTGTTCAAAAGGAGACAAATAAACAATTGGTACTAGCATTATTCCATTTAAAGATTATCACTCATTTCTTATTCTTTTATTTAAGCAGATAATATGGAATAAATCCCAGAGTTTCACTAAAAGAGGTAGACAAAATATTGTACAAAGATATCCAAAGTGCAATTGTGACTTTATGACCTTAGAGGAAGCCTACCTTGTAGACTTTCAGGGAACTGAGACCATTGGTTTCTCTATCAAGGTCTCCATTAAAAGGCAGACAGACTGGCTCTCGGAAAAGCTCCTCTGTTATTTTGATTTCTTTATGTTACTGCCTCCTGCATAGAAAACTCGCTCCCTCTTTTGACTGTGAGAATTATGTCTTTGAATGCTAAACAGGTATCATCTGTAGAATTTGAATATCCTGGAACAATTTCTTTAATAGGTACCCTCATGGGGCAGGAGGTAAAAAAAAAAAAAAAAAAAGCAAAGGAAAAATGATGGTATATAAAAAATGATCCTCTTCAGAGGGAATCAAGTTCAGATATAACCTTGAACATAAAAATATGAGTTCATTCAAATTAACAGCACTTTCCACTGTTGCGTTTTTAGTATGCTAATATCCGTCCAAATCACTTTATGAAAAACAAAGGAGCATTTCCACTTAGATAAGTCAAATCTGCTGTGTTTGTAGAACTTCCAGATAGTTAATTATATCTAGATTTAGCTATGCTCTTTTAAATATTGTATGCACAATAACATGAAATTAGCAGAAAGTGACTAATCCATCCAGCCAATTAAGTCTACCCAGATGCTGCACTTTTGCATCTGAAGTTACTTTGGAAAAAAACTGGGACAGAAATATTAAACTAGGGAATAATATTTTGTTGAATATTACGTATGGGATAAAATCCATGTTAGATTACTCAAACCCAAACCATTTATATCAGTATAATATCCAGTCAGACAAAAGATTGTTTTGTCTAAAGTATCTATTGTTTTGCACTTAAGTGTGGTCATATGTAAAATCTTTATTTGAGCTTTTGAAACAATAATAAGAAATAACCGTTTGTTTCAGCAAATTACAGACTCCATTCTATTATCTGTGCACATACTTCAACATTTCTACTTCCTAATAGGATCAGTATCCTCTCAGCAGGCCAAACTATGCCTGACATAGCAATTGAAGTTAAAATTTACTTTGATAATTACAATCCTTATTTTATTTCATATGAATACACATATGCAAAAAAAGGAAATGATCCTTTCAAATAGCTTACAGTCAAGAAAACATGACCCTGTCACTGACTGGCAAGTGTACCCGCAGAGACTGCACCCAATTTCAGAATCTTGCAGCAGTGTTGTTAACTAGATCCATGCCTTTCGCATGGCTATGAGCTTTAATGGGCAAGGAGCATATAGGACTCAAGAATAAAGAGCACTAGATTTCCCAGAGGAAAACATAATTCTAATAGTTACTGAAGAAAGAAAAAGATGAAATATGGAGAAAGCAAGTTATGCAGAAGGCAAGAACAGAGTGTTCAACTTTGAAATAATAGAGAATAAACTATCACAGCAGGTTATGGAAATGAAATCTAACTTGAAGTTGACTGTCAAATACTTATCAGCTAATCAGTCTGAAATGTAAGTTGTTAACAAGTTCACATTCAATGTTTTACTACTTTCATAGTTTCCTATCATTTATATTATAAATTTGGTGTACCTATTTCTGGTACTATTAGTGCTAATACAAATTATGGACCCAAAAGAATTTTAGAAAGTGACATTCTTAAACAGAGTTAGATGAAATGGAGAAGATGGATAATAAAAATAGCATGTTTTCTAAAACGGCTACAAACCAGGAAATATTTTTCTATTATTTTGAGGATAAAGAATATACTGTGATGATTATGTCTCTAAAATTAAAGCTTGTATCAATTTCATTGCAAAAGTGTTGAATAAGATTCATTGTTGTTGTTGTTTTCTCTGAAACAGTCTCGCTCTATCGCCCAGGCTGGAGTGCAGTACAGTGCGATCTCAGCACACTGCAGTTCCTGCCTCCAGGGTTTAAGGTATTCTCTTGCCTCAGCCTCCAGAGGCACTGGGACTACAAGTACACCACCACCCTGGGATAATTTTTGTATTTTTAGTAGAGATGGGGTTTCGCCATGTTGGCCAGGCTGTTCTCAAACGCCTAACCTCAAGTGATCTGCCAGCCTCAGCCTCCCAATGTGCTGGGATTACAGGCTTGAGCCATCCTTACTGGATGAGATTTCTTTTAAATGCTACATTTTTTGAGCAAAAGGCAAGGAGGTTAGGGAGGGGAGAACAGGGAAGACAGGCAGACAGACAAGCAGGCATTTCTTATTTTCTGAACAGGTTCCTCATTATTTTCAAGTAATGTCTATTTGTGACTACTCATTTTCATTATTTTATTTATATTTTAGTAAGCAATGCATTTATATCTAAACATCTAATAAACATTCTACTCATTTGATACATTTTACAATTATTTAACCATATTTCTTCAAATTTAATGTGTGTAATGCAAATTGTTTTCTCTTTCTGATCAAAAACTACACAGTCATTGTGGAAATTTTGAAAAAAATATCTGGTACTATGAAGAAAAAAATCACCTTTAATGTTATACCCAGTTAAGCAGAGAATATAACAAAGTTAAAGTTGGTTCTGTAGAAAGATTAATGAAATTGGTATAAAATCCTTAGAAATACATTCAAAATACAAAAAAGAGAGAAAAATTGTTCAACATTAGGCATATGTGAGGGAACAAACATTACTATAAATCTTACAAGTACTAAATGTGCTATAAAAGAATGTTTTGATAGCCTTTTTTCAACAAATTTCACACTTTCCGTGACATAGAAAATTCTCTTTGAAAATAACATTCTAGAATTGGCCCAAAATGAAGCAAAAAATCAAAAATATTCCCACCAAGAAAGCTCCATCTTAGGAGGTATCACTGGTGAGTTCTATTAAATATTTAAGAAAAAAATGCTTATCCTGACAAAAAAAAAAAATTAACAAAGGAAGAACTTCTCACTGCATTTTATGAGACCAACACCATCTTGATAACAAAACCAGGAAACAACTTTGAGTAAGAAACAGAGACCACTATTTCTCATGAACCTGAAAAAACGTCCCTAATAATATTAGCAGATATTGATTTCAGAATTAAGTGGAGTTTGTTCCAGAAATCCAAGGCTGCTTTAAAAGCAATCAAAGTACTTCATCATATTAACAGACTAAAATAAAAGAAAAAATATATGATTAATAGATACCAAAAAAGTATTAACAAACATGAAGTAAAAAAGAATTTTCTCACTATGATAAAGAGGATCTGCCTACAGCAAACGACATGCTTAATAATGAAACCTAAACACATTTGTCCTAAGAATGGGAACAAAGAAAGGATGTCTCTGCAATACTAACCAGTGAAATAAGTCCAGAAAAAGAAATTAAAGGTTTACAGGTTAGAAAGGAAAAAACAAAGCTGAAATTATTTATAAAAGATATAATCATAGAAATAGAAAATTCCAAAGAATCTACAAAAATACTATTAGATAAATTAATAAATTCACTTTGCTGAATGAATTTAGCAAAGTTGTAGATAAAAACTAAATATAAAAAGTCATTTGTATTTTTATATATCAATTGGAATTTAGAATGGAGACAACACCATTTAAAATAGCATTAAATCTTGAAATATTTGATTTCAAGATTTTAAAGCAAATTTTACAAAATAGATGCAAAATATATACACTTAAAACTGCAAATATTGCTGAGAGGAATTGACCAAAACCTAGTTAAATAAGTAAGAGATAACTATAGTTATAGATTTGGAGACAAAATTGTTTGTTGTCAATTCTTAGTTTATTAATCAATAGATTTATAAAAACTCGAATCAATATCCCGACAGGCTTTCTTTATAGATATTGATAAGTTGAATTTTAAATAGAAATGCAAAAGATCCAGCATAACCAAAATAATGTTTAAAAGAACAAGAGTTGAATGATATATATATTACCTGATTTCAGGTTTTACTATAAAATTATAGTAATCAAGGTAATGTTGGTATAGGTAAAAATATATTCAAAGAAATCAATGGAAGTATGGAAATCACAGAAATAGATCCAGATGTTCATTCATGGTATATAGCTTTTTGACAAAAGGTGCCAACGTATTTCAATGGAGAAAGAATAGCCTTTTAAACAAATTGTGTTAGAGCAACTGAATATTCATTTGAATAAGGAAAAAAAGGAATATCATACCTTGCCTCAAATCATGCTAAAAATTAACTCTAAATAGATTGTATACTTAACTGTAAAAGGCAAAACGATTAAACTTTTAGAAACATAGGATAACTTTACAAACTTCGGGTAGGCAAAAATTTATTAGGTCAAAAAAATTACAAACTGTGAAAAAAACCAGATAAATTGTACTTCAAAAACATTTTAAATTTCTGATCTTCATAACACACTATTTAGAAAGTGAAAAGACAACCCCAAACAGGAAAATATTCATAATGCATGTACCTGGCAAAGAATGAGGCTTTAGAATATATAAATAACTCATCTCAATAATAAGAAGATGAAAACATTTAAAAGTACAAAAGATTTGAGCTGATGCTTCACTAAATACGTTATTGAAATGACCAATGAGTATATGAAAAGGTGCACAGCAGTTTAGTCATCAATGAACTAGAAACTCCATCAATGAAATACCACGCACTCTAGGATGGCTAAAATTAAAAAGACTGAAAATGCCAAGAGTTTTTGAAGATTTGGAGCAACTGGTAACACTCAGACATTGCTGGTGGGAATGTAAATGTGTTTGGCAGTTTAATATCAACTATGCATATGCTTCCTATAAAGTAGTGAAAATCATCTGTTCATACAAATAATTATAGACACATATTAAGAACAGGTATGCTTATTATAGCAGAAACTGAAAATAACACAAAATCCATCAACAAGTAAATGGATAAAAATATTTTTGATAAATACGGATAATAAAATAATACTATTAAAAATAAATACAGGGCCGGGCACGGTGGCTTACGCCTGTAATCCCAACACTTTGGGAGGCTGAGGCAGGTGGATCACGTGGTCAAGAGATTGTTACCATCAAGGCCAATATGGTGAAACTCTGTCTCTACCAAAAAAAGATACAAAAATTAACTGGACATGGTGGCACGTGCCTGTAGTCCCAGCTACTCGGGAAGCTGAGGCAGGAGAATTGCTTGAACCCAGGAGGCGGAAGTTACAATGAGCTGAGATCACATCATTGCACTCCAGCCTCGACAACAAGAGCAAAACTCTGTCTCAAAAAATAAAATAAAATAAATACAAACTAACTGCTAAGATGTCACAACATGGTTGCATCTTAACAACATTGTGCAGAGCCAAATAAACCAGATACTCAAAAGTAGATATGGCATGATTTCATTTATATTAAATTCTAGAACAGGTTACAATGAATCTACAGTTATAGAAAGCATATCAGGGTTGTATGAAACTAGTCAAGTAAGAGGACTGGTGCAAAGAGGCAAAAGGCAACCATTAAGGTGATGAAAACATTCTGTTTTAATTTTAGTTGTGGTTACAGTAACATGAATTTTTCATAACTCGAACTGTACATTTTTAAAATGCATGCATTTTATATGTGTTATACATGAACACAAATGATATTTTTTTTTTTTTTTTTGAGACGGAGTCTCGCTCCGTCGCCCAGGCTGGAGTGCAGTGGCGGGATCTCGGCTCACTGCAAGCTCCGCCTCCCGGGTTCACGCCATTCTCCTGCCTCAGCCTCCCGAGTAGCTGGGACTACAGGCGCCCGCCACTACGCCCGGCTAATTTTTTGTATTTTTAGTAGAGACGGGGTTTCACCGTTTTAGCCGGGATGGTCTCGATCTCCTGACCTCGTGATCCGCCCGCCTCGGCCTCCCAAAGTGCTGGGATTACAGGCGTGAGCCACCGCGCCCAGCCCACAAATGATATTTTTAAGAAGCAAACAATCTAACAGGAAGGAATTGAGCAGATTTTTCAGAAATGAAGGTATTCAAGTGGCCAATAATTACATTAAAAAGTACACAATATCATCCACAATAATGAAAGAAAGGCAAATTAAGCCCACGAGATATCACTACATGCCCATACAAATGAGTTAAAATCTGAAAACAATAAATGCTAGTGCATGGAGCAACTGGGACTCTTGTATATTGCAGGGATTATAAAAATTTCCAAATGCTTTGGAAAACCATTTGGTAGTGTCGAAATAATAACATTACGATACAACTACTATGTGATTTAGCAATTTCACTGCTCCATATTTCCAAAGCAAATATAAAAACTAGGTCCACCAAAAAAAAAACTGGCAAAGGAATACTTATGTTTAAACTGTCCAAAATCTTCATAAATCTGGAGAATAAGTAGAAAATTTTCATGTATTCATAAAATGGAATATATTTCAGCAATAAGAATCCTGAGGTACATAACAAGACAGGTGAATCTCAAAAGATTTTTAAAAGGACAGGTAAAACTAATATATAGCAACAGAAATTCAGCAGTGGTTGGCTCTGGCTGGTGGGCCTTGACTGTAAGTGGATAATAGGAACTTTGTGGGATAATGAAAATATTTATGTTGATTGGGATGGTAGCTATACATATGAATGCACTTTTCTATTCACGAAACCATGCCCTTAACATCTGTGCACTTAGATCACCTAACAGTATTTTAACTCTATTGAAAAATATGCAAGTACTGTGTAAAGAAAATATACGTAATTTTAGGTCTTGGGTGAATAAAAGACATAACAGGGACAGGTATACCAAACTTCATAAAGATAGCAATTATCCATAATTTAATTTATAAAGTTTACAAAACTACAATAGTCTAGCGCGACTACATATTTGATAGCACAGTATAACCCATTAATCATCAAAAAAATGCGATATCAGTGATATAAGAGTCAGACAATGGCATAATAGAAAATCTCAAAATAGGCACAAATATGTGAAAACTTAGCATACAATAATCTTGCCATTTAAAATGAATGAGGGAAATAGACTTTTCAATAAATAATGGTGCAGTAACTGGTTAACCACCTGGAAAATAAATGTATATTTATATTTCATAAATTTTACCAGAATCAATCTCTGTTTACAGATTTAATGTAACCTATGAAAATATAAAAACACTAGAAGAAATCATGACACGTTCCTTAACCTAAAATTACGAAAGGCTTTTCTAAAAATAACATCAAATCTATAATAGAAAAGATCGATACATTTAAGTACAAATATATGTTCCATTTAAACATAATTTTTTTAAAAATCAAAAGACAAATGGAAAATGAAGATGGGATAAGGAAATAATTATTTGAAAAACACATGGTTCACAAATAAGCAAATACATATAGGCTTTTATACATTTAAAAATTATCTCATAATAAGGTAAGCTTAAATTAAAACTACATTGAGGCTGGGTGTGGTGGCTCATGCCTGTAATCCCAGCACTTTGGGAGGCCGAGGTGGGCGACTCACTTCAGGTCAGGAGTTCGAGACCATCCTGGCCAATATAATAAAACTCCATCTCTACTAAAAATACAAAAAAAAAAAAAAAAATTAGCCAGCTGTGGTGGTTCATGCCTGTAGTCCCAGCTGCTCGCAAGGCTACAGCACTAGAATCTCTTGAACCCAGGAGGCAGAGGTTGCGGTGAGCGGAGATCATGCCACTCTACTCCAGCCTGGGCGACAGAGTAAGACTCCATCTCAAACAAACAAACAAATAAACAAACTACATTGATATATCAGTTTTCAATTAGTATATTTGGAAAGATTCTCAAATTTGATTGCACATCAACAGAGATGTTTGTAAAAGGCATTTTTATATCTGACTAGAAAAGATATAAATTGATATAATCTGTATCAAAGGCAATATAGCAACATTTACCAAAATTGTGGAAGCAATTAACTTTTGACTTGGCAATATCAATTCTAAGAATTATCTTAAAGATGTAACACTTATGTAATGTTGCATACGTACATGTTATACTTGGGTCCCAGTGTGACATTCTTCCAAAATACTTATTTTTGTTCTGCCCCTCAACTTTTGTTCTGCCCCTCAATCTAAGACTGTACAGAGGAGAAGCCAGCTCAGAAGAGATACAATTAACCTGTCCTCTTTCTTCAGTCTATTTTGAAACAAAATGAAAAATTATTTTCAGTACGCTCAATAAGAGAATCATGCTTACCTTGTATTCACCCACTGGGAAATAAAAGCAAATATATTTTTAAAATAATAATATCTATCTATCTACTTATCTATCCATGTATCTTTCACTTTCATATTACGCTCTTACAGATACGATGCTTTAGAGTTGCTATATGTCTTTAATTACACAATTTGAGATATTTAAAAAAATAAGCCTCTGAATAATACTATAATATCTATAGCATGAATGAGTAAGCTGAGTTAGAAAGTTGAAATGAGTTACCTATAGATGTATAACTAACTAAGTTGACGACTTTGGAATTAAAGTATGTTTTATGACTCCAAGTCAGGAGATACTTCTACACAAATTTCATGACAATGATCTCAAATCCATTTCAGGCTGAATTATCTCAGTTACCTATATCTTAATTGTTTACTTAAAAATACTGACAATATATGTATGTACATATGTTTTTTTCCTCAAAACTCTTTTCTCGAAGATTTCAAGATAAAAGTATGAAGCTGACATCTTCAGGGCACTAATCAAATAAACAAAGATTGTAATTTGCCAAGTCTTATAGTATGGCCTAATTTTACTAAAACAAACAAAAAACAAGAACAGTGACCAGTTTTCTAATTTTAGATCCAATCTAAATGCAATAACCTGATCAACAATAGTAGTATCAATCTTCTCTTTTCTTTGTCTTCAAAAGGGTGTATCATTTTGATAAGCAAATGATATAAACCAACTTTTTCATTAGCTACAGTATTTGTTTTGATCCTCTTTCAAATGAGGAAACATACCTATATGTAGCCAAAAATAACAGATTGCTCTTATACAGGAAAAGCAATTGATGGTTGTTTTTTAACCTTTTCTGATAATTCTCTATGACCAAAGATGTTAAAATAGAGACTTTATAAAACAGGAAATTTCATCAAATTTTCTGGTTGTTAGATATCAATAACTTCATTTTATATAAATTAACAATTTGAAATGTGTGTCTCTTCTAGAGTCTACCATATATAGTCAAGTACTCCCAAAAAGAAAGTGGTGATAAAATTGTTTGATTACTAATGTCTGTATTGTTTAATTAGCAGGTGATTAAACAATGTGTAGGGAAAACGTCATTGAATAGACTGGCATCTGAATGCAAAGAAGCAATTACATGAGCTTACTACTCAAGTCCTTACTATAGAGAAAATGCTTTTGTTTGTTTAAATTTCTCTGAAGGATGAATATGACTGACAACTCTGTTTTTGAAGTTATAAGTCCTTTTTCGTTTCTCATCGGAGATGCATTCCATAGTAACATACTGGCATTCATCAATCCTATGTTTTAAAGATTTCCTTTGTGCCTCTAAGAGTTTGGTGGTGCAGAGGGTAATTGCAACTGAAGAGACAGGCAATGCAGTAAAATAATAAGAGGCCTAAAAATTTAGGTATAATTTTCAGTCTCAGGATCTCACCTGAAAGCACCACTGTACCTTTTATTGTCAATATTAGCCATTTTATTTTCTGCAGTTTCTATGAACTCCTTACAGATAAAGAAACCAAACTTTAAAAATATTCCTCAAAGATCTAAAGACAGAAATACCATTCAACCCAGCAATCCTATTACCGGGATTATATACACCCAAAGAAATATTAATCATTCTAAAAATACAAAAAATTAGCCAGGTGTGGTGGCACACGCCTGTGATCCCAACTACTTGGGAGGCTAGGGCAGGAGAATCGCTTGAACCTGGGAGGCGGAGGTTGCAGTGAGCCAAGATCACACCACTGCACTCCAGCCTGGGCAACAGAGCGAGACTTCTTCTCAAAAAAAAAAAAAAGAATCATTCTATTATAAAGACATATGCACATGTATATTCATTGCAACACTATTCTCAATAGCAAAGACATGGAATTAACCTAAATGCCCATCAATGATAGATTGGATAAAGAAAATATGGTACATATATACCATGGGAATACTATGTAGCCATAAAAAAGAACGAGATCATATCTTTTGCAAGAATATGAATGGAACTGGAGGTCACTATCCCTAGCAAACTAACACGGGAGCAGAAAACCAAATACTGTACATGTTCTCACTTGTATGTTGGAGCTAAATGATGAGAACACATTGACACATACAGGGGAACAACACACAATGGGGCC
Source organism: Homo sapiens (assembly GCF_000001405.40). NCBI lineage: Eukaryota > Metazoa > Chordata > Mammalia > Primates > Hominidae > Homo > Homo sapiens. Next base: position 175,322,901 of record NC_000004.12, read on the forward strand.
TACTAGAAGGTAGAAAGTAGGAGGAGGGAGAAGATAAGGAAAAAATAACTAATGGGAATACCTGGGTGATGAAATAATCTGTACAGCAAACCCCATGACACAAGTTTACCTATGTAACAAGGCTTCACATGTATCCCTGAACTTAAAATAAAAGTTAAAAAATATTCTAAACTTTGATTACTATTGTAAATGAGAAATAAAATTCTAAGTCCCTCAAGTGACTGAATGGACCTTCCTTCTGGCCAAGGGGGTCCCAAAGAAACCTGAGAAACTACTTTAGGCCATGATGAGAAGTGTCAGCCCAGGCATGCCTCATTGTACCCTCTCTTTGGAGTTTAGGCACAACTGACAAGCATTAACATTAAAATAGAAATAAGACTCACAAAACAGATTCTTTGTGGCAATGATACCCACCTTCAACCTGACCCTGGTATAGCATAACATGGTCTGAAGGAAATCAAAGTACTTTACCCCAAAATATATTTTCTTTGACATATTTTGAAGTGGGCCTGCAAAGCTGTGTCTTGTGGGGGAAACTTGTATTCTGTAAAGAAATTCCTTCCCTTACTAGGTCTTTTCCAGAGAGTCTGTCACCTTGTAAGGTCCAATAAGAGAAAATTACCATCTATTCTCTCTGAAGCCTATTACTTAAAGGTTTCATGTATATAACAAGAACCTTGGCTTCCACAACCCCCTTATCTTAACTCAATCATTTCTTTCTGCTGACTTCAACTCTTCAGGAAAAGCTTAACTCTTTCAATGGCCAATCAGGAATTCTTTGAATCCTCCTTTCCGGGACAAACAAATGTATACCTTACATGTATTGATTTATGTCTTTGCCTGTAACTTCTCTTCCCCTAAAATGTGTAAAGCCAAAAGCTGTAACCCAACCACCTTGGCCACATGTTCTCAGGACCTTGTGAGGCTGTGTCACAGACTATGGTCACTCAAATTTGAGGCTCAGAATAAATATCTTCGAATATTTTACAGAGTTTGGTTTTATTCATCAACACTATTTCCCAATTCCAAGGTATAAAGTGATTGAGAATCATGAATTTAACAGCTTTAGAGTATCCTTGAATCCATACAGGGAAAAAAATAATATCATGCATTGCCCTCTGAAAGCTGAGCAGAGCCCACTTAATGCTCTGGTTAAATAAAGCCAAGGGTTCAGTTTCCAAAAACAAAATAAGTTATATTGCTAAAAAAAGAAACCACTTTTGTTTGAGAAGCTTTATAAACAATATTTTGCAAACATTTCCTCTCTATTGGGGCAGACAATTGAATGTCTATTTGCTGAAGTTAAAGCAATCTGAAATTCAATTTGTTGGCTATGGAGCTACTTTAGGACCAAGTAAGCAAATACCTTTAGGCTAGGATAAAGATTTATTTCAGTGTGCATCCAGCCAACTCATTTTCTTACTCTTGGCACAATGCAGTTTTAGATTAATTTTCTGAGAATAACTGGGATGTAAAAATTAATTTATGCAGTTCTTGAATTGACTGTGTCAATCTGAAAATAAATGGCCTACTTTTCTTTGTTAAAATCTTTACAAATCTATACAATAGAAGGCATTCATTGGTTACTGGGTAGGTGACAAATCCCTTGGGAAATTTAGAAAAATCTTAGAGAGACAAAAAAAAAATGTGACTTTTCAAAATAAGTAATGAAGTTTTAAACATTCAAAAGAGATAAATTTGATTGTTATTTTAAAGCCGGGAGTGACAAAGTCTTATCAATTTTTCAGCTTTGTTTAGGTTTTCATTAGAAATAAACAACTTTTATTTTAAATAAAAAATTAAACTGAGACATTAAAACTTTATTCCATGATAGATTTTAGTATTTTATTCCAGTATTTGTTGTCTTGCTTGTTTAATGTGGCCACTTGGAATCTGCTAACAAGAGAGGTCAGAAGAGAAGATCAATATTACTGGGATACATGGAAAAATGAAATCAAGCTAAAATAGGGATATTACTGCATGAAAGCCTTAGAGTAGAAACAAGGAGAAAAAGAAGGAGAAAGCAAGGCAAAATCAGCAAGAATGATTCAAATTGGACCTCTAGGTTTCTGCTCTGTGAGAATTGTTCTATCAGAAGTATGTAGGGAAGGAAGAGATATTGCACTTGTTAGAGTAGGTAGCTAGGCAGAGATGGGCAGGGTAGGAGACCCCCTCTCCCCTCAAGGAATGTCATGAGACCCTCAGGTGATGGTCCGGTGGTTATTAAACGGTCTCTCTGAAACGATATTTCGTTGCAGTTGGTGCCTGGGGAAGACAGTCTGCCAAAACAGAGAAAACACCTGAAGCTGATGATCAGCTGTTTCCCAATAAGAACTCAGGAGTTAGGTGAGCCGGCTCAAGCATGTGCATTCAGAGGCAAAATGGCAGAGTTTAACCTGCGTATGACCTTCCTCTGGAAACGCTTGACTCGTAAGGGAAAAATGCTCAAGTGAGCATGTGCACAAGTTCAGTAAACACACTGCACATGTGGCCCCTCCTAAGTGCGGGTAGGCTACTATGCATGTGGACAGCTCACCCCAAGGGAAGAATCAAGGGAGGAGAAAAGCAAACCCTGCAACCTTGCCAATGTATCAAACCCCAAGTCCAGTGCTGAATGGTGTTCTTGGATCTCTCCAATGGTCTGCTTGGCCCTCTTCCAAGTGTACTTTGCTGCCTTTCATTCCTGCTTTAAAACATTTTAACAAAGTATCACTCCTGCTCTAAAACTTGCCTTGGCCTCTCCCTCTGCCTTAAACCTACTTCTGCCCCTCGGCTTAATTCTTTCCTCCAAGGAGACAAGGATCCAGTGTGCTTCAGACCCTTGTGGATTCGCTGCTGGTAACATACTGAGTGGTGACCTGGAGACAAGGTTGAGTATAATAAGAAACATACCAGGCAAAGTTGAAGGCTTCCAACCAGCTATAGCAATCTTGGTCCAGTTGCTAAAATTCTGAGCCTCAATGGCCCATTTTGTAAAATGAATTTAAAAATGGCCATCCAGAGAATGCCACTAATAATGTTATTAATGTTGAACTAGAAAGTAGAAAAGCCGCCAGCAAATGTCATCTACTCTTGTTAATGTCATCAGTAATTACACCCCTCCATTGCTTTTCCCTCTCTGTTGGTGGAAGGCTTCTTTCACTTCCTTTGCTTTCTATGTATCAGTTTGTCCCTCTCACACAGGTGATGATATAAACGTTGGAGGATTTTTATCTTTACTCCACATTTGCTACCCATACTTAGTTTTTCTAAAACTATTGGCAACAAAATCACCTGCAGGCTTGCTTTAAATGGGGATTTATGTGCCCATTCCAAAATGACTGAATCTAAATCTCTGGGTGAGACTTAGAAAGATTCTTGCTTTCATAACAAATCCTCAGGTGATTTTTTAACTGCAGTTTGAAAATCACAGAGAGAGTTGTTTGGAAATGACTCTTTGTCTGTGATCACGTATCTCTTCTCCACTCTAAAATAGCATTTGCAATGTATTACCTTTTTACCAGCACAGAGAGTCCTCTGCAGGTTTTATAACTCTCCTGAGGAGTCTAGCTCCTGGCCAAAATAATGATGTGAAATTTTTCAGGCCTGACTATAGGCAATTACAAAGGCTTTACCTGGCAGGCTTCACTGGGAAAAGCTGCCCTTTACACACCAGACTTGGTGTAAGACCAAGTCCATTGCAATCTCTGGAGGGAGTTGTAGTCAAGGACTCAGGTCCTCCAGGCCAACCAAACTCTTCTGCATATCTGCGTTTCTAGCCCAGGCGTCTCTGTATTTCGGGCCTTCCATAAAGGCCTTTCTTTTTGTCAAAATCTTCTTACAGGAAAGATGAAAGAAACTTGAAGACCCTTTCTTTGCTGTGGCTCAGTACTCAGCACTATTCCATGACTCGCTCTTTCCCCTCTCTCTCCCCTCTCCACATACCCTCTGTAAAACACCAGGACAGCAGGAAACTTTTGTTTGAGGCTCCCTAAGCAAGGAAATGACCCACATTTTGGTGTCGATGTACCTGACCCCTAATCATGGGGAAATGGAGCAACCTGAGAGTGGGAGCCAGAAGTCAGAGCTTGCTCTGATTTAGTTATACGATCTCGGTCAGTGATTTAAAGCTTCACTGGCACTCTGATTTTCTGCTTGTTGTTTTTAATGTGCAACTCTGACACCTGGCTACTCAGCTCTCTCTCCAGCTCAGCTGAGCTCCTCCTGCCCATGTTCCCACACTGTTGCAACTCTTCCCAAATCTGTAATTTAGTATTATGGAGCATCTGGAGGGAAACAAAAGAAAAAAAAAACATTTTTTCAAAAAATTAGTCCTGGAGGAACCCAGCTGTCTTCATTCCCTCCTTAGTCTACTCTGGGCTGCAACAGGTGTAGGAAAATGATGCTACCATCCAGACCTTTGCAGCTACAATTTGACAAAGACCAACCTCACGTGACCTCTCAACATTGCCAGCAATCCTGCTCCTTCTTCCTTAGCCCTGCTGGTTCACCCTCTGCTCATCCCCTGATTTACGTTTTCCACCATATCTAACTTCTGAGCCCTCTGTTTCCCTGTGGGTGCAAGGAAATTCTTCTATTCAGATCGGGAAAAAGATAACAGGGACGATATTACAAAAACTTCCTCAGTTCCCTGTCCTTCCTCCTTCTCTCCTTTGCAATAAAATCCCCCTTCTCTTTTCAAAGTCCAATGTCTTGTTTTTTGTTTGTTTGTTTGTTTGTTTGTTTTTGAGACAGAGTCTCGCTTTGTCACCCAGGCTGGAGTGCAGTGGGGGGATCTCGGCTCACAGCAACCTCCACCTCCTGGGTTCAAGCGATTCTCCTGCCTCAGGCACCTGAGTAGCTGGGACTACAGGCGCCCACCATCATGCTCAGCTAATTTTTGTATTTTTAATGGAGATGGGGTTTCACCATATTGGTCAGGCTGGTCTTGAACTCCTGATCTTGTGATCCGCCCACCTCGGCGTTCCAAAGTGCTGGGATTACAGGTGTGAGCCACCACACCTGGCCCAAAGTCTAATGTCTTTTATCTGTGCTCCACCCATTACTTCCCACCTCCTAAAGAACCTTATTACATTGATCTTTCTCTCTCTGTGTTGACAACCCTCTTGCACTCTGCTCACTGCTTTACATTAATGTTTAAACATCCTCAAATTTCTTCCACCTTATAAGAAAAATAAACAAATAACCCCACATCTTCCCCTTACTAGTTACTTCTTTCAAATATCAGGACATTCTAGCCCATAGATAGCTCTACTTTCTTAGTATTTAGTATTTGAAATGTAGCTGATGCAAATGAGGAACTGATATTTTCATATTATTTAATTTTGATTAATTTAAATTTAAATAAAGATAAGTGGCTATCAGCTATTGTATCAGACAAGCAGACCCAGATAAACAAACACTGAGACTTACATTTCAAAGCTTATCATGCCACATAACTGACAACGATAATGTCCCAATATAAATAAACTTAAACATTTTAAGACCTTACTTGTGATCTTATATAAGAAAATTCATGTCTACATTTTATAATTTCTCCATTTCCAACAGATTAATCTTCTCTTTGAGTAGTAATGACTGTTCCAGCTAGGCTATTCCACAGAGATGCTTAAATGTGTTTATTTAAATAAAATTTTATTGTTAGATATAGTGTTATGATAAAATGACTACATATTACAAAATATTTCCATTACTGCAGAAAGTTCTAATGGACATTACTGTGAACAATGTACTTTTCTTTTGTCAACAATAATGCCACTTGGACATTTTTAGGATGGTGAATTTGTGCATGACAAAAAAGTCATTTTTATTATATTTCAAATGTGTATTATATTTATGGCCATATTAGATTTTGTATTTGTATTAACTTTTAGCAGTTTCACCATTGATCTAATACTGGCCACAAGTGAAACAGAAATGTTACTCTTAGATACACATTAAAATAAATTGTTAAAACTTCGTAGTAATTCCAGTGAAGCATTCCAACACAATTTCTAATTGGAACACTTTTTACCTGTTTACTCACAGAATCTATAGTTCCTCTAGAAACGATAACTGAGTTCTACAAATCTGCTTTTTTCACCATTACTGCATTCTATACCTGTTCTAAATGTTATATCTACAGTAACTTTTTTTATATTAAGCATATCAGTCAAGTACTTGGCAAAGGCTGGGTGCGGTGTCTCATACCTGTAATACCAGCACTTTGGGAGGCCAAGGTGGGCAGATCACCTGAGGTCAGGAGTTCGAGACCATCCTGGCCAACATGGTGAAACCCCATCTCTACTAAAAATACAAAAATTAGCTGGGCATGGTGGTGCACGACTGTAATCCCAGCTACTTGGGAGGCTGAGGCAGGAGAATCACTTGAACCCTGGAGGTGGAGGTTGCAGTGAGACGTGACTGTGCCATTGTACTCCAGCCTGAGCAACAAGAGTAAAACTCTGTCTCTAAAACAACAACAACAAAAAATACTTGGCATATATGAAGTACAGCAAACTATGAAAAGTGTTATGAAAGTAAATAAAATTTAATTTAAATTTTTTCCTGAAAATATTTTTTTCTCTTTGTGTAGACAACAGCAAGAATCAGCAGCTTATATAATCATCCATTGCATTTCAGATAACAATTATTGCCTCTGTCTTTATTTCAGGTCACCACAAATAGGTAGTTCTGCATCTTTCTAATCAAGTGTGCAAGGAGAAACACAGCTGAAACTTAACAGGTAGGCGTATATTTTAAAAACCTCTTCATGAGGCTTCTGCCCATTCCCTAATGCTGTTTCACACCCACACCTTAATAGAGTTTCTGCTCACTGTTCATATTATACCAAGAAAATTAGCAAGTTAATGTAGAACACTGAAATAAGTATTTACTAGTCATTAACCTTCTAGAATATTGAAGCATGGTAGACTGTACTTTACATATGTTATCCCAATTTATCCTCAAAATGCCATGTAATAATTTAAAGGCAATCATTAAGGGAAACATATTGCAGTTAACTGGGAGCTAAACCGCCTGGATTCAAATCCTGGCTCCCACAATTCTTAGTCATATCCACTTGGACAAATTACCTAAGTTCTCTGTGCATTCCTCACCTGTAAAATATGAAAAATGATGGAATCTACCTCAAAGGGTCCTTATAAAAATTATGTGAGTTTATATTTGTAAAGAATGTAGCACAGGCCTGGCACACTGGCTCACGCCTGTCATCCCAACTCTTTGGGAGGCTGAGGCGGGCGGATCACAGGTCAGGAGTTCAAGACCAACCTGGCCAACATGGCAAAACCCCATCTCTACTAAAAACACAAAAGTTAGCTGGGCATGGTGGCACGCACCTGTGGTCCCAGCTACTCAGGAGGCTGAGGTAGGAGACCCTTTGTTTGAACCTGGGAGGTGGAGGTTGCCGTAAGCGGAGATCATGCCACTGCACTCCAGCCTGGGCCACTGAGCAAGACTCTGTCTCAAGAAAAAAAAAAAAAAAAAAAAGAATGTAGCACAGTGTTTCATGACTGATGCAATCATTCTGCTGGGTGCCAAGAATGTTAGCTGCTGAAGGCTGACTCTCTCCATGAGAACTGGCTTCACCTGAACAAAATGGCATGCCCAAGGTTATGCCTCCACTGGCCATCAAATGCAGCCAGTGTGGTGGTGCAGAAGCTCAGCCCTTGCCTCAACATGGGACATCTCTGAAGGCCCATCTTGGTGCCAGAGCTCCTCATGCAAGCAGCACAGGCCTCTTTTGCAGCTACATCAAAAGTCAACTTCTTTCTTTTTCTGCTCCTGCTTCTCCTCTTCTTTTATAGGTAGTGCTTCTGAGATCCTTCTCATATAAACACCCTGAAGACAGGTATCTATTTAGAGTCTGTTTCCTTAAATCCAAGATGCTACGGTAGTTTTCAGGAGTGATCTTATGACGTATACTCTATAAGGTTACTGTAAAGCTGAGTCACCCACTGACCACAATGAAATGGCAAAGAAGAGCACATCACAGACACTAGATACTGAGAGCCTGGACATGCTATAGCAGTACAGTCATTCAATTTTCACCAGTAGTGAATTAGAATAGAACCATGGTGAAAGGGAAGGCACTGATGGTTCAATCACTCAGGCAATTGAGTTTCAAGGAAGTCAGTAGCAGTTATAAGGAGCGTGGAATCTGAATACTGCCACTGGGTACTACTGATGCATTGTGAAATACAGGGAAAGGCTAAGAGTGATCAATGACCTATTTTAAACAAGGTCTGAGAGTCAGAAGACCTCCATGGAGGCATATAAAAGATTCTCATTCACTGTAGCCAGAGGGCGAGAAAAGCTGAGGAGTAAGCCCAGGACATAATTAGAAAGGTAGAGCACTTCAGAGGAGGTTGAATTTTCATATCAAGCAAGTCTGCTATTCCAAGAACCTATCTGGGAAAGACTGGAAGCCTGGGATTTGAGAAAGGGATATTTGAATTAATGTCCTTGAACACACTGGGGCCTGCACAAATGGCCCACTCCTGCCTGATAAGGTTCTGCTGTCCTTTCTTGCTTGAAGATGATGCAGAGGGCTCTGCTTGTACAATAAATATCATCCCCCTAAAGACTTATCCCACCTCCCCTTCTGGCCACTAGGCTAATACCAAGTGCCAAGATACAACATAAACTGACTAAGAAAATGCTAGGCCTGCTACGAGTAAAAAGGAACTGTAGCCCAAAGGACTTGATAGTACCGAGCCAACATTCCTGCAGGAGCTGTGAGAGTTTGCATAGTATTGTATCCTGAGAGAGAGAGATGAAGTGTGGAGGGTAAAGAAGTTGGATAAGGGACAGTATATTGACATGGTAGCACATCTTTATGATGCAAGCCTTAATATACTGGTAAGCGCACAGGAAGAAGACATAAACCCACTACTAGGATGGCATTCTTAAAAAATTGAAAATATCCATGGACCTGGACTGCCTGGTCATTCCACAGAACATCACAGTAGTCCACTGAATATATAACATTGTATTAAAAGGATATGATAAGCAAGAAGCACACTGGGTCTTGTTAAACAGATAGTAATGGAATAGGAATGAAAAAATTGCCATAGCAGATGGTAAAATAGTAGATATAAAAGCTCAAAGAAGTAATCACGTTGTTGTAGACCTACTACATAATTGCAGAAATCTATGTCCAGGGCAGGAGAAGGGAGGAAGTTAATGCTCTGTTTACTAAAATGATAAGAATTAGAACAGTGAGGGGAGCCCCATCATCTTTGAGAAGCTAATAGGTTGTCTTCAGTAGGGAAGAGTTAAATATAATAGGTAATGCTACAGAAGCGGACTTCTTAATAGTCATGGGCATCATAGGATCCTGAAATAAACAAGCTGGTGCAATTATCACAATGACAGCAAGTTTTGAGTGGTAGCCAAGTAGCATAAACCTTAGGGACCCTAGAGGAAAATGGAAGGACAGATATTCAGAGTATTGCTCAATCAATATGTCTAAAATAAATCAAGGATTGATGATCAGGAGGTTGAGGGCAGCTGCCCCAAGAAGTAATGATGCCTTTCTCAATGTCCAGATCAGAGCCAGTTTTTCAAACCTGGAACACAGTGATGCACGGAGAGACTGGGTCCACAGACGAACACATACACTTCAACAAATATTTGTGGTCCTGATTTTTCCCATACTTCCCCAAAAGAACCTGTGGTCATTTACTTAAGTAACAATACACTACAAAGGAAAGAAGAATACTCAGACAATTCAAGGAAAGTTGAACATAGGATTTGAGTTGACAAGGACACTAGCCATTCATTCTGAAGGGTCATCAAGCTTCCTCTCAGCTGGAAAACGGGCATATTAGGGCCGCATAACTAATAAATCCTGGTCCAGTTCTGGCTTCCAGTGTGGCCACAGGCCAAACCAGGGGTCATTTCTTCAACCTATAAATGTATAATTTTAATGAGTATACTTGGAAATGGACAGTCCCACCATATTTTTTTCCTTGGACTATGGAGTAAGGGCTATCACAGTGGGGAAGGCCAAGTTGAAGCCTCTAAGTCTGCCCTGCCCACTTACCCATCCCCAGACAGATGCACCTGCGTGTATGAAATACACACACACACACACGGAGAATGACAGAAATTACTATCATCCTTCAGGACTTAAAGAAAGAAGGGCGTAGCCTATCTCCAACAAAAATAGGGGTAAGGAATGCATATGCAGGTCATAGCTGACCCCAGCGGGAGAGTCACAATACAGACCATCTGCATCAGAGACATCTACTGACTTAGAAAAACTGCTGTTGGTTCTGTGTGAAGAGAGAACACCTCTCTTCACACAGAAAATAATACTGTATGGTCTAAACTTAGCTAGGTAGTAACTATAATTTCAGTGCCAGATATTATGTCTTTGCTAGAGCTAAACAGCATGACCTCAGTGTGGCCATTGATCTGACAAATTCATTCTTGTTCATCTCTCTCAGGACCTGTACCAGAAGCAGTTCTCATTTATATGGAGGAGATAAAAGTTCCTACTTACGTATGCTCTTATGTAAGAGCCACGTTGACTCTCCCATTAGTATCTCCCTACATAGATACTAAAGGGACCTGGACTGCCTGGTCTTTCTACAGAACATCAAAATAGTCCACTGAATGTATAACATTGTATTAAAAGGATCTGATAAGAAGCACACTCGGGACCTTGTTAAACAGATATGTTCCACAGGACAGGAGATAAATTCTACTAAAATTCTGGTGACATTTGCAGGGATCCAGTGATCTGTTGTATACCATGACATCTGCTCTATAGAAAAGGTCAAATTATTTCATCTTGCATCTTTCATCATTCAGAAGAAATCTCAATAGCTAGAAGTCTTCGAGATTTTGTAAGGAACTTTTCCATATTGGGAAATAATGCCTGCCCCATCTATCAAGTGACACGGAAGGCTTCAAGTGAGGATTGGAAAAGGAAAAGGCTCTGGAGTGGGTTCAGGCTGCAATGTTAACATCCCTGCCACTTGATCCATAAGACCCAGCAGACCTTATGGCATTACAGGTATCACAGGTGGAAAAAGAATGCATATGCAGGTCATAGCTGACCCCAGTGGGAGAGTCACAATACAGACCATCTGCATCAGAGAAATCTACTGACTTAGAAAAACAGCTGCTGGTTCCATGAGAAGAGAGAACACCTCACTTTGCGGCCAGATAGCAAACATGTCTAAGGATCTATCAGATCCAATAAGTCGTAAGGTTGTTATGGTCACATAGTAGCAATCCACTGAGTCTGCAAGTGGTTCATCCACTATCAAGCCTGACCAGGGAGAAAATGCACAAATAATCTTCATGAAGAGGTGGCTTAGACATTCCCCACAACGTCATTTGCCACTGCTACATTGGTGTCTATCTTTACCTTGGACTAATAGGATAGGATCACCTTATGACCAGGCAGATAAAGTGATGGAACAGCTTTTGAAAGATGTAACTGAAGTGCCAGCTTAAAAGTAATACAACCTGAGAAGAGAACAATACCCTTCCAGCTGCAGTCTATATCCTGCAGCGATGACTAATATAGGATCCCATGCTCCAATACATGGAACAGATTGGTCTGAGGAAGAAAGGGGAAGGTCCTAGGCATGGCTTCTCTTACCATCACTCCCAGTGACTGCTTGAGTAATTTGTGACACTCAGCCCCACCTTAGACTCAGAGTTTAGAAAGCCTGGGTACCAGAGGGGAAATAGCTCCATCAGGAGACAGACACAGCAAGAGCCCCCACATACATAAAACTTTAAAACCTATAAGTAAGACTATATATTGGTTTTATTAATATTACATATATATGAAAGAATTATGGACACAAAATGACAGGCTAAAAGGAATATGATTGAGAGATACACAAAGCCTTTGCTATAACTGTAATATTTTAACAGTAATTTTTATTCCTTAAAATGTACTTAAAGAAGACATGTATGTACCCCCTAAATATGTAGATCTATGATGCAGCAATACGAAATTAAGAAAAATAAAGAACATTTAATAATCTTCAAATACAAGAACACGTGTCACATTTTAAATATTTTGAAGTAAGTGGTGTTATCTCTGTTCTCTGAAAGCAATGATACCATAGACAGCGGCACGGCTGAGTGCTTCAGTGGGCTCTGGGGTGGAGACTGGGGGAGATACTCATATAGACTATGATGTGATTGAGGCCACCTGGAATTTTTCAGTGTGCTGATTCTATTTGTCCATTTCTGCATATCTGGAATGTTTTATTATTAAATACATTAACAAACAATCCAAGGTCCAGAGAAGTTAAGTAAGTCACCTATTATCACCCAGTCATAGGAATAGCTGTTCCTCAAATTCAAGCCTGAAAATACCCAAGGCTTGCAACCACAGGATGGATTAAAACATTGCAAGTATTTTAAATAACGTCAACCCATATGTGGAACAATCATGTCGCTTTAACTGTGATCACAACTTTATTCAGTAGGGATAGTGTTACCATCCTCCTCAATTAAAAATCTAAAAGGCCCCTGATTCCTCTGGTCACCTTAAGATAATTAAAAAAGTCTTCTTGTCACTTTAGTCATTAAAAGTAATTCATTTCAGTAATTAGAATGCCTGCAATAATTAGAATGCCAGTAAAAACTCTGAACTTGATTTAATGTCAAAGTCTTCTCCCTTCCTTCCAGCTACCATGCAAAGTTGTGCAGAGGGAAGTGATATGTAATGGGATAGGCCAGTTCTTGTACAGCTGTATGCCTTTGGGCTTTTGATTTCTGAAATGGTAAAAGCAGATCCTTTCTCTTGTAGGCTCTTTTGAGCTCTTTGGAGATGGAGGTTCCTCTTTGGATTCCTCTCTTCTGTAGTTCCTTTGACCCAGGGGGATGACAGAGACCTGCTATAGCACTACGGCACTATCTATCCCCATCTTCTTTATGCTGAGCTATCCTCTAAAGCAGGCTTTTTGGATAGGACCCAAGAGGCTTTCTCTCCTGCATGTTCCAGGTACAGTACATCAAAAGACTCAAGCAACTCTGGCTCGAGTATATTTGAGAAGACCATATGAATCCCAAAAGTACTCTTCTGGCTCCAATATCAAAGAAGTTAATCTCACCTTCTTGGTTCCCTCGTCATGACTGAAACCTTGGTCCTCATTCAGCTGTGTCTTCATCAGATATGGAGTGGGCACCAGTCCTCATGTGCAGGAAACGTATTTCAAAGTTTTGTGACTGTTCCACTGGAAGACCTTTGCCTGTGTTTGGGCAAGAAGATAGTCCCGACCCCTCCATTTCTAGGGAACGGAGCAGGGGATCATATCACTGTAATGGTTCTTTCCAAATAAACTCTCTGGGCCAATCCATTCAACTACATTCTATGACTCCATGTTATAGCCTTTATCTGACTGATGATTACCAAAGTAGGGAAACAGCTTTATCGGACCATGTTCTTTCTAAATCTACGTATGGGACAGGGAGCTGGCAAATTCTATTCTTTCTCAGTGAAGAGATATGAAAAGGCCAGGCTCTTCTTTTTTCGTTGGTGTCTAATTAATCTAACAGAGACTGTTAAGAATACAGAAAAAAATGGCCAGGTGCTGTGGCTCATGCCTGTCATTCCAGCACTTTGGGAGGCCGAGGCAGGCTGATCACTTGAAGTCAGCAGTTCAAGACCAGCCTGGCCAACATGGTGAAATACCGTCTCTACTAAAAATACAAAAATTAGCCGAGTGTGGTGGCAGGCACCTGTAATCCCAGATACTCAGGAGGCTGAGGCAGGACAATCCCTTGAACCAGGGAGGCAGAGGTTGCAGTGAGGTGAGATGGCACCACTGCACTTCAGCCTGGGTGACAGAGCGAAACGCCGTCTCAAAAATAAATAAATAAATAAATAAATAAATAAATAAATAAATAAATAAAAGAATGCAGAAAAAACAGGTTATAAAGTTTCTGTAACACTGGAACCAAATATTGCCCTTCTCAATTCTGGAATATTTCCAAGAGGGAATATCACTAGAGTTGTTTAACCCTACAGAAGCACAATGGAAAATAAAATAATTAAAATATTTCAAAAAGTGATGTTTGCTTTAAAAAATGATCTATACTAAGAACTACCCTGATTTCTTTAAAGCTTATCAACTTATTTTAAAAATAAACACAGCACATGCATATGGTTGAAACCTAAACTATTGAGACTGGAAAAAATTAAGTTTTGTCCCTGTCCCAGTCCCTTTTCAAGAAGCTAAATTCTATAAAGAATTTTTGATATTTCTATTAAAATGCATATATCTAGTATGCATAAATAATATATATAACACTCATTTATTTTCACAATTATGGTTGTACTAGATGCACCCTTTTTTGTAGTGTTTTATTCACTTAATAATATATTTTGGATATCTTCCATCACCAGTACAGGTAAATCCTCATTGCATCTGATAGCTTCATTCTAGGCACAGAAAGCATTTTATTTAACCAATTTTATATTGGTAATTACTTAGGTCATTTCCATTCTTTCACTGTTATTGAGTTGAAAAAGCATTCTTGTATATATATCTTGGAAGGCTGGAAAGAATACTCATGGGGGAAACTTCTAGCTTAGTCGCTGGGCCTATGACGACATGCAGGTTAACTTTTGACTACTAGAAAGTCCACTGCTTTCCAAGTGGTTGCACCAGTTACATACCCACAGTGCTAGTTGAGAAGCTTTACCCAAATTCTCAAAAACAAGAAAGTTATTAAATTTCTTAATTTGGGCCCCTCTGCAGAAGAAAAATAACATATTTAATTTTCCTTCTCTATTTCTGTTGCCTATGTGAATTTGTTTATTGTACAATGAAAATCCATCTCCTTTGCATCTTTTTCAAATAGTTGTTAGCCTTAAAAAAATAGTCTATGAATGCCTTCTATAAACTGCTGAAATTAGCTTGTCTTGTCCACCATATGGGTTACAATTTTGTCTCAGTATATTGTAATTTTAAGGATGTTTTATATGCAAAAGCTTTTTAAAGTTTTTATGTAATTAAATTTATCAACCCTTAGCAAAAACTATTATTTTAAGCTGAAATCTGAGGAGTTAGAATAAAATCATTTATAATCATTTTTCTCCTTTGTCTTTACTTTTTACATTTGCTTATGTTTGATAACACTTTGTAAATTTTAAACTTTTATTTGCTTAAGTGGCAGTGCCTATTTTAACTGAGAAAGTAGTTTAGTTTTCCAAGAAATACTAATATTAACTGTGTATAATAGAAATCTTTACATATATAATCTCATATAATCCTCTTCATAACATGTAGTATCATTTTTATCCCTTTTAGCAGATGGAGAAATTGAAGTTCAGAGACATGAAGCCATTGTCACAGATCTCATACTGAACACATAGGTCTAACTGACATCAATGCCCATCAATTTTTCCTGTGCCAAGATGCCTCTCTGCTTAACTCAGGTTTGTTTGCATATAAAATATAATGGCACAGCTTTGAGTTTTGTTTTGTATATTTACCAGCCACCATTTTTTTTTACCAGAAAATATTGTAGGGTAAAGATGTCCTACTCTATAAACACTATACTCTATACACATTAAGAAATGGGAAATGAGAAAATAAAGTGCTTGAACCCTAAGACCAAATGTATTAATTCCAATTCCTAAAACACATGCCTGAATAATTCAAAATGATTTTGCAAAATAGATATTATCATATTACTGTATGGAAGAAATAAGTAACCAATAAAAAGGGGGTTACTTTTGTAGACTCATGGTTTGAGAAGCTGTCATTTATTTTGGTCATTGTTTTAGATATATTATTCACTGTCTCTTCATTATTCTTTTCAATGTAAATTATATAGGGTAAAAAAGGCTGCCATTTATTCTACTCCCTACTGTTCAGAGAATGGGAAAGTGGAGCCCAAAATGTTCTCATATATTTTCACAAGCATCTGTTAGTTACTCTGTGGAGCCATCTACTTTTTCCTAATATGTCACAAATAATAGTTGAAACTGTGGGTCAATGATTTTGGCCAAACTTGTTATCCCAACTCCTAGAGTGAAGGAAGTATATGTCCTTGGGGAATAGAGTATCCTCAGTGATGTAAGTTTAAACTTTCAGTTTATGAAGGTCAATTGTGCAATGAGAGAACTGTCTTTCTTCAAAGATAAATGTAACTTATCTATGTGTCCTATTTTTGTTGTGAGCAGAATACCAACTTGCAGTTGACCATAATCATGCCCCTTCTAGATTAAAATGTGGTCATCTCAGTTCTTGTCATTCCCTACCTCTAAAGTGATCTAAATTTTTAGGAACTTCTCTATGCCTTGGCAGCAATGAAGGTGTTTCTGTCCCATGTCACCTCATCTATTCTTAGTGGCCACAAGCCTAGAGCAGCTGAGCTCACCAAGGATACTGCTTCTGCCTGATTGTGGCCATTGTCATTCACTGACATCTGCTATAGTTGGATGACAGGATGTGTCAGTGTGAGGATGTGTGCTGTGATCCCCATGGCCTCCTGTTACAAGGACCATGTACTCAGCATCTTTTTCACTAGGACCACAGACCTTTGCGTATCTGTTGGGCTCACACAGCATTTCTGCAGGGCCTGAGTAACACTTGGCTATGCTTGTTACCACACAGTCCTTAAGGAAACTTTGTGAGTCAGCCCCCTCTGTCTAAAGACTTAACCTCACTGCTAACCTACCATCAGGCATCATCATGATTACAGGGCTTGCCACAGAGCCTTTTGCTTTGGAGCTCACAAAATTACTGTGGGTTCCATTACCTTTTTATGGTTTCCACTAATAAAGGTCTGGGACAGTGGTGACAGGAGGGTGCTTGCCAAAAAGATGCTACTCAAGAAACCAACATTTAAAATCTCATCATGTCCCTCCATGTCGCCTCTTCTTCCCATAACCCTGCTGAATTTATGTCTCTTAGAGCAGAAAGAACTTCCCTGAGAACCCTGCAGTCTTCCCTATTTTGTCATTTATAGTCTAAACTTAAGGCTCTTATTCCCCCAGGCTTTAGTTCTCTATCTTTAAAGAGATTTCAAAGACTCTTTTCTCTTACGCTGTCATCATAAGCTTTCAATGACTTATTTTGGAATATAAAGAAAAGACTTCACTTCTTTTTTCCATATGTCCACATTCCTCCCAAAGACATAATTACAGAAATTTCTCTGATGACAATGAGAGATATGGAGAAAGGCCCTGGGTCAGGGAATTAGAGAGGTGGGTGGTCTTAGGGATGATGGAATGACAGTTCAGTATCTCAAACTGTTTTACCTTTACACTAGTAAAAAGTGAAAGGCAGTAGTGAAGTTACAGCAAATCATCAGGAGGGAAAGGGGGCTTAATCTGAAGAGGAATTAAACACATCCTCTTTTCTTTCCTTATAACAATGGTTGTCTTGTGATGGATAACCTCCAGGTTACCACATGGAAACTTAACATGTCATGGTACAGCTGATTATTCCCTCTTTCTGGAAACACTCCCTTCATTTAGCTCCTGGGACACCACACCCTCATTCTCCTAATACCTCTCTGCTGCTGCTTCTCAGGCTTCTTTGCTCCTTCATCCTTTAAACTTAAGATATCCTCAGCTCCATCCGTGCAACCTTTCTCTTTGGTATCAACCAAAGTGATCTCATGTAGACTTTAAATAATATTAACATGCTACTCACTATCAATTGTGAATTTCTAATTTTGGGGATTTGGGGATATGCTTATTCTCTGTGTGTACAGATGCACAAATATCTTAGACATCTTAAACTTAAAATGTCCAAAACAACCTCACCTTCCCCTAAATGAATTCCCAAAACTGTCTCCCCATCTCAGTAATGGCAACTCTATTCTTCCTATTATTATACTTTAGACCATTTTTTTCTCACATGCCAAATCCAATCCAGTAGTAAATTCTGTCAGTTCTACCCTCAAAATTTCTTCAGAATTTGATCAATTGTTACTACCTTCACCAATACCATTTTTGTCCCAGCGACTATTATTCCATCTAAATTCCATCTAAGTTCCTAAATTCCATCTCACCTTGTCTTCCCTCCAGCCTATTTTGTATATGATTTCCAGGAAAAGCCTCTTAATGCATAAGAAGAAAATTTTACTTTGTCTTCAAAACCATCTGCCTGTTTTCTTCAAGAAAAAAAGGATAAAGTCCTTACAAAGATCAAATTAGGTTCATATACCCAAGTTTCTGGTTACCTTCTCAACTCATTTCTAAACATTTTTCTATTCATTAATTAACCTCCAGACACACTGGACTCCTTGCTGCTCCTTGAATATTCTACTGACCCAAGGCTTTTGTACTCACTGTTCCACAGCCTTGAGCAATCTTCTTGTGGGTTAACTAGAAAACAGAGCCCACCAGAATATTTTACAACCAAATATTTCTTGGTTGTTGCTATTTCAAGAAAGCAAGAGTATGGGAAAAAGAGAATTAGGTCAAGGAAGGATGAAATACAAATACAATGTGATGTGTGACTGAACTGGTGACAGATTTGCTGAAAAATGCAGCTGACTGCTCTTCTGTGCAATATGTCTTAGAAGAGGTCATATGGATACATTGCATTTTAAGGCAGTCTGTCAGAGGAAAGACGGAAAAGAATTTAGTTGATAGCTCCTTTATGTCTCTCATTATTGAAATTTCAACCCATAGAAATGCAACGCCCTTACATTTCCTAAGTTCATTCATTCCACTGAACAGAAAATCATGGCTAAACAATTTGGGTCAATACCTGCATTGAATCTTGTATTGCCACCCATGATACACATACATTCTCTTACATTTTATTCTAAGATTCCCTGAATTCTTCTACCTAAAGAGGAAATACAAGTCAATAAAAATGAGGCAACTACAATTCCTGGGACAACAGCTACTCCTGGGGCCACAATTAATCTTTGTCTACCTCCTCCAACTTCTTATTCCAAATTCCCCTGATTTTCATCCAGAAATGTGTGTATGGTCTAATTTGCATGCCTGACAAGTTTTCAAAAAATCTGCAGGGTCATAACTCTTATGGAAAATGAATGCCTCAAAAGATACCTTGAAAAATCCCTTGAGGTTTGAACATATTCCTGCATGCCCCATTGTGTAACAGAAATACTAGCTCCTAGAGGTATGTTTGCTGCAAGCTAATTAATCTTAGGATCCAATGCCTTTAACTTACAAGGGCCTCCTCTAAAGCCCTCTACTTAATTTCTTATTAGTAATTTTTATTTTCTTTTTATGAAGAGTCTCTTCCCTCATTTTGTAGGCTTCAGGCTCAATAAAATCTGGCTATGTCAGGGTCAATTACTCAAAGTACAGTAATTCCCTTTTTACCTGTTAATCCACTGGTTTAAGACATCTAAATGCATAGTAGCAGCTGCTTTCAGGTTAGTGTAATACATATTATATCTCCTGATAGATGTGTTACCCCAAAAGAAATGACTTCTAACCTGACAAAGCTTAAAGTTGCAGAATCATCAACCGTAAGTTCATGACTGGCCACTAGGAATGATGTGAAAGGAACCAATCCTACTTCCAGGCTTTGGTTCTTGGATTGATGTATGGCAGTTCTTAAGACACAGCACCATAGATGGCTAATTGGGTTAATGAAGATATTAAACCCTGAAGGATACACTATTAAACCTAATGTAGCACCATAGGTGAGCTTTTAACAGTCTGGTTCTATTCTACTAGGTGAGCTGCCTCTGGGTTATATGGTACAAAATAGAAGACTGTGAATACTTTTAAAAAAATATTATTACATCTCCCATGCCATTACACTGGTCATGTGTCTGAACTAATATTGAATGGAATGCCAGGTCAGGAGAAAAGTCCTCTGTATATCCTCAGATAATGCTGCATGCAGAATCATTATGACCCAGACACAGCCATGAAGGGCAATGGTGGTGTTCAATGATTCTCTCTAACAAAGATGAAAACCTCATATCTGTTTTGTATAAAAATGTGGTTGATACCATTGTCAACCAAAATAAAAAAAGGAGGTTAAAATTAATATAAGTAGAATTTATTTGAACCAAATATGAGGACTATAGTGCTGAACACATAGATTCAAATTGCTCTAAATATATGCTCTATTAGCAGCAGTTACAAGTGGGTTTTTAAAGAATAAAAGAGAGGAGGCTGTTTCTAAATTATTTACTATGAATTACTATTAAAATAATAGAAGATATTGATTGGCTATACATTGTTGTTTGTAACACAAATTCTGGGAACATGAACATAATGGATGAGGCAGCTAATCAGAAAACTATAGGGAAGAAAAAGAACAAAATGTCTTTATGCAATTGCCCCAGGCATGAGCAGGTATTGGAGGCATGACTGAATGCTCAAGTCTCTCTAGGCCTGATACATTTTGCATACTTCACACAGTACAGACTGCTCTGAGCTATTTTTCTTTCCCCACTAGGCAATCTTTCTCGAGGGTTATCAGATGCTTTACGCAGAAAACTATGGCAGAGTAAATTTGGGGAAGTGCATAAACATGTCTTGTCTCCTCACTTCTTTCAGGTCTTGAAACTACCTTCATAACTTGAATGAAAAGTCACAAGGTTAGAATTGTGGTAGGGGCCTGAGTGCTGCTAAGATGTAGGCATAGTTTAAAGATAAACAATCATTGTTCCCCTCGCTTGCCTTTTTTTTTTTTTTGAGACGGAGTCTCACTCTGTCACCCAGGCTGGAGTGCAGTGGCGTGATCTCAGTTCACTGCAAGCTCCGCCTCCCGGGTTCATGCCGTTTTCCTGCCTCAGCCTCCTGAGTAGCTGGGACTACAGGCGCCGCCACCATGCCCGGCTAATTTTTTGTATTTTTAGTAGAGACGGGGTTTCACCGTGGTCTTGATCTTGTGACCTCATGATCTGCCCGCCTCAGCCTCCCAAAGTGCTGGGATTACAGGTGTGAGCCACCGTGCCCAGCCGCTTATGTTTTTAAAATTGCTTACTGCTCAGGAGTCACATAACCAGTGATCACAAGACCTGTAACTCTATAAATTATTCCTATAGATAACATCACTACTGAGAAATCTAAGACTCATCTTTGACATATTTTTCAAACTTTGCATTCTACTGAACCAGCTGATGCCACTTGGATTAGTGACCCATACCAGGAAATTGAATCAACTGGTTCTGTGACCTCCATCCAGGAACTGACTCAATGCAAAAAAAAAAAAATTTCAACACCCCTGTGATTTTATCCCTCACCCAACAAATAAACAGTACCCACTCCCTAGCCTCCTGCTGACCAAGCCATCATTAAAAACCCTAACCTGCAAAACTTGGGGGAGGCAGCTTTGAGACATATCTCCCATCTCCTTGCCAAGCTGCCCTTTATTATTAAAACTCTTTCTCTGCTGCAACAACTGCTGTCTCCCTGTATTGGCTTTTCTTGTGCAGCAGGCAAGAAGAACCGGGTGGGGCTGTAAGAGTGTCTTCTCAAATATGAATGCTACTAAGCCTTCACTTACCCCTTTATGTAAAGTAACACCATCTCTGTGACATTTCTTCATATCCAACTTATTCTTCATTAGTTTTCTTTGAAACACACATCATCTAACACGACATATTTACATACTCATTTTATTTATTTATTTGTTTTTTTGGCTTTTTTTTTTTGAGACAGGGTCTCCCTCAGTCACCCATGCTGAGTGCAATGGCATGATCACAGCTTGCTGCAGCCTCAAGCTCTCTGGGCTCAGGTGGTCCTCCCACCTCAGCCTCTCAAGTAGCTGGGACTATAGGCTCATGCCACTACACCCAGCTAATTTTTCTAATTTTTTTGTAGATACAAGGTTTTGCCACATTGTGCAGGCTGGACTCAAACTCCTGGGCTCAAGAAATCCATCACCCTTGGCCTCCCAAAGTATTGGGATTAAAGTTACGAACCACTGTACCCAGCCTACATACTCATTTTAAATGCCATATTACCACTCTAAAATGTAAGCTTCATGAAGTCATGTATTTGTTGTTAACTCAGTACCTGAAACAAGGTACATATTTGGTTGTCAATATACATTTCAAAAAATATATAAATACATGCATTTGAGGAGTAGACTTTAGAGTCATTGAGGTCTTCATAAATAATAATGTATCATTCAGAAATGGCAGAGCTGATTAGGAAGGCACTGTTGGGAACACAGGTGATCATCAGAAGGATTTGCAACAGAGAAGAAGGCCTGAAACACAGGCACTCCCTGTTCTTCAGTCATAGTCAGTGGATTAGATTTGGGAAGTAGGTTAAAGGATTGAAATTTCCTTTTAAGTGAAAATTTAAATGAAAATAAAAATGTTAAAAATGTGTAATCTCAGCCGGGCACAGTGGCTCATGCTTGTAATCCTAGCACTTTGGGAGGCTGAGGTGGGTGGATTGTCTGAGCTCAGGAGTTCGAGACCCGCCTGGGCAACACTGAAACCCCATCTCTACTAAAATACAGAAAATTAGCTGGGCGTGGGGGCGTGTGCCTGCAGTCCCAGCTACTCGGGAGGCTGAGGCAGGAGAATTGCTTGAATCCAGGAGGCAGAGGTTGAAGTGAGTGGAGATCACGCCACCGCACTCCAGCCTGGGCGACAGAGCAAGACTCTGTCAAAAAAAAAATTATAATCTCAACCTAATTTTTGGAGAAGAGATATGTAGAATTACTTTTAAAGAGATTTATTGATTCCTGAACCAGCAAGATTTAATCATACAACATTAACATTTTAAGGAACAAATATTTCAATCAAAAGAAAAGGTAAGTTTAGTTAGCCAAAGAAATGATATATAGATTTGAGAATTACAGTGTGATAACTTGTCAGTGCTTATATAAACATTATCCATGGGATGAGGTTTGCTGATTCAACAACAGAAAAACCTTAGTACCAGTGACATCTGTAAAATGTTAATACTGACAGGAATGGACATTTCCGCCTATCTTAGCCCAATACATTAAATATTCAAATCACGTAACTGTTATAAATCCATGTCACTCATGCAGTTTTTTTTTTAGTAAAATAAAGCTTCTTTCATGGCTTCCTTTTATAAAGATAAGATGCAAGGGGTCTTTTTGGAACATTTATGCATAATAATATTGATTTATTTTCATTTGAAAGAGTTTTTTCTTTTTCAAAAAAAAAGACTCAATATGAATGCTACCCAAATTCTATAAAGTAAGAAATGTTTTAATTTTAAAACAGTAGGAAGGACATAAACACAGAATAACTCATCTAAATTTAGTACACTTAGCTTTATGAAAATTCACTATATAATTGCACTCATTTTTCCCTATTTTGGAACAGACGCATACATTTATTTTCAAAAATTGGCACCTGATACCTGCCATTGTTTAAGAACAAGGTTGAATGACACTCCTGTATAATCTCACAGGGTCGCGACTCATAGCACTCCTCGCACTGTATTATAATGACCTGTTCACCTGTGTACTGGATTTGCATTAATTTAGAATCATAGTCAGAGGACATTGTGTTTTTATTTTTGTAAATGATAAAATCTCATGTTGACCTTTAACAGGGTGAGTTGTCAGAGAAAACTTCTTCTAAATGATTTTGGTAGGAACATTTTTATTCTTAGGGATGTAAGATGATTCCAAATGGCATGATTTCAGAAAATGTGGGCATATGACCTTTGATCTTTAAAGTGACCATTTCTGAGCTGCTCATTACTCATCATCCCATGCCTACTAACCCCACCACTATTTAAATGTGTGTTTGCCTTTAGGCTACTAGAACAGTGCTACTGGCCTTTTCTCAAGCTCCCAAGACAGAATATCTACTTGTTTCACAGGCACATGCCATCAAATGCCTCAAAAACCCTTTTGGATTTGTGCAGGAGTGAGGCACAGGTTGCTGCCACTAGTGGAAGTCTGTCACCGATTCCATTGTCTATTCTGGATACGTCATTTCTAATCCCTCCAACTCCCTCATTCCATCATCAGCAACCCAGCCTCATTTCCTGAATGAGTTATTCCATGTGATTAGAAGTCTTGATAGTTCTCCTCAGTAGAAAAATGAAGATAATAATTCCTTGGACTCACATTTGAGTTTCATTATGCTCGTAATGGTGGGAAGGTTGCAGTAGAAAAGGATTTGAGAAAACAATTCTCATAATTTCATTTTTTTTCTGAGTGTCCTACAGGAGTGAAAGAAAGCCAGAAATTATTCTTTGATTAAATCACTTTTCTATATTTGTCTATCTCCCAATTATACCACAAGCTCTTTGGTCCACGGACATTTTGCCCTTTACCAGTTTTTAAAGGCCTACTTAGAAATTGGAACATAGAAAATGCTCAAAAAAATCACATGAACCCAGGAGGCAGAGGTTGCAGTGAGCCGAGATCACCCCACTGCACTCCAGCCTGGGCGACAGAGCGAGACTTTATCTCAAAAAAAAAAAAAAAAAAAAAGAAAGAAAAGAAAAAAGAAAAGAAAATGCTCAAAAAATATTTGCTCAATGAATGAATGAACTCGTGAAACAGTGTTAGCTTTAAAGTCAGTGCCACTTAATATCAGCAGAGTATACGGATTTCCTATGGAAATTTCTGGATAGACTGTACGTACCAAGTCCCCTCAGCATTTACATTCATCAATGTAAATTTTAAAGTAGTAAGAAATTTGTGTACAGATGTCTTTGACAAAACGGTTCATTTGAATCCATTCCTGAAGCACAGGTTAATGCTTAAATACTGCCAAATTAACTTTCTAAAACATGAATTATTAAGGGACAGATTACATCCATTGCCATCTTTTCAGGTGCCATGTGCTTTTTCTTTTGAGAATTATATAACTGCTGTTTAATATGCCTTATACATTTTTTTTTTCTGTCAGTTAGGCTTCTGAGTCTATTCTATGAGCATTTGCATAATGTTGCACTTGTGAGCGACGTGGTTAGTTTAGTTAAAGCAGGCTAGCTATACATCCAACATTCAAGGTCCCCTTTCAATGGTGTGGATTTTTCACTAAGCAATGGTTATCCCGTCAAATCTATGCTTCCTAGCTTGGGCTACCATTAGATCTTGGCCATGTATTTGACTGCATATTTGACCAAGGTTCAATAAGTAGAGTGGTTGTAAAAGTGATGATCACCACTCCCAGGCCTGGCCACAAAACTCCAATGCAAATCTCTTTTCTGATCCCTTTCCAGCTAGGTAGAGTGAGTATAGCCCCCAATACCATTTGGAAGAGAGAGAGAACCTCTGTCACTCTAGAACATGGACAACTGCATAGTGGAAGGCCACCCACTGACCTGCTCAGCCACCATCTCACAGAGTAAGGAAGACAATCCTCCAGGCATAACACATATTCCCAGAGTATTTTTTGCATCATTAGCATATACTTGAAGGGTTAAATCAGTTCACTATGGTAGACAGCTCCAGATTCCTGATGTACCTCATGGGGAGGAGATCATCTTTATTAGAAATCAACAATTAGGTCTAGAGTGGAAAAACATCAAATCTTACTCTAATCAAAATCAACAATTAGGTCCAGAGTGGAAAAAAATCAAATCTCAATCACACCTTACTTTTGGTGGCTGTTTAGTGAACCACCAAACAAGGCTTGTCTCAAAAATTTGTAGAGAAAAAACAAACAATTAAAAAAAAAAAAAACTTTAGTATTTGCTGAATAATCCTAAAACTAGCAATGGTTATATGATACTGTATTGACAATAGCTTTAAATGATCAAAAATGGTTTCAGAAGCAGATGTCTCACTATAAAAATGGAGCACAAAGTGAATGAGCAAAACTGATGCTGTGCTACCAATGAACCCAGGAAGAACGGTGGTCCTGAGAACAGTGTCCTCCAGGTGCCCTCGGCAGAGCAGCTTTCAACGAACTGCGCTCTGGTGTTTTACTACCATCAGAAGTGAAGGATCATTATGTGAGCTGTGCTGTGAAATCTGAAAATACCACTCCAGGGGGTGTTTTTTGGAAGTGAGTTCATGCCACATCACAGCATATACTTTAAAAGGACCCTTGCGGAAAATTCTTTTCAGGTATAAAAATCAGAAATAGTTGTACTTTTCCTGAAAAACTGGCTTGCCTTTCTTCTATGGACATTAAGTATTGTGTAACTGATCTTGTTTGCTTCCTCCCTTGTAAGAAAGCTTAGAGTCAATTTACCCGTTCATCTCTAGCAGGCATAGCTGCCCCGCATGTTGCATTTTTGTGGGGAAAAGCTCACTAAGGCTTTATCTTATTTTTATGGCAAAACCATATGTTAATATTTCTTATTTCCCCATTTCCTTTTTTAATTTTCCATGCCATGGTATCCTAGCTCTTTATAGTCTCTCAAAACACAGTCCAATTTAAACATATGAATGTATCTTCTCATAGAGACTCAGAATTCATAAGCTATTTACATTAATTAAATATTCCAGATAAATACAGCAAATTGACAATATAGTTATTTTAGCATTATATTGCACCAGGAAATATACAAATGATAAAATAAATAAATTCAAACTTCATAAGAATCTTGACATCTTCTGTTAGTGCAAAATAAAAAATAAAATGCTAGCTACCAGCATTTCATTCATAAATCTCATCTATTCATTAGGCAATTTCTTTCTTCAATTGTTTTGTCTAAACAAGTTAACTGAGCTCAGAAAACCAAATAAGTTAAGATTCAATTGAGGTATATGTCTTAAGCATCAAATACCATATAAAACAAAGCAAGCTTAGGATAAGCAATCCAAGAGCCAGAGGCAAGTTCCTAAGATGAATTTCTCCCTAAGCCAGAGAGAAATAAGAGGATTTTTCTTTTAAGCACCAGGAAGGGGCAGTGGGGAGACCTGCAAGACAAGTTTACACATCCCCAAAGGTTTATAGGCTTCAGTCATAATCATGCAATGCATAGGCAGTAATATAAGCCCAGTTTACACTATTTCTAAGCCCTTAATGCTTTTATGCACTGTAAAAAACACTGGAGAAAGAACATACTAAAAACATGAGAAGTTGAAAATATTTGCTCAATTGTGTAACTGTTGAATTGCACATATTGATTGTAACAGTGTTTATTTTGAATGCATTTTTCTACTGAGAATAGAAAAGTATGGGGTAATAAATACTTATATAAATATTTCCTTCTATAGAGTACCACAGAGGAAAGGGTAAGTAGGCACAGCTTTCTATGATGTAATTTTCCTTGTGATCTCTACTTTGCTTCTTACTATTGCTCTGAGGGCTTTTTCACTAGGTGCATATCAATTCCATTTCCCCTTGGTTTAGCTAAGGAAGATTTAAAATTCTCCAAATGATTCTTACTATTAAATTGAAGGAACGTAATACAAAGTAAAATAAAGTATAAATACAAAAAACCTTCAAAAGCCCAGGAACATAACTGATAGCAGAGGAATCCATTTCTTTTCACTTCAAGATAAAATTTAAACAAAAAACAAAAATAGATCTGGCAAGTAAAAATTTACAAGTTTCTTCTCCTTAAAATCCCCCAAAGGTTTTCACTTATTACAGTAAAACTCCTTTTTAAGTGTTTCATAAACTGTCTCCAGCACACCTCTCTTGCCTTCCCCAAATGTTCTGTTCTTGTTCGTTATTTTGCCTTGTCAGCTGTTCCTTCTCTGAGCAGAAATCCCTACAACTTCTCCCACCAGAAAAATGTCAAGTCCAGAGCAAATGGCCCTTCATCAGAGATGACGTTCCACAATAAAGGTAACTGCTTTTTTATATCACCACTTTGGGAATATAATATCCATATTTATTTACCTCCTCATTATAGTGGTTTTTTTCAGTAGTTGTTCTAAGACTGCCCTACGGAACATTGAGCTCATTGGGCCAGATATGGATTTTTTGTATTCTCAGGAATTAAGAAACTAGCTGATCCATAGTAGCATGCAATCATCTACTTAATTAATAAAATTGGCATTTAGAATACTTAGTCTTTGAATCCTAATACAGCTTTTTAATCTTACAAATATTTTTCTACTACTTACGTTTGTACTAGTGAGTTCGTCATATTACAACGGGAACTTTGAATACTTCTATCCCTCAAACACTATACATAGGTTCTAAGAAAGCAGAATATTTAGTCATTTGTTTTACACTCAGGAGAAATAATTTTCTCAGTGGCATAGTCAATTTGAGTAAATAATCATGTTGAAGATTGTTCTGCCCAGAATCAGGAATTTATTAAAGTCTACTCAGGAAAAATTGCAGTCGCAATATGTATTGAGTTAGTTTTATTAGCAAAGCAAATATTAAGTTATCTGATCTTGTAATGTAACTTAAAATTTCAAAGCCCATTGTAATCACATGTATAGCTCTGAGGTATTGAGAATTTAGCTGTAAATCAGAAAAATAGACAAAAGCAGTACCTACCAAGACTTATACTTTATACTTATCTGGATTTTATCTCCAAAGTGGTATCATGATTTTGGTTTGTTGAAAGTTCTTTTGGATTTATCTGTCACGTAGGACTGAAGAGCATAGTGAAATTAATTAATAAAGTCCTACTGTTGAATTCTGATTTTGTTATGAGCTAAATGGTCTTGGGTGTTATAATTAAAATCTCTGAACCTTAGTTTGATCACATATAAAACTGGTATCATAATTCTTGCTTTTAAGCATGTTGAAGGTTAAATGAGATCATTTGTATACAAATGTATATAAAGTTTTAATATACATAAGAATGAATTTATCTTTTCTACCTAAAAGCATTTTATTAGTGCAATTCTAGCTTCAGGGCAAGATCTGAGCATGAAGATCTGTATGTGAGTGAGGGATGTTTCATTTTCACTTAGCGGAAGAACACACTAAGGGTAGCTTAAACAATTAGGTTTATATTTTTCATGGTCTAGAGCAAGAAATAAGGTGTAGTCTATTTTTGGCAGATGCAAATCTAGGCATCAGTCTTGTGGAAAGCAGTGGTACCAGCTGCATCTGTCTTTACAAGAAAATAAGACTTCCACTTATGTCCAATCGGCTGGAACAGGGGCACACAGTTAACCCCAGTTGCAAAATAATTCAGGAAACTGGACATCTCATCTTCTATTATTTGAAGTGGGATATAGCAAGGGAGAAGGGTATTAGAAATAGCCTTTCAGTATTTCTCTCACTTTTCCACTGTGATATTAAAATGTTAATAAAATGCTAGCCGTAGAGACAACTAAATGCCATAATATGATCAATTTGCTTTCAATTCAAAGCAAACATTAACTCTCAGTTAAGTTTAAACTGTAGGCAGGAAGCAGAAAATACACTTGATTTCACTTCTCTTAGCTCCTTATTAAATAAAAATATACAAAATGTACTTTGTTTTTTCCCTTCACTGTTTGTGTTGTGCATTTGAAACATGGTCAGGCCCATTTGTTTCTAGTTGAATTTACTTTCCCCTTAATTGTTTATTACCTTTCCCCATAATTGCTTATTAAATTCATTTTGTGTGTATGTGAAATATTAATATGATCCCCAAATGCGGAATGTTAAAAATGGTATACTCAAAGAAGTGTCCTGCTGACAGCCTTTCCTCTGTTCTAATCTTCTTATCTTCTCTATCCGTTTCCCACCTACTTTCTCTAAATAAGTAATCTCATTAGTTTCTGATTTGTGCTTGTATGTGTTTTGTACAAACGAGCAAAGACATATGCTTTCCGTTTGGGTTTGTTTGTTTCCCATTTTCTATCTGACTTTTGGTCTTGTCCTCAACTCAACATTATTTATTTGGACCATTAGCTCTTAATCTGTGATGTGTTGCAAATATTGTCTCCCATATGTCCCAATATCATCTCTTGTTAACAATCTCCTGAACTTACTTAAAGCTTTTCTTTTCCTATGCAACTTTTATCTTTTTAAAATATGTAGTCGATTTTCTATCAGACTTTTAAAATTACATTTGGATTTCAAGTCATCGCTAGAAAACTTTTATTTACACAGAGGCGGGAGGACTACCTGAGGTCAGGAGTTAGAGACCAGCCTGGCTAACACAGTGAAACCCCGTTTCTACTACAAATACAAAAAATTAGCCGGGCGTGGTGGCATGTGCCTGCAATCCCAGCTACTCAGGAGGCTGAGGCAGAAGAATCGCTTAAACCTGGGTGGCGGAGGTTGCAGTGAGCCAAGATTGCACCATTGCACTCCAGCTTGGGCAACAAGAGTGAAACTCCATCTCAAAACAAACAAACAAACAAACAAACAAACAAAAAAATGAAATGCATACTAGTTTTCTGCTAATACTTGAATTATTTAATTTTTACATTTAAATCCATTATTTTGAAACCACTTATATTTTAAATCAAAAATCAAGTGTCAGAAATTTGAGATGTATGTAAAATACATCTTTTATACTAATTCTTTTTTTTAGTGTTTCTAATTCTTTTATTTAGTGTTCCATTTATTAATACACATTTAAGAAAGATTTGTGGAGAGTCACAGATACAAATATATGTTCTAATAGTGCCACTTCAATCCAATTTGTAATAGGATAAATATAGAAATATAAAATATACCAGAGCTATTAGTTTTTATCTTTTCATACATGTAAAAATTTCACCTAAAAAGAATCGAGAAAAAGAAAACTCAATAAAATGATATTATTTTAAAACATTTTCCAGTTTATCATCTTTTAATGCATGTGACAAATTTTTGTACTATTATTTAAACTTGTCTTAAGGTATTTTAAAATAATAGCATACAAGTTAACAGATACTACTGCAGAAATGAGGCTACAGTTCCTCCTTTGATTTCTTAGTACCAATTTCATAAGATAAATATATACTTCAATAATCTTTAAAAGATAATCATTGAATATAGTATATCATGCTATTTCAAAGTAATTTAGGTTAGGTGCTTTTAAACTTGAAATTACTTATATTTTAAAATATTCAGCGATATTTGAGAAATGCACAGTAACATCATATTGAATGGGGAAAAGTTGAAACCATTCTCCCTAAGAACTGGAATAAGACAAGGATGCCCACTTTCATCACTTCTATTCAACATAGCACTGGAAGTCCTAGCCAGAGCAATTAGGTAAGATAAAGAAATAAAAGGCATCCAAATTGGAAAAGAGGAAGTCAAACTATCCCTGTTTGCAGATGATATGGTCTTATGCATAGAAAATGCTAAAGACTCCTCCAAAAGACTCAGATTTAATCAATAAATTCAGTAAAGTCTCAAGTTACAAAATCAATATACACAAATCAAGAACTCAATCCCATTTAAAATGCTAAGAAAAAAAATAACTAGGAAAATACTTAACACGGAGGTGAAAGATCTGTACAAGGAGAACTACAAAATACCCATTAAAAAATCATAGATGACACAAATGGAAATATATCCCATGCTTATGGATTGGAAGAATCAATATTGTGAAAATGACCACAGTGACCAATCTATAGACTCAATGCAATTCCTGTCAAAATACCAACATCACTCTTCACAAAATTAGATAATCCTAGTATTTATATGGAACCAAAAAAGAGCCCAAATAGCCAAATCAACAAGAACAAATCTTGAGGCATCACATTACCCAACTTCAGATTATACTGTAAGCCTGTGGTAACCAAAACAGGCTGATGTAGGTATAAAAGTAGACACACAGACTTACGGAACAAAATAGAGAATCTAGAAATAAAGCCAAATACCCATAACCAGCTAATCTTTCACAAAGCAGACAAAAACAAAAACATATACTGAGGAAAGAACAACTCTGTTGAATAAGTGATGCTGGGAAAATTGGATAGCCATATGTAGAAGAATGAAACTGGACCCCTATCTCTCACCACATACAAAAGTTAACTCAAGATGGATTAAAGACCTAAATCTAAGATCAGATACCATGAAAATTTTTGAAGAAAACCTAGGAAAAACTCTTCTGGACATTGTCCTAGGCAAAGAATTTATGACTAAGACCTTAAAAGCAAATGCAACAAAACACAAATAAATAAATGAGACTAAATTAAACTAAAAATATTCTGCACAGCAAAAGAAATAATTAACAGAGTAAACAGGTAACCTATAGAATGGGAGAAAATATTTGCACGCTAGACATTTGACAAAGGACTAATATCCAGAATCTACAAGGAACTCAAACAAATCAGCAAGAAAAAAAAATAATCCCACTAAAAATTGGGCAAACAACAAGAACATACATTTCTCAAAGGAAGAGATACAAATGGCCAAAAAAAGTTTAAAAAATGTTCAACATCACTAATAATCAGGAAAATGCAAATTAAAACCACAATGAGAAACCACCTTACTCCAGCCAGAATTGGCATTATTAAAAAGTCAAAAAACAATAGATATTTGTGTAGATATGGTGAAAACAGAACATGTGTACACTGCTGGTGGGAATGTAAGTTAGTAAAATCTCTATGGAATACAGTAGAGAGATTTATCAAAGAACTAAAAGTAGATCCACCATTCAAACCAGCAATCCCACTACTGGAATTATGCAGTAAGAACACAAAGGTACATAAGTTATTATATAAAAAAGACACCTACACTTGTACGTTCATAACAGCACAAGTCACAACTGAAAAGACATGGAATCAGTCTAAGTGTCCATGAACCAATGAGTGGATAAACAAAATGTTGTATCTATATATTTATATACTGTGGAATACTACTCAGCCATGAAAAAAATAAAGTAGTCTTTTGCAGAGACTTGGAACTGGAGGGCATTATCCTAAGTGAAGTAACTCAAAAATGGAAAACCAAATATCTCATGTTCTTACCAATAAGTAGAAGTTAAGCTACAAGTACTCAAAGGCATGCATAGTGATATAGTGGACACTGGAAACTCAGAAGAAAGGAAAAGGCAGGGTGGGAAGAAGGATGAAAAGTAACTATTGGCTACAATATACACTATTTGGGTGATAGGTGCACTAAAAGCCCAGACAGACTTCACTACTACACAATTCATCCCTGTAATCAAAAACTGTTTGTACCTCTTAAACTACTGAAATTTTTAAAAAATAAATAAAAGAAATAAAGTACCCAATGAAAGATTCATAATACATGAATATCTCTAAATGATATGCATTAAATAAAAGCAAAGGCGCAATATTATCTTGTTTTCATTGGACACTACTAGAAAAAAACTGAAAATAATAATAATTACACAAATGCTAATGTAGACTTCATTTTATCCACATGGACTTAACCCCAAAATCATATAATTCTGTAGAAATGCAGAGTTTACATTAGTGATGATGAAGGGCGATGTCATAGAAAGACTTTTAAGGCTGGGCATGGTGGCTCACGCCTGTAATCCCAGCACTTGGGGAGGCCTAGGTGGGTGGATCATACAGTCAGGAGTTCAAGACCAGCCTGGCCAAGATGGTAAAACCCTGTGTCTCCTAAAAATACAAAAATTAGCCAGTGTAGTGATGTGCACCTGTAATTCCAGCTATTTGGGAGGCTGAGGCAGAGGAATCAATTGAACCCAGGAGACGGAGGTTGCAGTGAGCCAAGATAGCGCCATTGCTTTCCAGCCTGGGCGACAGAGCAAGACTCCATCTAAAAAAAAAAAAAAAAAAAAAAGAAAAATCTTTCAAATGTGATCCTTGTGTTCAGGGCTTGGGAAAGGGGTTATAAAAATTATTAAAAAATTACATCAAACTGAAAATCATTTTAGATAATGACTACTCTTTTTTCAGAAGAAATAATGAAATGAACTAAAAACTCTAGATTTTTGTTCATCTAAATCATGTTTCTGCCCATATACTATTTATTCCACTACTTTCCAAATAGCCATATCTCAATTTAAGGGGTATAATTCATATCTTAAAAAATGAAAATGCCTTCAGAGAAAGTATTTCATAAATTGTATACAGAAATTAGTAAGAAAATGTTTGTACAGCATTTTGTGCTTTAACAGATATGAAATATTTGAATATTGTCTCTACACGATTTCTCTTTTCAGTGCAGTCCAAAACATCACTTTTAAGGTAAGCCATGATGCATAATTTTGCTGCTGGCAAAATAGCAAAGGTTATATTGCACTTTTTACATTTTATGTTGGTAGATTCCCCAAGCCAGTTCACCTATGCTGAAGTTTAATAAAATAAATGCTCAGATTGTCTACCACTGTAAGATGCAATCATGATGGCTTGAGATAAATTTTAGTCTGGGATTAAAATCTTTTATTTATTCTCAATTACCCCAATAACTGTGGGGGAAGAAACTAAAATATAAAGTTATGTATAATAATTTGACCATCTTAGCAGAGTCAACTCTGGAATCAATGAGCAGTGCCACTGATATTGCTTGTTGTGAAAAAACCATATGCAGTCTCATATGTACTTGGAAAAAAATCTGGTACCAGTGACATTACCATTGATGGTCTTACTTTTCCATGCAGATGCTTGGAAATTTTAAGTATTCCAAAAGCATTCCATAGTCCCACCTGGCCCAATATGTAAATTATTGACTTAGTAAAACTTTTTACATGAGAGAAGTTTGTGTGCTCATAAAGTATATATTCATCGCAGGTAGTTTAAGGGACATATCAACTATAAGATAAACATTTTTAACTGTATATTTATGTTATCAAAATGAGTCTATTGTTCTAATTACCTAACCAGTTGTTTGCTCCCCCTTTTAATTATAATTTTGACATTTGACATTATTAGCTACTTTTTTCTTTTTATTTTTTTTTTACTTTCAATATTGGCTAATTTTTGTTTTCCTGATATGTTTCCACCAGCATAGTGTTTTGTCCAGAATGACTGAATTTTCACCAAGAAACCTGATAAATATCTTGATCCACAACTTCCTAAATATCTAATAAATTGAGTTTGCACTGAAATTTTGATATAAAAGTTACTCCTTCCTTACCCTAAAGCATTGTTTAATCATATAACAAGAGAAACAATCAAGATGAGAAATGATTCTTTTTTTAAAAAATTCAGTAGTTTTGTATTGAGATATTCTATTTACATGTTTGTTCATTCCTTCTGTAAATATTTATTGAGTGCCTATTATATGCCAAACACTGGACTAGGTATTGGGGATATGATATGAATTAAGAGCAAATGTCCCTGTAAGATGCTGAAGTTACCATC
Source organism: Homo sapiens (assembly GCF_000001405.40). NCBI lineage: Eukaryota > Metazoa > Chordata > Mammalia > Primates > Hominidae > Homo > Homo sapiens. The sequence goes on from NC_000004.12 coordinate 175,357,889, forward strand.
TGATTAAAAACAATATGAAGATGACGCAAATATAATTGTGTTGTTTTTTTGCATTGTTGAAATTTGCCGTTTGATACTGGAATACATTCTTCAACAAATGTGGTTATACATCATTTTAATGAGCACTTCTTGCTTTTTTTTTTTTTTGCTAATTACTTATTACTTGCTGTTTATTTTATACTTATTTTAAACTATGGAAATGATGTTAGATAAAAAGCAAGTTTGGGTGATTTTCTTATTTCAGTTCAGAATGGGTTATAAAGTGCAGAGACACTTGCAACATCAACAACACATTTGGCCCAGGAACTGCTAATGAATCTACAGTGCAGTGTCGCTTCAAGAAGTTTTGCAAAGAAGGTGAGAGCCTTGAAGATGAGGAGCGTAGTGGCCAGTCATCAGAAGTTGACAATGACCAATTAAGAGCAATCATCGAAACTGATCCTCTTACAACTACAGAAGAAGTTGCTGAAGAAATCAATGTTGACCATTCTATGGTCATTTGGCATCTGAAGCAAATTGGAAAGGTGAAAAAACTTGATAAGTGGCTTCCTCATGAGCTGAGCAAAAAAAAAAAAAATTGTCGTTTTGAAGTGTCATCTTCTCTTATTCTACATGACAATAATTAAACCATTTATTGATCAGACTGTGATGTGCAATGAAAAGTGGATTTTATAAGACAACCGGTGAGGACCAGCTCAGTGGTTGGACTGAGAAAAAACTCCAAAGCACTTCCCAAAGCCAAAACTGGCAACAAAAAAAATGTCTTGGTCACTGTTTGGTGGCCTGCTGCCGGTCTGATCCACCACAGCTTTCTGAATCCTGGCAACGCCATTATGTCTGAGAAGTATGCTCAGCAAATCAAAGAGATGCACCAAAAACTGAAACACCTGCAGCCAGCACTGGTAAACAGAAAAGGGCCCAATTCTTCTCCACAACAACGCCCAACCACACGCCGTACAGCCAATGGTCCAAAGGTTGAAGAAATTGGGCTACAAAGTTTTGCCTCATCTGCCATATTCACCTGACCTCTCGCAAACAGACTAACACTTTTTCAAGCATCTCAACAACTTTTTGCAGGGAAAACACTTCCAAAACCAGCAGAATGCTGAAAATGCTTTCCATGAGTTCGTCAAATCCCAAAGCATGGATTTTTATGCGACAGGAATAAACAACTTATTTCTCATTGGCAAAAATGTTTTGATTGTAGTGGCTCCTATTTTGATTAATAAAGATGTGTTTGAGTCTAGTTATAATGATTTAAAATTCATGGTCCAAAACTGTTATTACTTTTGCAACAATCTAATATTAAATCAATGATTCTTCAAACCAACTATACAACTATACAATTAAAAATGATGGATATATTCTTAGAAGAAAAGTAAATTACAACAAAATAAAGCAGTATGATTTAGATTTACAGTTCAGGGAAAGCTTCACATATATGAATAATTTCTATTCATGTTAACTCATGTTAATGTTTATATATACACATGTGTGTATACATAAAACTGTGTATTGTATATCTGTGTGTATGTGTATATATTATATATAGATATGTATATATGTGTGTATATATATATATATTTATATAAAATACACACACATACACATAGGGACATTACCATAAGTAGGATTTAGATAAGCACAGTTGAGGGGAGGTGGGGTGAAATAAAGATACAGAAGATGCAAATAGTCTCAGCCAGAAAGAATTGACACAATGCTAGTGTGGCTGCTGAACAGAGAGAGAGCAAGCAGGAAGGAAGATGAGGGTGGAGTAAAAAACAAGACTATGCAAAGCTTTACCAGCTACATCAAAGAATTTAGATTTTATCCTAATATAGTGGGAAGGTTTTGAAGGATCCTAAATAGTGACGCAACAGGTTCCTTCGGGCTGCAATGTGTAAAATTGTTAAGGTGGGTATGGGAGGTAATTATGTAAGTGGGGAATTCAGGTAGAAGGCCTTCACAATAGCATAGACAAAACTGCTGATAGGTTGGCCAAGAGAGCTGCCTTTTTAAACAGAAAAAGTGAATAGATGCAAGACATTTTTTAGGGAGGACAGGCTATTGTTGTGAATTGGTGGGAAGTGAAATAATTTTAGGCAAGAGCCACTGGCTGGATGGATATTTTATGACACACACTGGAGGTGGAAAAGATTTGCAGGGACACCATGAGGAGTTTAGTGCATTCTTGTCTAATTTGAGAGGGATGTGAGCATCTGGTGGAGATGTCATGGGGGAAATTAAACGTCTAAGTCTTAAGTCAAAAGAGAAGCTTGAGATTTACATGTGAATTTCTCTGACATCTAGTTATTGGAAGTCAGGTAATAGATGATGTTACCTAAATTAAGAGTATTGATTGAGAAAAGAAGCCTCTTTATACCAAATATAAAGAAACCTAACCTATAGAATAAAGGTTTTCAATGATTTCTATGTATAAACTTTCCCTGGAGTAACTGATATCATGTAGTCCTATTTCTATTCACAGAGTCTGATTTAGTCATTATGGAATAGAACCCAGAAATATGCATTTAAATATTTGTTATGCTTCTGATGCAGTTGTTTCCTGGTTCAGCATGAGGGAAAAAAAGGGAGGCTGAAAAAGGTATTGCATAGTTATATGTGTAATCCCTTATATTAAAAAAAAGAAAACTAAGAATCAACAGAAAAAAAGTGACAAAAAAAAAAAGAGCCTGGAGAAGCAAGCAGGGATCAAATTCTGCTGGATCTTGTCGGCTACAATAAGAATTTGGGACTTTTTCTTTACAATCATAGGAAGGCATAAAAGGCTTTAGGCATAATTGATATGACTAGTTATATGTTGTAGAACAATAACAAAAAAACTGGTTGTAGAGTAGAGATTTGTTTTCAGGAAGAAGACTGAACAAGAAGGGTCTGGTTAATAGTAGCAGTTGTAGTATTAAGAAACTATGGTAATTAGAAATAGGATGGTGATGATAGAGATAGGAAGAATATGGAATTGAAGGGAATGTAGAAAGGAAATTAGTGAGTACCTGGTGATGTATACGATGTGGAAGGTGGTAAAAGTTAGAGAAATGTCAGGGTCAGTTTAGCCAACCGTTTCCAGCCTGTCTGTTTATGGAAGATGGAGTCCATCACAGCCAATGAGAAACACTGGAGTAGAGCCTGGCTTTCGGGATGATGGGTGGAAGTGGGAGGATCCTGAGTGTTGTTTCTAATGTGGTGAACTTGAATGAGATAATACAATGAAGATGTTAAAGAGGACTCACAGGGTAGAGTTGTAAATGTATTAATGTAGAGACAGTAACTGAAGTCATGGGTGTGTATGTGTGTGTAAGATCATCTATGTAGAAGAAATAGCATGAAAAAAAGAGAAGATCCTATTGTGCTACAGTCAAGAACAAAACTGCATCACTGATGATTATTGCATATCATATTAGGCTTAGTCATGTGGAAAATTAGAAAGAATTATAAAGACTAGCCATAGAAATGCTCATTTTGAATAATGTACATGACAGAAATATGAATTAATACTGAGAATTTTATCAGAATCACTCAAAGCCAGTTATTTGTCTTCAGTTGTATGAACTGCCATGGGAAAAGGCGCAGTGAGCAAAACTCTGTTTAAATTATTATTTTTTTCAATGTCTGTCTGTCTGAGGTACTGAGGTGATACAGTATGGCTCTGTGCCCACACCCAAATCTCATCTTGAAATGTGTCCCCACGTATTGAGGGAGGGTCCTGGTGGGAGGTTATCAGATCATAGGGGCAGTTTCCCCTATGCTGTTCTAGTGATAGTGAGTGAGTTCTCATGAGATCTGATGGTTTTAAAGTGGCACTTTCCCCCTCGCTCTCTGTCTCTCCTGCCACCTTGTGAAGAAGGTGCCTGCTTCCCCTTCACCTTCTGCCATGATTGTAAGTTTCCTGAGGCTGCCCCAGACATGGGGAACTGTGAGTCAATTAAACCTCTTTTGTTTATAAATTACCCAGTCTCAGGTAGTTCTTTATAGCAGTGTGAAAATGAACTAATACATGTGCATTACAAATCATCTTGACCTCACAAGTAACTGAGAAACTTTAATATGTATGACATTTTTATTACAATTTGTTAACTTCTTAATGATGGCATGTATGCAAGTGTATGTCCCCAACTTGAATATGAATCTATTTGTGCCAAGGATGCGATTATTTGGTTCTTTGAATCTTTTGAAATACTTGGCTTAATTCTGGTCATGTAATTAATATGCATTAATGGATATTTTTTAGATAAAAACTATTAGAAGTAAATGTAATAAATGAAAAATGACATGTATTTCTCTTTTGGCTTAACGATGTAAATTCAAAGAGCCAACAGCCAAATTGCCTCCCGCTGCTACAGAATCTGATGTGAAGTTGAACAGTGGGAAACTTCTGAATAATAAAATGGACTTTAACTTTAAAAATCAGATCTTGTCATAATTATCTATACCACATAAGGGAAAATACATTTTATTGATGTAATTCTGCTTCATTTATATTACATTTAATAAAGAATAAGCATGAATAATTACTAAATAATTTTACTCTTTAAGAAAAATGGAAGAGAATTTCTTTACAAAAGAATGTTAATCTTTATAAAATACTCTACCTATTTTAGGTTATGTGTTCTTTATTTGGGTTAAAAACAATACTAAGATAATATGTATATGACTAAAGACACCAAGACAATAACAAAGGATATGCCATTTTCAAGGTCTTAGGTCCTCATTCTCAATTCAATTTATTATTTGGAGCCTATGAGAAATAGGGCAAAATGCACAAATCAGGATAATTTTCTACCTCATAGGAATTCTGAGAATAAAGGCTATGAATACAGGAAAATAATAATAAAAATGAAGAGAAGCTGGGAGGGAAAAGGAAAGGTAAATAGAAAAAAGGTAAGAAGTAGAAAAAACAAGAGAAGGTATTATGTTTTCTAGATTTAGTATCTTAGTTTGGTACTGGATATTTTCATCTGCATTATATGAATTGCATTCATTTTTAGATAAAAACACAGTTTTCAGGGAAATAAAAATTCTAGGCAGCCAACAGAATTCCTCACACTTTGAAGTGACTCTCAAGTAACCTGTTCAAGTCCATTAGAAGCTTCAGAAGTCCCCAGGTGTTCATTATTACATTACCATTCTTACCACATCTCCACTTTCTGGAGAGAGAAAATAGCTTAAGCAATTGTAGAGAGAGTTGGAATAAGCTAAGGGATTGCCCTGCTGTTCCAGACAACTTTAGACTAAACTATGTCCCCAGATATCTGCTTCCTATAGTGAAACTTTATGGAATAGGGTGTTAAGACAATCTATTGAATTAATCTTTAAGGGCTTTGTCTCTTAAATATCATCTTTATTAAAATAATATTTACCTTCATCCTTTTAAATATACATTATCTTTCCATCTTTCTCATTGCCTGTTCAATCTGCCAGTAAATTATGCATATATTGACATGATATTTTAGATATTGTGGATACAATTATGTCTCCTGTGCATCCAATCCTTTTTGCTAAGCAATATAGACCCTAAATCACAAGTAACACTGAAAGTAGAATTTGTACATCATCATAGTTTGTAGAACATTTTTATAAATAATATTTCATTTAAGAAAGACATTGCAGTGACTGAGACTCATTACTATAACATTTTAACAGTATAAATTAGTCATTAATTACAAAAGTAAAATAGAACTAGAGCAAGATAAAATTTTACTTGATACCTGAGTATTTTTCTTCATTTTTAACCTTCATTTCTTTGGATGTCAGAAAACATACTCTAAATTTTTAGGCCAAGACATTGACATCTTGGAAAATTCAAGTCTTGTGTCCTAGTCACAGCATGATTTAGCAAATCCATCTAAGGGAATGCATCACCATACTCCACCATTTCTTCATCCCAAGAATACACTTATGTGCTTAGAGTTAGCTAAGTTATAGAGAAGATTAGTCAGAGTTAACCTATACATGTTAGCAAGCCTTGGTTAGTCACCCAGAATAAATCCATGATGCCGGCAAGCATCTATTGAGTTTATGGTATGGCTTCTCCACATAGGCAGCCTGCAAGAACGCAGCGTATGGTTACTACAGAGTTATCTGATATATTTTCTCTTCATTCACATGTAAGCTCATCCCTGCTTATTTCCCTTATCTCGCTTCATATTCCCACAAATCACTCCAGAAACATCTCACTTTTCTAGGGTTCATTCATGGCTGCTGGTTAATACTCCCAAGAACTTCTGTTGGGCACAAGGAGAATGTATGAGCCCTGGGAAGCCAGTGGATTCTTTGCTATCATCTCCCATCTGATTCCGCCACTCCACCACCTGTACCCCTCCCATAACCTTCTCATCTATCACAGGGACGGCTGCATCTACCAGAGGTGCTGGTGCTCTATAAACTCCAGCTAAAATAGGAAATTCCCAGATTTTTCTTCGCTTCTTCCTAATTCCTTAACTCCACTCTCCCATTTCAATGCATGAGGTTGAAATAGGCCTGTTCAGAAGAGTCAAGAAAAACAGAATATACAGAAAGTTATCGTTATGTCTGAGTCCCTTACCACTGACTTGAACATAGTAACCAGGGGAGAGCTAACCTCTGTGATGAAAAACGGGATAGAAAAATCCAGCCCCACAGTTTAGGCAACATGATCCTTTTAATGTTTCCTCTACATTAGTTTTCTCCTAATCCTTCTATCTTTCTTATTGCCTGTTCTATCTGTCAGTGAGAGCTGTGAAGTAGTATCTGGTGGCTCAGACTAGTTGAGAATGGCTAAGCACACCAGCTGCTCCTTAACATCCTTCTAAGAAACTCTAAGAAAACATTAACTTTACAGCCCAATCCCCCTGTCAACAATAGCCAGAGATGCAGAGTTGCCTTGTCACAACCTGTCTGACCCCGTGTGAAAATCCATACAGTATGGAAAGAGCAATATATGTTGTCTACATATTGACAGCAACCACATTTACACTATCTAGAGACAAAGGAATAGAATAAGATTTTTTTAGAAGGTTAGTGCCAGAAAGGAAACTAAAGAATATCCATCTCCACATTCTCTTTTTAAATATTAGGAAAAGCTCCAGGGAGGTTACATGACATAACCAAAGACACAGACTGAGTTGACTGTTAAGTTGAGACTAGTACAGTGAAGATCCTTAGGATTCTTTAATTAACACTTTTCTACTGAGTCACACTATTCTAAACCTAATAATGTTTTCAATGCACTATCATTAAGGAATTGCTGAACAGACTGTTATCTTCTGACATCATTATCACTCTTCAAGTATGGATTGAGGAAAAAATACTAAAGAAAATATTTGCTAATTGCATACTCATTTCTAGGTGCAGGGTTAGGCTTGGAGGTGGGATGGGTCAGGAGAGCATAAGAAAGCACTAAATGGCAGCTTTTACCTTCATTTAGGAGATAAGTATTAATAGTCAGAGTATAAATAATAATTCAAGGAAGTAGAGAAGACACCCTAAGTGAATACTTAGGGTGTAGTTCATACCACTGAAATTCAGAGAGAACTGAAATCACTACGGTTGAAATTGTCTTGAAAAACTACATCCACAGGACAAGATCTCTGCGGTCTGGATAAGCAATGATAGTTAGATAAGCATGGCTTTATATTAAGGACTAGCACATATACGGCCATTTTAATTAAACGTTCTAAAACACTGTCGGGTGGATTTGTACATGAATCTAAATTGGTAATGTATAAGGGAAACTCTTTTCATGTTATAGTTCTTATCCATACAAAAATAAATGAGAAAAACAAGAAAAGAATGAAAAGGAAATTTTGGAATAGATAATGTAAGAACTTGATGGAATATTGCCTCAGAGAAAAAGAGGAACTTTCTGCAAAGGCATTGAGAAGCTTCAGAGAGGGTCACTGGGTATTCATATACAAACTTCAGAAAAGATGGTTACAAGCGAGCTTCTTTCTATTCCCTAAGTCCATTTAAGCATCACCAAAGGCATTTTTTTTATATATACTAGGAGAAAGGGCATTTTAGTGGCTTTAGAAATATGTGGACAGTAAATCTTACTCAAAGTGACTGAAGAAATTAGCCCAAAGCAAAGAAAAAATAAAAGTCAACTGCAGTCCTGGTTTTACCTTTTGAAAGAAAAAAAAAAAAAAAAAAAAACCTACAGTCTATTATCTCTCTCTCTCTCGCTCTCTCCTTCTTTCCTTCTCATTTTCCCTTTCATTCCTTTAGGAATATTATTTAATAATGCAAATAACATATTTAGAATATATGTCATCATGCTGATAAATGACAAAAAAGTAAAGAAAAAAGAGAGAGAGTATAATATAGCAGCAATACCAGAGACATTAGTTTCAGATACATCTGAATGCAAATGTTGATTCACCTACTTTCTAGTTGCGTGATTTTAGGCTAGCTAATTAATCTCTCAGAGTTTTATATTACAGATATTATATTTGACATCTGTAAAATAGAAATCAAAATAATAAACTCATGGGAAAGTTTAAACTTCATAAGGGGCTTAATGCACCTTTGAGCTAGTATGATAACACAAAAATCTAATTATATTTCTTATTTCCTCCACTGAAATCAATCAATATTTTATATTTTCTGTATTATAAGAAGGGTAGATACTCATGAAATTTTGCAGTGTAGTAGATGCAGGTGAAGCTATGTATTGTTTAACCCATAGGTAGCAAAAGAGGCTATTTTTCTCTTGTTACACAAGTTAAAACAAATTAAATACCTTAAATGTGCATAAGTTATCTTATACTCAGTAAAATGAATGCCTTAGACCCTTCATTTTTTATCATGAAAAAAATAGAAACATGCAACTATTCTGAAATGTGCACAAAAGTACTTCAACTAAATCCAACACATCTCAGATTTTAGGGAAATAATGTGAATATTTTAGAAAGGGAAGTTCAATTTTCCAAAAAAGTTTTGCCCAAGATGCTTGTAAATTTACAAACATTATCTATGTTATTTCATATAATTTTATTCTGAGTAAAAATAAAACCAAGGGTAACATTTATCAACATCAAAAATCACTGACTCGTCTTGTGAACAATGCACATATTGGAATGGTCAGTCCCCATTACTATCTTTCACATGATAAACACTCTATTTTTCTTAACTTCTAGAAACTATATATGTTTTATGGAATTTCATTACCAATAAAGAATATAAAGTGCCTATATCTGTGGAGCTTTGCAGTAATTGGTATACTTTATATTCAGGACTATAGTCAGACCAGAAAGAGCTGGGAATTAGGCAGAAAGAAAAATCTGAAAAAGAAGCCATGCAAATGTTTGTTTATATCCATTTACTCTGTCTAAGCAAACAAAAACTGATGAATAAACAAATAAATATAGTACCATGTTCAAGTTGAACTATATTTTAGAGGAAACAAAGAAAGCAACATTAAATGGCAAACAATGCTGCTGTATGTTTGCTATTCTTTAACTAGATTCACATATCCATAAATAAGATAAATGACATTTTCTGATGGAATTAAATCATCACACTTCTTGTTTCTCCTTAAACAGATTCAATCACAAAATTTAAAAATCCTACTAATCTAAATCAAGTAATACTTTGCTTTAAGCTATAAGATACTATGTATCTTTTTAAAGTACCAAAAACTGAATCTATAAGTTAAACTAAGCATGAGAGTAAAAACCAAGTTAGGCTAAATAAAACCAAACACATCACAAAATAATATGGTTTTCCAAAGTCTTTATATTCTTCTGGTAATGTACAGGGAAGTGCTTTGTAAAATGTGAAAAGTAACATAATTATATCAACCACTACTTAGTCTGTGTCTTCTTTCTCTTTTTCATAACCCTTATTTTTCTTCTTTCTCTCTCTCCCTTTTCTTACTCATTTAATGCTTATTGAATGCCCACTAACCTTCAGGCAGAGCACAGAAGAGAAAGCTATGCATCTCACCTTAAGAGATGTATTTGGTTATCATACACATTTTCTATTACTGAAGGACCTCTTTCAGTCAGACTTGTTTCCATAGACAATTTATTAGGCATACAAGGAAATGTAAAATGATCAAAACACTATTCTTTAACTCAACTCCATGTATTTTTGATATGTCAAAATAATAAGATGCACCATTAAAGGACAAGGATTTCCAAATTCAGAAGACGTTGATGGTAAACTACATTATATTCTTACTCATGATTCATGTAAATGATTCATGAAAATAGAAGTGTAAATGTGTTGTTCAAATGACTGATATTGTAAACTGAATCACTGCAGCTCAATGAATAATCTGTGCAGCTCATTCAATAATCTATGCCTTCCTCAAGAATGGAGGCATATACTCGCAGTTATTATTTAGGGGTTAATTATCATGTTTCCTTTTTACTTAAATACCTTCAAATTCACAAGAAGCTGGTTGATCTAAGCAGGTGGCCACGGGAACTCCCCATTTTCTCTCTGCCCTTTCAGACCTCCTCCTCCTATTCCTCAGGTAGCTACTGCCATATACCAGCCCTTGTTCCCCAGGACCAGTCCAGACTGGGTGGCACAGAAGAGGCAGGAAGAAGGAGAGTAAACTGCAGAGCTGCTACTTTTCCAGTTTCCCACACCTGGTCTATTTTTCCAGACATCTCAAAATATCCATCCCTTAGATTATTTTTGGTTACTCACCTAAAAATCATTACCTCAGCCTCAAATTTGAGCATTGGCCATGAAGACTCTCAGTCCTGATTTCCTCTGAATATGCTTGGACTTTATTCGAATCATCCCTCCTCGCCTTGGAGCATTCATGGATGTATTTGTCAACACCTCGGGCCATGGCCCTAAAAGGTTTAGAAATTATGTTGTTGTTGTTGTTGCTGTTGTTATAGTTGTTTTTCTTTAAATAAATATTTTTTTCAGTTAAATATTGCTTATTTAAATACTGCTTTTAACATTCTCTTTTTTAAAAATTCCTTTGATGATAAGGCTATTTATAAAAGTTAAATTAAATCCAGCTGGGAGCAGTGGCTCATGCTTGTAATCCCAGCACTTTGGGAGGCTGAGGCAGGTGGATCACTCGAAGTCAGGAGTTCCAGAGTAGCCTGACCAATATGGTGAAGTCCCATTTATACTAAAAATACAAAAATTAGCTGAGCATGATGGCATGTGCGTGTAGTCCCAGCTACTCAGGAGGCTGAGACAGGAGAGTTGCTTGAACCCAGGAGGCAGAGGTTGCAGTGAGCCGAGATTGTGCCACTGCACTCCATCCTGGGAGACAGAACGAGACTCTGTCTCAAAACAAAACAAAAGAAACAGAAGTTAAATTAAATCCAGAACAACCCTGGAAGACATAGAAAACCACAATGAGTTACAGCAATGGCATGAGATTAGAAGTAGCGAGAGCTGAGAAAGCAGTGGGTCAAAGCTAGGCAATTGCAAGTAGAGGCAACTGGAATCAGCCACACTGGCTTGACCAAAGCCACACCCACACAAGATGACTGGCTTTCTAAGATTCAGTTAGGAGACAGACTCTCTTCATAGGTTTTCTGCACTAAGAAACTCCTACGTTGGACTCTACAGAGAGAAAAGTGTCCCGAGAGGCCAGAAAACCTATGATGACAATAAGAAACGAAAAGATACCTGCACACCCTACAAAAAGCCTTATTTCTTCTCCACAGCAACACCTTAAATCAGTAAGAAAACACTTATGCTCAATAACAGCATAGGAGTGAAGGATGTGGACAAGAACTTTACCAAAAAGTAGCCCCTAAAACAAGTAAAGAAGATTAGTCCAATAATGAAAGAGGGACATAAAACTACTGTTATTACCATTCCTACTGCTGTTTGGTTTAAATTTATATTTCAAGTGTATTAGTGTCTCACATTGTACTAAGCATATTTTCTGCATAAACTCATTTTTTTTTTTTTAAGATGGAGTCTCGCTCTGTTGCCCAGGCTGGAGTGCAGTGGCGTGATCCCGGCTCACTGAGCAAGCTCTGCCTCCCGGGTTCACGCCATTCTCCTGCCTCAGCCTCCCGAGTAGCTGGGACTACAGGTGCCCGCCACCACGCCCAGCTAATTTTTTGTATTTTTAGTAGAGACAGGGTTTCAGTGTGTTAGCCAGGATGGTCTCAATCTCCTGACCTTGTGATCTGCCTACCTCGGCCTCCCAAAGTTCTGGGATTACAGGCGTGAGCCACCGCACCCGGCCACCGCATAAACTCATTTAATTATTGCAACATCATAGGTATTATTATCTCCACTTTACAGATAAGATCAATGAGATTTTTAAAATTATAGTATTTTTACCAACTTCTTACAGCAAAAGCATGAAAGAGTCACAGTTTGGTCTGACTTCAGCATGTTTGTTTTCAATGGCTAAGGTACAGTTTTAAATTTCCAGTTTAAAAAATAACAGTAAAAATTGTATTGATTGGATTAGTAAAATCTTAAATGATTGATAATGTCAATGTTAGGCTATTATAGTATAATTTTATTAAATATTTTCAGCCAATAATGTTAATAATTTGATGCAACTCAATTGTGTATCAAAAGAGGAAAGGTTAAATACATTTTTGGTTATTATGTATAATGAAATACTATGCAGCCCTTTACAAATTTGGGGAACATCTATATCTACTGACATGAAAATATATTCAGGATATAATATAAAGTGAAAAAGCGTGATGCTTTTTTAATGTAATAAGATCATATTTTAAAAAATTATTTGTATAAATGTATCATATATGTGTGCATATATTTGTGAGATATATATATTCTATAAAGTATATCAAACTTCTAACAGTGTCCTTTTAAAAATGGTCATTTTTTTACTAATAAACTTATTTTTTAATAACAATTTTAAAATCATGTATTTACCTATACTTTCGTAACATAATAGAAAAAGAAAAAATTTAGAAGTGGACTTTACCTAGACATAGCAAGTCGTAATTTCTATATTCAAAAGAAGAATCAATTTGTTGTAAAACTCTCTGGAACCCTCAAACTTTATAAATGAAACTACAGATGCTTAAAATGTAAATAACAATTTGTTTTTACTTTTATTTTTGCATGTGCGTTAATATTTTGAGGGATTCTCAATAATAATATATAAAAGTTGTCTAAAATGTGATCATATTTACATTGTTCTTACTTAGAAAAATATTATTTTCTGTTTGATTTAGAAGTGATAGAAAGGGAGTGATTTTGACAGCAGTTAGCCTAGATGACAACTGTAGCATTTTATAGCCACTCATTTATTTGACCTTCTAGAATATCTTATTGTTGCAATGGTTCATGTGAGATTACAAGTTTAAGATGTGACTAGTACTTGGTCCCACTGCAATGAAGGAAGCTTTTCTCTACAAGAATGTGCCACCTGTAGCAAAATCTTCATTGGTGTTACTACCGTAGGTAATGCTATAACAAAATACCACAGGCTGGGTAGCTTAGTCAACAGGAATTTATTTCCTCATAGTTCTGGAAGCTGGAAGCTTGAGATCAAGGTGTTAGCATGATTGGTTTCTCCTGAGGCCTCTCTTCTTGGTTTAGTGATAGCCACTGTCTCTGTGCCTATAGAGATTTCTGGTGTCTCTTCCTCTTGTAAGGACACCAGTCCTATCAGATTAGGGCCCCACCCTTCTGACTTCATTTAATCCTGTTGTCTCCTCATACACCCTATCTTTAAATACAGTCACATTAGGTGTTAGGGCTTTAACATACAAATTTTAGGGAGACACAAACATTTAGTCCATAACACAGGCCCCATGCAAATTGGAAGATACAATCAGAAAATCTCCAGAATGGGTATTAAAAGCATCTCAGCCTTAGCTGGCTAACACTCTTGACTTTGAAGAAGTGTAACAGTAAATGTCAATATCATTGCTATGGTTCTGCTCCAAATTTCACGCTGCCTTCTTATCTTCAAATTCAAAATGAGAGAAAAGGTCAAAAATATTTCAAGATATAGTATACTGAAAAGATACATTTTTAAAATATTCAATGGAATTCCTTCATTTTTTTCTTTCTCCGCTTTCCTAAACATATTTAATTTCTTAGCTCCCAGAAAATCATTGTTTTTAGGTATTTCTTAGAGTTTTCTGACACTCTTCATGCTCAATTTGTGTTCTAATACATATAATTATTTTTCATACAAATGATTAAAAATTTGCTCAAAAGACTAAATTTAAAAAGCAAATATATAATTTTTATCCATTTGTTAACTTATTTTCAAAGTAATGTGTCATTTGAATTCAACTAGTTTTGTTTTCTTTTATTTTGTTTTTTAATGTGCTTGCTTGATTGGTTAACCACTGCATCTGTGCAGACATGAAAGACAGAAGAAATTGAAGAGGGCAGAATAAAAACCATTTTACATGTCCTAGAATTTTTCCAGAAACTCTAAGAGATTTGAGTAGGAGAGAGGCAGTGTGTATTTGTATTGCTTGGAAGCAGCTGCAGTAGCAAACTGAAACAAAGCAAGTCATTCTCTGTCTCTTCTCAGTATGTGAAAGCAAATAAATTTTTTTAAAAAAAAGATATAGCTTGTGGAAAAGAGTCTATTCTGTTCTCCTCATTATTTTAGCAAGAGGTATCATTTTCTCTGTGGTGACTGTGGGAGTGTGACCGTGAAGTTATCTACCACGTCTCATTACATTTTAGCTTAATAGGAATATGGATAATTTCAGCCTTGCTACCAGGTGATTGTAAATGTGCTGATTATCTGTGTCTCCTCTGAATTGGTAAGAGTACAGTCCGCTCCATCACTTGTTTTGTTTGTCAGGAGGAAGAAATTTTTTTGTGGACCCTGTTTAAGCTAAGTTCTAATAGAATTAGAATGCCAGATCTTATTAAAAAAAAAAAACTGGTCGTATCAGAGATTAATGTATCCTCCATACTAATAAATTTACAAAACTTTAATAACAGCCAACGTAAAGTACATTAGAATTTTTCTCAACACCCAAATTATGAAAGTATACATGTGATTGATAGTAAACATGTTTTTATTTTTTATGTTTCCTGCCTAGTAATTTATCTACAAAACAAACATTTATAATATTACTTCTTAGGCTTTTTGAATGCTAATGACATTTTAGAATTCACATCTCCTCTTACAATTCAAAACAGGGGCACATTTAGTGCTATAATGTATTTAAAGTGCTCCTTTTAGAATTGTCCTATGTGGTAAAGATGATAATGTTCCCTGCTGATCATCATTTGTTTTAAGCTAAGAGAATAAATCCAAATTTTTAACTAGATCTATCCTTTTCTAAACTTTCAAGTGAATTTCAGACTCAAAGATAACAGTCCTGCAATCTGCCATGATCACTGCCACTGCTCCAGCCCATAGCACAGTGCCTGGCATACAATATAAATATGTATTGAACAAATAAATAAATGAATGAATCACCCTCATAACCTTTCTCCTCTGCATTTGTTTCACATTGGCCAACACTAACATAAAACACCAGATAAATTTTAAGTGAAGTAAAACAATCTAGTGGTTCCCAAATGCTAGCAAATAAAATAGACTAAGGTAGGTCAAGATAAACCTGAAAGAAGACAAATCCTAGAGAAATTCAGTGACACAGACAAAAACATGTATGCAAACTTTAAAAAGAATATATATGAATAAATCATTGTGCTTTTAAATAAAAATGCACTTCCACAAGCAAATAGTCACACAATGATGAAGTGGTATTTCTAAAGTTTTATGCAAAGCGTTTTTCTTGCTCTCTACCTGTTCATTTACCCAAAGGCATTTTTCTCTTATTGAAAATTCACTTACAGCACAGAGTTCATTCAGGAAAAGAATCACAGCTCTTCTTATGTGATACAGAAACTGTGAACTATCTTGTGTCACTTTTGTTTTAATCTATGTGGACATATATAGTTGTCTAGGAAGAGAGATGGAGGCCAATGATAATAAAAATGATGCCACATGGATGTATGCTTCAGCTTTCCCTACAAACAACAAGCCATTCCAATCCTGGCTCTGGATTCATTTATTTATTGTCAACACTCATTTTTGGTTTATTGTTTTGTTCATCAGTTCCTTCGTCACCCAGTCGCTTGTTTTGTGCCTCCAAGTCTCAGTCAATTCATACGAATGACTTGAATGCCCCCAAATCAAACGAGTTTTGAACCTGATTACCTCCTCCACTCTTGGCTGCAGAGGTTGAAATATTATAGTCCTTCAAGGCATAAACCATGTACTTCAAATAGGAAGCAGTTATGTGCCTTAGTAGCTGACCAAGTGAAAAGTGTCTGTGAGCCCAAATTTATTCCAATATTTGTTTTTAGGTAGTATTTTGCAAGATTTCTAAAATGCAGAATTCTAAGTTTTCTAATAGCAAAGTAATTTAGGTTGGCTTACTTTATATCGATCTGTTCTTTTTTTATTTTTTTATTGTTTCTATTAAGGAGACCAGAAAGAAAATGCAGCATTTCAAAATGCCTGTTCTTCCCCAGTGATGGGAAAGGAGGGCTGCGAGGGGGGGGAAGGACCCAGCATGCTGCAAGCACACAGGCATGGCGCAGGAGCGTCAAAACAAGGCAGCAGTGGCTACTCAGTACCTCTGCCCATTCACAGTGGGATGCAGCTTTTTGATTTAGACACATTAAGGCTGCTAGTCTTCTCTGAGGGTGTGGAAATGAAATATATGTTTCTGGGTTCCTGGTTCTGGTAAGAATCAGACAGCCCAGGCTTAATGAAGGGTCTACCTACAGCCAGACACTCTCAGAGAGCCAGACCTCTGGCCAGCAAAGGCAAACTCCAGGGTCCCAATGCCAGTGGCTACAGCAGTACTCTCATTAGCTGCAGAAAGATGGTGCCTTCATTGTCACTGATACTGAGAATAGTGAGGAGGGTGACAGGCAGGCAGAGGCTACTGTTGGAATAAATATAAAGCAATGAGATCGTCTCAAAGAAACCACAGGAACAAATGATGTTTTGTTTCGATAGCATGGGGAAGAAGCTACGGACAATTCTGACAGAATGTCATTTATTGCAAGTGTGACACATTTGTTTGAGTGTGAGGGAAAGAAAGTCAACTGTTAATTTTCTGCTAATGAAGAGATGGATCTAGAAATGCTTCTAGGAGTCTCCAGAAACCTGTTTCTCCTACTCCTAAAACTAAGGAAGCTGACATTGATTTTCATTATTGAGACTGTGTGCCAGGACAATAACACAATGTGTATGCCACCTCTCACCTCCATTAATTCTCACATTTGTATGCAAAAGATGCAAAGATGCAAAATGTTTTATAAATCATGAGACCCAGAAAAAACAATCTCGTTATGGGGGAACTAAAATCAAAATATACAAGAGTTGTTTCAACTACTTTCTTGACAGTATCTAGTTCTTCAGATGGTCAAGAAAGAAAGCTCTCAGAGGCCAGAAAACAATCCATGATACCACAGTGCTCAGATGCATGATTTCAGTTTACTCATAGCATATAAACGACAAATGCTTCTTTATAATTCAGTCAGAGTTCAACTAAAGAAGCAGACTCAAGAAGTAGTATATATTAAAGGACCTACTACAAGTAATTTGCTTTACACGATTGATTTTTGTGTCCAAAATCAGTCAGGTGTGTGCTCAGGAAGGAAAGATCAAAAGCAGGCCGGAACCCTGTAAGACCCAGCTGAGGCTTTAAGGCCAAAGGTGATCAGAAAAGAAGGAAACAGCAGGCTGAAGCCCAAGGACCATGAGATCAGGAAAGGCCTGAAGCTGCCTGAGAAGGCTCACTTGCTTGGATGATCTCCCTTTAGATTAATTTAGGGACTTCACTGAAATCTGCAAAATCTCTTCACAGCAGCAACTAGACTCCTGTTTTACTGGGTAGTTTGTAACTGTAGCTCAGCCTAGCTAAATTGCCCATTACAAAGTTATCATGGCAGCGATTGTCCTTCCTGCTTTGAAAATACATTAACACATTCTTGAGAGTACACCTGATTGTACATTCTAAAACAATTTTTTAAAAACTTCTACAATAAAAGGCAGTTAAAACACTTCCCACCATTTCCTGTCTGGGGGTTACATGGGGGCTGGTGCGCTGAGCAGTTGGAACAGACTCCAGGAACGCTCCTACATTCAGATGGAGGGTGAGAACAGATAAGCTTTGACACTTTCAAGTAGACGTTCTGTGCTAGCCTGCTCTCTAATGACTTAGCACGTCATCAGAAATGGCTATAGGAAAAAGTGCCAAGTTTTAGTCTAAAGATTCTTGTCGACCGGGCGCGGTGGCTCACGCCTGTAATCCCAGCACTTTGGGAGGATGAGGCGGGCGGATCACAAGGTCAAAGAATAGAGACCATCCTGGCCAACATGGTAAAACCCCGTCTCTACTAAGAATACAAAAATTAGCCGGGGATGGTGGCGGGCGCATGTAGTCCCAGCTACTCGGGTTCAAAGAGAATCGCTTGAACCCGGGAGGTGGAGGCTGCAGTGAGCCGAGATCGCGGCACTGCACTCCAGCCTGGGGACAGAGCAAGACTCCGTCTCCAAAAAAAAAAAAAAAAAAAAAAAAAAAAAAAAGATTATTGTCTGCCAACAAGAAACTCAGAACACAAGTGAACACAGTTCTCTGGCTGACACGCCTTCCCTTCAGCGCAGGATGAGTGGTCACTGAAGGGAAGCTGCAGGGAGACTGGGGCCACGATGGAATTCCATCACTCACAGACCATGCTCATCATGTGATAACATAAGCAGGACTTTTATACAAGAGTTGGGCACCCCTCTCACCACTGATTTTTTTTTGTCTCTTTTTTTGTGTGTGTTACAAGAGGAGAGAATTTTTCTTCTTTTATTTTCTTTTCCTTTCTTTTAACAGTTTTACAAACTGAAGTCAAGAGTACTTTCAATCAGGTCTCCCACAGGGAAAGAAAAAAAGCCAATGGAATTACCAGAGCCCTTTCTTCTCTTTTCTCTTCCAGGTAGGAGGGAGGGATCCCAAGGCTATGGGCTGGGAAAATGAGTAAGTAAAAAATAAACTAAATGCAAGGAAGTGGGAGGGTACTGCAAGGGCGAAGAAAGAAATTAACCATACCTTTTTCTTTTACTTTTTCTTTTTTAACCTTATGGTTTAAATATAAATTGAAGGTCTTGAATAAATTTGGAAAGGAAAAGAAACACCATTCTCTCAAAGTACATTAAAGGTATAATTATTAAAAAAGGAAATGGAACTAAAACATGTCAGATTTTTAACCTTTTCTTTACATTTTATCTAGACATCTTTTTACTAGAAATATTGTAGAAAGTTAATACTTGCCCCAGCAAATGCCAAGCAGTGGCACCTGTCCATTTTCCATAGAATCCTACTTTGTGAAGCACCAAAATGCCCGGCTCTGAGTTTCTGCATACACTGCCCAGAAACCACTGTTCAGATTTTAAGCCATAGTTTGCTTTCTTCCATTTTTTAACACTTTGGGGTTCTTATACAACATTTTATGAGCCATGGAGTATGCTTCAGGTAGATCATCCAGAAAAGTACGTGGGGACACTGTTGTGGGGGTGTTAGACAATTTATGAGACATTTATTGCTTGGTCAGCATGAATTTCTGGCATTCAGTTTTGAGCATTAGTTGCTGATAGATTAGTCTTGCCCTTTTAATCAGGGTTAGCCTAATCAATTGTCATTTTAAATGTGACTTTGAATAGTTCAAATGGGTACACTACCAAAAAGTATAATTTGATTCCAATGGTCTCTGTATCGTGTGGAGTGATGTCAGGAACAAGCTCAACAAGAAGTCAAAAAATAAATGTCATCATCTGAAAATGGAAGTTTTTCACCCCACATTTACAGGTTTCTTCAAGTTCCTTCATTAGTCTCTTGCAGATCCCTATCTTAGAGCTAGGTCCCTATCCTATTTACTATGCCTTTGCTATTCATGTTTAGTCTGCATTTTAAACAAGCATAATACAACTATAGTTTATTTGTTTTGGCGAGTCCCAGGGTATCATGCTTAAACATCACTTGTAAGACATGAGAATAGTAATAGAACTGTGTTTTCAATCTATGGTTTGTACATATTCGACCACACAGAATTCAATGTTACCTTACAGACTTCCTTGGTTAAATGAATAATAGAATGCAAAAATAATACAGAAAAAATATTATATTTATACTTTAGATTTCAAAAAATTCAGGTTCTTAATTTTGGAGTACAACTAGGACTAGGATGCATTGATTTGGCTTACTGTGAACAAAGAATTGTGTATCCTCAATCAATACTGTTGATGTTGTTAAACACCCATGTTTGTTTATTGGCTCTTCACTGTAACCTTTGGTGACAATGATAAGATCTTGATCACAGAAATGTAGACATCTTTAAGCAGCTACATTCTATGTACTTAAAACTAGTGGATTTTTCCCATCTGGGAAGATGTAGTCAAAATATTTGTCTCAATTTTTCTTGCTAAGTACAATTAAAAACCCTGAACACTGTACATAGTACAACCACAAGAAGATTCTGAACGGTGGGGAAAAAAAAAGACTGACTGACAAGGGACAGTCAGCCTAGCAAGCCAGAAAACTTTTAAACAATGATTGCTCTACTACAGCCAAATAACACAGAAAACATTATGGCCAGCTGAACCTCAGTGGGTAGTCTAGGCTTTCATCATAGCCGGGTTGTAACAAAGAGTCCCAACTCCCCTTTCCCATCCCTGCTACCATCAAGGTGTTATCAGATAAGGCCAAGTGAAAAGCTGATATTTTCATCCCTGCTGGGAGGGTAATGAGACGCCCTTTCAACCTCAGTGTTAGTGGAGACCATGTGAAGAGCCCAGATTTCAACCCAGCAGTACAAAGATGCCCCTCCCTTTTCCTTCTACGGTGGTACCACGGGAGGCATAGTGAAGAGTCAGGACCTCCACTACTATCTAGTGGATAGTTCCCATGGTGGACAGAGGGTGTAGCAAAAAGACACTACGCATCACAGCCAGGGAGGTAACAGTGGAGGCCTAGCGGAAAGCCAGAACTCCTGTGTTCAAGCAGTTGTCAGTGAGTGTTTGAACCCACCTCAACTGTCAATTGTGGCCAAATGGGGGGCCTACACTTCTGCCCACATCTGGTAATAAAAAGGCAGCACACCAGTCTTCCCCAACCAGAATGGCATCAGAGAATACATGCTCAAAAAGATTTAAGTAAAATCCAGAGACTCAAAACATAATCTACAAAATGTCCACATTTAAATTGCAAGTTACTTGTCATACCAAGAACCAAGAAGAACTCAAACTGAATGAAAAAACATAATTGAAAGATGCCAACCCTGAGATGTCAGAGTGTAAAAGTATCTGACAAAAATTTTAAAGCGGCCATTACTAAAATAATTTAACAATTACTATTGTGCTTGAAACCATAAAGAAAAAAATAGAAAAATCAAAAAAGAACCAAATGAAATTTATAAAACTGGAAAATATATAGCTGAAAGGAAAAATAGAAAATGAAAAAGCTTTCGTTATTGGCTCAACAACAGAAAAGATGAGACAGAAGAAAACATCATTGAACCTGATAAATGAAACAATATAAATTTCCTAACCTAAACAACAGAGAATAAATGGAAATTAAGAGAGAGAGAGACAGAGAGTGCAACCATGGCCTCGGGGATCTATGGGACTATACAAATGATACAACATTGATGTTATGAGTCCTGAAGGAAAGGAGAAAGACAGTGGGGTTAAAAATGCTTACACCTGTAATCCCAGCACTTTGGGAGGCCGAGACAGTCAGATCACCTGAGGTAGGGAGTTTGGGACCAGCCTGGCCAAAATGCTGAAGCCCTGTCTCTACTAAACATACAAAAATTATCTGGCTGTGGTGGTGCATGCCTGTAATCCCAGATAACTGGGAGGCTGAGACACAAGAATTACTTGAACCTGGGAGGTGAAGTTTGCAGTAAGCCAAGATCATGCCACTGCACTCCGGCCTGGGCAATAGAGTGAGACTCTCTATCAAAAAAAAAAAAAAAAAGTAATCTAAATTAATGGTAGGAAATTTCCCAAAGTCTGCAAAAGACATGAACCTACTGATTCAAAAAAGCTCAGTGAATCCTTAAATGAATAAACCCAAAGAAATCTACACTTGGACACATTGTAGTAAACCTTCTAAAAACTAAAGGCAAAGAAAACAATGAGAGAGAAACAATACCTTACTAGCAAGTGAAAAACATGTCAAATGACAGTAGATTTCTCATCGGAAACAATGTGTGCCAGAAGGAAATGCCAGAATGTTTTTCAAATGTTTAAATAAAAGAACTGTCAACTCAGAATTCTACCTCCAGGAAAATATTATTCAAGAATTAAGACGAAAATCAAAACCTTTTCCTATTTTGATGAGGAAAAATGAAAAGAATTTTGAAAAGAATTTTTTTGCCAGCAGAACTGCCTTAAAAGAATGGCTAAGAAGTTATTTGAACAGAAAGAGAATAATTAAAGAAGAAAACTTAGAACACCAGAAAGGATGAAAGAACATCATAAGCAAAAATATGGGTATATAAAATATACTGAATTTCAATACATATTTTTCTTTTCTTGAGTTTTCTAAATTATGTTTGATGGTTAAAGCAAAAGTTATCACATTGTCTAATACAGTTCTAAATGTAAATAGAGAAAATATTAGGCAATTATTTATAAGTACAAGAAGATAGAGTGACATAAAAAGGAGGTAAGATTTCTGTGCATCAATTTAAAGGGTAAAATGGTAACACCAGTAGACTATGATATGCTACGTATATAATCTGATATATAGAACAACCCTAAAAAGGGTTACACAAAGAGATATGAAACCACCTTTGCAAAATTATAACTGAGGAAATTATGACAGTGAAAGAAATCGGACTTAATCGACTCCATCTTGCTTCTAACATTTAAGCTGCCCTTGTTCATTCCTGGGCATAGGCTGAACTTTGGGAAGGAATTCAGTTCATAGTTTAACTCTGAAACAAAATTGACAACAGCCCTTTCCCAAAAAGACCACTTTCTTGCCTGGGGGCCAGTCTGCCTTTGCAGGACTAACACATTAGCTCCAAGATTAGAAATTACAGTTTAGGGGTCATGCAGCCTCTTGCTCCAAGATTGTGAACCTCCCCAAATCGCTCTTGGGGATAACGTCACTATTGTAAAACCTAAGATCACTGCTTGAGATATCTCGCAGACCCTGCACTGGATGGATCAGCTGACACCTCTCCCAGACGGGTAATCTGGCCCAACCAGTTCTGCCATCCCACTCAGGAACAGAAGACAGCAAGAAAACCTCACTTGGACCTGCTATGATTCCATCTCCAACCGGACCAATCAGCACTCCCCACTTCTCAAGCCCCTACCCTCCAAATTATCTTTAAAAACTCTGATCCCCGAATGCTCAGGGAGAGTGATTTGAATAATAAAAAAATTCCTGTCTCTCGCACAGCCAGCTCTTCATGAGTTACTCCTTCTCCATTGCAATTCCCCTGTCTTGATAAATCGGATCTGTCTAGGCAGCAAGCAAGGTGATCCCACTGGGCAGTTACACATAGACTCAAAAACACCATACATATGGCCAGGCACGGTGGCTCATGCCTATAATCCCAGCACTTTGGGAGGCCGAGGCAGGTAGGTCACGAGGTCAAAAGATTGAGACCATCCTGGTCAACATGGTGAAACCCTGTTTCTACTAAAAATACAAAAATCAGCTGAGCGTGGTGGCGCATGCCTGTAGGTCCAGCTACTCAGGAGGCCAAGGCAGGAGAACTGCTTGAACCCAGGAGGCAGAGGTTGCAGTGAGCCGAGATCACACCACTGCACTCCAGCCTGGCAACAGAGCAAGACTCTGTCACAAAACAAACAGACAAACAAAAATGCTATACATACATCAAAATAAAATTCTAAAGAAAATATTTAATTAACTCACAGTAGAGCAGGAAAAAGTAACCAGACAGATAAAAACCAAGAGACAACAAAGAAAATGAAAAGCAAAATTGCCCTGTAAACAATTACATTAAATGCAAATGTCTTAAAATACAGCTATTGGCATAACAAATTATTAAACATAACCAAGTATATGCTGTCTACAGTAAACTCACTTCAATATAAAGCAGTTTGAAAGTAAAGGGATGGAAAAAGATACATTATGCAGATATTAATTGAAAGGAGGAATGGCTATGTTAACATTAGATAAAGTATATTTCAAAGCAAAGAAAATATTTTATAATGATAAAAGAATCAGGCCGAGTGCAGTGGCTCATGCCTGTAATCCCAGCACTTAGGGAGGCCGAGGCAGGTGGATAACCTGAGATCAGGAGTTCAAGACCAGCCTGGCCAACATGGTGAAACTCTGTCTGTACTAGAAATACAAAAATTAGCCAGGCATGGTGGTGCATGCCTGTAGTCCCAGCTACTTGGGAGGCTGAGGCAGAAGAATCACTTGAACCTGGGAGGCAGAGGTTGCAGTGAGCTGAGATAGTGCCACTGCACTCCAGCCTGGGTGACAGAGTGAGACTCTGTCTCAAAAAAAAAAAAAAAAAAAAAAGAATCAATCCAACAAAAAAAAATAACAATTCTAAACAAGTATGCACCAAGTAAGACAGGTACAAAACAGGCATGCACCAAGTAACACATGCTGTGAAGCAACAGTAAATAAAACTAAAATAATAAAAGGAAACATTTACATTTATATTAGGAGATATCAACATCCTTGTCCCAACAATTAATAGAACAAATAGACAGAGAATCAGAAAGGATATAAAACTCAATAACAACATTAACTGACAGAATCTAATGAATATTTATAGAGCACTTCACTGAACAACAGCAGAAGACGCATTATTTTCAAGTGCCCCCAGAGCATATGCCAAATTACACCATATACTGGGACATAAAACAAACCTCTACCAATGTAAAGAATTAAAATCACAGACGTTGTGTCTTCTGATTACAATGAAATGAAACTAAAAGCAATAATAAAAAGATAATAGAAGAATTTCCAAAAGCTTGGAAACTAAACAACACACTTCTAAATAATACATGGCTCAAATAAAAAGTCTTAAAGGAAATTTTAAAAATAAACTGAGCTGAACTAATTTGAAATTATAACACATCAAAATTTGTTGAACACAGGCCAGGCGCGGTGGCTCAAGCCTGTAATCCCAGTATTTTGAGAGGCTGAGGCGGGCGGATCATGAGGTCAGGAGATCGAGACCATCCTGGCTAACATGGTGAAACCCTGTCCCTACTAAAAATACAAAAAAATTAGCCAGGCGTGGTGGCGGGTGCCTGTAGTCCCAGCTACTCGGGAGGCTGAGGCAGGAGAATGGCGTGAACCCAGGAGGCAGAGCTTGCAGTGAGCCAAGATTACGCCACTGCACTCCAGCCTGGGTGACAGAGCAAGACTCCATCTCAAAAGAAAAAAAAGAAAAAAAAAAATTTGTTGGACACAGATAAAGCATTGATGAGAGGGAAGACAAGCATTAAATGCATGTATTATTCAGGAAAAGCCTCAAATCAATAATCTAAGCTCCCATTTCAAGAACTGAGAATAGTGACATAAGCTAAAAGTAAGCAAAAGGAATGAAATAATAAAAATAAGATCAGAAATCAATAAAACTGAAAAACAGTAAAGACAATCTAAAAACAGCTGGTTCTTTGAAAATATGAATAAAGTAGGCAAATCTCCAGCAAGACTAAGAAAACGAAAACGCAAAGCACTACTATCAGGAATGAAACAAAAAACATCACCATAGACTCTACTGACATGAAAAAGATAATAATCGAATACCAAGAACAATTTCACACATATAAATTTGACAACTTAGATGAAACAGAGTTATTCATCAATAAAACAAAATAGAGGAAATCTAACACAACTCATTCAGTAAGAAATGGATAATTTAAATCATTCTATAGCTTCTGTAACTATTAAGGAAACTGAAGTCATAAATTAAAAACTCTTAAAGAAAAAAATAATTACTATTTTCAGATAGTTTCATTGTAGAATTCTAGCAAATGTTAAAAAAAATCAATTCTACACAATTTGTTCCAGAAAAATAGATGAGGATACAGAAAACCATTCCCAATTTATTATTCGATGCTACTATTACCCTGATACAAAAAAACAGACAAAGACCATGCAAAACAGAAAACTGCAGATGCACATCCTTGTGAATATAGATGCAAAATCCTTAACAAAATATATGTAAATATAATTCAGCAATACGTAAAAAGAATTATACACATGACAAAGTTAGGTTAATTTCAAGTATAAAAGTCTAGTTCAGAATTTGATAATCCATCAATGGAACCCACCATATTAACAGACAAAAAAGGAAAATCATATGATCATATCAATTTATGCACAAAAATATTTAACAAAGTTCAAAACTCATTTAGCATTTAAACAGAAAAACTCTCAGAAAAATAGGGCCAGAAGGGTACTTTCTCAACCAGTTAAAGAGCAGCTCTAAGAACTCTATAGTTAATATTAGGCTTAATATTAAAGACTCAACACTTTTCTCCTAAGATCAAGAAAAGGGCAAGAGGCCAGGCACAGTGGCTCACGTCTGTAATCCCCAGCAGTTTGGGAGGCCGAGGATGGTGGATCACCTGAGGAGTTCAAGACCAACCTGGCTAAAATGGTGAAACCCTGTCTGTACTAAAAATACAAAACTTGGCAGGGCGTGGTGGCACATGCTTGTAGTCCCAGCTACTCAGGAGGCTGAGACAGGAGAATTATTTGAACCCAGGAGGCGGAGGTTGCAGTGATCACACCACTGCACACTCCAGACTGGGCAACAGAGCAAGACTCTTGTCTAAAAAAAAAAAAATAAAAGGAACAAAAAGAAAAAAAAAGAGAAGAGAAGAGAAAAGAAAAGAAAAAAGAAAAGAAAAGAGAAAAGAAGGGCAAGAATGTCTGCTCTGGAAATATGAGCCAGTTTGATAAGACTAGAAGGGAAATGGAAGGCACACATATCTGAAAGAAAGAAATAAACTCTCTATTTGCATATGACATGATGATTTACATAGGAAATCCCAAGGAATTAACAACAACAAAACTTTGGTAAGTAATAAATGAGTTCAGTAAGGTTGCAGGATACAAGATGAACATACAAAAATAAACCATCATGTTATACTAGCAATGAACCCATGTACAATGAAATTAGTAAAATATCATTTCCCATGATTCTAAAAATAATGTAATACTTAGGCATAAATCTAATAAAACATGCACAGGACTTGTACGTTAAAAATTACAAAATGCTGAAGAAAAAATCAAAGATGATTTAAGTAAATTGACAGATATACTATGTTTGCGGACTGGAAAATTTAACATAGAAAATATATTTATTCTCCTCAAATTTATATAGAAGTTTAACACATTACCAAAAAGATCGTAGTAAGACTTTTTTGCAGATATAGAAAACATTATTCTAAGATCTATAAGGAAAGAAAAGGGAACTAGAATAGCTAAAACAATTTGGTGAGGGAAAAAAGAATAAAATAAAAAGAACCCATCTTCTCAATATCAGGGATATACACATAGGTTAACAGACTAGAGAAGTCAGAAATAGATGCACACAATATGTCAAAGTGATTTTTGACAAAAGTGCAAAAGGAATCCAATGAAGAAAAATTAGCTTTTAAAAAAAATGGTACTAGAGCAAGTATACCTCCATAGGCAATAAACAAACAGAAAAGAAAAAAAGGAAGAAACTTAAACTAAGGATCACAACCTATAAAAAACTAATTCACAATGGATCATGCCCTTAAGTATAAAACCATAAGCTTTCTGGGGGAAAAGAAGAAGAAAATCTTCAGAATGTAGGGCCAGAGAGTTCCAGACTAAATATCAAAAGCCAAATCTATAAAAGAACAATATGATAAATTAGACTTAAATCTAAAATATTTTACTCTGCAAAAGACTTTGGAAAGAGGATGAAAAGACAAGATATAGATGATAGATAGATAGGTAGATATAGAGATATAGGAGATATATATTTATATATAGAAAAATATATATAGACATATGTAGAAAAATATATACAGAAAAAGTATATATTATATATATATATATATATATGTGTATATATACACACATACACAGTTGAGACAACGTCTCTTTCTGTTTCTGTCAGCCAGGCCAGACTGCAGTGATGCAATCATGGCTCACTGTAATCTCAACCTCCAAGGCTTAAGCAACCTTCCCACCCAGCATCCCAAGTAGTGAGACTACAGGCACCCACCACCATACCTGGCTCATTTTTTAAAAAATTTTTTGTAGAGACAGGGTCTCACTATGTTGCCCAGGCTAGTCTCAAATTACTGGCTTCAAGCAATCTTCCCACCTTAGCCTTCTAAAGTGCTTGAATTATAGGCATGAGCCACTATGCCTAGTAAAACATGATTGTTAAAAATTTACAAACTATATATCTGAAAAAGGACTAGTATCTAGAAAATAAAAAGCTCTCTCAAAACTTAACAGTAAAAAATGGAAGCAATTCAATAGAAAAGTGGGAAAAAGATATGAAAGATATTTCACTGAAGAGGATAAGCAGATGACAATGAAGCACTTGTTAAAAAGTTCAACATCATCAGCTGTTAAAAGAAACTGCTAACTGGGCCAGGTGCGGTGGCTCACGCCTGTAATCCCAGCACTTTGGAAGGCCGAGGTGGGCGGATCACGGATCACGAGGTTAAGAGATCGAGAGACCATCCTGGCCAACATGGTGAAACCCCGTCTCTACTAAAAAGAGAAAAATTAGCCAGGCCTGGTGGTGCTGCACGCCTATAGTCCCAGCTACTCGGGAGGCTGAGGCAGGACAATCTCTTGAACCCAGGAGGCGGAAGTTGCAGTGAGCCAGGATCGGGCCACTGCACTCCAGCCTGGGTGACAAGAGAGAAACTCCGTCTCAAAAAAAAAAAGAAAATAAAAACAACAACAACAAAAACAAACAAACTGCTAACTGGGGTGGTGCCAGGATGGCTGACTAGAAGCACCCATGATCGGAGGCTCCCATCAAAAAGAACCATAATTAGCGTGTAAATCCTCCACCTGCAACCAAGGTATCAGGGTTCTCTCAGTAGAACTGACAAGGTGGCTGACGTGATCCACAGACAGGAAGCAAGAGCAGTGTGGTGTGGCAGCCCAACTGAGAGCCACACAGGGTAGGGTAGGGGAGGCCCCACCTGCAAGCCAAGGGAGGTTGTGAGTGAACATGCTACCCAGCCAGGGAAACTGTACTTTTTCCACACGACTGTGCAACCCGTGGATCAGAAGATCCCACTTGCAAACCCATGCCACCAGGGCCTAGGATCCCAACCCCAGAGCCACGCAGATTCTCAACAGCTTCTCAGCTAGAATCTGCTTAAGCCTGCTGAGTTCCCGAAGGGAGGGGTGACCAGCACCACACCTCCAGCCACCTGCTGTCTAAGCTATTTGAGCTCCCTGGGGGAGGGGCAGCAGTCAGCATTGGGACTCCTAAGTACCTAACACGCTAAACTCCCTGGGCGGGGGAAGGGTGGCATCCATCTCTGTAGCTCCAGGTTGTGCTTTTCCCCTGCTGGAGCCAGGGAGGCTGATGGCTTGGTCCCAGCCCACCACACCAGCTGTGGTAGACTGTGGCCAGAGCACCTCTTCAGGCCTGACCCTGACCCATCCTTCCTCACAGGGTGGGGGATCCTTACAGGAACTCCAAGAACTCCAGCCAGAGCCTCAGAGACAGAATCCGGATCTCCTTGGGCCTGAGCCCCTGAGGGGAGGGACATCGGCAGTCTTTGTGGACCAGTAGACTTAGCTTTTCCTCCTGGTAGTTCTGAGGAATCTGGGCAGCTCAAATGAGTGAGTTTCCCCCCAGGCAAAGCACAGCCCCTCCACCAAGGGACAGTCAAAGTGCTTCATTAAATGGGTCCTGCTCCCCATGCAACCCGAGTGAGACCCTCCAACAGGGGTTGTCAGATACCCTATACAGTAACGATCCTACTGGCATCATGTTGGTGCTCCTCAAGGTCAGCAATCCCAGAAGAAGTATCAGGCACCCATCTTTGCTGTTCTCCAGCCTCCTTGAGTGACACCTGCAGGCGTGGGAGCAAACCAGATGAATAGGGCCTGAAGCGAACACCCAGCACACCACAGCAGCCCTACAGAAGAGGAACCTGACCATTGAAAGAAAAACAAACAAAGCAACAACAGCAACATCAACAATAAAGAAGTCCCCATAAAAAACCCATCCAAGAGGCAGCAGTCTCAGAGATTGAAACTAGACAAACTCATGAAAATGAGAATCAATAAAAAAACGCTGAACACCCAAAAGGCCAGAGTACCTCTTCTCCTCCAAATGAGTGCACTGCCTCTCCAGTAAGGTTACAGAACTGGACAGAGGCTGAGATGGATGAATTGACAGAAGTGGCTTCAGAAGATGGGTAATGAAAAACACTGCTGAGCTAAAGGAGCATGTTCTAATCCAATGCAAAGAAGCTAAGAACGTCGATAAAAGGCTAGAGGAGCTGCTAACTACAATAATCAGTTTAGAAAGGAACATAAATGACCTGATGAAGCTGAAAAACACAGCAGGAGAACTTCATGATGCATACACAAGTATCAATAGTTGAACTGACCAAGCAGAAGAAAGGATATCAAAAGTTGAAGACTACCTTGTTGAAATAAGGCAGAAGATAAGGTTAGAGAAAAAAGAATGAAAAGGAACAAACAAAGCCTCCAAGAAATATGTAAAAAGACCGAACCTATGATTGACTGGAGTACCTGAAGGAGACAGGGAGAATGGAAACAAGCTGGAAAACACACTGCAGGATATCATCCAGGAGAACTTCCCCAACCTAGCAAAACAGGCCAACATGAAAATTCAGGAAATGCAGAGACAACTACTAATATACTACATGAGAAGATCAACCCCAAGACACATAATCATCAGATTCTCCCAGGTCGAAATGAAAGAAAAAATGTTAAGGGCAGCCATAGAGAAAGGCCAGGTCAGCTACAAAGGGAGGCCCATCAGACTCAAAATAAAGGATGGAGGAAAATTTACCAAGCAAATGGAAAGCAAAAACAAAGTAAGAGGTTGCTATCTTAGTTTCTGACAAAACAAACTTTAAACCAACAAAGATCAAAAAAGATAAAGAAGGGAATTACATAATGGTAAAGGGAACAATTCTACAAGAGCTATCTTAAATATATATGCACCCAATACAGGAGCACCCAGATTCATAAAACAAGCTCTTAGAGACCTACAAAGAGGCTTAGACTCCCAAACAATAATAGTGGGAGACCTTAACACCCCACTGTCAGTATTAGACAGATCAACGAGACAGAAAATTAACAAGGATATTAAGGACTTGAACTCAGCTCTGAATCAAGTGGACATAATAGATATCTACAGAACTCTCCAACCCAAATCAACAGAATATACATTCTTTTCAGTGCCACATGGCACTTACTCTAAAATGGACCACGTAATTGGAAGTAAAACACCCCTCAGAAAATGCAAAAGAACTGAAATCATAACAGAATCATAGACCACAGTGCAATCAAATTAGAACTCAAGATTAAGAAACTCACCCAAACCACACAATTATGTGGAAATTGAACAACCTGCCCTGCATGACTCCTGGGTAAATAATGAAATTAAGGCAGAAATCAATAAGTTCTTTGAAACCAGTGAGAACAAAGAGACAATGTGCCGGAATCTCTGGGACACAGCAGTGTTAAGAGGGAAATTTATAACATTAAAGCCTACATCAGAAAGCTACACAGATCTCAAATCAACACACTAACATCACAATTAATAGAGCTAGAGAGGCAAGAGCAAACTAATCCAAAAGCTAGCAGAAGACAAGCAATCACTAAGATCAGAGCAGAACTGAAGAAGATAAAGACATGGAAAACCCTCCAAAAAAAAATCAATGAATCCAGGAGCTGTTTTTTTTTTAAATTAACAAAATAGATAGGCCACTAGCTAGACTAATGAAGAAAGAGAGAAGAATAAAACAGAGACAATAAGAAATGATAAAGGAGATATCACCACTGACCCCACAGAAACACAAACTACTATCAGAGAATAATGTAAACACCTCTATTCAAATAAATGAGAAAATTTAGAAGAAATGGATAAATTCATGGACACTCCCAAGACTAAACCAAGAAGTTGAATCTCTGAATAGACCAATAATAAGTTCCGAAATTGAGGCAGCAATTAATAGCCTACCAACCAAAAAAAAAGACCAGGACCGGACAGATCCACAGCCAAATTCTACC
Source organism: Homo sapiens (assembly GCF_000001405.40). Lineage (NCBI taxonomy): Eukaryota > Metazoa > Chordata > Mammalia > Primates > Hominidae > Homo > Homo sapiens. The sequence continues at coordinate 175,390,096 of NC_000004.12, forward strand.
AGAGGTACAAAGAGTAGCTGGGACCATTCCTTATGAAACTATTCCAAACAGCTGAAAAGCAGAGACTCCTCCCTAATTCACTTTATGAAGCCAGCATCATCCTGATACCAAAACCTGGCAGTAACACAACAACAACAAAAAAACTTCAGGCCAACATATCTGATGAACATCAATGCGAAAATCCTCAATAAAATACTGGCAAACTGAATCCAACAGCACATCAAAAAACTTATCCACCATGATCAAGTTGGCTTCATCCCTGGTATGCAAGGCTGGTTCATAATATGCAAATCAATAAATGTAATCCATCACATAAACAGAACCAACGACAAAAACCACATGATTATCTCAATAGATGCAGAAAAGTTCTTTGATGAAATTCAACTTCTTTTCATGTTAAAAACTCTCAATAAACTAGATATTGATGGTACATATCTCAAAATATTGAGCTATTTATGACAAACTCACAGCCAATATCATATTGAATGGGCAAAAGCTGGAAGCATTCCCTTTGAAATCCAGCACAAGATAAGGATGCCTTCTCTCAACTCCTTTTCAACACAGTATTGGAAGTTCTGGCCAGGGCAATCAGGCAAGAGAAAGAAATAAAGCGTATTCAAATAAGAAGAGAGAAAGTCAAATTGTCCATGTTTGCAGATGACATGATTCTATATTTAGAAAACCCCATCATCTCAGCCCAAAAACTCCTTAAGCTGATAAGCAACTTCAGCAGTCTCAGGATACAAAACCAATCTGCAAAAATTACAAGCATTCCTTTACACCAACAATAGACAAGCAAAGAGCCAAATCATGAATTAACTCCTATTCCTAATTGCTACAAAGAGAATAAAATACCTAGGAATACAGCTAACAAGGGATGTGAAGGACCTCTTCAAGGAGAATTACAAACCACTGCTCAAGGAAATAAGAGAGGAAACAAACAAATGGAAAAACATTCCATCCTCATGGATAGAAAGAATCAATATCATGAAAATGGCCATACTACCCAAAGTAATTTATAAATTCAATGGTATTCCCATCAAACCACCATTGACATTCTTCAGAGAATTAGAAAAAAACTACTTTAAATTTCATATGGAATCAAAGAAGACTCCATATAACCAAGACAATCCTAAGCAAAAAGAACAAAGCTGGAGGCATCATGCTACCTGACTTCAAACTACACTACAAGGCTACAGAAACCAAAGCAGCATGGTACTGGTACCAAAACAGAGATATAGACCAATGGAACAGAACAGAGACCTCAGAAATGACACCACACACCTACAACCAACTGATTTTCGACAAACCTGACAAAAACAAGCAATGGGGAATGGATCTTTTATTCGATAAATGGTGCTGGGAAAACTGGCTAGCCATTTGCAGAATACTGAAACTGGACCCCTTCCTTACACCTTATACAAAAATTAACTCAAGATGATTAAAGACTTAAATGTAAAACCCAAAACCATAAAAACTCTAGAAGAAAACCTAGGCAATACCATTCACAACATAGGCATGGGCAAAGACTTCATAAGTAAATGCCAAAAGCAAATGCAACAAAAGCCAAAATTGGCAAATGGGATCAATTAAACTAAAGAGCTTCTTCTGCACAGCAAAAGAAACTATCATCAGAGTGAACAGGCAACCTACACCACGGGAGAATATTTTTGCAATCTACTCATCTGACAAAGGTCTAATATCCAGAATTTACAAGGAACTTAAACAGATGTACAAGAAAAAAACAAACAACCCTGTCAAAAAGTGGGCAAAGGATATGAACAGACACTTCTTTAAAGAAGACATTTACACAGCCAACAAACATGAATAAAAGCTCAACATCACTGGTCATCAGAGAAATGCAAATCAAAACCACAATGAGATCTATCTCACACCAGTCAGGATGGCAATTATTAAAAAGTGAAGAAACAATAGATGCTGGCAAGGCTGTGGAGAAATAGGAATGCTTTTACACTGTTGGGGGGAATGTAAATTAGTTCAACCATTGTGGAAAACAGTATGGCGATTCCTCAAGGATCTGGCGCCAGAAATACCATTTGACCCAGCAATCCTATTACTGGGTATATACCCAAAGGAATATGAATCATTCTGCTATAAAGACACATGCACACATATGTTTATTGCAGCACTATTTACAATAGCAAAGTCATGGAACTAACCCAAATGACCATCAATGATAGACTGGATAAAGCAAATGTGGTATATATACACTTTGGAATACTATGCAGCCATAAAAAGGGATGAGATCATGTCCTTTGCAGGGACATGGATGAAGCTGGAGGCCATCATTCTCAGCAAACACAAGAACAGAAAGCCAAATACCACATGTTCTCACTCATAAGTGGGAGTTGAACAATGGTAACACATGGAGACAGGGAAGGGAACAACATACACCAGGGCCTGTTGGGGGACGGGGTTGAGGGGAGGGAACTTAGAGGATGGGTCAATAGGTGCAGCAAACCACCAAGGCACATGTATATCTATGTAACAAACCTGCACATTCTGCACATATATCCCAGAACTTAAAGTGAAAAAAAAATTAATTAATTTTTAAAAAGAAACTGCTAAGACAAAAATGTGATATCACTACACACATAGATAATTGTTTAAAATAAAAAATAGTGACAGCACAAGAATCTGGTGAGGATGCAGAGATGTTGGATCACTCACGCATTGCTGGGGGGGATATAAAATGGTACAGCTATTCTGGAAAAGTTTGTCAGTTTCTTTAAAAACTATACATGCAGCTACTATACCATCAAGCAATTGCACTCCCAGGCATCTATCCCACAAAATTAAAACTTATGTTCCAAAAAAAAATCTATACATGACTGTTTATAGCAGAGTTATTCATAATAGCCAAAACAGGAAACAACTTAGATATCCTTCACCAGCTGAGTGATCACACTGTGGTAAAACCATACCGTGAAATGCCACTCAGCAATAGAAAAGGAATGAACTATTTATTGATGCACACAGCAACTTGGATGAATCACCTGAGAATTACGCTAAGTTAAAAAAATTAATTACATTGTAATTAATGTATTACATTGTAAACAATGAAAAAGTTATTGTTTTCTTCTATCTATATAACATTCTTAAAATGAAAATATTATAGAAATATAGACCATATTAGTGGTTGCTAAGGTTTAAAGAGGGTGTGTGGTAGGAGAGAAGTAGATGTGGCTATAAAAGGACAACTTGATAACCTCGTGACGATGGAAACGTGTGGTATCCTGTCTATGTATGTATTATACAGATAGCTGTGAGTTATAATGGTTCAATTTACGACTTTTTAAACTTTCCAATGCAAAAGTGTTACTCATTCTGTAGAAGCCATACTTTAAATTTTGATTCAAAATTCTTTAATAATAACTTTATAAAACAGGCTATAAAATAGCCTATAAAATACACTTTGTGTTAGATGATTTTGCCCAATTATAGGCTAATATTAAGTGTTCCAGGCACATTTAAAGTAGGTTAGGCTAAGCTATGTTTCATAGGTTAAAGTATTAAGTGCATTTGGACTTACTATATTTTCAATTGATGATAGGCTTATAGGGACATAACCCCACCACAGGTCGAGAAGCAGTATGTTGTAAGTTGACTATATCTACTTCAATATCTTGATTACGATATTATACTCTAGATTTGTAAGATGTTCTCATTACGAAACTGGGTAAGGAATTTATGGCATTTCTCTCTATTATTTCTTACAACTATATGTTAATCCACAATTATTTCAAAATGAAAAGTTTAATTTAAAAAAATTTACTTGGAAATATATATATTACCTGAAATTTTCATCTTACCATATGCTTCTAAGAGCTGTTTAATGGAGAAAGTAACACAAAAATAAAAACAATATATTACCTACGTTTAGTATATTTTATTCATAAATATTCCTTTGCAAACATCTTATTTGTTCCCATCATGGCCAAATAAAATTATAGAAGCAGGTCATCATTCCCATTTTAAATTTGGTGAAACAGGCAAAGATTTATAAGAATTTCCCAACGTGAAAAGGCTACTAACTTACTAAGTTTATGAGACAGCAAAGCTCTTAACATCTCTAGTTAAGAGCAAACTTGAAAGTACCACTGTCTCCATGGAAATGTCTCAGGACCATCACTGGAGATAATCAATGGGCTCTGTGTGATATTTGACTAAAAGATTTGCTGCTAAAAATATACTACACCATAATGTACTAAAAAGGGGAAGGAAAGGCTGCTGTTTCCTGAGATTTCTATATTGGGAAGCTTTAATTCTAGCAAAAATAATAGTCATGTCAAGGACCCTGCTGTGGTGTTGACAATGCTTGTCTTGCAAACACATGTCATAATAAAGATCTGCCTGCACCTGGTCAGCTTTGTAAATACTGAGGAAATACTTCTCCTTAAAGTCATGCATTGTTCAAAAACTTAAATTTCAAAAGGGAAAATAAACAACATTATAAATTATTGCTGCTTAGATTATAGAACTGTAGATTCTAAACACTGGCTTCATGGCAGCCATGTGGGGACTAACGGGACATCATATATTCCAAGTCTTAATGCTGATCTATCCTTGTGCCTTTTTACTAAACTTTAACATTAATAACAAGGAGCATTTTCAAATACTCACAAAGAATATCTAGAGCAGAAAAAATAAACAGCTCTGTTCTAAACCTATAAAGAGCATACTGAATTCAGGCTCTATAATATATGAAAATAAATGCAACAAGACCAATTTATTTCCAAAGAAATGTTAAATCCGAATTAATTTTAAAATGTTTAGTAATAATAGCAGCTAATGTTTACTAAGCACTTACTCTGTGGTAGATATTGTTCTAAGCACTTTAAATGCATTAAGATATTTAGTTCTCACCATAATCCTATGTGGTAGGTACTATTATCATCTATATTTTATACTTGAGGAAACTGAGAGAAGCAAGGACAATAAGCTTTCCCAACCATTTGGGAGCCAATATTCAAACCTAGGCAGTCTGACACCAGAGTCTGTGATAACAACCACTAGATTAAGAGGAAGGAGAATGCCTTTCACAATCCATTATATTTCATTAGAATGAAGTTCAAAACTGTCACAACAATTAAAAATCGCCTGTTATTATGTAATATTATTTACATAGAAGTTAATGAAGTACAGAAAGTGTAACAGTTGCCAAATGACACAGGACACATGCTATAATTTTTTAATCATGCACACCAAGAGCAATGGATGCAAGGTGCAAAGAGATTTTGGTTACACTAAATAGATAATTGGTTTGAAATGAAAAACAGTAACAGTCACAGTACCCTAGAAAGAAAGCTATGAAGCTCCAAGTGACTTCCATGCCACTCTCATCACTAAACACACAAAGAACCCGTGTTCCTGTAAGAGTCTGCCATACCTGAATGAACAGCCCAGAATTAAAGCCCAGTTTATAGGCAAAAATGTATAGGGCAGATAGAGTTTTCTGAGATTGCCTGGACAATAATTCCACCCCTAAGAAAAAATAACTAATACAACTACGCAGATGTCTTCTCTTGGGCATCTGAATGTGCCCAAGTTTCTCTTGGGGATGTGAAATGTGAGCCATTAAAAAATAAAGGTAGTTATCTGGTATTTGAGTGAAAGAAAAAAAGGGTTCCAAAAATTGTATTAGTTTCTTATTGCTGCTATAACAAATTACTCCAAATGCAACGGGTTAAAAACAACACAAATTTATTCTTACTGTTCGGGAGGTCAGAAGGCCCACTGGGGTTCACTGAGCAAAAATCAAAGTTTTGGCAGGATTGCGTCCTTCTGGGGATGCTAAGGGGAGAATGCATTCTTTGTCTATCCCAGGGTCTAGAGACGACCTGCTGCTGAATCCCTTGGCCCGTGGCCCACTTTCAGCAGTGGCATCTTTGGATCCCTGCTTCCTTTGTCATGTCTCCTTGTCATTCATTGGGCTCACCCACGTAATCTAGAATTATCTCCTTATCAAAAATTCTTAATGTAATCATATCAACAAAGTCTCTTTTGTCATTTGAAGTAAACATATTCATAGTTTTGGAGGAATAAGAATGTGGACATATTTAATTGGCGGCAGGTGGCGGGGCGGGGGTGGTTTTGTCCTGGCTAAAACAAGCAGAGTGTAGTAGGTTAAGAGCTCAGCTCTATAACCCTCTGAGCATGTGAAATCCCACCACCAACATATACAGCTGTGTTACCTCTCAGGTAATTACCTAACCCCTCTCTACCTCCCTTTTTTCATCTTGAAAAGGGGAATCATAATAGTATCCCTCTCAGGAATTTGAGATTAAATGAAAGAATACATATAAAAAGCTTAGAACAGTGATTGGAATATAGTAATCAGCAGAGAAATGTAATCTCTTAAGATAAGAAACAAATATAATATTTAATGTTATCCCTAAGATGAGGAAGGCATAGGGAGATCTGAGAAATGATTCACTTCTAAGGCTTGTCTTCTGTCCTTAACACTACCCCAACTTCCTTTGAGAACTGGCCATTTTCTTGCAAAGTTGGTTTCTTACACTAATATACTAAGACAAATTAAATTACTAAAAATTACCGGAAATAATTTTGGCATGTTTGTGGCCAACATTGACTATTTCCAATCAACGCTGACATCTTCCAAATTATTTACTCCAAAGGTCTTTTTCTCAAACAAACAAATAACATTTTATTGAGGTATGTTTGACATGTAAAAAGCTGTACATAGTTGATGTATACAACCAGATGTGTTTGAAATGAGCCTACACCTGTGAAACCTTCACCAACAAGGTTATAGACATATCCATCACCTCCCAGCGTATCCTCTGGCCCTATTATTATTATTATTATTATTATGTGTTCGTGCTAAGAACATTTAGCATAAGATCTACTCTCTGAACGTTTTAAGTACACAATATAGTTAACTATATGTACCATGTTATATAGTAGATCATCATAACTTATTTATTTTTCATAACTGAAACTTTATCTATTTACTGCCACCTCTGTATTTCATCCCCCACCAACCAGTGCCTAGTAATCATTCATCATTCTACTCTCTGCTTCTGTGAGTTTATTTTTAATTCCACATATAAGTGAGGTCACACAGTACCTGCCCTTTTTTGTCTGGCTTATTTCACTTAGCATAATGTCTTCCAGGTTCATCCATATTGTTGCAAATGGAAGGATTTCCCTCTATTTTAAGACCAAATAATATTTAATTTTATGTATGTACCATATTTTTATATCCATTCATCCATTAATAGACACTTAGATTTTTTTTCCATATCTTAGCTATTGTGAATAATGAATGCTGCAATAAAAACAGGAGTGTAGGTAGGTATCTCTTCAAAATTCTGATTTCAAGTCCTTGGGATAAATGCCCTTAAGTGGCATTGATGGGTTATCCATCTTATCTGCAATTTTTTTGGAAGAATTTGAGAGGGATTGGGGCTAGTTCTTCTAAGGTTTGATAGAAGTCACCAATGAAGCCACATAGTCTTTTACATTTATTTGCTGAGAGGCTTTGGACTATTGATGACTACTTACTTGTTCTTAGTCTATTCAGATTTTCTTTTCGTGATAATTCATTCATGGTAGGTTGTAATTCTATTTTTAATTGTATGAGGAAACTCCATACTATTTTCCACAATGGCTGCAGCAATGTACCTTCCTACAATTACTATACCAGCATTCCCTTTTCTCCACATCCACACTTGCTATCTTTTTAAAAAATATATATAAGCCAACCAAATAGGTATGAGATGACAGTTTTCTGTGTTTCTGATTTGCACTTCCCTAATGATTCATGATGTTGAGCATCTTTTCATGTAACTGTTAGCCATTTGTATGGTGTTCTTTTTTTTGAGAAATGTGTATTAAGATCCTTTGCCCAGTTTTAAAGTTGAGTTATTTGAGGTTTTGGCAACTGAGTTGTAGAAGTTCTTTATGTATTTTAAATATTAACCCCTTACCAGATACATGGCTTCAAAAATTTTCTAACATTCTGTAGATTGTATTTTTATTTTGTTGATTGCTTTATTTGCTGTGCAGGAGCTTTTTAGTTTGATGTAATCTTTATTTTTATTTCAAAGAAAATTTGTTCAAGAAAATTTGTTGTGAGGAATTTTGGTGTCATATCTAAAAAATTATTGCCAAGACCAATATCAAGGTTTTTCATTCATTTTCTTCTAGAAGTTTTATGATTTCAGGTTTTATATTTAAGACTTTAATTCACTTCTAGTTGATTTTTATGCATGGTGTAAGATATAGGTCCATCATAAGAGGCTACTGTGAAAAATTACACGCCAACAAGTTGGATAACATTGAAGAAATTGATAAATCCCTAGAAATATACAACCTACCATGACTGAATTATGAAGAACAGTAAATCTGAATAGACTAGTAACAAGTAAGAGGTCATCAATAATCAAAAGACTCCCAGCAAATAAACGTCAAAGATAATACAGTTTCACTGGTAAATTCTATCAAACATCAGAAGATTTAGCTCCAATCCTTCTCTAACTCTTCCAAAAAAACTGAAGATAAGATTCCAAACTCACTTCTCAAGGCCAATATCATCCTGATAACAAAGTCAGGCAAGGACAGTACAAGAAAAAAAATTACAGCCAATATCCCTACTGAACATAGATACAAAATCCTTGAACAAAATAACAAAATCTTAGAGCTCATTTAAAAGATCACACACCATAACTAAGTGTGATTAATCTCTGGGATGAAAGGATCTTTCAGCAAATGCAAACCAGTAACTGTGATATGTCAAATTAGTAGAATGAAAGATGAAAAGAATATGATCATCTTGATAGATGTAGAAGAAGCATTTCACAAAATTAAACATTCTTTTATTATAAAAATGCTCAACAAATTATGTATATAAGGAGTGTACCTCAACATAATAAAGCCCAAGCTACTGTCATATTCAATGGTTAGAAACTGAAAACTTTTCCTCAAAGATCAGAAACAAGGTAAAGATGCCCACTCTTGTCACTTCTGTTCAGCATATGCTGGAATTAACAGCCAGAGCAACTAGACAAAAAAAAATACATCCAAATTAAAAAGAAAGTTGTCTCTGTTTGCAAATGACATGATCTTATATATAGAACACTCTAAAGACTCTACTAAAAAACTATCGTATTTAATAAATATATTCGGTAAATTTGCAGGACAGAAAATCATATGTGAAAAATCAGTCGTGTTTTTACAAACTCACAATAAATTATCTGAAAAAGGTATTAAGAAAATAACACCATTTACAATAGCATCAGAAAAATACAGTACTTAGGAATAAATTTAGCCAAGGGGTCCAAAGAGCTGTACACTGAAACTATAAAACACTGATGAAATAAATTGGGGAAGACATAAATCACTGGAAAGATATCCTGTGTTCATGTATTGGAAGACTTAATATCATTAAAATATTCATACCATTCAAAGCAATTTACAAATTCAATCAATGCCTATCAAAATTCCAAAGTTATTTTTCACAGAAATAGAAAAGCAATCCTAAAATTCATATGGATTCACAAAAGTCCTGCAATAGCCAAAGCAATTTTAAGAAAGAGGAATGAAGCTGAAGACATCATACTTCCTGGCTTTAAAGTATATTACAAAGTTATAGTAATCAAAACAGTATGGTGCTGGCATAAAAGCAGACACATATATCAATAGAACAGAATAGAGACCCCTGAAATAAACCCACACACATACAGTCAACTAGTTTTTGAAAAGGAGGCCTGGAATACAAAATTGGGAAAGGGTAGTCTCTTCAATAAATGGTGTCAGAAAAGTTGGATATCTAGATATTCTAAAGGTCTTTATAAGATTTTTGAAGACTTCATGAATTTTCAAAATTAAATAAACAATATTTGTGCTTTAAGTACGTGATAAGTTCTAAACAAACTATAAATCCACTTATCAAAAGACAATTGCTAAAAAAAAAAAAAGAATTTACTAAAAGGCTAAATCTCAGAACTCACTGCATTTTTCAACTTTCAAAATCTATTTTAATTGTTCATATTTGTATCAGTTTGGTTTTCTTAACTTTTGAAAGTTTTTGTTATATTTAGTTACCTCTTTCTACATACCCACATATTTTTAATTGTTCAGGTTTTTTAAATGAGAGATTCTAAGACAATTTAAAGTTTTAAAAGCATGTTTTCCATTCAGAGAAGTATATTTTGTAATCAGTAATGAAATTTTAAAATAAGGAGCAATTTTATTTTGTGGAAAAAAATTATCATGAAAGCATGGGGCCACACAAAACAAAAGGAAAAAAGTGAGGATGCAAGGAAGAGATTTTAAATAAATAATATGATTATCATAACAAATGTGACACGTTAACACAAGTACAATTTCTGAAGGAAAAACAGAAGCAAATAGTTGACCATTCTAAAATACTGCTAGTGTAAGACATGCACTTAGGAACAAGATAAACTATAACACATATTAAATCTTAGGTACAATTAACTAGAAGTTATCAATAAATGGCTTTAAACTATATTATGAAGCTATCGTGATCAACACAGTATGGTACGGTTGGTACGCTCTTTAAAAACTGAAGAAAATAATTTTGAAATAATAAAATTGTTGACAAAACAGCAACTATATATTATTTGAAAGGAATCAAGATAAATACGTATATTATATGAATTGCTGAAATGTTGCTTATTAATTATGGAGCATACTACTTTGAATATTCAGTATATTTATGAGACTAAGCTACTCTCTACCCCTTTATTTAAAACCAATATAATATTTCTTAACATGCTACTATAAAGACAAAATAAAACCATTCTTTAAGCTTCATAGAAGTCTACAAATATTGTAAAAAATCATTCCACATAATATGTTGTAAACTTATAAAAATAGTTTAATAGTTGTTTTTGCTAATTTACCAAATTGGTTATCTGACAAATTATTTTCTGAGAATTGCCTTTGGCTTATTCGATCATCAGTAACTTGGCCTTTATCTATGTTATGAATACTCACAGTTTCCCTTCTTTGAGATGTTTCCATTCATTAATGTAAGGGGGTATGTGATTATCAACTTTGTGTCAACTTTAGTAGGCCACATTACCCAGATATTTGGTCAAACACCAGTCTGGATGTTACATGAAGTTATTGTTTAGATGAGATTAATATTTAAATCAGTAGACGTTGAGGGAAGCAGATTACCTTAAAGGCCTTAAGAAAAAACAGGCTGAGATCCCTTATGAAGAGGAAATTCTGCCTCCAGACTGTCTTTGGGATCAACATTCCATGCCAACTCTCCAGTCTGTGGGCTTATGCTACAGATTTTGGACTTGCCATCCTTCATAATCACATTAGCTAGTTCCTTAAAACAAATCTCTCTCTCTCCCTCCATATATGTATATAAACACACATGCACACACACACACACAGACATAAAATACACATATATATTAATAATATATGCATACTGTGAAAGGAAAATAAATCTTGGGGCCCCAAAATCATTAAACTAAAGGGAAAAGTCAAGCTGGGAACTGCTTAGGGCAAACCTGCCTCCTACTCTACGCAAAGTCACCCCTCTGCTCACTGAGATAAATGCATATCTGATTGCCTCCTTTGGAGAGGCTAATTAGAAACTCAAATGTATATAATCATTTGTCTCTTACCTACCTATGACCTGGAAGTCCCCTCCCCGCTTTGAGTTGTCCCACCTTTCTAGACCGAACCAACATTCGTGTTACATATGTTGATTTATGTCTCATGTCTCCCTAAAATATATAAAACCAAACTGTGCTCTAACCACTTTGGGCACATGTTGTCAGGACCTCCTGAGACTGTGTCACCTGTGAGCATCCTCAACCTTGGCAAAATAAACTTTCTAAATTAACTGAGACCAGTCTCAAATTTTGAGGGTACACAACACACACACACACACACACACACACACACACACACACACACACACACATATACATACTTTTGGGTAAAAAGTAAAAAATGAATCCTTTTTTAATACTGGTTCTTCTAGTCTGACATGCTGTATTCCCATGCTAGATCACTAGGAGACAAATGTTTTCATCTTCCATGTAATAACACAAATGTATTGCCCTCCCAAAGCTTCCTCTGATTCCCTGTTCTGCGCTAGGCTTTCCTGCACTTATGCCTGCAAATGAGTTTTGATTGTGCCTGCCGTTGCTTGTTATATTGACTATCTCTATCATAGACTATTACATCCTTGAAACTATGTTTATGTGTCCAGGGCCTGTAGATTAATGGATGGATGGGTGGATGGATCAGTAGATCAATAAAATCAGCTACCAAAACATAAATCTTTCAAAATATTGGATGTGCTCTACTACAAGACCCTCTCAAAAAAAAGAAAAAAGAAGTAGTTCATGAGAAGTTTGAGTCCTTAAAGTTAATGCTGTTTTCTCTACATTCTAATCCCAGAAGTACAGCAATTCACTTGAATGATAGAAATGCTTCTAACAATGAACTGTACTGAAAATGATTTAAAATGAAAGCTTGTTGGACACAAAACGTATACAAGTTATATCACTGAACTTAACTCCCTTAAACATATTGCTAGACCAAAATCTGGAGTCGGGGGAAGGAGGGGTCTGTGGCACATCCTCTTACATTTTTAGTGGGAAAAAGCAAGACACATTCTAGACTTTTATTACACGGGTCCAAATATAGAAGCAGTTCTATGACATAAAGAGTTATTGTTTCAATAAGTATCTTGCCAGCCAGGCATGGTGGCTTATACCTGTAATTCCAGCACTTTGGGAGGTCAAGGCGGGTGGATCACCTAAGGTCAGGAGTTGGAGACCAGCCTGGCCAACATGATGAAACCTCATCTCTACAAAAAATATAAACATTACCTGGGCATCGTGGTGCACACTTGTAGTCCCAGCTACTCGGGAGCCTGAGGCAGGAGTATCGCTTGAACCTGGAGGTGGAGGTTTCAATGAGCCGAGATCATCCCACTGCACTCCAGCCTGGGCAGCAGAGAGAGATTCTGTCTCAAAAAAAAAAAAAAAAAGAAAGAAAAAAAGTGTCTTCTCTATTTTTAACCAGACAGATTTATGATGGGAAACTATGATAGTGTTTGTTTTGCTATTGCTTTTTTGTGAGCTCATGTTTCAATGAGTTTGAGCATAAAAATAGGTTACATTGCAGAGCAATGGAGTTAGACAAATATAATTTTCTGTTGATATAACTGAAGGCAAGGAATCTCAAAATCTCAGTGCAGGTGGTCTGCTGTGGCATTGCTATGAAGGTCCAGGATCCTAGCAAGAGAAGAATCATTACAGATCTCTCCACAAGAACTATTTGGCATTCACAAGTAGCTTTCCTAGTGAAGACTTACTATACAACAAAATAGAGAGAGCAGTAATTCCTTCTCAGCCACCAGAATTTTTGAAATAGCATCATCCTATATCTCAAGAGCTATTGGTATCACAAAAAAGAAAACATTTCTTGATATTCAGCTAAGAGAAAGCAGTTGCTCTGTGCAAAGCATTTCTATATTAACATTTTTGTATTTTACAACAACCTAACGTTGTACTCTTTTTAGTTACTAAGGATCCATGCATTATGCTTATGTTTGAGCCCCTCAGAATAGGTTTTATCTCAGTAAAGAATACTTGCCATTGTTTTTAGTTTTCTGCCAGTTCAATGATTTCTTAGCATTTCATTCCATGCACATTTTTACAGAAAACAAAAAAATATATAATTCAAATAGATCAAAATGAATATTCTCCATTGAATGCTTTTTACTGGTAAAATTAAACTAAATATAGTCAGCCGGGCACGGGGACTTACGCCTGTAACACCAGCACTTTGGGAGTCCAAGGCAGGCAGATCACCTGAGGTCAAGAGTTTGAGACCAGCCTAGCCAACATGGAGAAAGTCCATCTTTACTAAAAGTATAAAAATTAGCTGGGCGTAGTGGTGCACACCTGTAGTCCCAGCTACTCAGGAGGCTGAGGCATGAGAATCACTTGAACCTGGGAGGTGGAGCTTGTGGTGAGCTGAAATTGCACCACTGTACTCCAGCCTGGGTGATACAGCAAGACTCTGTCTCCAGAAAAAAAAAAAAAAAAGAAGAAGAAAAAATTAAATGTAGTCAATCCTCCCTTTCTGTGGGTTCTGTACCCCTGGGTTCCACAGCTGTCAATTAAATCAATCTCAGATCCAAAATACAATAACCCCAGGTTTCACATGGCCAGCTTCTGGACTTGAGCATCTGTAGAGTTTGGCATATGCAGGGTGTCCTGGAATCAATCCCCTACAATGACTGTATTACCTCATTTAATCATAAGGAGAATTTTGAAAAGTGTCTACCATTATTTTCTACTCCACTTTGTGGATGAAATTGTCCAAGACATTAATAGAGTAAAAAAATTCTAAGGTGAGAAATCTAATAAGAGAACAAAAATCCTGGCATCTAAAACCAAAGTATATCTGATTTCAAAGTGCTGGCTCTTAACTATCACTCTCTATCTTCCCCTAATCTTCCCAGCAAGTACTGTATTATAATCAATTCACCTGTTTTTTTTTCTTTTTTTGCAAAATCACTTTTGTGTAAACACTGACCTAGGCACTGTGTTGCATTTAAAGACAAAAAAGTTCATCAACACAAGATTGTTCTTTAAATATACATTTAATCCACTAAGGGATTTAAGTAATCTTCAAAGACCATTAGTCTTCACCAATTTTCCTTTTGAATATTTTAATAGCTTCAAAACTTTACAATGTGTAACCACTTTTTGGCTCTACATTAACTTGTGTGTAGGAACAATTCATCTGGTGAGTGAATCCTGATCATCTCTGCAGCATACCCATTTCAACGAGGAGCTTCTAGTGCTGCGATAGACGTGAAGAAAAAGTAGATATTTAAAAAAAATTCTCCCACGTACAACTTTTACCAGGAAATAGAAGTTTGAAACAAAGTGCTAAATGGTAAATTGATCAAGACTATGGATGAGTCTTACATTATTTTATGTGCAAACAAGAAAAAGGAAAATTTATAGTTTGCTCAATTCTTACAGCTGGGAAAGGAAAAATTGTAAACTAAATTGTGTTTACACATTTGGTGATTTTAAAGCCTTCATATGTACTTTTCCTAGATGTCAAATGTCATTACATAAAAAGTGTTTTGTTTTGTTTTTAGTATTGCAATGTGCTCAAGAATCATACAAAATAGAAAAGACACTTCAGACCCAAGAAATTGGGAAAAACCGCAGAAAGAAAACACAATTGAGCTGACCTTTAAGGACAGAAGAATTTCAACAGAAATAGGAGTTTCTGTTTTTTGTCTGTTTTGGGAAGTACAGTTCCAGATGAAACTGTGTTAATAAAAACATTATTCTTCAGAGGCTGAAATAATGAAAAATATAAGACTAAGCAAAAAAAATGAAAACCAAATTAGTCTATATCATAAAGAGCAGTAAATTTGGAAAAAATAAATAAGCTCTGTATGAAATTATTACACACATTACTATGAAAAAAGAGTTTCCCAAAGTCTCTGGATAAATAAAATAATTTCAGTGAACTAGAGAATGTCACCCGAGATTAAAAGCGCCTTCTTATTGCAGAAAATCTCTTAAAATAGACACACACACACACACACACACACGCACAGAGACAGAGAGAGAGAAGACAGAGAGATCATGAAAGAAAAGGCTATTCAATTACTTTAGAGATTAATGAAATTAAAAATAAAATATTTACTATATACACTTTCCCTTGACTTAAACTGAAACAAAACTAAATGTGGCAACTTTGATTTTTATTTGATCACCTTATGTGCTTTACATTGGTAGCATAAATGAAATAACTATACTAAAAGGAAAATTATTTTTCATGCTAGTTAAATATTCAATTGATTGTTTTGGCAGGCTAAATGTGGATGGGGCTAGGAGTACGAGGGAGATTTTTAATGAGCAGGTAGCTCTGAACTCAACAGCAAATTAAGGGAGCATAAATCCTTTATAAAAACTCTTCCCACATACTTCCTCTCCTCACCACCAGTTCACAAAAGGCTGCTGTTTTTATGAGAGACACTGAGAATAAAGTCTGAAGCTGTGAAGGAACTGGTTAAGTCAGAACAGGAAGGGAAGAGGCTATGAATGCAGAAGCAACTCAGAGGCGCTGACCCCAAAGGATAATTGCCAGAGAGGGTTCTTCTTCTCAGGTAGTCTTTGTGATCCAACATAGTCCCTAAATAATTCTAATAAACAAGTGTCATTTTTTGAAAAGTTCTTACTGTAGATACAACATGCAGAAGCCCCAGTCTCCTTGTTGGAGTCAAATGTGCATATTTAGTTAAAAAGAAAAAAGAGAACACCTGTTTCCATGACTACAGTGTTAATTTACTTCTTAGAGTTGATCTTGTGCGGGATTTCTGTTTTTCTTGCTATAGTATTATATGCATTGTTGACATTTAGATTTGCACTAATTTTAGTGCACATCTACACTAAAATATATAAAGTATGAATAAGTAAACAAGTATCTCTTTTTTTCAATTTATGTTCTTGTTCTTTTGAAATTACTAACACAAGTTGCAAAATCAAGCTCATTTTAGTCAACATTATGTATTATCTGTACATATATACAATATTAAATAGAATATTATTCAAAAGGCACAATTTTGTATTTAGTAAGAAAAGCAGAAAATCAGTTACCTTTGAATAAATAACTTGTTTGAAAAATAAGTTGGGAAATTTACAGCAGCAGTGGCATAAAATGTTTAAGGCTTCTCATATCTCTCTATAAAAAGTCAAATCAAACAACAATCACAAAAATCCATATATAACATCCACAATAAAAGTAGATGTAAAGTTGCCCACAAAACTTGAATGCTATGTGTTTGGGATCTGGGTAAAAATTTTCCATCGGGTCAAATATATTGATACAGTTGCACTATGCAGACATCCTGGATAAATGAGTTAGCTCATGAGGCCAGGAGTTACTCTGCTTGGGTGGCTGATTGAAATTTGGAACTAAACATAGGTAGTTTATACTGAACAAACTTAAGTGCCAAATTTCTTCATTTGTTATAGAAAAAGTTATCCAAATGCTTACAGAGATTAGAAAGTTGGAGTGGATTTATTACATGATAGCTGGTCTCCTGCCCATAACTATGTCTCCATTGTGAGAGTCCAGAAGACATTCTCTGCATTGATGCTTTGAAAAACACATTGTGAGTGGAACACAAAAATGAAAGGACTCTGCTACACTGTTAACATTTATACTATACATCTTACCCCAGCCTTCCCCAAGGAACCCCTAGTCATTTTCCCAGATGACTGTGCATTAGGGGAAGTAGTTAGGATTTGGGGATTACTCGTTGTTTGGAGCGCACTATTTTCTGAAGACCCAACACTAGCATTATTCACCTGCCAAGATTAATAGAGTTGTGTTTTATGTCCATCTCACAGTGAGCACTGTGTGTCTGCATCTACCCATGATGATTTTCCAAATTTTAGGATGTATATTTGGAATAGACATACAAAGCAACCGGCATAAGCCCACACTAGTTTCCACACTAATATAGACCCATGGGCTACTTTAATATACTAGGAAAGACAAAGTGAAAGAAAGAAAAATTGCTTCTACCTATTAAAATACTAAAGGCAAGACAATACTGTGTTTTCCTGGCAGGATTGCAGAGGTTAGTGCTAACATCCAGTTAAGTGATTCTAATCGTTTCTTCTATAAAATTTGCCTTTTTGGCTGAAACAAAACACAGATGGGTCTTGGGAAAAGAGAAAGAATTATTATAAATTTTATCAAGTGGAGATTCTAATTGCAGTATTGCTTTAGATTTAGGGTTGGTTTAGTTACTGGAGAAAATCAACATATCCCTTGGTATTTGAAAAGCAGCCATCAATCTGTTAAATACTTTTCCCTATGAATCTTAGTAATGACAGTATACTTTCTCACCACAGGATTATATCACTCTCCAACTCTCAGTCATAGTCTAATCTGCAAGGACTTTGATCATCTCTTCATTTCACAGAACATCAAATTAGCCCACGTCAATGACATCATAATAATTACAGGAAGCGGTAATAATCCTAAGCACTGCAATATGATACATGCATGCCAGAGGGTGGGGAAAAAAATAACAGACAATTTCAAAGATGTGCAAAGATTTCTCAATGATAATTCTAAGATCTGACTGATCTGGGGAATGCTGACATCCTTTCAAGGTAAAAAACAAGTGTATCTGTTCTCTCCTGTCATAAAGAAGAGACACAATGCCTACTGAGCACTGTGGTTTTAGAGGCAATACATATCCCAATTTGGGGTGCTACTTCCACCTATTTACTCAGTGGTTAGAACTGCTGCTAGATTTGTATGAAACCTAGACTTCGAGGAGGCCCTGCATCAGGTTCAGGCTGCTGTTAAAGCTACTCTGCCATTTGAGTTCTATGAAGGCATTATGATGAAATGTTGTAAAAGTTAAATATACTCTTAGTGGATTTTTAAAGACAGCTATAATTGAATTACAACAGTGACATTTGTGATTTTGGAGTAAAGATATGTAATCCTTCACAGATTACTATTTTCTTATAAGCAGTTTCTAGCATGCTTCTGGGTTCTTTTACAGACTAAATGCTTGATATAGGGTACCATAGTGGGCTGAGCTGTGTATTCTGAACTGACTATGTCTGACCCATAATGACATGAAGTTGGACACATACCGCAGTAGTCTATCATTAATTGGAAGTGACATATGTGAAACTGGGCTTGAGTAGGTTCCGAAGGCGCAAGTACCTTCTATTAGCTAATAGCTCAGACTTTCATGGTCCCTACTCCTGTTATATTACCCACTCTGTCCCAACCCATATCTGTAGCATGGGTTGTATCCCATGACAAATTGACAGAAGACACATTACAATTGGCCGGGCGCGGTGGCTCAAGCCTGTAATCCCAGCACTTTGGGAGGCCAAGGCAGGCGGATCACAAGGTCAGAAGATTGAGACCATCCTGGCTAACACGGTGAAACCCCATCTCTACTAAAAATACAAAAAATTAGCCAGGCGTGGTGGCGGGCGCCTGTAGTCCCAGATACTCGGGACGCTGAGGCAGGAGAATGGCGTGAACCCAGGAGGCGGAGCTTGCAGTGAGCCAAGACTGCGCCACTGCACTCCAGCCTGGGCAACAGAGCAAGGCTCCGTCTCAAAAAAGAAAAAAAAAAAAGAAGACACATTACAGACCTGGTTTACAGACGGCCCTGCGTGGTATGGCTGGCACCATCTCAAAGCAGAAAGGCTACAGCACTCTAACCTCACTCAGGAGTGGTCCAGGCAAGTACTCGTGAAAATATAATTTTGCATAATGCAACTGTTTGTTCATTTTTCATTGAACAGGAGATGACCAGAAGAACATTATGCCCTGATCTTTGAGAACTGGCTAATAATTTGGTTAAATGTTTAGAGACTTGGAAGAAGCACGATTGCAAAATTGATGATTTGGGTGCCTGCAGAAGAAATATAGAGACATACGAATACATCTAAAGAGCAACCATAGAAGAGGAGGGTCTTATTAACGAACTGAACAAGATGACCTATTTTGCTTCTTTCCCCAGCCAACCCTGCTCTTGCCCAATACTCATGGACTATGCAGCCAAAGCAGCAGGGATGGAGCTTACGCATGGGCACAACAACATGCACTTTTCTCATGATAGCTGATCTAAGTGTCGGCCAATAGCAGAGTTCAACACTGAGCTCCCTATATGGCATCATTCTGTATGGGGACACTCCAGCCACTGGTTATTATATTGAATGCTTCCATCATGGAATGGGTAGTACCCCGAATATGAATTTGCTTTCCCTGCTCATAGTTCTTTCACCAAAAGCTTCATCTATGGATTTACAGAATGCCTTACTCAAAAGTAAGGTACACTACATAGCATTATTCTCACTAGGAAATTTCTCTTTTTTCCCCTAAATAAATAAGGTATGGCAATAGGCTCAGGCTAATGGAATTCACCGATTTTTTTGTCATGTTTCCTATTACACTGAAGCAGCTTGCCTGATAGATTAGTATAATGCAGTTCAAAGATTCTGTATCTATGTCCATTGAGTGATGATACTTTGAAATGGGGGTTGGGATCTTATTCTTCAGGATATATTATATATTCTGAATCACTGATTCTATACCAAGAAACTTCTGTTTCTTCCATTTTAAGATTTCCAGATCTGAGAATCAAGGAAAGTCAGTGGGAATACTATTCTCTTCTCACTATTAGCGCTAATGAACTACTAGCATCATTTCTTCATCCTGTTCTCAAAATTTTGGGTTCTGCCAGCCTAAATGTTTTCTTTCCCAAGAGAATATTTCTTTTTATAGGAAACATCTAAATGGTTACATTTAATTGAAAGTTCAGGCTGTCACCTGGCCACATGGTACTCCTTAAGCAGCAAATCAATAGGCAATTAAGACAGAGTGTTGACTGATGTGATTTGATTCTATCAAGGGGAACGTGGGTTCCTACTACACGGAAGGAGTCAGAAGTGTGTCTATAATGTTGGGAAGTCTCCTAAGGCTCTCAGTAGTACTTTCATGACTTGTGATAAAAATCAATCAAAGTTATAACTACTTTAATTTAACAGGACTGTTAATGGCACAGAGCCTCCAAGAATAAAGGTTTAAGTTACTTCACCAGGCAAATAACCATGGCCAACTGAGGTGATAGTTGAGAGCAAAAGAAATAAAGGATGAGAAATTGAAGAAAAATGCTATAAATATTAGGTCTCCAGCTGTTACAATCTTAAAATCGAGGTTATAAAAACTATACATGACAAATGACTTGCAGATGAATTGCAAGGAAACAGAATGAACATAAAAAGAATCTATATCAGTCAATTCAGTTAATATTCCTCCAGAGAATTTTTTTTAAGCAATAGGGGTTCACTCTGTCACCCAGGCTGAAGAGCAGTGGCATAATCATAGCTCACTGCCACCTTGAACTCCTGGGCTCAAGCAATCCTCCTGCCTCAGCCATCAGAGTAGCTGGGACTACAGGCATGTGTCACCACATTCAGACAATGGTTTTTAATTTTTTGTAGAGATGGGGTCTCTCTATGTTGCCCAGGCTAGTCTTGAACTTCTGGCATCAAGAGATACTCCCACCTGGGCCTTCCAAAGTGCTGGGATTATAGGAGTGAATCACCACACCCAGCCTTAATTTATTACAAGGAAATTATTTATGCAATTGTGGAGGGTTGGTTAAGCAAGTCCAAAGTCTATAGGGCAAGCCATCAGGAAGCAAAGATTAGGAAGAGTTGGAAATACCATAGGCATGGGCCAAAATCATCTACAGGCAAATTTCTCTCTCTCATTCTTTCCTTCTGGCCTCAATTATGATTTTAAGGCATTCCAAATGATTGCCATGACAACCCACATTATTCAAGAGAATCTTACTTTCTGAAAGTCAACTAACTTGGATCATAATTCAAACAAATACAATGAAAAAAGAAATTGACCAGGAATTGTAAAATTAATGACATTAACAATGTATTGCTATTTCATCATGTTAAATGTTTAGAGTGCTTATATTGTCTCATATTTACTTTAAAATAGTATAAGAGAGAAGAAAATAGGTAGGGGAATAGATGAAATAAAAATGACTACAACTTCATGATTGTTGAAACTGGATGACAGGAACATGGGAATTCATTGTACTAAACAGTAGCCCCCACTTATTTACAGGGAATACATTCCAAGATGTATAGTACAAAACCCTCCTCATATTGTTTTTTTTTTCCCATGCATACAAACCTAGGATAAAGTTTGATTTATAAATTAGGCACAATAAGAGTTTAACAACAATAACTAGTAATAAAATAGAACTGTTATAAAAATATACTATCATAAAAGCTATTTTAAACTTATGAATTGTTTATTTCTGGAATTTTCCATCTAATATATTTGGACCACAGTTGACTGTGGTCCACAAAATGAGAAACTGAGGATAAGGAGGGGTGGTTACCATATTGGCTTCTATATGTTTAAAATTGATGAATATTTTTAAAAATGAGTCGGGAACATGTCATAACTGAGTCAGAACACTGGTGCTATTGGACAGCTTTATAGCCAAGAGCCCAAATATGCAGCATGCATCTGCCACCCATGAGCTGCTGCCAGCTCCGCCCCCGCAGCCAAACTCCTCCAGGTGCTCCCCAGGACTTCTGCTTATTCTTACTCAATCTTTTTGAGCTGGTGGTAAACAATTTCTTTCAGAGGAGTTACTCATACCAGAGTTTTGGAAACCTCCTTAACTATTCCACAGATCACATCTTCCCATGAACACAAACATTTGGAAAAAAAAGATGGCCGGATCTGACTGGGGAAATAACAATGCATAGACTGATCTAATTTTCCTCCAAAAACCAGGACCATGCTGATTAGTCTGGCTCACCCTCTGTGGCTCCTTCTTTTCTCATTACTCATAATGATCCTTTTTGTTTTTACCTCACAAACTGTATTTTCTTTCCTACCGTATGACTTTCTTTAGGACCTCACCTATTCAAGTGTGAACACTAATTGTGGATCAGGTTAAAGTTCCTTGAAGCTCCCTAAGCAATTCCAAGTTAGAATATGTATTCGGGCCTCTGTCTTTGCATTTTGAACTTTGCATAGCAGCTATTTTTTCAGAATGTACTCTAACAGATATGAAGCTCAACTGCCCATGGCAATACACTATTCTCTAGGAGGGCTGTTGATTAAATCCTTAAGTTGGCTCAGACCAGCAAATATACCGAGTCAAATCTGCAAGGGCCAGAACATTCCTGGTGAACCTTGTAAATATGAGGCCATAAATTTGAGGTTAGAGGAGGGTGATGTCAGCAAGATTGAGGAATAGGAAGTCACAGAATTCACTCTCCCCTACAGAAAGATCAACTAGCAACGATTTACAGACAAAACCACCTTGGTAAAAATACCAAAATGTGGGAGTAATCCTGAGTCACTTGCATTATCTACAGAACTGAATAAAAATCTGCATTGGAAGGTAGGAGAAATGGTCTTTCATTGACTGCATAACCCTTATTCCTCCTCAAGTTGTGACAGTACCACACAGAGAAGATTTCTCAGGGTCCACAGTTTTTAAATTGGGAAATAAGAAGTGGGAGGTGAACATTCAGCTTCCTTAGCATGCTGAGATGCATCCCAGGAAGTCGACTTTGTTCTCACATCACAGGGAATGGGAAATGTAGGAGGAAGTTACATGGTTAGACTATGTGGGGTCAGGTAGAAAAAGGCAAGGAGAAAGAGCCCACAGAGATCAACATTGCAGATTTTATTAAAAGCTCAGTATATACTTTCCAGCAGTAGCACTCAACGAGAGGTACCAGCTAGTAGCATAACTTACTTGCCAAGCCGAGCTGATCACTTCCAGAAGAGGTGGGAAGTGGTACCTGTCTTGAATCCCTAAACAGCCTCCAGGACCAGCCACAGACACTATCTCGGTCGGGGTCCCACCCTGTGAAGGAGAAGACCTTTGCAGCAAATTTCCGTAATTAGCAGGCACTAAATATCCCACATCAGAAGCTAAATCTGTGTTTCCTGCAGTCTCAAGCCCCACCTCCAGACCTTTCCAAGGGAGAGAGAAAACCACCACGGCAAATGTTGACCACAAGCAGACAATAGTTTTGCCACATCAGAAAGTATAATCAGCCCTTCTCTAAGACTCAAAGCTCACCCCAGACCACATCAAGGAGGAAGGCAAATTTTAAGCATGCATTTCTACTGAGCACGGTAGTTGGTCCATCCATCTCAATCCACTTAAACTTGGGTCCCCTCCCACAAACCTATACAACTCCTGAACTAAAATAGCAGTATCTCTGTCCAGGAAATACATCATGTGGCCGAGCCAAATCAGAGGTGATTATAGTGCCCATAATTACAAAGCAGAGCGCAGGCAGTGGTCTTGCCAGATGGCAGAGCCTACTCAGAGGCCCCAACAAATTTCAGAGCAAAGGGACATCCCAATCATCTAGAGAAGCTAAAAGCAAGCTCTGCCTGCCCAGGATCAATACCAGCTAGCCTATCCAAAACATAGACTAGACTAATGATATTAATGCCAAAGAACTCCTATAAAAACTGGAAAAGGTGGCTATACCTGCAAATGCACAAATACCAATGGAACAACTAAGAATACCATGACACCTCCAAAAGAAACTAACAAAGCCCCATCAATAAACCCTAAAGAAAGGGGGATTTATGAAATGGCAAAAAAGGATACAGAATAATCCTCTTGAAAAATTCAGTGAACTTCAAAACTATGCAGATGAAAAAATTAAATAAAATTTGGAAAACAATACATAAGAAACTTGACAAAAAGAGAAACAAAACAATTAAAAAATAGAAATTCTCAAGATAAAAATACAATGACTGAACTGAAAAATGCAATAGAAAGCTTCAAAAGCTAGTTGATCAAGGTGAAGAATCGGTGAACTCAAAGACAGAACATTTGAAATACTCAATTAGAGGAGCAAAAAGATAAAAGAATGGAAAATGAATGAAGAAAGCCTGTGGGAACCATGGGATACCATCAAGCGACCTCACATATGCATAATAGGTATTCCCAAAGGAGAATGAAGAGAAAAACATTATCAGAAAGCATATTTTAAAAACAATAGATGAAAACTTCCCTAATCTGAGGAAAAAAGCCAACATCAAGGTACAGGAAATGCAGAGGTCATCAATTAAATTCAACCCATAAAGGAGTTTATGAAGACATATAATAAACTATCAAAAATTAAAGACAAAGAAAAAATTCTGAGAGCAGCAAGAGATAAGAAATTAAAACATAGAAAGGAGTCATAATAGGATTAACAATAGACTTCTTAGCAGAGCCCTGCAGGCCAGGAGAGGGTGAAATGATATACGCATAGTGCTGAAGGAAAACACTTTAACATGAGAATAACTCAGCAAAGCTGTCTTTCAGCAATTAGGGAGAAATTACTTTCCCAGACAAAAACAGCAAATGGAGTTCATCACCACTAGGCCTGTCTTATAAAAATTGCTAGGGGGAGCTTCTTAACCTGAAACTAAAGGCTGCTAATTCATAACATGAAACTTATTAAAGCACAAAATCTAATGGTGTAAGTAACAGACAGCAATATTCAGAATACACTAGGGCTGTAATATTGGTGTGTAACATAATTTTTTCCCAGGCATGGGGGCTAAAGGACAAAATTATTAGTAAAATCTTTGGCTAAATTAAGTTTTCAAGGGATATATATTACAAAATGATGTAAGTTTGATGTCTAGAACATAAAATGGGGGATAGTAAAAGTGTAAAGTTGTGTATATAATCAAAACTAAGCTGTTATCAGCTTGAAATAGACTGTTATAAATGTAAGATGTTCTATGTAAGCTTCATGGTAACAAAAATCTATACAGCATGCATAAAACAAAAATTTAAACAATTCCAAACATGCCATTAGAGAAAACCTTTAAACCACCAAGGAAGACAGCAAGAGAGGAAGAACGAAACAGTATCTACAAAAGAATCAGAAAACAATGACCAAAATAGCAGTAGTGAGTCCTCACCTGTCAATAATTACCTTGAATGTAAATGGATTAAATTCTCCAGTCAAAAAACACAGAGCAAATTAATGCACAAAAACAAAACCCACCTATATGCTACCTATAAGAGACTCACTTCACTTTAAAGGACACACCTAGACTGAAGGTGAAGAAATGGAGAAAAATATGCCATGCAAATGGAAACCAAAAGAGAGTAGGGGTAGCGGTACATGTATCAGAAAAAATAGATTTTAAGTCAGAACTTGTAAAAAGAGACAAAGATGGATATTATATAATGAAAAAGGAGTCAATTCATCAAGAGGATATATTGATTATAAATATATAGGCACCCAATAGTGGAGCACCTAAATATATAAAGCAAACAGTAAAGGATCTGAAAAAGGAGATCAATTGCAGTATGATAATTGTAGGGGGCTTCAATACATCACTTTCAATATTGAATAGATAATCCAGACAGAAAACTAATAAGGAAACATTGAACTTCAACAACACTTTAGATCAAATGGACATATACAGAAATATACAGAATATTCCATTCAACAACAACAGAATACACATTATTCTCAAGCACACATGAAACACTCTCCAGGGTAGATTATATATTAGGTGACAAAAAAAGTCTTAGCAAATTGAAGAAGAATGAAATACACTCAGGAATAAAATTAACCGAAAAGGTGAAAGATCTATACATTTAAAACTATTAAGCATTAATAAAAAAATTGAGAAGACACAAAGGAATGAAAAGATATCTTGTGTTCGTGGGTTGTACAAATTAATGTAATTAATGTGGTTTTTTGTTGTTGTTTTTCTTTTTCTTTTTCGTTTTTAAGACAAAGTCTTGCTTTTTTGGTCTGTCACCTGGGCTGCAGTGCAGTGACATAATCATAGCTCACTGTAACCTCAAATTCCTGGGCTCAAGTGATTCTCCTGCCTCAGCTTTCTGAGTATGTAGGACAATAGCTGTGTGCCACTAGACCCAGCTAATTTATTTTTAATTTGGTAGAAATGGTATCTTGCTATGTTGCTCAGGTTGGTCTTGAACTCCTGGCCTCAAGCAATCCTGCCACCTTGGCCTCCCAAAGTGCTGGAATTATTGGTGTGAGCCACTGTGCCTGGCCCAATTAATATTGTTAAATGTCCTTGTAACCTAAAGTGATCTACAGATTTGACAAAATTGCTATCAAAATCCCAATGTTGTTTTTTATAGATATAGAAAAAACAATCTTATAATTCATATTTTCATATTTTAAAATCTGAATACAAAATTAATATTTTGTATTTAGAACTACAAGAAACATCAAACAGCCAAGATAATCATAGGTAGAATGAACAAAGCTACAGTCATCACACTACCCGATTTCAAACTATACTACAAAGTGATGGTAATTAATACAGCAAGGTACATGTATACAAATAGAGCTATCAATCAATGGAACAGAATAGAGCACAGAAATAGATTCACGTAACTATGGTCAATTGATTTTTAGCAAAGGTGCCACAAATTTATAATGGTAAAAAGGCAGTCTCTTCAATAAATGGTGTTGGAAAAACTGGATATCTATATACAAAAGAATGAAATCGAACCCTTATCTCACACCATAGACAAAAATCAACTCAAAATGGATTAAAGACTTAAACATAAAGCCTAAACTATAAAACTATTAGAAGAAAATATAGGAGAATATATATACAACATTGGCTATTACAATAATTTTTAAGATTTGACACCAGGAGTACAAGCAGCAAAAGCAAAAATAGACAAAATACATTAAAATAAAAAGCTTCTGTACAACAATGAAACAACAGAGTGAAAAGACATCATGTAGATTTGGAAAAAATATTTGTAAGCCATACATCTGATACAGAATTGATGTCCAAAATATACAAAGAACTCAAAACAAATCTATCACAAGAAAACAAATAATTTGATTAAGAAATGGGCGAGGGACCTGAATAAACATTTCTCAGAAGAAGACATATAAAATGGCTAACAGATACATGAAAAAATACTCGATATCACTAATCACTAGAGAGATTCAAATAAAACCACAATGAGATCAATTCCCATCTGTTAGAACTGCATTATCAAAAAGACAAAAGATAAAAGCTGGTGAAGATATGGAGTAAAGAGAACCCTTGTACTCTGTTGGTGGGAATGTAAATTATTATAGCCATTATGGAAAATTCTATAAAGGTTACTCAAATTCTAAAAATAGCATTACCACATGATTTAGCCATTATGTTTCTATTTACCTGAAATATTTGAAATCAGTACCTGGAGGAGATGTGTACAAGCTCATATTTATTGTAGCACTGTTCACAATAACCAAGTTATGGAATTGACCCTAAGTGTTCATTAACATGAAAGGATAAAGCAAGTGTAATATATATACACAATGAAATACTATTTCACCTTAAAAAAATAAAGGAGATCCTGTCATTGGCAAAAATATGGATAAACTCAGAGGGCACTGTGTTAATTAATAAAAGCCAGGCTTAGAAAGACAACCACCACATGACCTCACTTAGCTGTGGAATCCAAAACAAGGGATCTCATCGAGGCAGAAATAGTAGAATGGTGGTTACAGAGGCTAGAAGTTTGGGGTAATGGGGAGACAATAATCAAAGTACAAAGCATTGGTTAAATAGAATAAATGTTTGGGGTTTTTTTTTTTAAAGATCTTTAGCATGGTATGGTGGATATAGCTAATAACTGAGTACTGTACATTTCAGTATCACTATGAAAGTAAATTTCAAATGTTCTCAACATAAAAAAATTAAATATTTGAGGTGATGAATAGGTTAATTAGCTTGATCTAATTATTCCACATTGTATTAAAGATTATGATCTCACATTGTATTGTACAAATATATACAACTATAATAGTCCAATATATAATAAAACATTTTTAAAAAGAATTTTGAGGTTAGAAACTGCATGTAAAATTTCCCCAACGCCTCAAAATGATCGACTCTAATAATCATCCCTTCTAATCCAGCAGCCCATACTTTTGCAATTACCAATCTTTCTGACCCAAGCCTGACCCCTCTAATACCCTACATTATAAAAGTAACCCCTCGACAGGAGGTTCATCTTCATTCAACAATGAGGCAATAATCAAGAAAAAACTTGAAGACCAAAAGGCCAACAGGAGTTCACAAAATTCAATTAAGTCTGTTAGTTTTGAGAACAGATCAAAGAGGTTTAAAAGTATTCCATAAAATTCAGCTCATAAAGAACTGTTTTCATTTTATCCTTCCTTCCCTGTGTTTCCCAAAATATATACCTCTATTATAATAATGTCTTACTCTTTGGTATTCACCAATCTCAAGCCAATGATACTATATTTTTCTGACCAATTTTTAAATATTCCCATATGCTTAGCTCTTTTGCCATTGTTAACATTCATTTTCATTTCTGGATCAACCTATCTATGTTTTCCTTCCTTTGTTCCAACCTTATTGAACATTTCTTATTAAACACCAGGCACTGGGTATATCATAATGAAAATACAGACCTTGTCACCACCCCTAATATTTGCCATCTAAGGAAAACACAGATAAGTAGCAGGCAATTGTAATAATTGCTGTGATTGTGGACATAGTAACATACAGAATGACTACATCAGAATCATGTACGTCATGCCTAACCTGAATTTAACACATCAGCAAACCCTTGTGTAAGGGAGTAATGCTTAAGCTCTGTATGTCATGGGATGCAACTGTGATTTGCCCCTCTCACAAGCAGTTTAAATTGGTGGGATGGGAGTCAGAGTGGGATGTGAAGCTACTGTTGTAGGGGTGGGAAACATGAATCCCTTTTGTCCTTGACAATTCCAACACAGTTTGCTACAGAGAACATTTTTTTTTTCCTCCTTACATGGTCAATTTTCTGTGTCAGCCTGACTGAGTCACAGAGTGCCCAAACATTTGGACAAACATTATTCTGAGTGTGTCTGTGAGAAAATCTTGAGTAATACAAATGGATCTGATGAAATGGGATGTAACTATGTGTGCTTTCCAGCATCGAAGGCAGTTTGTAACTTCTGAAGAATGTAGAGCATTTTAATGCTATTTCCATCCCCACCCACAGCCCACTGATTAGTATTTCTTTTTTGTTTTTAGAAATAATTATTCCTAGAGCAAGATCTACCTGCTGTGTTATTTGCTCAGATTTGTCTTTGAGGCAAAAAGAATTCTGGACCCTAAACGAGTCCTCTTATGTGGGTCATTTTTTTAATACTATGTGTCTGTCATATTTATTTTTCAACAGCATACAAGAAGCTAAAATATTATAACTTTTGTTTTCGGTTGCTAGGGTTATAAGGATAGCAGTAGCAAGTTCAGAAATACCATCTACCATTATGCAAAAGTGACAACTATATCTATTCACTGACTTTGACAAAACAATAAAATAAAAGAACATTACTTGAAGGAATGCAGAAAATTAGCTTTTGCTATTTGCAATCTCCATATCACAATTCTTAGTGGTTAAAAAGATTCTGGCAAACAAATAGAAAGCTTGTATCTACATTACCCTCCTTGACACAATAAATACTTGATCACATTTATCCTTATGGTGGAGATTTTTTTCAAAAAGACATTACATATGAATGATAAACTGTCATTTTAACCATGTTTCAGCCCACAGATATTAAATCTAAGTAGCTTTTGATATTTCTACATCCTAAAACACACCCTTCTTCTATGCTTTTTGCCGCCTCTACTAAATGGAAAACATCTAGTACTAAATCAGTGCACATTGGTAGAGATGAGAAACATGCACTGTTGGTGGGAGTGTAAATCAGTTCAGCCATTGTGGAAGACAGTGTCATGATTCCTCAAAGACCTAAAGGCAGCAATACTATTCGACCCGGCAATCCCGTTACCAGGTATACACCCAAAGGAATATAAATCATTCTGTTATAAAGAGGCATGCACACATATGTTCATTGCAGCACTATTCACAATAGCAGAGACATGGAATCAACCTAAATGCCCATCAATGATAGACTGGATAAAGAAAATGTGGTACACATACACCACAGAATATTATGCAGCCATATAAAAGAAGAGGATCATGTCCTTTGCAGGAACATAGATGGAGCTGGAAGCCATTATTCTTAGCTAACTAACACAGGAACAGAAAACCAAATACCATATGATTTCACTTTTAAGTGGGAGCTAAACGATGAGAACACATGGACACATAGAGGGGAACAACACACACCGGGGCCCTTTGGAGGGTGAAAGGTGAAAGGATCTAGACTATGGATACTAGGCTTAATACCTGGATGATGAAATAATCTGTACAACAAACCCTCATGACACAAGTTTACCTATGTAACAAACCTGCACTTGGACCCATGAACTTAAAATAGAAGTTAACCTCCCCCCAAAAAAAGACATTAGGAAGATGCATATGTTAATTCTAATTTAATTCTTTATGGTTGCATAATTAATTTATCAATGATTCCTGAATTTACCTGGGCCTTTAGTATGAAAAATAAAGATTCAGCTAGAGAAAGGAAAGACATATGCCAGACTCATTAATTTTTTTAAAATATATATTTACTTGTAAGTATAAATTCTGTTGAATTTTAGTTTTAGATATTTACTGAAATTCAGTAAATATCATATTGAATTGAGGTGGCAGTGCAAAAATAGTTACAAAAATAGTTATTTTTCTCTTCCTTTCCAACTGCTCTCTATGACTTTGTATTCCAAAATTCACTTTTTACTACTGACATGCAAAGGCAACTAACATTGCCAAGGTATATCAATTCTCACTATGTTCAAAATCTTGGAGAACTGAAAAACAAAGATGGCTTTTTAATTGGTAAAAATCAAACATGTATTACTTTGATGGTACTTTTAGAGTTAGTCTCTGGAACCAATACATCAAATTCAAAAACCATTCTCACCTAGAAAAAGAATAAATGCAAATAAATGACATGAATGAAATTCATGAAATAAAAGTGCAAATGGACTTTGAGCTTCAGCAGTCAGATGTTTGTTTATAGGATGATGTTCAATGACTCAGAAAAGCCTGGCTAGCCGTGAATTCCCTGCACTGCACTCAGCTCTCCTCAGCTGCTCCCCTTCTGGAAGCAGCTCCATCAGGTAAAATTATGTGCCCGTAGGAGACATGAAAAAAAGAATTATGTAAAGTGGCAAGGCAAGGTCTTGCCCACAGGAGTGACAAATCAGAGAAATTGCACTCGTTCTAGCATCTTGGGAGACCCTACGACCCCACGTACCTTTTCCCTAGCACTAACTCAGAGACATTTCCTTTGCAATACAGAGGTAGCTTAGTTTTCTTTAAAGACTCACTCTTTCCACGCATATAGCACCTGATGACAATCTCCAACTCTTATCCAGTCAAGAGTATGAAATTCGCCTTCCTCACTTTCACAACTATCCATTGGCAAAACTGTACTCATTTTAAGCTTTTTTTTTTTTTTTTTTGGTCATCAGGATTTTCTCATTTCAGCCTGTCTTTGATACTGATTTGCCAAATATCCACTTGTCTAATATTTTGAATGATTAGAGAGTATTTAAGTTGTTTGAGATTCTATAGGCTCTGGGGTCATGATGGTTGCAAATAACTTAGATTGAGTTATTTGTCTTGGAGTTGGGCAGTATTTGGTACTGAGTAACACAAAGCCACTCGTGTCTCATATTAATTCTTGATATGTGTTTCTTATTTTGAAAAAAATCTTGATGTTGCCCATACCATAAGGCCTTATTTCCACCAATTTGAGCTTCAACTGGAGCCGTTTCTAAAGAGGCAGCCAGTTTTGGTGAGTAGCATTATTCCTGTATAAATAACAGATGCAGAGAAAAGAGCAGGGTATGTGGTAGTTAATACAGTCATCACTCACATACTTGGAATCCTTGAGGGGGGAAAACAAACATGTAACACACACACAGAAATGGATGCTAATGTACCATCTTGCAAATGATCTGTACTCCCAAAAAAGGAGAAAAAGAAAACTCTTTTAAAACAAACATGGCGTAAGGATCAGATCTAACCTATTCTTCTATGCAAATATGAAATGGAAGTTCTTGCAAAGACAAATATGGAAGTTCTCGCAAAGAAATTTTCTGACACATACCTACATCATGGCAAAGATGGAGAAAAACTTAAGGAAATTAATTTTGTAAGAAGCAAAAATTAACTTGCATCCTGCAGTAAGATGAATCCTATCCTTAATAATTTGTAACAATTACCCATGTTCTTCAGTGTCTACAATATGAATTCCAAATCTCTGATTAGGCTGTAAAGAATTATCCAAATAAATAGTAGTACTTCAACATTCAGTCACCAAAATGCTTACTGGAGTGTCTCAAAGCAATCTGCACATTAGTGAAAAGGAAAACCTAACTTGACCTTAGAAACACTTGAAAGTATTCTCTTACAGAATACTGATGTGAACATATGGGTCACATATAACTGATCAGGAGTCTTTTAAGTAACACTGTCCTTGAGCTATTGTATACAATGGAAATGTTTATCGAGGTTAAATTAACAATTAGCACAGCATTCATGTTTCTAATAGGAACAACCTGTTTTTAGATTGGACTTCAATCACTGTTACCATTATGTGGTACTGTGTTTCTGACCCACAGAAACACTTACTGTGTTTCTGACAGTCCAGACAAGTCCATGGGCACAGAGGACAATGCAGAAGAGAAAAAGTAAAATCGAATCACAGGCAGCAATGTACAGAGTGCATTTGAAAGTGTAAATCCCTGAAGAGGAATTCATTACTTAGCTTTGAGTTTCCAACTATATCAATTTCCTAGTGGAACATTAGTATAGAATCTAGCCTTTGTTGAGAGAAAAAAGGGGTTTTCTAAGTTTCAAAGAGTGTTTCTTTTGTATAACAAGAACAAAGCTTAGAGACAAAGTAGACCATACCAAGGTTATCACATAAAAGAGACCCCCGACTAACCACTGACAGGAATCAGGGAAGGCTTCTAGCTTTGGCCAGGTGGGCAGCAGAGCAACGCAGAGACAACGCATCCTCTAAGGGGGCCCAGAGTGGGGTAAAAAGGCAGCGGGAGGAGCAAAACCACAGGGAAAGTTCAACAAAAGCATAAGGGCCTTGTTTCCTGTTTCAACTTGATGCTCCAGGAGTTTCCCAGCCATTAGATCAGCAGGAATAGTTGTGCCAGTGCAAAATGTCAGTTTTAGAAAAGTTAAGAAAATTAAAATTTGCACATATGAGGTGAATTCAGAACTTGCCTCTAATATTGCTGATTTCTGGTAGCTTACCTCCCATTGATTTGCTAGACATATAACTTCTGTTTTTTCCTCTCTTGATCTAACCTTCTCTATATTAGCTGCTTTGGGTTAGGGCCTTTATGTGCAACAATGTATTTTTGGTATGACTTTGCCCAGCAATGAAGGTCATATTAGTTTCCCAGTGCTGCCTTAACTAAGTACCACAACCTGGGTGGCTTAAAACAACAGAAATGCGTGATCTCAGAGTTCTTGAGGCCAGACATCTGAAACCAAAGGTTGGTGGGACCACGCTCGCTCTCAAACCTGTAGGGAAGATCCTTCCTTGCTTCCTCCTGGCTTCTTGCAGTTTGCCAGCAATCCTTCGTGTTCCTTGGTTTGCAGCTGCAACATTTCAATCTCTGACTCTGTCATTACATGGTGCCTTTCCCTCTTGTCTCCAGTTTTTTCATTCTAAGACCACTAGTCATCCTGGATGAGGGCCTACCCTCATAATCTCATCTCATTTCAATTACACCAGCCAAGACCCAATTTCCAAGTAAAGTCACACTCAGTCACCAGGGATTCAAGCTTCAACATATCTTTTTGGGGGTCACAATTCAACACATAATAGAGGTAAAAAGAAAAAACAAACAACAAAAAGAAACTCCTCACATATTTCCTCTAAGGGAATAGCTAAAGTCCCCAGTTCTATTTGTAATCAAAGAAAAACTGGTATATAGCATTGTACAGGCCACACAAGCTCCCTGAAAAGAGCTGGTAATTTCTCCAGAAATACCCAGTTTGCCTATAGTTTGGAACAGCTGTAGTGAACCATCACAGCCAAACCCTCATTCTTTCTCTTTTTTCTTTTCTTTTCATTTTTTTTTTTTTTTTTTTTTTTGAGACACAGTCTCGCTCGCTCTGTTTGCCCAGGCTGGAGTGCAATGGCGCACTCACTGCAACCTCCGCCTCCCAGGTTCAAGCAATTCTCCTGCCTCAGCCTCCCGAGTAGCTGGGATTACAGGCATAGACCACCACACCCTGCGAATTTTTGTATTTTTATCAGAGAGGAGGTTTCACCATGTTGGCCACACTGGTCTTGAACTCCTGACCTCAAGTAACCTGCCCACCTCAGCCTCCCAAAGTGTTCGGATTATAGGCGTGAGCCACTGCGCCCGGCCTCATTCTTTTTCAATGTATAGTTCCCATGATATTCACTGTAGATAAATCTTTTGTATTATCTAGCTTAAGATTCACCAAAAAAAAAAAAAAAAAAAAAAAGGGACTTATAACCTGGTGGCAGTGACAAGTAGTCTCAACCTTGCCGGAATTCAGGAAGTCACTAAAGCACAGCTGTGGCAGCCAACCTCCAAGGCAGCCCTTGTGATCCACCTCCTGAAAGAGCCTTAGGTAGCCCCCTCCACATTGTATCAGGTTGGTCTATGTGACCAAGAACACACAGCAAAAATGATGGCATGTCACTTTCATGTTTAGCTGATACAAGATTGACTTCCATCATGGGTGTCTTCTCTCTCCACTCAGCTCTCACTCTGGGAGAAGCAAGCTACCACGTTGTGAAAAGCCCTATGGAGAGGCCCACATGATGAGGAACTGAAGCTTTCAGCCACCAGCCAGGGAGGAATGGAGCCCTGTCAGCAACCATAGGAATGAACTTGGAAGCAGATTCACCAGCAACAGCCTAGCTCTGGTCAACAGCTCTAACAGCCTCATGAGAGACCTGGTAGCAGAACCATGCAGATATGCTGCTTTTTGATTCCTCAGAAACTGTGAGAGAAAATAAATGTTTGTTTTTTAAAACTGCAAATGTGGAGATTATTTGTTACACAGCAGCACAGTGCTGCTATCTTGAGCTGAAGTTGTTCCAGTCACATTTCTTTCCCTCTGCTTTCCAGCCTCTTTTTTCACCTGAAGGATGATAGGATTTCTCTCTACTCCTAAGGAAAAAGCTTCTGAATAATCTCATTTTTATTATTTCAGTCCTAAAATAGGCTGGATTTATCAATTAAGAGAATTATCTAGCTATAAATACAACTTTTGATGACAAACATGAACTAAATAGTTTAGTAGTGAACCTTATTTCATGGAGAAATAAAGTAGTTCTATTTTTTGTTTTTTAGAAAATTTCCAAAAAATTTATTTTTCCAAATCTGTCTTCCCACTTAATTGGCACCTGAATTCAAGTGACCCATTCTGCAGTGGTATCCAATAAACTTGTGCCCCCTAAACTATCTATTTCCCATGCCAACTCTTAGCCTTGCTGGCACATGCAGAATCCACCTTCAATTCCTCTAGGGTACCAAGAACATGTTGGGGAGTGGTGATCCTGACCCTCCTTCAATCAGTCTTTAGCCTTAGTCTTTAGTCCTTACTCCTTTTCTTCTCTGATAGTATCCAAGCAGTTAAGTAAACCAGTACCTCACAGACATCTGCCTGGGAAACAAAATTCTAGTGTCCATTTACTGCGGTATGGCAAATTTTACAGAGCATTTCTCTTTAGGACCTTAGCATCACTCATCACTCTATTCTCCCCTTTGCAGGTAAGGGAAGCCATACTTTACAAATGCTCTACATGGCCAAACTGTGATTTCCATCTCCCTCTCAAGTCTCCCCTTAACCTAGAGGGACATAGTGGGATTGGTAGTGTCAGTTTAGCTAAACAGCATCTCTCGCCAAGCTTTGCAATTATCGTTGAGTTCGCTGAGCCTAAAATACACAATTCTTGGTGTCTTTTTATAACTGAGGACCCTAGTAATCAGTTCTTGTATTCTGCATACACCACCATCCATTTACATGGTAAAAATCCCAAATCAAATTCAGGACCAAATGCAAGGCCCTCTTGTTGCAATCTGATGGTTTATTTCTACCAACCAGCCATCTCTCACTGACTTTTCAACACAATTAGAAAAAGTCCTCCCAAACACATAGTTTTGAAATTCTACATTGAATGACACAGTTCTGCAAATCTCCCTTCCATAAGCTGCCTACCCTGAATGCTCTTTCAGGAAGCTTATTCAGATGATCACTCTGATACTCTCACACAGTATAATCTTTACTGTCTAGCTGAAAAGCCTGTTCTTGAATATTACAGCCCTAGCAATTAGGAGCTCAGATATGAATAACTTCTGTCTTCCCCACATCTCTCCCTCACAGATTACACCCACTCCCAGCACCATCACATCCCTCTAATAGTTTGAAAACAAGATGAGAGCGACCTAGCCTAGGTAGGCTTAGCTGTGCACACGTCCATGCCACCCAATCTCAGATTTGTTCTGAATATTCTATTAGGAGTCCAAACCCAGAAAAAAACAGTGATATTATATTATGAAACATATTTAAATAATCCAGAGAATGGTTCAATCATCCTTCATTTTTCCCCTCAGGCTTCCAACGTGCATACACAGTTCACCTGGAGTGAACAGATAAGGGTTCATCCTCAAAATACATTCCTCTGCTTTTTCTCTATCATGCTTTACTTCACTCTCATCTTTCCAAAACAGCTCTACTTCCTCTCACTCTTTGTCACCGGATAAAGCCATGGATCAGTCACAATTGGTTTTTCTTTTTTTTTGTTTTTTGTTTTGTTTTGAGATGGAGTCTCGCTCTGTCGCCCAGGCTGGAGTGCAATGGAGCGATCTTGGCTCACTGCAACCTCCACCTCCCAGGTTCAAGCAATTCTCCTGCTTCAGCCTCCCGAGAAGCTGGGATTACAGGCGCCCGTCTTCACGCCTGGCTAATTTTTTTATTTTTAGTAGAGACGGGGTTTCACCATGTTGACCAGGCTGGTTTGGAACTCCTGGTGACACGTGATCCACCCACCTCGGCCTCCCAAAGTGTTGTTGAGAGGTGACAACTTGCTAGCAGCCCTCGCTCGCTCTCTCTCGGCACCTCCTCGGCCTCCGCGTCTGCTCTGGCCGCGCTCCAGGAGCCCTTCAGCCCGCCGCTGCGCTGTGGGGGCCCCTCTCTGGGGCTGGCGGAGTGCTCGTGGGGAGGTGTGGAGTGGGAAGCGCGGGCGGGAGCCAGGGCTGCGCGGGGAGTGCCGGTGCGGGTTCCGGGTGGGCGCGGGTTCCGGGTGGGCGTGGGTTCCGGGTGGGCGCGGGCTCCAGGTGGGCGCGGGCCCGGCAGGCCCGTACTCCGCGGGGACGGCCAGCGCCTGCTGGGCTTGATCGGGGGACGCGCTCCCTGTCGGAGTGCCCTGGTTAGGTGCCGCAAAGTCCTGCGGCGGCGAGTGCCATTGAGAGGTGAAGCCGGCTGGGCTTCTGGGTCCGGTGGGGACTTAAGGGAACTTTTCTGTCTAGCTAAAGGTTTGTAAACGCACCAATCAGCGCTCTGTGTCTAGCTAATTGGGTAGGGGGCTTGGAGAACTTTTGTGTCTAGCTAAAGGATTGTAATAAACGTACCAATCAGCACTCTGTGTCTAGCTAAAGGTTTGTAAACGCACCAATCAGCGCTCTGTCAAAACGGACCAATCAGCACCCTGCAAAACGGACCAATCAGCACTCCGTAAAATGGACCAAACAGCAGCATGTGGGTGGGTGAGGCCAAATAAGGGAATAAAAGCAGCCCACCCTAGCCGGCAGCAGCAACCCACTCAGGTTCCCATGCGCACCGTGGAAGCTTTGTTCTTTCACTCTTTGCAGTAAATCTTGCTGCTGCTTACTCTTTGGGTCTGTGCTGCATGTATGAGCTGTAACACTCGCCACGAAGGTTTGCAGCTTCACTCCTGAAGCCAATGAGACCACAAAACCACTGGGAAGGACGAACAACTCCCGACGGGAGGAACGAACAACTCTGGATGCGAGGAACAAACAAGTCTGGACGCGCCACCTTTATGAACTGTAACACTCACCGCGAAGGTCTGCAGCTTCACTCCTGAGGCCAAGAGACCATGAACCCACCAGAAGGAAGCAACTCCAGACACACCTGAAAATCTGAAGGAACAAACTCCAGACACACCATCTTTAAGAACTGTAACATTCACCGTGAGGGTCCGTGGCTTCATTCTTGCAGTCAGCGAGACCAAGAACCCACCAATTCCAGACACATTGGGATTACAGGCGTGAGCCACCACGTCCGGCCTCACAGTTGTTTTTCCACAGAGAAAATACAGAAAGAAAAAGAGCCCTCGGGTTCCAAACATCGTTGCAAACCAAGGATTTTCAGAGGTTGTTAGAAAATGGTTCTACCTGGTCAGGCCTAGGCCTCAGATGGAGAAAACTGCAATACAGGCAATACTTTTCTTGCTAAAATACCAACTCTTGTAGCTGAACTTCAGTTTATTATTATGTAAAAAGTACCTGCTTCTTTCCTCTACCTTCCACCTCCCTAACTTCTGTTCCCATTGTCTTTATGGACCAAGACCCTAGTGGAGTGGGTGGGTGAATGTTCCACCCCAGGAAAGGTGTGAGATGGTAAAAACAATTCTATATACTGAGAAACTCGACATCTTCATGAACTATTAGGAAAAGATGTTTTCCAATGCCTGTTTAAATTATAGCTCTGGTATAATACCTTTATGGTATTTTATTCTAATGGTAATACGTGAAAAGAAAATGTGACTTTTAAACTGTTCTTTTAAAAATGAATATATATATATATATATATAGTTGTGATGCATGCAAAAGAAATTGAACAAATATCATTGTCTTATATTGGATTGACAAGTTTATATTTCAGTATTCATTTAAGTTTTCTGGCAATAGCAACTGTTATCTACTTGAAAACCTTATCATACTCAAAGGCAAGATGTAGAGAAATATAATGATAATGAAAATATTTACTAATGAATGCTGTATTCAACTACATTAAAAAATTAATTAAATAGTACTTGTTTAAGTGGCAAGAATGGCCCCTTCGGTATAGAGAAATGAGAAAAAAAGAAAAGGAGACACTGAAAAAAATCTGGAAGTGAAACAGTGACAGCTGTCTCAGGGTAAAGAAAATATAGCTTGCTCCCCAATAGCTATCAGTTATTTGAAGACATGCCAGCAAGGTCTCCAAAGCTGCACTTTTCCTGTGCTATCCCAGTTGGGTGCACTTGCCTGAGGATACAAAAGGAAGAAAAGTTAGAATACCTCATCCGTCCCAGATAAATGCTATTGCCTAAGGAGATATAAGGGAAGAAGGGAAGATGGGAGAAAAGAACAAGTGCTTTTACAAAGGAATGAGTGTTGTTAATAACAAATGGAGCTCAAAAGACAATGAAACAGTATCTGTAAAGTATTAAGATCCCTCCTACTTTCTCATTCTCTGCAAATTCGTTACATTTTGCTCCATGTTGCATATCACTTTTCCTCTTCTAGTTCATGGGAACTCATCTTCAAATCTTAGCTTAAGCATTTCTCATAAATTCGTCCTGATTTTGTCGTATTAGCTTCTTTCTGTCCTGTGTTCACGTAACATACATTCATGCCCCAATTATAACTCTAAGCTCTATGTACAGTGTTTCTTTTAAATGCATTTCTTTCAACAAGTTTGTGAGTTCTTTGATGGCAGGTACTTTAACTTATTCCTTTTTCTGTATGCTTTCCTGGTACATTGCCTGGCAGTAGTAGATGCTCATCAAATTGATTTAGTCATTCAACTGTAGTGCAAGATGCTACATATTTAGAAATGGACAAAATATGTGTCCATATCATCAGTTTAGAATTTCATGGAGATGCAGATATTAAGTAAAACAAAATTAAGGATAATATAAATTGTGGCAATTGAAATAAATGGTGACACAAAAGAAATGAACAGAGAAAGGAAGAAAGGAAAATGACTCAGTAAACCCAATGTAGACATGGAATCAAGGAGAATTTCACAGAGAAAGTAAAGTTTCAACTGTCACCTTGAAATCAATGTTTTTAATTACTGAAGATAATTTGTTTTGTCATAGTACATAAGTTTATGTACTCACATTGATTTTTAAAAGAAATTCAAGTATTGTGAAGAGAAACATCTTACCTAGGTTTTAAAAAAGTGTTTTCTTTAGATTCCATTATTCCATAATCAATGCTAACAAAAACAATATTGTTTTGTTACTTGAAAAAGTCAATGCAATAACAGTGGTGCCTTTTATACTGATTAAAATAATGAGTAAAATGAGTTTTATTTTTGAAAAAATCTTCTCTTTTCAATAGTTAAAATTGGATGCATAAAAGCCAAAGTTGTAGCTAAATGAAAAATTGTGATGATGAATTGAGCACAGTAATTTAATTTCTTTGTATATTAGTGACATAAATGTTAACAGTACACGAGACAAGAAGAGAGGTAGTAAAAGAAACAATTATTTAAGGAATTAGTGATTAATATTACAGCAGTGTTTAGAGAAAATTAACTTGAACATCTTACTCTTCATAGGTACTAAATAAAAGAATGTCACACAAACAATAGCTAAAATTATTTAGTTGCTAGAACAAATCTGAATTTTTTGCTATGTTTACAAATAGATAACATTAAGAGCAGAGTTGGTAAGAAATTAATCATAAGCAGGAAAGAATGTGGAAATGATCTAATTCGTCACTTCTATTTCCAGAATTATTGAAGATTAGATCACCTAAACATATTGAATAAGAAATCCCTGAAATCACCTAAACATATTAAATAAGATACTTGCTCTTCTTATATGAATCAAAAAAACAGCAGGAAATTAAGAAATACTTAAAGCAGGCATGCAACGAAAGTGGAGCTACACTTAATAATGCAACAAAGAGTATTTTAAATGCCCCAAACATTTTTATGAGAATCACATGAAATAAAATTTTATCAGAATTCCTATGTTTTTAGGACACAAAGTCAACACAGTAATAAAACAAGATATTTCTGTGTATGAATAGTCATGTTTTATTCATGCCAAGGTTTTGAATTGTATCTTAGCAAATCTGTCACATTTGGTCCTGACAATGACAGTGCTCCGTGAAATGGCCTTAGGAAACAAGTGTTCAAATGATAGAAAGCACACATGTTCATCAACAATGCAATGTATTTAGAATAAGCATAATCTCATTTCACAATTATATAGCTCAGTAGAAAAGCAGTAATTTTTAAATGCATAATTTGTGTAAAAATAGGGCACATCTGGAGGTCAGCAGCAGCTTCATTTGGTGAATGTATTAACTTCATGCACACTGTGATCTTTCATTATGCCTCACTACAATAAGCCATCATTCTTTTCAACTGTCTTAATAAAAGGCAGTTTGTTTCCTTCAAAATCACGCTCCCAATAATGTCTATAAAAAAATCACATAGAACATACACTTAACACAATTAATGCATCTCAAATTGATGTGTTTTAAATTTAGTTATGAAAATATAGTATTATGAGAGCCTAACCAGCCTATTCCAAGACGAAAGTTTGCATAATGTCATTTTGTTTTAAACTCTTCTCATAAAGAGACTTATTACTTAAACCAGATAAGTTCTATGGCCAAATTATTTTGAGATCCCTCAAATATCATAAAGAGTCCAGAAAGCACGGAAGTTTATGTTTACTTGGAATACTTGTAAATTAAATGAAAATCTGCCATATAAACATGTCAGATAGACAAGAAAGAATTTCAGTGTTATTTTAAAATAAGAAAAAATGTAATTACAATTATTACATTTTTTAAGAGATTTACTTATTAAAAGTTACAAAAAATGGTGTTTCCAAACTAAAGAACCTTCAGGATAGTTATCCAACCAGTTGGTAATTTTGATTCATTTTTCGTCAAAATAAAATTTGTGACGTTTACCTCAATGATATTACACAGATTTAGTCAAAATAATCAGTACTGTGTACCAAATGAAAAGGCAAATGAAATAAATTATCCGAACATACCCGTGGTGCACTGAAGCTATCTGGCACCAACTCAGAAGACCACATGATCTGTATTTCTTCTCAGCTCTAAGTTGGTAACTTAAAACCCAAATTGGCAAATGCTGCAAATCGCGTTTTTTCTCCCCTCAACAGAAAGCCAATGGGAGATGATGAAATAAGAAACTACAAAATGTATAGGGGAAAATATATTTACAGGGATGACAGAGAGTTTATTAATAAACATTTTTCTGGAGTATATGATACTTGAGATATTTGCCTTTTAAAATTTATAATTTGTTTTTATCTTATTTGAATAAAATACTATTGTTCCTAAGTTTGTGTTCATGCTATTATTATTATTTTTAAGGTCAAATACTATATAGACCTCAGCCTTCTCAAAACTGATATTTACCCTTGCAAGGACTTTGGAATCTTTTCATGGTAATTACATCTTTTGTACTCATGTGCTTCTGCTGTCACGTATTTTGTGTATCTTAATT
This sequence comes from Homo sapiens, assembly GCF_000001405.40. Lineage (NCBI taxonomy): Eukaryota > Metazoa > Chordata > Mammalia > Primates > Hominidae > Homo > Homo sapiens. The sequence goes on from NC_000004.12 coordinate 175,433,189, forward strand.
TTTTATATTTTTAAGTAAATCACATGGAACATGAAAGGGGATCTAGCAAATGGAGATACATTTCATTTATGCATTGGATATCTTTGAACTGGAAAATGTTCAATTCTTCCAAAATTATTTCAATGAAATTCCAATAAAGCAGATTCAGTGCAATTCCAACTGAAAACATTAATATAATTCCAATAACAATTCAACTATTATTATATTTGAAGCTTGGTGAGTTGATCCAAAAAGGTAAATGTATAAAAGTCAAAAATGGCCAACACATACTTACAACTGAAGAATACATTAGGTGAGATTTCCCTCTAGTCAATATCATGACTTAATATGAATATTAAGAAAGACAGTTTTGCTGGCATAAATAGTACATAGATTCACCAAATTAAATAAGAAGGGCAGGCCAGGTGCAGTAGCTCACGCCTGTAATCCCAGCATTTTGGGGGGCCAAGGTGGGCCGATTACTTGAGGTCAGGAGTTTGAGACCAGCCTGGCCAACATGGTGAAACCCTGTCTCCACTAAAAATACAAAAATTAGCCAGTGTGGTGGCACACGCCTGTAATCCCAGCTACTTGGGAGGCTGAGGCAGGATAATCACTTGAACCCAGGAGGCTGAGGTTGCAGTGAGCTGAGATCGTGCCACTGCACTGGGTACAGGGTATATGTCAGAATTGGCATATTGGGTAAGTAAAGAAAGAATAATCATTTTCAATAACTGTTGCTAGGGCATTACATTATCCATGTAAGGGAAAGTATCCCTAATATCACCATACTCAAAAATCAAGCCCAATTATATCCCTAATCTCGCCATACACAAAAATAAATTCCAGGTACTTTAATGAAGGAGAAAAATCAATATAATTTTAGAAGAAAATTAGGAAAGTTTTTTATGACATCAAGGCAGAGAAGGGTAACAAATATAACAGAGTACATACTATGTAGCAGAAACTACAAATCTAAATATTAATACATGCTAATGCACTAAAATGCTGTTTATGAAGAGACATCATAAAGACAGTGAAGAGATAAGTGATATATTGAGAGACAATATTTGCAAAACACCCAGTAGAATGAGCAAAAAAGGTTAAATTCTAATTTTTTCCATGTAAAAAACTACAAATTTTCATAATATTAAAAGTTGGGAGAAAAAAACAAGTCTCAATGATATGAAACAACAGGAAATCTCATTCTCTACTGGTACAAGTGTACATTTGTTTCAACTTTTTGGAAAATAATATGGCATTCCCTAACTTATTTAATATATAATATACTTATTTATATATAAATATAAATAAATAAATATATTTAAATATAAATATAAATAAATATATATTTAAATATATATAAATATATATTTAAATATATAAATATAAATATTTATTTATATTTTTAATTTATTAAATATATATTTAAATATATATTTATATATAAATATAAATATATATTTATATATTTAAATATATATTTATATATATATATAAATATATATTTATATATATAAATATAAATATATATTTATATATATAAATATATATTTATATATTTAAATATATATTTATATATATAAATATATATTTATATATATAAATATAAATATATATTTAAATATATAAATATAAATATATATTTAAATATATAAATGTAAATATAAATATATATTTAAATATATATTTAAATATATAAATATAAATATATATTTAAATATATAAACAAACATATATTTAAATATATAAATATAAATAAATATATATATTTAAATATATTAATATAAATATTTAAATATATACATATATAAATGTAAATATATATTTAAATATATACATATATAAATGTAAATATATATTTAAATATATACATATATAAATATAAATATATATTTAAATATATACATATATAAATATAAATATATATTTAAATATATATAAATATAAATTTATATTTAAATATATACATATATAAATATAAATATATAAATATAAATAAATATATATATTTAAATATATAAATATAAATAAATATATATATTTAAATATATAAATATATTTAAATATATAAATATAAATGTACTTATATATATTTAAATATATATTTATCCTATAGCTCTCTTGGTTCCATGTACTTTTTTCCAGTCATCCCTTCATAGAGGCTTCTCTCAGCTGACTTTTATGCCAATGCTTTCATTAACTTCATTTAGATAACAGTTCAGACCATAGACAATCACTGTCCATGTCAGGAATTCTAGATGTGGTAACTAAAGGCAAACTAGGATTACCGTGGCCATCTGTCTTAGTCTGTTTGTGTTACTATAAAGGACCTGAGGCTGGGTAATTTATAAACAAAGCGATTTATTTGGCTCATGGTTCTGCAGGCAACACAGGAAGCGTGGCACCAGCTGCTTCTGATAAGGACCTCAGCCTGCTTTCATGCATGGCAGAAGGCAAAGGGGAGCCAATGTGTGCTGACATCACATGGCAAGAGAGGAAGCAAGAGGGAAAAGGGGAGGTATCGGGCTCCTCTCAACAGCTGGCTGTAATGGGAACTAATAGAGTAAGAACTTATTGCTGCAAGGACTGCAACAAGTCATTTATGAGAAATCTGCCCCCATCACCCAAACACTTCCTAATAGGCCATACCCCCAACATTGAGGATCAAATTTCAACATGAGGCTTGGAGGGGCCAAACATCCAAACTGCAGCACCATTCTACCTTCATTAAGAAATTACTGACATGGCCTGAGAGAGGTGGCTCATGCCTGTAATCCTAGCACACTGGGAGGCCAAGGAGGGCGGATCCCCTGAGGTTGGGAGTTCGAGACCAGCCTGACCAACATGGAGAAACCTCCTCTTTACTAAAAATACAAAAAAATTAGCCAAGCGTGGTGGCGCATGCCTCTAATCCCAACTACTCAGGAGGCTGAGGCAGGAGAATCGCTTGAACCTGGGAGGCGGAGGTTGCAGTGAGCAGAGATTGCGCCACTGCACTCCAGCCTGGGCAACAAAAGCAAAACTCCATCTCAAAAAAAAAAGAAAAAAAAAAGAAATTACTGACACAACTTTGGAGCACTCAAATGTCTCATAGTTAGACTATTTCTGAGCTCACAATTTGGGAGATTTAAAGAAAGAAAAACCAGCACTAATAAATAGTAGAAATATAAAAAGAATCCTAGAGCTACAAGGAGGCCAGATAATGCAGGTTCTAAAAGCAGAAGTAAGCAGAAAACTGTTTTACTGATGTGGGCTGGTGTCAATAAAATGTGTTACAGTGTTACAGCGGTGAATTCACTAAAACAGGTGGATTATTTTTTTGCATGAAATAATTTTTAGCTTCTTTGGATTTGATCAGCCCATATGCTACATTTTTAAATGTATCAATTTGGGTTGAAAAAATTAAATAACCAAATGGCTTTTATTTTTAAAAAGGAACCTTAACAATTTGAACGTTAGGATTCCCTCAATATAACATTTTATCTCAAAAAATATTTATTATACTTATTACAGCTCATATATTGGAATTTAATTTTTAAAAGATGCAAATAAAATCTCTGCTCCATATTTGAATGCTCAGCATCCTCCAAAGTACGGCTCTTTCCCCTCTACTCTCTTTCTCTTTTTTAGCTTGTTATTCAAGAGAACAAAGTCAAGAAATAGGAGCTATAGTCACTCTTTACATTCAATTTCTCATTATTTCTCAGAAGATACTACCTAAAAATCTCTCAAATAGCCTTTTTTCTTTAAGTTACAACAGTAACAAGTCCTTGCGTGAATGGAAATAGCTTATGAATTTGTCTGCCTGCATCTGGTTTTGCTCCCACCAAATTCATGCTAAACATTGCCACCCTGTTGATCTTTACAAATGCAACAACGATTTCATTCTCACCGTCAGAATGTTTTTGGCTCTTCCCGATCTACTGTACAGTGTGTGAGTTCTTCATCATCACATCTATGATATGAGCCTGCTTTTACTTTCAGCCTCATCTCACGCTATTCTCTGCCTCTAAATTTACATATTAGTAATTCTACCATCCATTTTTTTCTTCCTTCTCCCAACCACCGCATTTCATGTGCTTCGAAAAGAGTCGAAATGCCCCTCGACTGGAAAGCTTTTCCTGTCCAGCTCCTCTCTCCAAGCTGCCCCTCACCTCCTCCTCGTGCCATTATACAATCTGTCACGTGGTCTTCCTTTTGCAGGTGGCATTGGTTACAAGCAAGAAGAGCTAACATCCAGTATTTTTAAAATAGTATCATTGTTTTACCTAAGTGTTTGCCAATATCTATTGGACGACTTGTCATTCATTGACTCAGGAAAGAAACGTTAGAGCAGGTAAAAGGCTCATGAGTTCTAAAACTCAGGCGAAGGCTGAAGAGACTCTAGAGATGGAAAAAATACCCCGATTCTGAGAGAATAATTTCATTAACAGAAGAATAGCAGTAGAAAAACAAGAGAAGCTTCAATGTTGGTACACTAAACTCAAAGCTGTCAAACCCAATGGGAAAAGGTACAACAGAATATTCAGATAGCCTTATTTTATTTAAGCATACATGAAGTCTATTTGCCCAACCTTACGCAGAGTCCAAAGAGATGTTAACACTCTAAAATAAAATTAGCAAAATACTGAGAAAGGCATAGTGGCAACATGCACGAACTACTTGTCAGTGGCCAAAGGAGAGAATGGGCATCTCAGCCAGTGTCAGTGAGGACTGAAACTGCCTGATCATGAGAAACCTCCCACCATAATGACATGGAATCCAATACAAACCTGGGCAAAGGGGCAAGAACCCTGAATTGATATCAAGTGGGGACTTGAAATATGAAATCAAGATTTAGAAAATTGAAGTTGTATTTCTTGTGAACACAACTTGTGGATTGAAATATATACCTACCGAAGCCAAGACTTTGGGGAGGGGCGGTAGGGAGGCTGGAGTCTCAGGTGCTGGTGTTGAGGTGCTCAGACCCGCATTAACACCGAGAGGGCCCTGTGGAAGGTGGCACACCTTGTACTGTGGAACAGGCAGTTACTGATAACTTGTGCTAATTTTTTCTTGTATAATCTTTATTTTCCATATTGCCGCAAAGAGAGTTAGCTGATTTCTAAAATTTCTGCTAATCTGATAAGTGAAAAATGGTAAATTGTTATTTTAATTGTATTTTTAAATTAAAAATGAAATTTAAGCTCTTAAAAATATCATCTGGACATTTTAATTTTAGCTGATATTTGTAAAATGCCTTTTTAGAGGAAATGGTCATTGTTTCTCCCAGATTGTTTTATCCTGGTGATGTATCACATGTTCTGTATTAGAGAATTTGTTGTCTTATGTATGACAAGTACTTTCCCCCAGTGCAGCATCATTATCATTTCCCTTTATTTTGACCCTAAAGAGGTTTTTCACTTACATTTCTTTGTCATGCTGCTTAAATTTCCATATGTCGATTTCAAGAATTGTTTATTTTTGATTTTTTGGTTTCATAGCATATTTTTTAAAATGCTTTCTCTCTCAAAAATACTAAATGTGTTAAATGTATAAAACATGAATGCATATTCTCTTCTCAGATGTGCATGGTTTACTTGTTGAATGTGTTCTGGCATAAAGAATTAAGTACAGACCCAGCTATTTTTTTCCTTTCCTATTATTTTAGCCTCAGGATGTATTTTACTAGCAAGACTGTGTTCACTGCTGTCAGTTCTGGGCAAGGTCCTCCCTCCCGCCATGGCTATTTACCTATTTTTATTCTTCAGATGAACTTTAAAATAATTTTGTGAAGTTTTACTCCCCACCCTAAAAAAAATAAAATATCCTGGCATTCTTATGGGGTTTATATCTCATCTATGGAACCATCTAAGGAAAACTTATATTTTAAAATATGAAAGTTTTCAAGAATGAGACAGTTTCTTTGATTTATTCAAGCTTTCTTTTAAGTGGTTCACCTTATTTCAAAAGCTGTATCCACTTGTAGGTTCTATATATTTTTTGTTACACTCATCACTAAACATTTTATTGCTCATAATCTTTTTTTAAAATTATTATCATGATTATTTTTGGAAATGCTGTATTGCCAAGGCTGGAGTGCAGTGGTACCATCATGGCTCACTGCAGTCTCTACTTCTTGGGCTCAGATGGTCCTCCCACCTCAGCCTCCTGAGTAATTGGGACGACAGGTACATGCCACCATGCCCAGCTAATTTTTGTATTTTTTGTAGAGACAAGGTTTCACTATGTTGGCCAGGCTGGTCTCAAACTCCTGGCCTCAAGCAATACTCCTGCCTCAGCCTCCCAAAGTGCTGGGATTACAGGCCTGAGCCACCATGACTTGCTTTATTATTTGTATTCTTCATGTGAATAATTGACTTCCTTATCTTTACTAGCTTTGTGCCAGTAATACTTTGACTTGCTTATATTAATAATGTCACCAGCTGTATTAATTCATTACTTTCCATATATTTCCATTTTCAGTGAATCTCTTGAAATATGAAGTTTTCTGTGATATAATTTGCTAATAATTATATTTTTTCTTGGTTTCTATTCTTTATATCACTCAATTTATTCTCTTTTCCAATGTTTCGAGGACAGGTTTAACTAATTGTTGGAATAGTTAGCAAAATTTAGAATGAGCTTCCTATATGGAGTTGTTGGCAGCAGTAGAGAGAAGCATTGAATTGAGGCTTCTGTTCAGCCTCACTCTGGGTCATGGACACTTCCACTGGTTCTTAATTTTTCTTATCTCTTTTGACTTTGCTTTCTCTGAAGTCTTTGTTGTGAGACACAGAAACTTTGAAATTTCTTAGGCTTCTTTCTCTTTCTCTCTCTCTCTTTCTTTCTTGCAGAGGAAAGCAAATTTTATAAACCCTGAAATTCCTTGTACCAAGTTAAGAGCTGTGCACCTACAATGGTGGACTGTGGCTGACGTTTTGCACATGTCCCTGCTTTACCAACTTACTGCCACCCCAAATCTCTATTCTGGATGCTTCCATATAGATTTATGTTATCTCTAAGAGTTCTCATAAAAGTGCCCACTCCTTTTCTCAGACTATACTATTTCAGAGAAAACTGGAGATGAGCCACTCAAGCAACTCGTGGAAAATTCTGTTTCTGGGTAACAATATTCAAAGTGTATGGAATGAACCTGCACCCTTTCTTCCATTTGTGTCCTGCTGCTTCTACTTATTTTTGTCCAGCTTATTGAATTTGGAGGAAGTTAATTGATCTTTTTTATGGAAGCAAATTTCCCTAGAGGACAAGGTTTTTGCTTAGGAAAGATAGCTCGCTCTAAGAGAAGGACTGTTGACCAGAAAACCAGTCATAAAGCTATTGTCATTGCCCAGTTGAATGATGATGGAACAATGGGTGAGGAAGGAGCTAAATAAATTGCATTCCTTGGGCAGCATGGCTGGGCTCAGAGGCAGTAATATATACCCTTGGTTTATATATTAAACACTAATCCACATCATATATTACACAAGATGCTATCACAAAACTATTATTTTTACAGAAAAATCATGTGAAGTAGTTAATAGCATCTCTAATTTAAAAATACTGTCCTGAATCCTCTAATGCTAAATAATTAATTAATATCCTCATAGCTTCATAAATCTTATAGCAGTTTGAACTCATGTCTCCAAATAAAGAACAATCTGTAATTTGAACCTTATTATTGGTTCAGTATTCTCTTCAATTAATTATTTTGGCAGTCATCTTTTTAAAACATTAAACATTTTATTGCATCGGATTTTCTTCTGCTCCTACTGGTTCTCTATTGACCTAAGCAAGCATGAGCTCTTCAGTAATTTTGAAACTATATAACCAAGATATGGTTTCCTAGCAACTGGCATGCCTAAAAGCTTCCTACCTCTGTTTCAAAATGTTTGCAGTCTACAAATGTTTTCTCTCACATTTTAGCTTCTTTTAGATTTGTCTTCCAGCACAATTTAATTTCAACAAGTCAAGTATTATACAGAATGCCCACAAACTTTAAGACTTAAGGGCATCAGATCTGTATGCGGATTTACAGGAGGTGATGTACAACATGAAAGGAAAATTCACCTTTAGAAAGAAAATATCACTTGGTTGAGGTTGAGATGTGTATGAATATCCTGTGTGGAGAATCTCTAAACAGTACTAACAGCTGCCATTAGAAGAAGTGACTGTGTCTGCATGCGTGCAAAGTCGAATATCCCCTTTGCTTTTCAGTGTAAAAGAGATGTCATAGCAGCAACCCCTCAGCAGCCAGGTAGAAAAAAAATAACAGAAAGTGTCCATGTGTGCCCTCTCTTACACTGAGGGAACGGCTGAGCAAAACAAATAATTGACAGTAGGAAACTACCAGAGCAGAAAGTAGTTAGAAGCAGACATTTTAGAGTCATACAGACTTTAAAATCCAGTCACATCTTTGCTGATGACTAATTATGTGTATTTGAGGCCGGGCGCCGTGGTCAACACCTATAATCCCAGCACTTTGAGAGGCCGAGGTGGGCAGATCGTAAGGTCAGGGGTTCGAGACCATCCTGGCCAACATGGTGAAACTCCATCTTTACTAAGAATACAAAAATTAGTCGGGCGTAGTGGCACACACCTGTAATCCCAGCTACTTGGGATGCTGAGGCAGGAGAATCGCTTGAACTTGGGAGGCAGAGGTTGCAGTGAGGCAAGATCATGCCACAGCACTCCTTCCTGGGTGACAGAGTAAGACTCTGTCTCAAAAAAATATATATATATATTTGAGAAAACTATGCAATCTTTCTCCACTTCAGTTTTCTTACTTGCAAAGTGGTTACTGGTTATTCTTTAAGTCTGCTCAGCATCCAAATCCTCTTTTAAGCTTGAAAAAATTCCCCATCATATGAATCTTGGTGGAGGATGGAGTCCCCTCCCTCAATGAAAGGTTAAAAGGCTTTGATGCTAGTGAGGGGCACCTGCTCTGTACTGAGGACCTCATGTAACTATCTCTGGGAGTGGAACCGATTACGTACAACAAAATTCCATTCTTTGGGCAGCATTGCAACAATCCCCAAAGTATCAGTGGTGGAAGTCACAGAAGCTAATGAGTGGCAGTAGTGCTGGCCATGTTCTCACTGAACCGGTCCTCCAGTGTTACCATAAGATGGGGGCATACACAAGCTTCATTCCTGTGTGTGCATCCTCCAAGACCGGATTCTCGCTACCTGGGGAAACTTGTTAGCTGTCTACTATGATGTTAACACATTTGTTTTTTGCTTGCCAACCAAAATCTACTTTCAGGTGCTTGCAACTATGATTCAACATTATTTATCATATAGCACCATTGTGAACACTGAATACGTTAATCCAGGTTATATAATTAGCACAGAAACTGGAATACAGCACATACTCAATAAATACTAATGGCATTACTAATTACATGGTATTATTTCTTGGCTCCTTAAGAACTATATTTCAAGAGATAAATATGTATTAGACCATTTCAGCCCCCACACTTCCAAAGGTTTATGATGAAAGAGAAAAGCCCAAGACGTAAAAAATAAAAAATAAGAAAGCAGTGAGAAAATGAAAACTAGTGGCAGATGGAGGTTAATTCAAATCTGCCCTTTTCGCTTTCTTGAGCAAAGGATTTTAACCTTTCTAAATCGGAGTTCACCATCTGCTGTATGTAAATAATTTCTAAACTTTAAGGTTGTAGTGAAGGTGACAAAAATATACTCAAAACATTTAACATATTGGCAGACTTGCATAATGAGATTAATAAGTGGTAGCTATTGCGGTTACTATAATTTTGCTTTACTCTTTTCTCTTATTCAATTAAAGCAGTACACACACACTTTGCATCAAATATTAGGAACTGTAAGAATTTCTACTAGATATTAGTTTCTTCAAATACTTTCCATTCGCAAGTTTATGTAAAACTGGGATGTTAAGTGTCATTAGATGCAGCAGGATATTGCTTTTATAATATATGCATTTTTAAATTATGTCAAACTCATGTGAATCCAAAATATCTGAAACATGTCTCAATCAATTTAGCATGTTTATTTTGCCAAGGTTAAGGACATAACCATGACACAGCCTCAGGAGGTCCTAATGACATGTGCCCAAGGTGGTTGGTGTACAGCTTGCTTTTATATATTTTAGGGAAACATAATATATCAGTTAATACATGCAAGACTTATATTTCATTCCACCTGGAAAGGCGGGACAACTCCAGCCAAGGTGGGGGTGAGGGAGTGAAGGAGAGCTTCCAGGTCATAGATAGATTTGAAAATGTTTTGATTGGCAATTGGTTGAAAGAGTTATTATCAGTAGAAAGGAATGTCTAGGTTAAGATATGGGGTTGGGGAGACAAAGGTTTTATCATGCAGATGAAGCCTCCAGGTAGCAGCCTTCAGAGAAAATAGATTGTAAAGGTTTCTTATCAGACTTAAGGTCTGTGTTGATGTTAATGCTGTGGGGGCGAGTATAGTGACGCATGTCCAACCCTTTCTTCCATCATGGCCTGAACTAGATTTTCTGGTTGACTCCAGAATGCCCTTAGTTGAGAGTAAGGGTCCATTCAGATGGTTGCAGGGACCTTAGAATTTCATTTTTGGTTTACATTCTCCCCCTTCTGGCCAAGATTTGCCAAAGGCAACATCAATGGCCACCACATTTTTATTTTGTCCCATAGTGTTGCCAGAGTGGCATGGCGGCCTGCCCCAGGTCCATCCTGTTCTTTGATGGGACTCCCTGTGGCCAAGGGACTTAGAGTCTAGCCAGATAAGAATGGACATAGACAGGCATTCATTATCCCCTTAATTTTTTTTAAGTAATTTTTTTTAAGTTAAAAGCCAACAAACAAAATCCACAGACAGGATACAAAACTGACTTCTCTTTAACTTCTATGTGTTGAGCTACTATAATCTTGGTATTAGTTACAGACTTGTAGTAATTAGCTATACAAAACATAAGCATTCTTCTGAAAATTAAAAAAATACATATATATCTGAAAAACTCTTAACTGAGAGTATTATAGCCAAGAGGTTCTGTTATGAGGTATCTTTATACTCTCAGTAATTACTTACTTTTAATTCTATAGGAAGTAGTATATTCTTTATGGTTGTGTTACAGGAAAGGGGTCCCAATCCAGACCCCAATAGAGGGTTCTTGGATCTCACACAAGAAAGAATTCAGGGTGAGTCCACGGTGCAAAGCAAAAGCAAGTTTATTAAGAAAGTAAAGTGGTGAAAGCACAGCTACTTCATAGACAGAGTAGGGCATTCCCAAAAGTAAGGGGAGAAACGTGTCCACTCTAGGTACAATGTTTGTGTATATAGGATAAAAAAAGATCATGAGGAGGGAGATGTGCTCTGCTACAAGAGTTTGTGATTAATTTTCTTAATTACAATATTTTTGCAAGAATCAATATTATTATCTTTAAAGCAAAATTAGGAGTCCCTTTGTTCTCAAGATATGGGGATATTAGGACACTCCCAAGTCGGAGTCTGCTTAGTAAACATTATCAACCTGTTCCCTTAATCGTAAACATCTAGAGGCTAGGAATGCCTAACTTTCTGGGAATGCAGCACAGCCGGTCCTAGCCTCATTTTCCTAGGCTTCACTCAAGATGAAGTCACTCTGGTTCCATAGACTCTGACATATCTCCCGGCTCCCTTTAAAACAGGACCCTTAATCCTAAGGGTTGCAGAGGAATGAAGATCCATCTTCTGTATCTCCTTCAGGCTGAATAGGGGCAATGATATTCCTGCCTAACTATTAGGGTCTCTTGCATTCAGGGTAGAGAGAAGCTCATTCAGAAAGCATTGGCATGGTGAAGTTCGTTCAGAGCTGTGAGTTCTGACAAGAGGTGATACCTGGAAGATTAATGTGTCCAATTTAAGAAAGCGTTGAATGAGCTTGTCTTGCATTTCTACACAAAAAGTACGACCACAATATATTCCACAACAGAAAAGCAAAATAAGTGTAATCACTCCAAGTAAACTAAACGGGAAGTCTTTCCAAGAACTGGGTAGTTGTCGGAACCAAGCCGATATTGTACACAAGTTACTCTCGGCATGATTCCGACTTATACCCAAAAGTAGAATGCCAATCCATGTCTTTACGTTACCCATCCTTTTTGCTTCTTCTGAACAGGAGTTGGAGGTTACTGGTTGGCTCACAGGAATAAATGTGATCAGTCTCTTCTGTTCCTCAGCCTGTGGAACTCCGTAAGAGAAAGGTTTAATTTGAGATAAGTGGACCTAGCTGTTTATTCCCAGAAGCTTACCTGCAATTGGGGTATCAAGTAAGGAGAACTTGATAGGGTCCCTTCCATTTCTGGGGAAAGTTGATCTGCTAGGGATTATTCCTTCCAAGTTTTTAATAGGACCCAATTTCCTGCTTGGGTTGTAACAAGAGTCTCCTCCTTAGTGGGGGAAGGGAGTCTTTGATTTCCATATTCAGGGAGTGCCTTTTGCACGTGTCCTAAGTTGATCACATAATTCTGTGGCTTGAAAGTATCTACGTCTATTAGGAGGTCTGTAGTTACAAAAGGCCTTTGACACATCATTTCAAAAAGGCTGAGAGGCAGATTTCCCTTGAGGGCCCCTCAAACCCATAACAAGGCTACAGGCAATACAGGCAGCCAGGTTTCTGATGTTTCTTGGCATAGTTTGGCAAGAGCCCTTTTTACAGTTTGATTAGCTCTTTCTACTTTCCCTGAAGTCTGTGGCCTCAACGCCAGGTGAAGGTGGTACAGAATTCCTAGAGCTGCAGATATGTTTTGAGTAATTGTCTCTGTGAAAGATGGACCCTTATCACTCTGTAAGTTCTTAGGTAGCCCAAAACTAGGAATTACTTCCTTTAATAGGAGTTTAGAAACCTCAATTGCCTTTTCAGACTGGGTACGAAAAGCCTCAATCCAACCTGTAAAGGTGTCAACAAATACTAATAAATATTTAATCTCTTTACATGGGGGCATCTGAGTATATCCTAGCAATCTTCACCAGGGTATGTTCCTTTATGCTGAATAGGCCTTACTAGAAGAGGAGGCAAAGATTGGTTATTTGGCTTATTCAGGGAGCATAGTTCATAGGCCTGAGTTACCTGCTTTACTGTTTTAAGTAAGCCTTTTCCTATAAAAAGCTAAGACATCAATTGAAACAGGGAATCTCTTCCCAAATGAGTAGAGTCATGCAAATACTTAACTATTTCCCACTGATTAGCAACTGGTATCAACGGTTTGTTTTCATTGATAAGCCAGCCAGAAGGATCTTGAATTAAACCCTGACCTTTAGCCCATTCTTGTTCCTCTTTAGTATATTTTGGTTCTGTCATTACTGTAGCTGAGGGTACTAGTATGCCGACAAGTCCAACTGGCTCCCTTAATGCTGCTGCCTTAGCAGCTGCATCTGCAAAAGACTTTCCTTTAGTCACACTAGAATCTCATTTTTGTTGTTGTTGAGACAGAGTCTAACTCTGTCGCCCAGGCTGGAGTACAGTGGCATGATCTTGTCTCCGCTCCCTGGGTTCAAGCAATTCTCCTGCCTCGGTCTCCCAAGTAGCTGGGATTTCAGGAACCTGCCACTGCACCCGGCTAATTTTTGTATTTTTAGTAGAGACAGGTTTTCACCATCTTGGCCAGGGTGGTCTTGAAATCCTGACCTCATGATCCACCTGCCTCCACCTCCCAAAGTGCTGGGATTACAGGCATGAGCCACCACTCCCGGCCTAGAATCTCCTTTTTGATGTCTTATGCAATGGATTACAGCTACTTCCTTGGGCAGAAGAACAGCATCCAATAGATTCAGAATTTCTAAGTGATGTTTTATAGGGGAACCCTTAGCAGTTAGGAGTCCCTGTTCCTTCCAGATAGCAGCATGAGCACGAAGTACCAGGAAGGCATACTTAGAGTCAGTGTAAATGTTAATTCTTAAGTCCATTCCCAATTGCAGGGCTCTAATAAGAGCTATTAATTCTGCCTTTTGAGCCAAGGTAAAAGCTGGTAAAGCCTGAGATTCAATTACCTCGTGCTGACTAATGAGAGTATATCCAGCTTTTCTGTTTCCCTGGTGCACAAAGCTACTTCCCATCTGCAAACCATTCTACCCCAGGACTATCTACAGGCTAATCCTTTAAATCCAGATGGCTGGAGTAAACTATTCCCTAATTGTATACAAGAATGATCTAGGGGGCCTGTGCCTGTGTGTTCAGGCAAATAGGTAGCTGAATTCAAAATCTGGCATACTTTAAGACTTAAATCAGGAGTGTCTAGCAACAAAGCCTGATTTATTCACAGGAAAGGAGAAGGAGCAATTTTTCACCTGCCTGTGATTTCCAAAAGCTACTACCATTTGCAGCTGAGTCAACAAATCCCCTTCCCAACAAGGGAGTGTGGTATTCAGGAGAAAACCAGAGTCCCTGAAGAGCAGCTTAAGGATAGGTAAAATGGCATCTATGGGCTTGTCCATCTAGTGACCATAGTTTTGGAGTGACAGGGGCCCAATATAATGGGTCAAAACAAAGTAAGCAGTCCAGAAGGAAGTTAATATTCTTACCCTCCAGGTAACCCACATCAAGGGTTACCTGAGGCTTCTCAGGAGTTATGGCTAGTTATCCAATGAGAGCTATGGCAGAAGGTCTCGGGCCCCATCACTCTTCAGCTTGCCTGACTGCTTTGGCCATCATTGTGATAAGGAAGGGGGGCAGGAAAGTGCTGAAAGGAGAAGGGCAGATCCCTCACCAGGGTTCCACCCCCCGGGCCTGTGCCCATGGACCTAGGTGAGGACAGGCTCTCCTGCCTTTGCGCCCAAATGTCGCATTTCCCAAGACCATCCTGGCCTGCCATGCCCCCATCCTGTGCCTATAAAAACTCAGAGACCTTAGCAGGCAGACACACACACAAGCAGCCGGACATCGAGAGGAACACATCGGTGGAAGAAGACACAAGTGGCTGGACATCAAGAGGACATCGAGGGGAGCACACCAGCACATCCACAGGCCATCGACCAGTGGAAGAACACAAGCTCAATAAAACTTTGCGCTCATTCTCCAAGCTCACGTGTAATCTGATTCTTCTGGTACACCAAGGTAAGAACTCAGGATACAGAAAGCCCTCTGTCCTTGCAACAAGGTAGAGGTAGAGGGTCTAGTTAAGCTGGTTAACATAAGCTGCTCATAGACAGCAAAACTAAAAGAGCACATGGTAGCACATGCCCACTGGGGCTTCAGGAGCTGTAAACATCCACCCCTAAATGTAACCAGGGGATTGGACCCCCACAACCTGCCCCTCTGTATGCTCCCCTAGAGGTTTGAGCAGCAGGGCCCTGAAGAAGTGAGCCTCTCCCCGTCACACCCCCTGTGATGGGCAAAGGGAACTTTATCCTTTTCTATTGGTTGGGGTGCCAATGGCTCCCTTCGGAGCGCTGGGCAATCCCTCTTCCAATGGCCAGTTTTCTTACAGCGTGCACATTGATTTATGGCCAAGGCCTGGTGACTCAGACACCCAGCTTTGGGCTTTCCACCTTTCAACCTCCCTTGTTCAGGCCAAGACCCAGGCGGGCAACCCCATGTGGGAGGTGAGCTTAAGGCTGGAGCCAAGAGCTGCACCTAGTGGGAGTTTCTTCTTGCTCTTTCTGCTTCCTCTGCTTTGTCCCTGATATTAAAAATTAAAAATGCCATATCCAAAAAGCTGTTCATAGGAGTTTGGGGACCCATAGCTGCTTTTTTTTTTTTTTTTTTTTAGCTTCCTACTGATATCAGGGACAGACTGGGTTATAAAACGTTCTCCCAAAAGGGTTTGCCCTTCCCTTGAGGCAGTCTCAGCGTTCACATATTTCTTAATTGCCTCAACTAAATGCCTCTGAAACAAAGCTGGATTCTCATCTTTACCCTGAGAAACTTCCCTAACCTTGTCATAGTTAACATGCTTTTTCATATATTTCTTCATCCCTTCCAAAAAGCAAATGACCACATGATCTCTCCTCCCCAAGTCTTCACTGCCCCTTTGATAGTTCCACTCTGGACCAAGATGGATCTTGATGGATCCATCAAGATGGAACTGCCATGCCTCCTGCTTGATATATTATGGTTCAGATTGTGAGCCAATACCTCATCTGCCTGGGTCCTAGCTGTTCCCAAAACGTGTTGTTTCTCTTCTGCTGTACAAAACAGAGACAACAAAATGTGCAGATCCTGATAAGATGAACTATAGGTCAGAGTTAATTTCTCAAATTCATCTACGAATTTTCCTGGATCTTCAGAGAAATAGCTGAGCTTCTTTTTACATAGAGCCAAGTCAGACATAGAAAAGGGGATATGTACTTTCACTGTGCCTTCTTCCTCATTTGCCACCTCTCTAAGGAAAGATTTCCTTTCAGAGGTTTAGAAGAGGCTTCACTACGAGTGGTACTCACTGGGCTAAGTTCCTCAGGGAGTGGTGGGTATAAAGTGGGACTAGACAGGTAAGGAAGAGAGGATGAAGGGCTCTCAATAGAACTTTCAGCTGGACCAGAGGGAGAAAGGGCCGACACAGCTGAAGGTTCTGCTCCACCAAAAAATGCCTACTGAACTGCAGGAGCTTGCATCACAGGATCATCTAGTATGTCTAGTTCTTTTTCTTCCTTTCCTCTCATCAAACACACATGCGCCTGCTGCAGGGTTTTATCCTGACTGAGCAGCAAAAATGCTTGGACATATGGTATTTCATCCCATTTTTCTTCTCACTTACAAAACAAATCGAGTTGAAGTACAGTATTAAAGGCCTTAGTTCCAGTAGGAGGCCATTTCTCTTGTTTTCCCAAATAATACCGAGGCCAAATGTATTACATAGAAACACCAGTTTTCTCCTCTTAAGTCTATTCAGTTTAAATTGGTCTCAATGTTCAAAAATATATCCTAGTGGTGAGTTATTTGGAATTGATGCCATGGTTCCCATGAAGGAGGCAGGTGATGTTGAAAGTAAAGTTCCAAACCTGTGAGATTGTATTGTCACTGGCTGAGTTCCACTAAAAAGGATAGGAGAGGTTTTTAAGATCAGCTGCAGTAATGAGGGGGATCCCTGCCAAAAAATGGAATTATCTTATTCACAGTGTCTGAATAATATAAATGAGGCAGCCATGAATCTCAGATATATCACAACATGGACTCCAACAATAGAAATGTCGAATAAGGCAAAGGAAATGAAGAGGATTTAGATGGGAATGACCAGGGCAAGCAGGTTCTGGGCAATAGTGGCAACATGGATTGGACAAGCAAAGCCAGTTTGCTTGAATCCAAGAAAGGAAAGAAGTGTTTTTTGTGTGCAAAATGAAACAAAACGGCAAGGAAAAAAAGTCCCCTGATTTTCATCCTAGTGCTTCTGGATCACACCTAGTTAGCACAAAACATAACAGCAGCAACAAAATATAACCTAGCAGCAAAAAAACATAACCACATGTATCTAATCTTATTGCTCATGGCTATGAAATACCAAACCACAATCAGCAATTTTAGAGAGGGAGCCTTCAATGCCTTTTTTGTTCCCAATGTTTCACAAGCAAATGGATGGAAATCAGGAGGCACACATAGGAAGAATAAGTTAAAATCCCTAAGACCAGTTGAATGAAGTATCCTGAAAATGACAGAGAAACAGAGACTGCAAACAAGAAATTGATTCATGCCACAAAGAGGACAAGGCAGATTAATACAAAGAGCATGGCAGTTAACATCCTGTGGTGCCAAACTTGTTTCTATCTGAGAGAGCATTCACGCTACCCCCCTAAATCTTAGAATGGACTCTAACCCTGCTAAGTCAGGTCTCTAACCCAAGGTTGGTCAAGAGTCCTTGCCTTTTATTGAGAGAAGCCTTTAACCCTCTCTGTCTTAGGAGAGACTCCCCTAAGTTGGGTCTTCTAACCCAATCCTCACTTACCCAAAGTCAGCCAATTGGTGTGTGCAAATGACTTTCCTTTGGGTCATGGATCTCTTCAATATCACCACTTCCGGTTTGCCAAAAAGATATCACCGGACCCCACCACTTACCCAAATTTTCCCTTTGGATTGAAGGTTTCTGCACTATAGGCTCTTCAGTGGTCACCAGAAAGACATTACAGGACCCCACGACTTACCTAAAGTTAGCCTTTGGGTCAAGGATTTCCTCACTGTAGTCCCTTCAGTGGTTGCCAGAAAGATATTACAGGAAAGGGATCCTGATCCAGACCCCAAGAGAGGGTTCTTGGATCTCAAGAAGAAAGAATTCAGGGCGAGTCAGCAGTGCAAAGCAAAAGTAAGTTTATTAAGAAAGTCAAGTGGTGAAAGTACAGCTACTCTATAGACAGAGTAGGGCGTTCCCAAGAGTAAGAGGAGAAATGCGTCCAGCCCAGGTACAAGGCTTGTATAAAAAGGATAAAAAAGGATCATGGGGAGATGGAGATGTGCTGTGCTTCAAGGGTTTGTGATAAAGGATTAATTTTCTTAATTACTATACTTTTGCAAGAATCAATGTTATTATCTTTATCACAAAATTAGGAATGCCTTTGTTCTCAAGATAGCAGGATATCTGGACACTCCCAAGTCGAGATGTTTAGTAAATATTATCAATCTATTCCCTTAACTGTAAACATCTAGAGTCTAGGAATGCCTGACTTTCTGGGAATGCAGCCCGGCCAGTCCCAGCCTCATTTTCCTAGCCCTCACTCAAGATGGAGTCGCTCTGCTTCCAA
This sequence comes from Homo sapiens, assembly GCF_000001405.40. Taxonomy (NCBI): domain Eukaryota; kingdom Metazoa; phylum Chordata; class Mammalia; order Primates; family Hominidae; genus Homo; species Homo sapiens. The sequence continues at coordinate 175,451,824 of NC_000004.12, forward strand.
CGCCTCTGACAGTTGGGGTGGATGAAAAAGTGTCGTGTAATAGCTCAGAAGGCAAAGTACCTTGTTTTATCAATTGTTTAGGCATCTTTGTACCCACCCTTGATTTGGAGGGTCCAACTTTGACCTAATTCTATCCCTCAAATCCAGGCCCTTACAGCCTCACATGCCCACCTTTTCTATGACAGTCCTTGGGCCTAGAGGGAGGGTGCTTGTATAGTCTTAAAAGCAGGCCATTTGAAGTGAAAAACAGATTAGGCCCAGTGTAATGCTAAAGGAGGGAGATTTGTATCTCTGCTCTTCAGATTACCATGATTTTAGCTTCCTTGCAAGTAAAACAAGGAGAAATAAGATTCGTATTTCTACAGAGTATTTGTGTGTCAGAACAGAAAAGAAGAACCTACTCCATTAGGGTGCCAACTAAAAATATGAAGAAAAATTATAATCTGGCACTCTCTAGAGGATTACTGTAGCCAAGAAATAATTAATGATTCAATCTGCACTCAGAAACAAAAGTCGGAGCTGAAATAACAAGTGTTACACTTTTCCTTTGAAACAATTTCTCTCTCTAGCCCTCCTTTTCTATTAGAGAGAAGATACAGTAAGACCAATCTGTGTGCAAAGTAAGTTTTAGGCTTATTATGCTTGGCCTGATTATTTGCATAAAATGCAGCAAGAATTGATTGGCTATATAGGCTCATTTTAAGTTGGCTTTGCTGGAACTTTACCTAAAAATATATTATTCTAGTCAAAGCCTTGGTAAAATAACCAGTGTCTCTAGTTGTCCTATTTTAAAAGTAAAGATTCTTACTAAACCTATGCAAATAACTATATCGTCATAAAATCAGAATGATTATGAGCAGTTTCCATATTTTGGAGAACTCAGACAGAAAAGTAAACTTGTTCACAAAAATGTACTTCAACCAATAGCTGTAAACTACAAATAACAAAAGAAAAAGATTTGCTTGTCTCTTCTTTAACCAGAGCATGGGTTTCAAACAGGATGTCACTTGTTCACCTTGGAAATACTATCCACAAGCCAAACAACTCTTGTTAGATGAGAGCTGTCTATCAGGCACTGTCCAACATAACAGCTCTAGAATCTATATGAGGATATAGTTAGAATCAGCGATGGTAGGGGGGAAAGGCTACCTGCTTATGAGTATTCTCCTCCTTGCATTCCCCAGGTAGCAAGATACTGCATCAAAAGGATTTGATCTTATATCAAAAGTTTGGACCAAGGCACTCAGGCCCTTTGGTTAATGTTTATCTTATTTGCCTCAACATTGCCCAGGTAATGCCATCTTTCTCATTATAAACTTTGGCTTTTTTTGTTTGTTTGTTTTTTTGTTTGTTTTAGTTCTCCAATGGGGGCAAATAGTGGAAACCCATCCAAAAATTTCTATCACTCTTCTGGGGAGAGTCCTTTGACTCCCTTTTTCCTTTCCCTTTTTATTTTTGTTGTTGTAGTTGTTGTTAATTACCCCGATGTTTTATTAAGCATCTGTAAGACCCATGAGGGACAGGAAATTTGATAAGGCTTCTCAAACAGTTGTGTGATTTTGTGGTAGTGATGTTACCTGGGGTATCCATGGAAAAGTGTAACCACCCACTGGGTTCACCTTGCCCGCCACCTAGACAGAGACAATTGATCAAGACAGGGGAATTGCAATAGAGAAAGAGTAATTCACGCAGAACTGGCTGTGTGGGAGACCAGAGTTTCATTATTACTCAAAGCTGTCTCCCTGAGCATTCAGGGATTGGAGTTTTTAAGGACAACTTGGTGGGTGGGGGGAAGCCAGTGAGCCACGAATGCTGATTGGCTAGGTAGGAGATAAAATCATAGGAAACTGAAGCTGTCCTCTTGTGCTGAGTCAGTTCCTGGCTAGGGGGGGTCACAAGATCAGATGAGGCAGTTAATCCATCTGGATGGTGCCAGCTGATCCATCAAGTGCAGGGTCTGTAAAATATCTTAAGCACTGATCTTAGGAGCAATTCAGGGAGGGTCAGAATCTTGTAGCCTCCAGCTGCATGATTCCTAAACCATAATTTCTAATCTTGTGCCTAATTTGTTAGTCCTACAAAGGCAGTGTAGTCCCCAGACAAGAAGGAGGTTTGTTTTGGGAAAAGGCTGTTATCATGTTGATTAAACTATAAACTAAGTTCTTTCTAAAGTTAGTTCAGCCTGCACCCAGAAGTGAACAAGGACAGTTTGGAAATCAGAAACAAGATGTTGTTAGCTAGGTCAGCTGAGTTATAATTTTGCAATGGTGGTTTCAATAGGAGTCCCCTTAACCCCTAAATTTACTATGACCTGTGTAATGGGCATATTTGGTGGGAGAATATGCTGGTTATCATAAGGTCAGTCTCATACGACTTGCATATGAAGCATACCAACTGCTTCATCTGGTGTGCTCCACTTGATATTTTACAGGGAAATTCGGTCAGTCACCATCTCAGGGCAAACAGACTGTACAGAGGCATTTATCTGGTCCAATAGGTTAGTTGCAGGAATAACCTCGTGTGCCTTGGGATCACATTATTCAGTAGTGATTGTTTAATAGTGAGTTGTGGTTCCTGCATCAACAAACAAGCTCTTTCCTTCTGCAGCATTTAAAATTAAGAATTATGTCCTTAAATTAGTGATTTTTACAATTCATTATAGTAAAGGTTTCTCAAGAAGCTGATGACAGCAATCTACAAAATGGACCAATTCCTTTACATTATACCCTCTAGTTTAATAGTTACTTGGTCTTGCCCTTCCCCCACATTGCCTATCTTCTTGAAAACCACAGGTCTCAGAGGTAACATTTGTTGCCCTGGCTTAATAATTTTTATCCATTTAGTTCTACCTGTATGTTTTCCTTTATCTTAAAGTGACTTAAATAGTTTCTTAACTAGAAAAAATATTACATTTTCTTCAGCAAAAAAACACATCCTTGTATTTTATAAGCTTCACCAAAAATACCCTTTACACTGTTATTATTTTAGATCTTAGGAACTCAAATTCCCAGTGAAAAAAACCAAAGTTACTTAATTTAACACAACAGGACTTTAAGATTTTAAACTACTGGAGATAATTTTGAAATTAAATTTACCAAATTAATCTTACCAAAGATAACAAAGGTCATGTGACTTAAAAGGCTAATATCTACCAGCTAATATCTGAACAAATATCTACCAGCCTGATAAGCACTTACTTTTTTTTTTAATCAATTGATTAGAGCTCTTTCATGTAGTTTGGTGGTGAAATATCACTTCCACATTGAGATGGGATAGTTCCCTTGACCTCTTCAGAGGACTCATGAAGAGGTGGTTCACTTACTCAGCCCACAGCTCTCAAACCCCTTGTGGGAGTGGGAGTGAGCAGGTGAGAGGGGGCAGAGACCGGGATGGGTGTTTCTAGGCACTGGCAGGAGTAGAATTCCGTAGCCTGGCAGCAGTGTCCAGGGGTTGCCCAGGACCCCCAGAGCCCCAGAAGGCATGTGTTATAGTGCTGTCCTTTAGCTTTGCCATTCATGGATGGCTTAAGTGTTAAAACAGCTCAGTGGAGAGCCAGTATGACAGCCTCCTGTACCTGCACCCAGGTTCTTGTCCATCATCCAGGAGGAATGAAGTGGCATGAACAAATCGGAGGTTGGTGAATGTGAAGGATTTTATTGTGCAGCAGAAGTGGCTCTCAGCAGCATGGGGAACTGGAAAGGGGATGGAGTGGGAAGGCAGTATTCCGCTCAAGTTCAGCCAATCCTGGCTGAACTCCTCTCCAACAGTAATCTCTGATGATTGCTTGATAAATAAATGCAAATGAAACTGTATGCTGACAATTCTTAAGATATTTCTAATACTACTTTACCAATAATTTTAAAACCAGCTTATTTATGAAAGATGTTACCTGAATCATGTGAACTTGAAAAGCATGTGGGCTTATTATTTAATTTATGAATACTCTTTAGCTTCAAGCCAATTTGCTACTTTGTGGCCAAAACCACATAACGAAATACATGTACATACACATAAACACACACAAATGCATTTGTTACAAACAAGGATCTTACAGTTTTTACTTCAGAACTCTGGCCATGAGAGATTAATACAAACTCAGCAGTTTGCAAAAACAATAATAATTTTAAAAACATTGCAAACATTGGATTTTATGTTAGTAGAAAAGTAACAGCAGACTTCAATCAGGCAGAAAAGAAAACAGAGAATTTAGGAACATTATAGTTAGTTGCAGGTCAACCTTTGGGCTCTGAGTTTTCCATGATGTTATTTGCCCATCAGTTTAAAACGTACACAAGAACAGACCTAATCTGTAACCAGCTGGAGTATTAGAAAACCTGTTATGTCCTTCCATTTTCACAATCACTTGCAAGTAGAGGTGCCATAAAGCTGGGCAGGTTGACCAAGGTGGGTCATTCTCCTTGTCTTTCCTCATTCTTAGGTGATTTGTTTTGCACATTTTTTTTTCTTAAAACAAGGAACTGGTCTGTGGCCTAGGGTTTAGTGTAGTGGAACAAGATGTGCTGACTGTGGCCAGGACTCCACAGTGAGTCACCACTGAGTCATTTCTGCCCTCCTATTACATGCCTCAGTTTCTCTCTCTGGAGGTCTAGCACCTCTGAGAGGGCTCAAAACATGGAGTGGCAAGCTCCTATATGTGTTTCCTGGATGAGCATTTTTAAACTAATTTTTTTGGGAGTTTCCTGTAGGGCTGCTGCACATCATGGGAAGGTCAACCCCCCAGACACTCCCATTCAGCCCCAGTCACCAAGGAGTACCTTTTGGCCAGAAGGAGCAAAATGCCCTTTCTCTTCAGAGCTAAGTAAACTCAATCTCTCATTTATCTATAAAAAGAGCGACAATTCAGTTCCTCATGCAAATGAGCAGAGAAGTCAATCAAGACTAATTTTGGGAGGAAAGGTAATAGAGAAGACTATTTAGAATGTACCTCCAAATTAGAATTAGGATCATAAGCAACAACTTTCTTGGAGGAAAAACACCAGCCAAGACTACTTCCTGTAAACTGTGCTCAGCTACCCCTAAATTTGTAGCTCTCATCCGCCATTATACACACCAAGATCAAATCCTCTCACATTACAAGGTCATCTCTGGTACCCACAAAGCGAAAGTGGTCAGGTAATAAAATATAGGAGAGCTTCAGACATAAGAAGAATTTGCCCACGACTGTTGAAACGCCACAAAGAAAACAGAGCACCCCAAAAGGGATGAGTGGCGTCTTTGTTTTGAGTTCTTTCAGGGGCTTGAGTCATTAGAAGCCTTCTCTAGATTTTTTCTTGGTACTGAAGACAGCAAAGGGGAAAGCAGGAATAGGGTGAAAGAAAAGTAAACAAAACAAAGAAAGTTTTGTTTTTAAGAAGGGAAGCAAACATAGAAACCAAGTGCATGGTTTGTTGTTGTTGTTGTTTTCTTCTTTTTGAAGCTGTGAGAAATTCTAGCCAATTCAGAAGTCTTGTTGCCCATAATCTGGGATTCTCATTTGAATTTGACAAATTTGAGTAGAGTTGGTCAAATCTGATGGGAGAAAGACCAGAACAACAACAACAACAAAACCAACTATATAGTCTTTGAGTGTTCTTGTGGTAAGGAGAAATTAGGCTCAACTGGTTGTCAATTTTAACCTTTAGTCATTAAGGATAATTTCCAAGACAAAAGTCCCCAATTCAGCTACTTACTGGGAATGAGATTGGGGATCCTATGGAGGGAGGGGAGCTCCTGGGTCTTGGCAAATTGTCCTATTGGTTTGAACCATAAGGAAATCTCAAGCTGGTACCAAGCACCGATAGGAGATTTGTCAAAAGTCAGGGGAAACTCCACTCAGAATCCCTTCGTGGTTATCAGTTTGTCAACCCCAAATACCTGAGACAGGTCTCAATCAATTTAGAAAGTTTATTTTGACAAAGTTAAGGACACGCCAGTGACACCCTCAGGAGGTCCCAACAATATGTGCCCAAGGTGGCCAGGGTACAGCCTGCTTTTATACATTTTAGGGAGACATGAGATATCAATCAATACCTGGAAGATTTACTTACATTGGTTCCATCTGGAAGGGCAGGACAACTCAATAGTGGGGAGCTTCCAGGTCATAGACAGATTTAAATGTTTCCTGACTGACATTTGTTTGAAAGAGTTATTGTCAGTAGAAAGGAATATCTGGGTTAAAATAAGGGGTTGTAGAGACCAAGGTTTTATTATGCAGATGAAGCCTCCAGCAGGCTTCACAGAAAATAGATTGCAAACGTTTCTTATCAGACTTAAGGTCTGTGTTAATGTTAATGCTGGAGGGTATAGTGAGGCATGTCCAACCCCCTTTGTCATCATAACCTGAACTGGATTTTCAGGTTAACTCAGGAATGCCCGTAGCTGAGAGGAGGAGTTCATTCAGATGGTTGGTGGACCTTAGAATTTTATTTTTTGTTTAACTTCAGAAATAAAACAAATGACTGTGAGTCCTTTTCATTTTTTTTTTATTTGACAGACTAGCCTTGGGGTTGTTAAATATATTAAGGAAAGCATCTATGTATGTCTTTTTAATAAACTATCTGAGAAGAGCTCACATACTATGAAGTTATGTTATCTTGCATTCGTTCTGTTCAGCATGTGAGGCACTAACCAGTTTGTATCTATAGTCCGTCCTCCACATCTGTGAGTTCCACATCCATGGATTGAAAATATTCTGAAAAAAATAATTTAAAAAACAGCAATAAAAAAACCACAATTTTTTTTTTAAAAAAATAGAGTACAACTATTTATATAACGTTTACATTGTATTAGGTATTACAAGAAATCTAGAGATTAAAGTATATGGGAAGATTGTGTAGGTTATATATATACAAATATTATGCCATTGTACATAAGGGACTTGAGCACTTGTGCACTTGCAGATTTTGGTATCTACAAAAGTTCCCGGAACCAATTCCTTGTGGATTTTGAGAAATGACTATTAGCAAATTTGTGTCATCATCCCTTTGACTTACAGTGTAAAATAAAATCTTTGGCATGTGTTCATTCTATATTTGCATGAGAGTCATGTTTTTTAAATTTTTAAAAATATGCTTTGGCGTATTAAATGCTCTATCTAGCAAACATATTTTAGCAAACAGATTCTGATAATGCCAGACCATGCTAAAAACAGCAGCTATTTATGTTAGTCTAGTTTTTCAAACCTTGTTAAATAAACACTGGTAATAACATTTGAGGCTAATTCTTACAATAGCCAGACAATTTCTTTAATGAAGAGAAAAGATTTATTCACTAAATAGATCCCAGGATGAATCCCTAAATCACTAGTGTACTGTGTGATTGGTAACTAACTTATCCATTGAAACCTCAGATTCTTCAGAATGAAGATGTTAGACTAGTTAATTTCTAATATTAGTAGCTTATCTGTCTGAATATTATATTTTAAAATATAATTGTTATTAAGTTGCATTTTGAATTACCATCTTGATTTTTTGGTGGATTTATTCAATTAAAATGATTGATGAGTTCAAACAAATCAGAAAATATGTAAAGACTAACAAATAGAGATGGAAAAGTTACAGTGACACCTAAACTCATATCTACTTAGAAAATAAAATTTGCTTGAGTATTAAGGGCCAAGGAAAATAAGAAAAAAGTTTATCCAATGAAAATGGACATTTTAAATGCTGGGATATGTCATTCTCAATGCCTGGAAATCATAGATCTTGAACTTTCATAGGTTAATTATCTGACCTGACAAAGACAAGTTTGGTAAAATTATTGGAAAAGTTTGTTTTTTGTATCTTCCCACTTACCTCATGCATTGCTTCTCAAAGATTGCTTTTCCTCAGTAGTACCCTGGCCCTTTATTTAGTCATTCATTCAGTAGATATTTATGTAATGAAATCATTATGACATGATACCATAAGCTAAAATCATAGACCTGAATAAGACATGCTTTTGTCTGCAAATAGCTACAGTTATTGAGAAAAAAGAAACAAGTAAGTAGTAGAAGTAAATGCAATGTATTATGATAGAAAGGATAAGGGTAGAGAAAAGGGATTTGGCATGAATCCAGAAAGCTCTCAGAAGGCAATACTTAAACTGAAATTTGAGAAAAAATTATAACAGAATATGAGGTGAAAAGAGAAGAGTATTCCAATCAGAGGAAATACCAAGTTGATGATAGAGTGAAGCCACATTACACATTTAGAGAACTGCTAATATTTATTCACAGCTGAAGCAAAAATAGGTGTGAAAGTAACAGAAAGTGAAATCCCAGAATCAGGAAGGAAGTGATAATGAAGAGCTTACATTGTAAACTTAATTATTTGTAAATGTATCTGGTAGGAATGAAAAAGCATAAAGCATGAAGGTTTAAGCTACTAACATGACCTACTGCCATTTAAAAAGTTGTCTATAGCAGCATTTACAGTGTGAAGGCAGAGTTGGCTCTTTTTTTTTTTTTTGCTCTGATATGAACAATAATGATGATTATAATAAAGGTCCAAGTTAAGGTAATGAAATTGAAAATAGAGAAAACAAACTTGAGAGAGAACTTGATTAAAGAGGACTTGAAAGAAAACGAAGAGTCAATGAGGGAAGAGCAGAGATGAGTGATCACCAGATTTTGCCCTAGGAAATTGGGATGATAACAGTGACATTTTCCACGATGGGAAATAGCCAAAGTTAAGCCAATTTAATACCTAGAACCATAAAGGATTGTTAAAAATTGGTTTCACGCAATTGGTTTTAGATGTTATTATACACTCAGGCAGAGATTTCAATTAGGCAGTGATATATAGATAGCATGGGAGATTAGGATTCCAAATGTACATCTGGGATATAATTGGCAGCAGAATCCACAGAGATTTAAATGAGTTTATCTGGGAAGAACATATTGTTGAAGGACCGCGTGAGGCTAAGGATACAGCCTGAGACATCAGGAATATTTGCAAGCCAAGCAGAGGAGTGTGTCTCATGAAAAGAACCAGAAAGACCCCAGGGAGTTAAGAGGAAAACGAAAGGTCTGCTTATATGTAAGCCAAAGTTAAGTAAGAATTTGAAGAAAGAAAATGGTCAAAAGCATCATGACCTACAGAAAAATCTAATTAAAGGCAAAAATAAAAAAGACCATTATCTCCTAAATTTTGGAATCACATTAAACTGTAGTTAACAATAACTTATTGTGTATTTCAAAATAACTTAAAGAGTGGAATTGGAATCCTCCTAATACAAAGGAATGATAAATGCTTGAGGTGATGGATGTCTCAATTACCCTGATTTGATCATTACCTATTGTATGCTTATATCAAAAGATCACATGTACCCCATGAATATGTACAATTATTATGTATTCATAATTTCATGCACGTCTGTGTGAAGAGACCACCAAACAGGCTTTGTGTGAGCAACAAGGCTGTTTATTTCACCTGGGTGCAGGCGGGCTGAGTCCAAAAAGAGAGTCAGCGAAGGGAGATAGGGGTGGGGCCATTTTATAAGATTTGGGTAGATAAAGGAAAATTACAGGCAAGGGGGGTTGTTCTCTGGCAGGCAGAGTGGGGGTCACAAGGTGCTCAGTGGGGGAGCTTTTTGAGCCAGGATGAGCCAGGAGAAGGAATTTCACAAGGTAATGTCATCACTTAAGGCAAGGACCGGCCATTTTCACTTATTTTGTGGTGGAATGTCATCAGTTAAGGTGGGGCAGGGCATATTCACTTCTTTTGTTATTCTTCAGTTACTTCAGGCCATCTGGGGGCATAAGTGCAAGTCACAGGGGATGCGATGGCTTGGCTTGGGCTCAGAGGCCTGACATTCCTGCCTTCTTATATTAATAAGAAAAATAAAACAAAATAGTGTTGAAGTGTTGGGGCGGCGAAAATTTTTGGGGGGTGGTATGGAGAGAGAGAATGGGTGATGTTTCTCAGGGCTGCTTCAAGCGGGATTAGGGGTGGCGTGGGAACCTAGAGTGGGAGAGATTAAGCTGAAGGGAGATCTTGTGGTAAGGGGTGATATTGTGGGGTTGTTTGAAGAAACATTTGCTGTATAGAATGATGGGTGATAGCCTGGATACGGTTTGGGATGAACTGAGAAACTAAATGGAATAAAAGAAGGAGAAAAACAGGTATAAAAGGTCTAAGAATTGGGACTACTCAGGACATCTGATTAGAGAGTGCCTAAGGAGATTCAGCGTAGTCCTGTCAGCAAAGATTATTTATTAACTTCAAAAGTTAAGAGTGGCAGTTTGGGGATAGCACTAGGAGATATCAGCTGTGATGGCTTGGAGAAACAGTGTAAACCGGCAGTGTAAACAAGAGCAGGGCATGTATGAGTAGTTGAGAACGGTGAATAGGAGTATGACTAGACAGAAGATAGTAGGGATGACAAGTTTTTTGGGGGGCACAGTCTAAGTTGGTCTGGTGTCTGGAATGAGACTGGGGCCTAATAAAAAGGAGCGTCTATACAGGAGCTCAAATGGGCTGTACCTTGTAGCATTCTGAGAACAGGTCTGACTTCCGAAAAGGGAAAGTGGTAAAAGTATTGTCCAGTCCTTTTTAAGTTGGTGGCTGAGCTTGGTGAGGTGTGTTTTTAAAAGACCTTTAGTCCGTTCTATTTTTCCTGAAGATGGAGGACCATAAGGGATATAAAGGTTTCACTGAATGCTAAGAGCCTGAAAAACTGCTTGGCTGATTTGACTAATAAAGGCTGGTCTGTTATCAGACTGTATAGAGGTGGGAAGGCTAAACTGAGGAATTATGTCTGACAGAAGGGAAGAAATGACTGCGGTGGCCTTCTCAGACCTTGTAGGAAAGGCCTATACCTATCCAGGGAAAGTGTCTACCTAGACTAAGAGGTATTTTAGTTATCTGACTCAGGGCATGTTGAGTAAAGCTAATTTGCCAGTCCTGGGTGGGGGCAAATCCTCGAGCTTGATGTGTAGGGAAGGGAGGGGGCCTGAATAATCCCTGAGGAGTAGTAGAATAGCAGATGGAACACTGAGAAGTTATTTCCTTGAGGATAGATTTCCACGATGGAAAGGAAATGAGAGGTTCTAAGAGGCAGGCTAGTGGCTTGTGCTATAGCATAGCTTGCCTTTGCTGGTGTGTAGCGATTAGGCCTGGTGGAACCACCATCAATAAATCAAGCGAGATCAGGGTGAGGAACAGGAAAGAAGGAAATATGGGGAAATGGGGTGAATGTCAGGTGGATCAGAGAAATACAGTCATGGGGGTCAGATGTGGTATCAGGAATAATGTGGGAGGCCGGATTGAAGTCCGGGCCAGGAACAATGGTAATTGTGGGACTTAACAAAGAGTGAGTACAGCTGAAGGAGCCGGGGAGCAGAAAGTATATGCGTCAGGTATGAGGAAGAAAATAGATTTTGGAAGTTATGAGAAATGTAGAGAGTAAGTTGAGCATGGTTTGTGATTTTGAGGGCCTCTAAAAGTATTAGGGTGTCAGCAGCTGCTGCACGGAGACATGATGGACAGCCTAAAACAGTAAGGTCAAGTTGCATGGACAAAAAGGCTAGGGGACACGATCCCGGTCCTTGTGTAAGAATTCTGACTGCACAGCCCTGCACTTCGGCTGTGTGTAATGAAAAGGGTTGGGATGAGTCAGGGAGAGCTAGAGTGGGGGCAGTCTCTAAAGCTGTCTTCAGGGAATGGAAAGAGGAGTGGGGAAAGGATTTAGGATCTATGGGGTCAGCTAGGTTTCCTTTTGTGCGTTTATATAATGGTTTTGTTAGGATGTAGGTTTCCTTTTGTAAGTTTATATAATGGTTTTGTTAGGATGGCAAAACCAGGTATTCAAAGGCAAAAGTATCCAACTATGCCCAGGAAGGAAAGGAGTTGTTGTTTTGTAGAAGCGGTTGGGGTTTGGGAGATTAATCAGACATGATCAGCAGGGAGAGCATGTGTGTTTTTATGAGAATTATGCTGAGATAGGTAACAGATAAGGAAGAAATTTGGGCTTGACTGAAGTAATGGGGGCTGTCTGTGAAGCTTTGCGGCAGTACAGCCCAGGTAATTTGCTGAGCCTGATGGGTGTCAGGGTCAGTTCAAGTGAAAGTGAAGAGAGGCTGGGATGATGGGTGCAAAGGAATAGTAAAGAAAGCATGTTTGAGATCCAGAACAGAATAATGGATTGTGGAGGGAGGTATTGAGGATAGGAGAGTATATGGGTTTGGCACCATAGGGTGGATAGGCAAAACAATTTGGTTGATAAAGCTTAGATCCTGAACTAACTTGTAAGGCTTGTCTGGTTGTAGGACAGGTAAAATGGGGAAATTGTAAGGAGAGTTTATAGGCTTAAAAGGCCATGCTGTAGCAGGTGAGTGATAACAGGCTTTGATCCTTTCAAAGCATGCTGTGGGATGGGATATTGGCATTGAGTGGGGTAAGGGTGATTAGGTTTTAATGAGATGGTAAGGGGTGCATGATTGGTCGCCAAGGAGGCAGTAGAGGTATCTTATAATTGTGGGTTAAGGTAGGGAAATACAACAGGAGGACGCAAAGGAGGCTTTGGATTGGGAGGAAGGGCAGCAATGAGATGTAGCTGTGATCCAGGAATAGTCAGGGAAGCAGATAATTTAGTTAAAGTGTCTCGGCCTAATAAGGGAACTGGGCAGGTGGGGATAATTAAAAGGAGTGCTTTAAAGAGTATTGTCAAAGTTGGCACCAGAGTTGGGGAGTTTTAAGAGGTTTAGAAGCCTGGCCGTCAATACCCACAACAGTTATGGAGGCAAGGGAAACAGGCCCTTGAAAAGAAGGTAATATGGAGTGGGTAGCCTCCGTGTTGATTAAGAAGGGGACGGACTTACCTTCCACTGTGAGAGTTACCCGAAGCTCGGCGTCCGTGATGGTCTAGGGGGCTTCCGAGGCGATCCGCAGCGTCAGTCTTCAGTCGCTAAGCCAAGAAGATCTGGGAAGGAGTCAGAGAGCCTTGGGTCAGAGTTCTAGGGGCTCTGGGAGTGGCTGCCAGGTGAGTTGGACAGTCCGATTTCCATTGGGGTCCCGCACAGATGGGATGTGGCTTAGGAGGAATCCTGGGCTGCAGGCATTCCTTGGCTTGGTGGTCAGATTTCTGGCACTTGTAGCAAGCTCCTGGGGGAGGAGGTTCTGGAGGAATGCCTGGCTGCTGCAGTTCAGGCGTTTGGAAGTTCTTGTGTGCTGGAGATGTGGCTGGGGTTTGTCTCACAGTGGAAGCAAGCAATTGCAACTTTTTTCTATTATTGTACACCTTGAAGGCGAGGTTAATTAAATCCTGTTGTGGGGTTTGAGGGCCGGAATTTAATTTTGGGGGTTTTATTTAATGTAGGGAGCAGATGGGGTAATAAATGTATTTTAAGAATAAGACGGCCTTTTGACATTTCAGGGTCTAGGGCTGTAAAGCATCTCAGGGTTGCTGCCAAACGATCCATGAACTGGGCTGGATTTTTATATTTGATGAAAAAGAGCCTAAATGCTATCTGATATGGGATAAAGAAAAAGGAGCATTAACCTTGACTATGCCTTTAGCTCCAGCCACCTTTTTAAGAGTAAATTGCTGGGCAGGTGGGGGAGGGCTACTCACGGAAGAAAACTGTAAGCCACACCAGGTGTGAGGAGGGGAGGTGATAAAAGGATTATAGGGTGGAGGAACGGAGGCTGAGGAAGAATTGGGACCTAGTTCGGCCTGGCGAGGAAGGGAGAGGTCAGATGGGTCTGTAGAAAAGGAAGATTAGAAAGACTCAGCAACGATTGGGGTTGGGACTGAGGGGACAGGCAGGAGGGAAAGAAGGAAGATTTGGGACAAGTTGCATTGGGAACAGAGACTAGGAAGGGACCGATGTGTAAAAGAATGCCTGGATGTCAGGCATCTCAGACCGTTTGCCTATTTTGCGACAAGAATTATTTAGATCTTGCAGGATGGAAAAATTGAAAGTGCTGTTTTCTGGTTATTTGGAACTACTGTCGAGTTTGTATTGGGGTCAAGCGGCATTGCAGAAGAAAATAAGATGCTTAGATTTTAGGTCAGGTGAGAGTTGAAGAGGTTTTAAGTTCTTAAGAACACAGGCTAAGGGAGAAGAAGGAGGAATGGAAGGTGGAAGCTTGCCCATAGTGAAGGAGGAAAGCCCAGAGAAGAGACGAGACAGGGAGAAGTGGTGGGGGGTTCTTGCCCTCCAGAAAAGCAGAGAAGGGGTTGGGGCACAGAGATAGGAGGTCGGGGCATGGAAATAAGGGATCGGGGCACAGAGATACGAGGTTGGGGTACTTGCCCCTTCACCAGAAAAGCGGGACTTGCTGCTAAGGGTGAAGGAGAAGGGGTTGGGGGTTTCTTGCCCCCCAGAAATGCAGAGAAGGGGTAGAGACATGCGGAGAAGGGGTAGAGACATGGAGAGAAGGGGTTGGGGTACTTGCCTCTCCCCCAGAAAAGCGGGACTTGCTGCTAAGGGTGAAGGACCAAGGCAGGTGTCCCTGTGTGGTCTAACACCTCTGAAACCTGGGTGAATAATCAGAGAGGTGTCCCTGCAATGATTAAACACCAAGGGAAGGCTGCCTTCCCTAGTTCGTGACTGGCGCCAGAGTTTTGGGTCCATGGATAAAACGTGTCTCCTTTGTCTCCACCAGAAAATGAAAGGAATTGAAATAAAGAGAAGGGAGAGATTGAAGTGTGGCACCAAGATTGAAAGGAGAAAGAGGTTGAGGGATAGTGAGGGAGGTTGAAGAAGAGAGTAAAAAGAGGCTGCTTACCGGATTTGAAATTGGTGAGATGTTTCTTGAGCTGGTTGGTCTGAGGACCTGTGGTCATAGGTGGATCTTTCTCACGGAGCAAAGAACAGGAGGACAGGGGATGGATCTCCCAAGGGAGGTCCCCCAATCTGAGTCACGGCACCAAATTTCATGCGCGTCCCTGTGAAGAGACCACCAAACAGGCTTTGTGTGAGCAACAAGGCTGTTTACTTCACCTGGGTGCAGGCGGGCTGAGTCCGAAAAGAGAGTCAGTGAAGGGAGATGGGGTGGGGCTGTTTTATAGGATTTGGGTAGGTAAAGGAAAATTACAGTCAAAGGGGGGTTGTTCTCTGGTGGGCAGAGTGGGGGTTGCAAGGTGCTCAGTGGGGGAGCTTTTTGAGCCAGGATGAGCCAGGAGAAGGAATTTCACAAGGTAATGTCATCACTTAAGGCAAGGACCGGCCATTTTTACTTCTTTTGTGGTGGAATGTCATCAGTTAAAGCAAGAACGGGCCATTTACACTTTCTTCTTTTGTGGTGGAATGTCATCAGTTAAGGCGGGGCAGGGCATATTCACTTCTTTTGTAATTCTTCAGTTACTTCAGGCCATCTGGGTGTATACGTGCAAGTCACAGGGGATGCGATGGCTTGGCTTGGGCTCAGAGGCCTGACACATAATAATTAAAAATAGAGAATATTTACAAAAGTCAATGATTGTCTTCACTTACAAATGACACCAGCTATGGATCTTTTTTTGTCAATTTGGCTTGGATTATTCCAAAATAGTATTGTCCTGAAGGTACAGGAGAGAGGTCCAGAGCACAGAGAGGTAGTTTATTTTTTCATTTTTTTGCCCGAAATAATTACTGTTCTGAGGAAGTGATACAAAAGTTTAATTAAATACCAATATTTCTAATGTGACAATTTACTTGGAGAAATAAATATTTTAATATGCTTTTCTATTTAGTAATTGTTGCATGAAAATAAAAAAAATTGTTATCAAGTTCACCCATTGAAATCTGCATCATGTTCTACACAAGTTTTGCTAATTTTTGAAAGCTGGGGTCACTCAGATACCTTATTCTTAACCTGAAAGACCCTCAGACCAAATTTTATTCTGTGAAATATTTTTAACTTTTGAGAATAATCTAATTGCTTATATAAATATTTATCAAAAATAGACCTTTGAAGTGTTAAATGGAAAGAAAGGAAAACCTTAGATAAGTTTGAGTTTATTTGTGTAAATGAAAACAAAAATGATTTGTGAATCAGCAGCTGTTTGAACAACAGCAGGTTTAGAAAGCTCCAACCAATAACATGATCTGACAGCATTTACAGGAAACAAAAGTGCAGTGTAGAGACAGCTCAGTTATTGATAACTTGGCTACAGTGCCTCCTGAAATTAACTAAACCTCAGCTGCTAGAGTTAAACTCCATATTGGTTTGATGTGTTAGGCTTAGTGCAGGAGCCTCATTCCACGGCCTCCTATAAATTGTATTTAACAAAACAATCTTTGAACATTTCATATTTTTGAAAAGTAAAAAGCCAAATGTTTAAATGTTTTGTGAGTCCCTCCCCTATATATATACATTTTTTTTTTCTAGGGGGGAACAGAGTCTTGCTGTGTCACCCAGGCTGGAGTGCAGTGGCATGATGTCAGCTCACTGCAACCTCTGCCTCCCTGGTTCAAGCAATTCTCCTGCCTCAGCCTCCTGAGTAGCTGGGATTACAGGCGCCCACCACCATGCCTGACTAATTTTTGTATTTTTAGTAGAGACAGGGTTTCACCATGTTGGCCAGGCTGGTCTTGAACTCCTGACCTCAGGTAATCTGTCCCCCTCAGCCTCCCAAAGTAATGGGATTACAGGCGTGAGCCAATGCTCCAGGCCTCCACCATACTTTATTTGTGAAAGACATAACCAACAGATCATCACAATAAAAATAATATTTATTTATTTATTTATTTATTTTTGAGACGGAGTCTGGCTGTGTCGCCCAGGCTGGAGTGCAGTGGCACAATCTTGGCTCACTGCAAGCTCCACCTCCTGGGTTCACGCCATTCTCCTGCCTCAGCCTCCTGAGTAGCTAGGACTACAGGCGCCCGCCACCACGCCTGGCTAATTTTTTGTATTTTTAGTAGAGACGGGGTTTCACCGTGTTAGCCAGGATGATCTCGATCTCCTGACCTCGTGATCCGCCCACCTCGGCCTCCCAAAGTGTTGGGATTACAGGCGTGAGCCACCATGCCCGGCCATAATTTTTATTTTTTAAAATTTATTTTAATTATTTTTTGTGGGTACAAAGTAATTTTTATTTTTTCTTTTTGTTGGTACATAGTAGGTATATATATTTTGGGGGTAAAAAAAATGAGATGTTTAGATACAGGCATGCAACGTGAAGTAATCACATCATTATTGTGATTAATGAAAGAATGGCATAACCATCCCCTCAAGCATTTATTTTTTGTATTATGCTTATTTTCTTCTAAACCGTATCAACTGCAAAACAAACAAAAGTCAGGTTATATAATTTAAAATGTTAACTTATTATATCTTAACTGGAAGCCTTAGATAAGATTCCTTAAACAGATCTGGCTGTGCTTCTAAGAGCAATCTAAACAAATAATATAAATATCTATATAAAATATATAATAATATAAAAAAAGAAATAACACTTGTTGCTAATGGTGTCATCTATTTCATATGGTGATAGAACAACATAATAATCCTCCATTTCTTGCAATGTTTTGATGAATATTACTCCAGATTACTCACAAGTTCTAAGGAATATATTATTAGAATTCTTCCTATGCTAGAACATGTATGTGGAAGAAACTCATTTCATTTTCCTAGATTCCTTCCACAGTATCCATTGAACAGTGTTGTAGATTCGAAATTACATTGTTCCATTCCTTTTCATGTATTTTCCTTGGTTCTGGTTCTCTTGTTTTTCCTGAATGCTGAAAGCAGTTTTTGAGCATCTCTGACTTTCACAAGTAAGTGTGGATTTTTAAACATCTTAATGAAGGTGCAGAAAATTGGCCAATTGTCCTTCTTTCTAATCACCATTTTCACTCCATACTCTGGCACTGTGAGCAGTCACTCTCAGATTTGTCTTCAGATGCTGTTCTTCTGCTGGCTGCCAGCCAGGAGGCTGTAAAGAAAACTATAGCCCAAGGCAACGCGACTCAGTCCACAGGACTGCTGCTTGATTCCTTGAGGATTTGAAGTCAGAGCTCCTTATTAGTGGCCTCAGGATTTATGTTTCAGGCACACCTTGGGCCTGGTAACACAGGCCTTGTGACCAACCAAGTACCACAAGTTGCAAAAATCAATCTGCTTTTCATTGAAGGAGGCTTGACTTATTTACTATGTCATCTAAATTTCTTTAAAATAAACTGATAGCGGACACATCACATTTATCTTCACTAGCCCAACCTGATCATTTCTTTGACCTTTTTTTTTTAAAGTGCTTCTAAACTCATATTTAAAAATTACTATTGCCAGTTTTACTCCAGTATTTATTTAATTTTTCCTGTGTGTGGTAAAATCAGAACAGGAGAAGATATAACACTATGTTTTGTTAACTGAGCATTGTCTTTTATTTTTTGTTCATTTTTACTTCCTTTCTATTTCATATTTATGTGTTTACTTCTATCCATCACTATATTAGCCATTTTTCCCTAATCATGGTCTTTTTCTTAATTTCTCAGATTCTTTTGAGAGGAACCCTAGCCCATATTTTGATGCCAAATCTGCCTAAAAATCATCCACGTATCTCACTTGTTCCTTAAGACAACATTTTCAGCATTCTTTTCACTTGACTAGTATCCTTCAGGATGCCCTCTGAGGGCTGATAGAGATCTGCTAAGGCAAAACCACAAAACATAATATAAATGAGAGCTTTATTTTATAGATGGCTTCTGAGCTCATATCAGTAATTTTCTACTAGACTATTGTCTATCTCTCTAATCTACAAATAAGATTGAACCAGTCATCTGAGATGTGAGGATTTGATTTAAAAAAGAAAGAAAAAAAAAGATTGAACCAAATTAGCACTCTTAAAGAGCCAAACTGTTTTAACTGCATGAGGACCATTCTACTAGGTACCTGCACGAAAAGGTAAAAAAGTCAAAATGCCATAGCTGACCCAACCTTTTCATTCTGTCACGCTGGCCTCAGGATAGAGCAGGTTGAATAATTTGGTTATTCTTTATAGATTATATAAATTTATAGTTATATAAATTTATAGTTTCAGTGCTTTCATGGCTCCTATAATGTGGCTGAATGATTGAGGTTATGGGTCAGGAGTTCAAAGTAAAGGTCTGTTGTGATTGGCATCAGATGATTTCCTCTGCCCTTGCCACTAGATTTGTCTACCTGAACAAATCCAGCTTCTAGTTGATGCCTTGTTCATATGGCTGCTACTGCAGATTGGGACAGTCAATGGCTGATTTCCTCTGAAAATGCAGTTCAGACATTGGGATTCTAAGTATTTATAGATCAATAATCTTTTTTACCCAGCTTCAATGAGGTATACTTGGCAAATAAAAATTGTAAATATCCAAGGCATACAATGTGATATTTCAATCTATGTATACATATATTGATACATATGAAATGATTACCATGATCGAGCTAATTAACATATCCATCACCTCACATGGTTATATATATTTTTTGTAGTGAGAATACTTAACATCTACTATTTTAGCAAATTTCAAGCATACAATACATTGTTATTAACTATATTCACCATACTGTATATTAGGGCTTCAGAACTTGCATTTAAACTGCAAGTTTTTACCTTTTGATCAACATCTCCCCATTTCTCCTAACCTCAACCCTGGTAACCACCTTTCTACTCTCTTTCTATGAGTTCAGCTTTTTTGATTCCACATATATGTGAAATCACATAGTGTAGGGTTCTTGTCACACGACCAGGAAAGATTAGGCTTGCAGACACATAGAAGGGTGAGAAAAATGGAATTTATTGGTCAAAAAAGAAAAAAATGGAAACAGAGACTCTCAGCAAAGTAAGAGTCCTGCTAGCAGGTTTCCCACCTCACAGATTGAATTCTAGGTTACCACCCAGGAAGAGGAGAGGCCAGGCTCTTCCTTGCTGCAAAAGTGAGCAAACCTCCCGAGGCCCCAGCCCAGTGCACACTCACTCCTCCCAGTAGTATTTGTCTTTCTGTGTCTTGCTCATTTCACTTAACATTATGTCTTCCAGGTTCATCCTTATTGTTGCAAATGGCAGGATTTCCTTCTTTATTAAGGCTGAATAATATCCCATTGTGTGTGTGTGTGTGTGTGTGTGTCTCATTTTGTTTATCCATTCCTCTGCCAATAAACATTTAGGTTATTTTCATATCTGTTTTTGTTAATGATGTGCAATGAACATGGGAATTATCTTTTCTTCATTAGAAAGAAAAAAAAACTTTACATAACATTATTTTGGCTATTTACCTTGTAGAACTCTAGAAATAATATTTTCATGTTAATAAATGGTTACTGCTGTAACCACCCAATGGGTTCACCTTGCCTGCTGCCTAGACAGAGCCAATTTATCAAAACAGGGGAATTGCAATAGAGAAAGAGTAATTCATGCAGAGCCGGCTGTGTGGGAGACCGGAGTTTTATTATTACTCAAATTAGTCTCCTAGAGCATTCAAGGATTAGAGTTTTGTTTTGTTTTGTTTTGAGACGGAATCTCGCTCCGTCACCCAGGCTGGAGTGCAGTGGCGCAATCTCGGCTCACTGCAAGCTCTACCTCCTGGGTTCACGCCATTCTCCTGCCTCAGCCTCCTGAGTAGCTGGGACTACAGGTGACAGCCACCATGCCCAGCTAATTTTTTTTTTTTTTGTATTTTTAGTAGAGACAGGGTTTCACCATGTTAGCCAGGATGGTCTCGATCTCCTGACCTCGTGATCCGCCCACCTCGGCTTCCCAAAGTGCTGGGATTACAGGCGTGAGCCACCGCACCCTGAACAAAAGAAGGATGAAAGATAGAAAAAGGGAGAGAAGAAGAGAGAGAGAGAGAGAGAGAGAGAGAGAGAGAGAGAGACAGACAGACACCGGTCTGCCAGAAACCAAAGCTCAGTTCCCCAGCATCTTGGGATGTGAACCGAGTCAAGGGAGGGCCCCTGTCAGGACCATTCCCACCCAAACCAAGACACAAAGGTGCCCACCAGAAAACCAAGGCTCAACCCTCTAGCGTCGTAGAGTAATGGGCAGAGTCAAAAGAGGGATGCCCTTGTCAGGGCTGCTTCCCTCTTACCAGAACCAGAACGAAGTCAAATCTGACCTACCTGACCCCGGAGTCAGAAGCTGAGGACTCAGATGTTGAATTTTAGGGCACCCACACGGTAGTCGATCCGCTGTCCTCCGGAAGACGGTCACCCTTCGGGAACCTGAAAATTTCGTCTTTGCAGGTGGCGGCTTCCCTACAGGCCAGCCGTCCTTCCGGGGGAGCCCGGAGTGAGACCGGCTCTTGCCCGCTGGCGTTAAAATTTCGCTGGGGCCTCCAACTGTTGTACCCGAGCAAGTTAGAAAAACACTACAGTTTGAGACGAATTAAGAGTCCTTTATTAGCCGGCAACCGAGAGACGGCTAACACTCAAAATTATCTCGGCTCTGAGGAAGGGGCTTGATTAACTTTGATACCTTGGTTTAGGAAGGGGAGTGGGGGATCTAGTTAAAACAATTTTACAGAAGTAAAGTAGTCAAAAAGTTAAAAGGATAAATGGTTACAGGAAAGTAAACAGTTCCAGGTGCAGGGGCTTTAAGACTGTTACAAGGTGGCCAGGCGCAGTGGCTCACGCCTGTAATCCCAGCACTTTGGGAGGCCGAGGCGGGCGGATCACGAGGTCAGGAGATCGAGACCATCCCAGCTAAAACGGTGAAACCCCGTCTCTACTAAAAATACAAAAAATTAGCCGGGCGTAGTGGCGGGCGCCTGTAGTCCCAGCTACTTGGGAGGCTGAGGCAGGAGAATGGCGTGAACCCGGGAGGCGGAGCTTGCAGTGAGCCGAGATCCCGCCACTGCACTCCAGCCTGGGCGACAGAGCGAGACTCCGTCTCAAAAAAAAAAAAAAAAAAAAGACTGTTACAAGGTGATAGACCCGGGGCTTTGGGCATTATCAATCGGACGAATTCCTGGGAACTGCGGATATAGCTTGCCACAGTATCCTATCAGTTAATTGCATTCTTGGATGTGCTGGGAGTCAGCTTGCACAAGTTAAGTCCTTGAGGAAGGGGCTGCCAGTGAAAGAGCCAAGATGGAGTCTGTCTGGCTCTCTTAGCTAAGGGAGAGTCAATTCAGGTGGAAACAAGGCTAGGTGATTAAAGGAAAAGGGAGAGTCTAAAAACAGAGTTAGTAAAAACCAGGTTGGGCATTACAAATGGAATATTATTTACCACTTAAGAGAAATGAGCTATCAAGCCATGAGAAGACAGAGTGGAAACTGAAATGCATATTATTAGGTGAAAGAAGCCATTCTCAAGAGGCTATATAATGGAAAGATTTCAACTATACAACATTCTGGAAAAGGCAAACCTATAGAAATAATAAAAAAGCAGTTGTTGCCAGTGGTTAGAAAGAAGGGAGGGATGAATAGACTGAGATCAGAGAATTTTGAGAGCAGTGAAGCTATTCTGTATAATACTATAATTGTGGACACATGTCTTTATACAACTTGACAAAACCTATATAATGTAAAATGCCAGAAGTGAAACCCTATGTACGCTATAAACTTTGGGTGACAATGATGTGCTAATGTAGGTTCATCAGTTGTAGCAAATGTACCACTCTGGTGGGGGTTGTCAAAAGTGGGGAAAACTGTCCTGTGTGGGGACTGAGGATATATGGGAAATCTCTGTACCTTCTACACAACTTGGCTATGAATCCAAAGTTGCTCTAAAAAATAAAATCTACTCAAAAAAAGCTGTCTGAAAACTGGGTAGTTCATGCATTAACCAAGTACGCTTTTATTGAATAACTACTATATGCCAGGCACTATCACCCTTGCCTTTGAGGAGTTGATACTCTAGAGCATGAAAAAAATTGTCAAGTGCTATTGTGATAAATTTTATTATAGAAAAAAATGAGTTGTTTTGCAGGATACAGTCTCCAAAACTCAAAACCACAAAGACAAAAAGGTATGTGGTTGTTTCTACAGATATCTTTTCTCTATTTCTGTAGCCGTTGAAATCACTGCCCTCCATGAAAGGGGAAATACCACATCTGATAGGTAAATGTAGAGTGGAGTGTGTAAACTAACAGGAGAGTTTTCTTCTAATACATCACGAAGTTGTCTACCCATAACAGAAGTGGCAGTGGAATATGGGCGAATAAACTAAGTACAGGTTGAGCATTCTAAATCTGAAAATCTGAAATCTGAAATGTACTAAAATCCAAAACTTTTGAACACTGACATGACCCTAAAAAATGCTCGTTTGCGCATTTCAGATTTTTTAAATTTGGGATGCTCAACTGGTAAGTATAAGGCAAATATTCCAAAATGCAAAAAATAAAAATGGAAGTCTGAAACACTTCTTGTCCCAAGTATGTTGAATAATAGAAACTCAACCTGTACCTCTGTTGCAGATTAAAATCCTGAACTGTGATACTCTTGCAGAATGGAAATTTTAGTCATATAAATTATTTGCTTATAATATGACTTGGAGTTACACTGCTCATTACCTATGGACAACTAATTTTCCTTCATTTACTGTTCAGTTATCAGAGCTATAAATATATACATACTACAATATAAAGTTTTGCCCATACTGGGAAATGTAATTTTTTTTGTAGTCAACTAACCTTTATTATTATTATTATTATTTTTTATTATACTTTAAGTTTTAGGGTACATGTGCACAACGTGCAGGTTAGTTACATATGTATACATGTGCCATGTTGGTGTGCTGCACCCAGTAACTCGTCATTTAACATTAGGTATATCTCCAAATGCTATCCCTACCCACTCCCCCTACCCCACAATGGGCCCAGGTGTGTGATGATCCCCTTCCTGTGTCCATGTGTTCTCACTGTTCAATTCCCACCTATGAGTGAGAACATGTGGTGTTTGGTTTTTTGTCCTTGCGATAGTTTGCTGAGAATGATGGTTTCCAGCTTCATCCATGTCCCTACAAAGGACATGAACTCATCTTTTTTATGGCTGCATAGTATTCCATGGTGTATAAATGCCACATTTTCTTAATCCAGTCTACCATTGTTAGACATTTGGGTTGGTTCCAAGTCTTTGCTATTGTGAATAGTGCCGCAATAAGCATATGTGTGCATGTGTCTTTATAGCAGCATGATTTATAATCCTTTGGGTATATACCCAGTAATGGGATGGCTGGGTCAAATGGTATTTCTAGTTTTAGATCCCTGAGGAATCGCCACACTGACTTCCACAATGGTTGAACTAGTTTACAGTCCCACCAACAGTGTAAAAGTGTTCCTATTTCTCCACATCCTCTCCAGCACCTGTTGTTTCCTGACTTTTTAATGATTGCCATTCTAACTGGTGTGAGATGGTATCTCATTGTGGTTTTGATTTGCATTTCTCTGATGGCCAGTGATGATGAGCATTTTTATATGTGTCTTTTGGCTGCATAAATGTCTTCTTTTGAGAAGTGTCTGTTCATATCCTTCTCCCACTTTTTGATGGGGTTGTTTTTTTCTTGTAAACTTGTTTGAGTTCATTGTAGATTCTGGATATTAGCCCTTTGTCAGATGAGTAGATTGCAAAAATTTTCTCCCATTTTGTAGGTTGCCTGTTCACTCTGATGGTAGTTTCTTTTGCTGTGCAGAAGCTCTTTAGTTTAATTAGATCCCATTTGTCAATTTTGGTTTTTGTTGCCATTGCTTTTGGTGTTTTAGACATGAAGTTCTTGCCCATGCCTATGTCCTGAATGGTATTTTAGTCAATAATTTACAAGGATTGAAGATGAATTTCTACTACCCAAATACTGATGTAACCTTGTGAAAAAATAATGGAGAAAACAGTAGCAGATATCTTTCTGAGCAGAAATGCTTTCAAATATAAGTAAAAAGTCCAAGGTTCAGTGATTTAAATAGATGTTATTTTTTAACATAAAGTAAAATATGATATTGGTAGTTGCTATAGTTCAGTGGTCAGCAATGTCATTAAATCCCCGATCTGGGAGTTTTTTCTTGTATTTCTGCCTATGTTGTCCATTCATCATCATGTTTGTTTCCTCATGGTCACAAGAGGGCTGCTACAGGGCAATATCAGGGCTGAGTTCCAGGCAAAGGGAACATAGAAAGACAAAGTACCAGCTACATTTGTCTCTTTCATTAGTCAAGCAAAAGTCTTCCTAGAAGCTTCCCATAGGAGTTAACCTAATATGTCACTGGAAAGGTTGCAGAGAAAATCAAGTTTCTGGCAAAGGACAATAGGATAGTTTTGACTGACTTAGGCAAATCGTGATCCATGACTAAGGGCTGGATTCCCTTACAAGGGAGATGAGAGATGGGTATGATTGTTCAGTTGAAAGTATATTTGATATTCTGTCATCAGTTGAAAGTATATTTGATTGTCTGCCACCTAACCTCATGCACTAATCCCATGTTTTGCAGTGGTCAGTCCTGTCTCAGACAGGAGGAAACAGAGCTATTGCCCATTCTGGGTGCTGATTTCCCAGGTAACCAGAGCTCTCAGTCCCCCATCTTCCTGTTTGATACTCCACATTTGCACATTAATTCTAGGGCTACGTTTCCAAAAATCTTTGCATTATAGACATGACTTGATGCTTTGTTATGGAACAAAAATGTTGGCAACAGAAGAAGCAGTAATAAATATCATAGGAAATTTATATTTTTAATTATTTTTTCTAGCAAATAAAATGGTACAAACTATTTCAAGTCCTCTCAGAAGAAATGTTAAAATTCACAGCAAGATGACATTATTAGATTAGCAGATATAGTTTCAGACCAGTGGTTATTAAAGGACAATAAAATATCAGGAAGTTGATTAGGGTCTATGCATATCAGTTAGGCTTCATGTATAACGTCTTGGAAAGAGATGTTAATAGTTGGAAGGTATCAACCGAGAAACTGAGTTGATTCTTCCCATCCTGCTTTCAATAAAAAAAGTAGTTGTGGATAGTGTGAATGGAAAATCTTGGGGGCCCCAAAATTACTAAACTAAGGGAAAAGTCAAGCTGGGAACTTTTCAGGGCAAACCTGCCTCCCATTCTATTCAAAGTCATCCCTCTGCTCTCTGACATAGATACATATTCTGATTGCCTCCTTTGGAATATGTCTTTCACCTGTGATTTGGAAGCCCCCTCCCTGCTTTGAGCTGCCTCTGCCTTTCTGGATGCAACCAATATACTTCTTACATATATTGATTGATGCTTCATGTTTCCCTAAAATGTATAAAACCAAGCTGTACCCTGACCACCTTGGGCACATGTCATCAGGACCTCCTGAGGCTGTGTTATGGGCACACATCCTTAACTTTGGCAAATAAACCTCCTAAAATGATTGAGACTTGTCTCAAAATTTTTCTCAATTGACAATAGATTTCTGATTAATCAGATGAATTCAAAGACAAACAGGCCTGTGAAATTATAGAATTATATCTTTAAAAAAGAAAGATATATGATTCCTCTTTTAGGAGAAATTCATGCATTTGAAAAATATTTTTAAAAAATTTAACAAGGAATAAATTTATAGTTCCATAGAATTCAAGAAGTTTTAGCTTTTGTAAAATAAAATATGAAAAGGCGAAATGGTAAGCACAAACTGAATGAAAACAAACACGTGAACAAAAATAGAAAAAAAATGGCTTGAGGGAAGATAATTGGTAAGGCAATTAAATTGTCATAGCAGAATCCAAATCAGCATTAAATTTCAAAAACATTGCACATATTTAAACTTGGGTGAATTTGAGCTTGAAACTATGGGCTGGCCAATAGTCACAAAGGGAAAAAAAATACAATTACTACAAATTAACATTTAACAAGTGTGGCCAAAGCTGCACTCAGGACAGAAGTTCCCATCCCCAAATAGTTCATGTAAAAAGGAACAACGATAAGAATGCTCGCTATTCAATTTTTAATTTTAATAAAAGAAAAATAACAATAAGGCTAAAGCAAGGAAATGGAAGGAAAGAATAGAACTGTCAGGGGCTGGAAGGTAGGGCGTGGAACCAGAATTTAGTGTAATAAGAAAAATGCAATGCTTCTGCAAATCTCTTGAATAAATAGAGACACGGCTTATTTAAGAAATTCTTGAATAAAACTTGTAATATACCGGACATTATTCTATTTAAATATTATATTATTTCTGACTTCTCCCCAAGGTATTATTACACTACCTCTTACAGATGGAAAAATCTGAGGTACAGAGAGATTAGGTAATTTTCTCCAGTTCAGAAAGGCAGGGCCAGGCGCGATGGTTTACGCCTGTAATCCCAGCACTTTGGTAGGCGGAAGTGGGCAGATTGCCTGCGCTCAGGAGCTTGAGACCAGCCTGGGCAACACGGAGAAACCCGGTCTCTACTAAACACACACACACACACACAACCACACACACACACACACACACACACACTTAGCCAAGCATGGTGACGCGTGCCTGTAATCCCAGCTACGCGAGAGGCTGACACATGAGAATGCCTGAACCCGGGAGGCGGAGGTTGCAGTGAGCTGAAATCTCACCACTTCACTGCAATACCAGGATTAAACCTGGTAGTCTGTCTCTTGGCTCTGAGCTCTTAACATTAAGCTATGTAATTGATGTTTCTGAAATGTATCAATAAATAGGAAGTAATTTCAAGCAAGTATCAAAGGCATGCTTTTGAGACTAGAAAAACTAATTGTAAATTGTATTTTAAGAATATTCAAGATTATTTTGGTTTGGAAGAATAATAGAGGTTGATTTTACTACCACTTACTATGAAACACAATTATGTGTTTTTATGTGTAATTATATTAATATGGTAATATTACCATATTAGTAATTGATTAATAATTAATATGGTATTTCATAATTAGACTATATGGAATCATCATTACATAATAGAAAGTAACAAAATTAACCTTAATAGAATGAAATATACATAATGATGAGATTTCAATAAATCACGAGAGGATAATTTAGCAAATGGACATGTTTAGTCTTTAAAAAATTTCTGATGTATAAAATGAATTACAGAAACATTTTATGATTGTTTTAAATGAAAGAACTACAAAATCTATAAGTGAACATTTATCTAAACTTGCAATGAATGTTATTTTCTATGTATAAAAAATGACAAATTGGGAAATTGACAGATTTAAGTATAAAATGTTACAAGGTTCAACATGGCAGAAACATCACAAAAATAATGAAAGAGTAACCTCAGAACTAAAATATATTAATATGTTCAAAGTATATACAAAAAGAAAAAATTAAATAAATATCAAATCCGCTCTACTAAATCCATTAAAGAAAATAACAAAACCCCCAATTTTAAAAGTAAAAGGCAATTCTAAAAAAACAGACCTGAAAAAAAGGGAACTCAAATCATGAACAAATCTGCAATAAAATAATGACCTTGTTATGAAAGAAATACAAAATCAAGCAACAACGAAGTACTATTTACATGATATCAAATTAGCAAAGTTTTTTAGAAAGCATGTGGAGATATCTCTGTGAGTGAGGCACTCTTGGACTTCATAACACACATAATGTACTGAAGTCTTCACAAGCACTTTTGAAGAATTCTGTCCTAAGAGTTTTTGGCTTTGTTTTTCAATTTGATGTATGGTGTAGTAGTGATAGCATGATGTCTAAGCTTTTATTCTCATCTTAGGTGAACCCCTACTTTGTGTTTGTCTGCACACACACACACACACACACATACACACACAATATTCAAGACTGAACACGTAGAAAGCAAAGTGCATAAAGGAAAACTGTAGCATACAAAAGCTTACTTCAAAAGGAGGGAGAGTGAGAGAGATTCTGCCTCTAGCAAGCACAAATGCACAGTGCATAATTTATTGAACAATTTCTTTCCAATTTTACTTAATAGCTTGCATTGTTCGAGGCACCAATGTTAGCTCTACCAATTTGATTGCTTTTTTATGGCAGAGAATTACAATGCTGTGAAGTCCATTATTTTTATATCACATTTAATAAGCTATTCATTTTACAATTTTGAAGCAGAGGAAATGAAAACTTGTATCTCTGGCAGATGGGTATTCTCAATGGCTTCTATATTTAAAGGAAAATGAAGCCTCAATACCTTGGTTACTCAACTGTTTCTAACAAGCACCGTATATCACTGGGTCATGCTTTCAGGTACTGGCCAGAAAATCTTACAGAAATTAGAATGCTTGGAGAAGTTAAGAATATCATAAAAACAAACTATGAAATGGCAATATAAGAAATATCAAATTGACAACCCCCTCCCTAAATCAAAGTTCTTTTACATTAAATTTACATCAAGATCACAGGAACAAATAAGGATTTGTCTCAGGAGTGTTATTTGTTCTTATTTATCATGACTTCTTTTCTACCTTCGGCCATTTTAGCTGGCCAGTGAAAGAGTGGCTTTTGTTATTTCAGCCTGTTTTGGTTACTTTATTTGATCAGACTCATAAAAGATGTATTATTAGGTATGTGATTCAATAAATCATTAACCTGAGTAAAAATTTATTGCTCTTCATATGATATCTATATTTTGAACAATGGTTTTAAAATGCTAAAAATCTTTTTTAAGCATAATAGAGAAGTCAATGAATATTTTAGATGAAAAGTAATATAGGTAGACTAGTTTGTCGTTTCTTGGCAAAGTGAAATAATATCTTACAGAGATAATGTGTTTGTCGTCTGTGGAATTTGGCTTTTCAGAGATATACAGCATATTTCACATGATTGATATATCTCACGTGCAATGTCTAGAAACTGAATAAAATTCTCTTTTAGATACAGACAGTGAAGCACTATCTGTCTCAATCCATTCTCCCAAGGTAAAACATAAAAAGAAACATGAGTTTTATGAAAAGGGTTTTCTCCCTTTGGTCTGTGAATAGCTTGATATTGAGGTTCAAATTTACTTTTAAGTCCTCACACTCTGTAAATTCTATAAGTATAATTTTCTTAGAAGTTTCAACTTATCAATATCCTATAGAATGGTGAAAAAAAGTGTAAGAGTAAAATTAAGCAATGTTTTCCAAGATCGTCAAAACCATAAAAGCAACCTATCATAGTTTCCCAGGGCTAACTTAATAAGGTATCATAAACTAAAAGGTTTAAGAAAACAAAACATTATTATCTCAGTTTTGGAGGTAGGAAGTGCAAAATCAAAGTGTTAGTAGTGTCATGCTCCCTCCGAAGCCTCTGGGCAGAGGATCTTTCCTTGCTTCCTGCCGTTTCAGGTACCCCTGGATGTTCCTTGGCTTGTGGCAACATCACTCCTATCTTCACCTCCATCTTCACATGGCCATCTTTCCTCTGTTTTCACATGTCTTTTTATAAGGACACAGCCATATTGAATTAAGACTCCCCCTCCTCCCCACTATGTCCTCGTTTTAATTTGATTACATCTGCAAAGACCCTGTTTCCAAGTAAAGCCACATTCACAAGTACTGGGAGGGTAATATTTCAACATACCCTTCTGGGGAACACAATTTCATCCATAACATTATCGTGACCTTTGAGAAAAGCACTGTTTCCACATTTCAAAAATAGAGATATTGAAATTCAGAATTAAACAGCTAGTACCAGAGTCAAGTTTATTCTATCAAGTCTGGGAATAATTACCCCACGGTCCTGAATCTAATCAAAGAAGATTAATATACTTTCATATCAGAGATGTTAACTATATTTAGTGTCCTTTTTTCTTGACTTTTGTCTTTAGTTTCCTGGGAATATGTAGTTAACTGAGTTTTTGAGATGTGTTCATATTCTTATGAGCAGTATTTGGGTTTCATAGCCACTAATTACAAAAAGAAAGAATTTAGTAGGATATGAATAAATAATGAATAAAATAAGCAAGTTTTGAAAACCAAATGGAACCTTTATAGTAATTATATTTTGGAAACATATCTAGTTTTTTTTATCTATTTCTTAAAATGTTGATATGAACACTCAAACTCATTATTTTTGGTAGAAAGTACATGTTCCCTTTTGAAATGTCGTAATATCCTTTTAATGTCTTCAAGTCTTATATAGATTAAAACTATGGAAGATTTGCTGTGACATGACTTTTGTTACTTCTCTATTATAAGTGTAATATAAAATGTAAATATTGTAAAAAATGTAATGCAACAAAATTCCCTTTGGTGGAAGTAAAAGTATTCATATTAATGATGTAGGGAAGGCAAAGCTTTACCTCAACCTTCATAAGGTCCCCAGCTGGGCCTTATTAAATTAACGTAAGATAGATTATCAGAAGAAAAGCCTACAAATATAATACAGGTGTTTTTTGTTTGTTTTAACTTTCATTTTAAGTTGAGGGGTACACATGCAGGTTTCTTACATAGGTGAACTTGTGTCACGGGGGTTTGCTGTGCAGATTATTTCATCACCCAGCTATTACGCCTAGTACTGATTAGTTATATTCCTGATCCTCTTCCTCCTCCCATTTTACACCCTCCAATAGGCCCCAGTTGTTGCCCTCTATGTGTCCATGTGTTCTCATCATTTAGCTCCCACTAATTTGAGTTTTAATTTGACACAAGAGCCCTCATAAAAGGAAGACCCGAAGTCACAGAGTTGAACACTCATATACTAAATAGAACAAACAGTGGTAATTATGGGAAGTACCTAAATGATGTGGAGAAGTTAAAGGTAATAAGAATTATTTTGAGAAGGTCTGTTTTTAAAGACTGTGATTCCTTATGAAAGAATATTTGTTCAGGGAGAACATCTTTCTTATGGGAGTTTTTACATACTTTTCTCAGGAAGAAAAGGGGAGATCAGAATTCATTTCTAGCATCTGTTGCTTCTTGAGTGCCTTTGGCTCAAAATAATCTTTCTGACAAAATGGCATATCATCTGGTGTCATACACTGTTAATCTTCAATGGCATACATTGTGCGATCCTCACTAACAATGTACAATACCATTTATAATTTTAATGGCAAATTTTCAAAAATTATTATTCAACAAGCTGATAGGTATGCTATAAAAATCAAATCAAAGGCAATTTTTACCACCTTTCTGAATACTCACCAATTTTCACAAATTTGCAGTGTCAGAGAACTGACAATTTTTTTCTGGTGCAAAGAAACTGGAAACTGGACAGATGGAAAACAGGCTTATTGGAGCATCAGCCATTGCTTGACTGCTAAGCTTGATTTTGAAGTTGACAAATGAAGAGGGGTTTACTTTTTCAACACTTTCTCTTTGAGCATATCCCTAAAATTAAGGCATTGGTCAGTGAAATTAAAGAACACTTGTATACTAAGTAGAACAAAAAGTGGTAATTGTGGGAAGTAACTAAATGACATGGAGAAGTTAAAGGTAGATAAGAATTATTTTGATGAGGTTTATTTTTAAAGACTATGATTCCTCATGGAAGAATATTAGCATTAACAGTTACATAAGTATTCATTTCAGTTGTCCTTTACTTGTTATATGCTTAGTTTTCCAGTTAAGTAAATTATTTTAGCCACTGGGCTTTAAAGAATATTTAATGGGAGAATACATACTCTTGCCTGCCTGAACTTGTTTATAATATTGCTTAAAAGCACACCTTATACTTTTTTAAACACTTAAATAATTTATACAATCAAAAAATTTTAAAGGCACACATTCAACAAAGGCAAGCTTAAACCAAAGCAATAAACATTTTGGTTGACACTCCACCTGCTCTGATGGCTGAGGGCATATTGAATTAGCAATCTAGAACTTGAGATTTCATGCCCATGCAGAGACAGGAGATGACGCCTTGGGTTCAGCTGAGCAGGGAACTGATACTGAGACACCTGCATGCACCTAGAATCGTCAACAAGCCACAAATTCAATAAAGAATTTGTGGATGGTGACTCATGCCTGTAGTCCCAGCATTTTGGGAGGCCAAGACAAGAGGATCACTTGAGGCCAAGAGTCTGAAGCAAGTCTAGGCAAGATGGCAAGACTGTCTCTACAAAAAATATTTGAAACTTAGCTGGGCATAGTGATACATGCCTGCAGTTCCAGTTACTCAGAAGTTCAAGGCTAAAGAATCCTTTGAGGCCGGGCGCGGTGGCTCACGCCTTTAATCCCAGCACTTTGGGAGGCCGAGGTGGGCGGATCACGAGGTCAGGAGATCGGGACCATCCTGGCTAACGCAGTGAAACCCCATCTCTACTAAAAATACCAAAAAAAAAAAAAAAAAAAAAAAAAAGCCGGGCACAGTGGCGGGCGCCTGCAGTCCCAGCTACTCGGGAGGAGGCGGAGCTTGCAGTGAGCCGAGATCGTGCCACTGCACTCCAGCCTGGGCAACAGAGCGAGACTCCGTCTCAAAACAAAAACAAAAACAAAAACAAAAAAAAGAATCCTTTGAATCCAAGAGTTCAGTGATGCAGTGAGCTGTGATCACCACTGAACTCCAGCCTGGGTGACAGAGTAAAACTGTGTGTCAAAAAGCCAAAAAAGAAGTGGACTAGTAGAAAACTAGTCCTACTTACACAGGAAAAGAACAGGCAACAGAACGTGCGTGCAAAAGGGTCACATGTCAGACTTAATGAAGATTTTAAAGCAGCCATTATAAATGTGTTCCAAGAAGTAAATTAGTGCTTAAAGAAGTAAGGAAAGCATGATGACAATATCTTAACTAGAGAATATCCATAAATAAATAGAAATTTCAAAAATGAATCAAATGGGAGTTCTGGAATTGAAAAGTACAGTAAGTGAAAAAAATTCATTGAATGGGCTCATCAGGCCGGGCGCAGTGGCTCACGGCCCTGTAATCCCAGCACTTTGAGAGGCCGAGGCAGGTGGATGACTTGAGCCCAGGAGTTTCAGACCAGCCTGAGCAACAGGGTGAAACCCCGTCTCTACCAAAAATACAAAAATTAGCCAGGCATGGTGGCGTGCACCTGTAGTCTCAGCTACTCAGAAGGCTGAAGCAGGAGGATCACTTGAACCTGGGAGGCAGAAATTACAGTGAGCCAAGATCACGCTGCTGCACTCCAGCCTGGGCAACAGAGCAAGACCCTGCCACACACACACAAAAGGGCTCATCAGATTATTTGAACTGGCCAAAAAGAATCTGCAAACTTGAAGATAGATTGATATGGATGATATAATCCAAACAACAGAGAGAGAAAAGATTAAAGAAAAATAAACACTACTTTACAGTAACGAGGGACACCATTAAGTGAATCAACATATTCACAAAGTACTAAAAGCAAAGAAAGGGGAAAGGAGGAATAATATTCAAATATATAATTAACAAAAACTTCCATAATGTGATGAAAAACATTAATCTACACATTTAAAAAGCTCAAAAAACTGCAAATAGGACAAACAGAAAGAGGACACCCTATCATAATAAAAATACTGAAAGCAAACAGCAAAGAGAAAATCTCAAAAGCAGTAAGAGAAAAACATCAAGCACTAAAGCAAATACTGATATCGCTTAATTTATACAAGCTAGAGGTATTCATATAATGTAACAGAATATTAAAATATTGCCTGTATTTTACATTCTTTAGATGCTTTTAATTTTTCAAAGTGCTCCAAAATTCTAATATTCGAAAGTCAAATCTAAGAATAAAAAGATTAAATATAACTGGAATCTAAAGACAGACAGATGGACTGAGTGAAATTCAGCAGTAATGTTTTTTAACTCATCCTGGTTAATCACTTCCATGTAGGAACCTTTATAAATCATTTGACCTGACTTTTCATGAACCCATAATGTAAACCTCAAAAGTAATGTGTAACTACCATTCCATTTGCAATGATGCAAATTTATCATTTTTTTAAATAAGCAAAATAATGTTAAAAATGTAAAATAATAAATAATCCAAGAAAGAAATATGTTTTATATTCTCTTTATAATACTTTTAAATTAGCATTTATTGGCAAAAGACAGCATCAGCTAATGGAAAGAAGACATAATTGATTATTTAAAGATCAGATTTTAATTTCTGACTGCCAATGACTAACAAAATATATTTGTTTGAACAAAATTCTGTGAGCCTTAATGTTTTTATATATGAATTAAGCATATTTTCTTGAGACCCAAAGACATAAGTCACAGTAAAATGAACTGTGAGATATGAGTAATTTATAAAAATTACTTTTAATGCAGGCTGTCTTATGGTCATTGTACTTTTCCAAACCAGAAATTCTGTGAAGATGGATGTTTCACCTGTGTAAAACACCTCATCTATAAGGCTTATCAAATCATACTTGGGCTGGGCATGGTGGGTCACACCTGTAATCCTAGCACTTTGGGAGGCCAAGATGGGTGGATCACTTGAGGTCAGGAGTTCAAAACCAGCCTAGTCAATATGGCAAAACCCCATCTCTACTAAAAATACAACAATTTGCCAGGTGTGGTGGCGTGTGCCTGTAATCCCAGCTACTCAAGAGGCTGAGGCAGGAGAATTGCTTGAACCCAGGAGGCAGAGGTTGCAGTGAGCCGAGATGGTGCCACTTCACTCCAGCTTGGGCAAAAGAGTGAAACTCTGTCTCAAAACAAAAACAAAAACAAAAACAAAAAACATACTTGACAGGAACCAATACATCTTCTTTTGTAAATTGAAAGCATTGAAGAGTGATGCATTCTTTGAAATACAAAATGCAGTTCTCAAAGTTATGTTCTTTTGAACTTTAATTAAATATGTATTTTCCTCTTTAACACATATGCCAAGAAAATGAAATATTCAAAGCAATAAGTAATGAATTATAAAACACCAATAGGCAAAAGAAGAAACTCTTGGCTCCTCAAAGTTGCTTATTCTGATGAAAAAAGTTACATTTTATAAATTACATTTGTTTACTGATTTGACCAAATTCAACTTTCTCTTCCTTCCTACCTCACACAGAAATACAAATTTCTAATAAAACCACTATATCAAATCGACTACATAATTGGAAGTAAAACACTTCTCAGCAAATGCAAAAGAAAGAATGGAAATCATAACAAACAGTCTCTCAGACCACAGTGCAATCAAATTAGAACTCAGGACTAGAAATTCACTAAAACCCACAAAACTACATGGAAATTGAAAAACCTGCACCTGACTGACTACTGGGTATACAACGAAATTAAGGCAGAAATAGAGAAGTTCTTTGAAACCAATGAGAACGAAGAGACAATGTACCAGAATCTCTGGGACACAGCTAAAGCAGTGTTAAGAGGGAAATTTATAGCACTAAATGTCCACATCAGAAAGGAGGAAAGATCTAAAAGTGACACCCTAACATCACAATTAAAAGAACTAGAGAAGCGCAAACAAATTCAAAAGCTAGCAGAAGACAAGAAATAATTAAGATCAGAGCAGAACTGAGGGAAATAGAGAAACAAAAAAACCCTTCAAAAAAATCAGTGAATCCAGGAGTTGGTTTTTTGAAAAGAATAACAAAATAGATAGACCACTAAACTAATAAAGAAGAAAAGAGAGAAGAATCAAATAGATAAAATAATAAATGATAAAGCAGATTTCACCGCTGATCCCCCAAAATACAAACTACCATCAGAGAATAATATAAACACCTCTATGCAAATAAACTAGAAAATCTAGAAGAAATGGATAAATTCCTGGACACATACACCCTCCCAAGACTAAACCAAGAAGAAGTTGAATCCCTGAATAGCTCAATAACAAGTTCTGAAATTAAGGCAGTAATTAATAGCCTACCAGCCAAAGAAAGCCCAGGACAAGACGGATTCACAGTCAAATTCTACCAGAGGTATCAACAGGAGCTGTTACCATTCTTTCTGGAACTATTCCAAACAATAGGAAAAGAAAGACTCCTCCCTAACTCATTTTATGAGGCCAGCATCATCCTGATACCAAAACTTGGCAGAGACACAACAAAAAACGAAAATTTCAGGCCAATATCCCTGATGAATATCAATACAAACATCCTCAATAAAATACTGGCAAACAAAATCTAACAGCACATCGAAAAGCTTATCCACCATAATCAAGTCAGCTTCATCCCTGGGATGCCAAGCTGGTTCAACATATGCAAATCAGTAAACATAATCCATCACATAAACAGAACCAATGACAAAAACCACGTGATTATCTCAATAGATGCAGAAAAGGCCTTCAATAAAATTCAACATCTCTTCATGCTAAAAACTATCAATAAACTAGGTATTGATGGGACATACCTGAAAATAATAAGAGCTACTAATGACAAACCCACAGCCAATATCATACTGAACGAGCAAAAGCTGGAAGCATTCCAAGGCAGGCCAAGACAAGGATGCCCTCTCTCACCACTCCTATTCAACATAGTATTGGAAATTCTGACCAGGGCAATCAGGCAAGATAAAAAAAAATAAACAGTACTCAAATAGGAAGACAAGAAGTCAAATTGTCTCTGTTTGCAGGTGACATGATTCTATATTTAGAAAACCCCATCATCTCAGCCCAAAAACTCCTTAAGCTGATAAGCAACTTCAGCAAAGTCTCAGGATACAAAATCAATGTGCAAAAATCACAAGCATTCCTATACACCAACAAAAGACAAGCAGAGAGCCAAATCATGAGTGAACTCCCATTCACAATTGCTACAAAGAGAATAAAAAACCTAGGAATACAACTTATAAGGGACATGAAGGACCTCTTCGAGGAGATCTACAAACCACTGCTCAAGTAAATAACAGAGGACACAAATGGAAAAAAAATTCCATGCTCATAGATAGGAAGAATCAATATCAAGAAAATGGCCATACTGCCCAAAATAATTTATATATGCAATGCTATTCCAATCCAGGTACCATTGACTTTCTTTGCAGAATTAGGAAAAACTACTTTAAATATTATATGGAACTGAAAAGGGCCCATATAGCCAAGGCAATCTTAAGCAGAAAGAACGAAGCTGGAGGCGTCATGCTACCTGACTTCAAACTACGCTACAAGGCTACAGTAATGAAAACAGCATGATACTGGTACCAAAACAGATATATAGACCAATGGGGCAGAACAGAGACCTCAGAAATAACACCACACATCTACAACCATCTGATCTTCGGCAAACCTGACAAAAACAAGCAATAGGGAAAGGATTCCCTATTTAATAAATGGTATTGGGAAAGCTGGCTAGCCATATGCAGAAAACAGAAACTGGACTCCTTCCTTACACCTTATACAAAAATTAACTCAGGATGGATTAAAGGCTTAGATGTAAAACTCCAAACCATAAAAACTCTAGAAGAAAACCTAGGCAATACCATTCAAGACATAGGCATGGGCAAAAATTTTATTACTAAAATACCAAAAGCAATTGCAGCAAAAGCCAAAATTGACAAATGGGATCTAACCAAGCTAAAGAGATTCTGCACAGCAAAATAAACTATCATCAGAGTGAACAGGCAACCCACAGAATGGGAGAAAAATTGTGTAATCTACCCATTGGAGAAAGGTCTAATATCCAGAATCTTCAAGGAACTTAAACATATGTACAAGAAGAAAAAACAACCCCATCAAAAAGTGGGCAAAGGATATGAACAGACACTTCTCAAAAGAAGGCATTCATGCAGCCAACATATGAAAAAAGCTCATCATCACTGGTCATTAGAGAAATGCAAATTAACACCACAATGAGATACCATCTCACGCCAGTTAGAATGGCGATCATTAGAAGGTCAGGAAACACCAGCCTGGCCAACATGACGAAACCCAGTCTCTACTAAACATACAAAAATTAGCTGGGCATGGTGGTGCACATCTGTAATCCCAGCTACTTGGGAGGCTGAGGCAGGACAATTGCTTGAACCTGGAAGGCAGAGGTTGCAGTGAGACGAGATCACGCCATTGTGCTCCAGCCTTGGTGACAGAGCAAGACTCCTCAAAAAAAAAAAAAAAAAAAGTCAGAAAACAACAGATGCTGACAAGGCTGTGGAGATATAGGAACACTTTTACACTGTTGATGGGAGTGTAAATTAGTTCAACCATTGTGGAAGACAGTGTGGCAATTCCTCGAGGATCTAGAACCCTAGAACCAGAAATACCATTTGACCCAGCAATCCCATTACCTGGTATATACCCACAGGATTATAAATCATTCTCTTATAAAGACACATGCACATGTATATTTATTGCAGCACTATTTACAATAGCAAAGACTTGGAACCAACCCAAATGCTCATCAATGATAGACTGGATAAAGAAAATGTGGCATATAAACACTGTGGAATACTATACAGTCATAAAAAAGAATGACTTCACATCATTTACAAGGACATGGATGAAACTGGAAGCCATCATTCTCAGCATACTAACACAGGAACAGAAAACCAGATACCTCATGTTCTCACTCATAAGTGAGAATTGGACAATGAGAACACATGGACACAGGGAGGGGAACATCACACACTGGGGCCTGTCGGGGGTTGGAGGGCAAGAAAAGAAGGGAGAGCATTAAGACAAACACCTAATGCATGCAGGGCTTAAAACCTAGATGATAGGTTGATAGGTGCAGCAAACCACCATGGCACATGTATACCTATGTAACAAACCTGCACATTCTGCACATGTATCCCAGAACTTAAAGTAAAATTAAAAAAAGAAAACATGCACACACTATATCCTAGCATGTTTTCTTTTGTATATCCAATTTATGAACAAAAGCTATACACGTGAAATACATAAAAATGACATTTTTTGAGATTATGTTATTCTTGTAGTTTTCAATGGAATTATCTTTTACTGTAAAACTAAATGACAACAAACAAACTGAAGTGTCTTTTAAATTCTTCTGCCCCCTTTCTCCATTTCCACTTTTATCCACACTAATCCTCCCCAACACCACTATTCAGATCTTAGGAGAAAAGGCGAATCATTGACATTCTGATGGCAAGAGGTTTTTTTTTTTAAGCACTGTGCTCAGCAAGAGTTAAAACAAAGTAAATCAATCAGAATGAATAAATAATCAAATATTCTCATGTTTGTAAGTGCTCCTTCCAACTCTGTAACAATAATGATCTTCAATAGGTCAGGATTGACTCCTTCTAATTTTGTCATTTACTATCTATATGACCACCTACTTTTTTTTATTAGTTTATTCGTCTATAATTGTATATCAGGCACTATATTAAGTACTTTAAATTAATTATCTAATTTTATTACTATTTTATAAAGGAAAGAACTGAGGCTGAAAGAGGATGTTATTTGCCCAGTATGGTACCTTGAGTAAGAATTATGAGATGTGACCACATAAGACTGTTGGTCTTTAAATAGCAGTTAAAATCACTGGTTAGGCACAAGAAGTTGAGCAGCTGGTAAACATCCCTTGCTTGATTCCGTCTTTCTGCACGGTAGGCACAATCATAATGTCTATCTCCTAGAGTTATCATCATTACTGAGTGAGATGAGTTTATGTGAACACATTTAGCAGAGCATTTGTCATGTAATAAGCAATCAAAGGTTAATATACATAGGCACAGAGCACTCCTAAAACATTTCATCCATGTAATATAAATGCCAAAATTTACAAATCAGTTATAATAGAGATGGTCTCTCCATCACCATTATTAATTCCATTGCACTTATTCAGAAGCAAAAGTGAATTTGAACATAATGAGTGTATTCTAAATTATAGAATCTGAAAATTCTTTTCTATGCAGTAATAATTCAAAAGCATTGGTTGTACAGTCTCAAAAAAGAGAATTTCTAAAACTTTTTGTTTTTCAAAATTAAGGGAATATTTTAAAGTATTTGTCTTATTATCATTTTCTTTTCCAATAATAGAGAAACTTATGAAACCCAGTATATAAAGACAGTGATGGGCCAGGAACCCAAAATTTAAGTTCCAAACTATACAAATCTAATATGCTGGAAAAAAATCATAAAATGAACACATCTTTCTTACTGTAGCTCCAATAAATATTCTAATTACATTAACATAAATTAGCTCATTAATCTAGACAGTAACCTATGAGGTATGTACTATTATAATTTCTGGTAACAGATAAGAAAACTGAGGTATAGAAAGAGTAAGTAACTTATTCAGGGTCACACGTTTAATGAGATTCATAGCTGCACAAATAAGAGGACCCACAAGAAAGTTACTTAACCTCCCTGATTTTCTGTTCTCAATTGTGAATAAAGGGGTTAAAAATGACACAGAAGGTAGAATTTTAAAATCGGACTTACTTGAATCACATCCCTTACCCAATGCCATTTTTTACAGATAATTTGATGGGTACTGGTGGCTGTGAGACATAAGCAAATATGTAAACCTCTGGTATTGCTAAAGCAAATGCCTACATCTTTCCTTGATGTAAGACTACATATTGTGGCCCAGATTTAATATATGAGGTCTCTAAGTGAGCCATTCAGGGTATCATTTACACAATAAAAACCTTTTTAATTTTGAAACGTCTCTATTTTATACTCATATAAATGACATTTTCCAATGGACCATGCCTCTTAAATCCATATTTTCCTAGTTTGTTTGCCATAAGCAACTCAGACAGAGCATGTACACCTTGCTAAAAAGCATCTTAAAGCTTCGAATTGTCCACTACCTTTCCACAGAAAATAGCATCAGGAAGCACATTTACTAGGTGACTTCATCAGGCAGTTTCTCCCCAGGATGCCCTTGGTTAGAGGACACGGCTACTAAACCATTTTATCCTGAAGTTGAATTCGATTATTTCCAAACTATCTTTCAACCCTATCATTGTGTTACTTAAAAGTCAGTTGTGTTATAACTTATGAGTCTCGTATTTGACATGTTAAATTCTCATTAATACTCTAAATAATGTAGTATATTAAGGAGATAAGCATGGCAAAATACTATAGCTGGAATTTAATTCTTTAGTATAGAACCTAAAATGTTAAATATTTTTAAACAGCCCTGAAATTTTTGTCATAGAACTACTCAGTGTAATATTGTCAGCCAAAAAAGTAATAATTCAAAAAGCAATTGTAAAAGCTTCATAAGTGCACAATTTTTTTTCTCACCTTGTCTGGAATTGAACAGCCAGAGATTCAATTATAGCAGTCAGAAACTCATACCTCATCATATCACGGTAATAATGCATTATCTTGGAAAACCAAGGCCAAATATTGGCTATATCTTATAAGCAACATATTGATTTTTCAAAACGGTTTATATAGGTCAAAACACCTCAAAATCATGTTACTCTTTCAGAAATATGAGAAAATTTTGTGACATTTAATTTTAAAATACATTAAAAAGTTTTACTGGCTTACAATGATCACATATATATGTTTTCACTATGCAGTCAAAATGATAAGCAGCTATGCCAAAAACAGACTGAGAAAAAAATTATATTTTTTCCTAGGTTCTCTACTAATTTGCATTTGCTTCTTGTTTATTCATTTTATCATCTTCCGGCAAGTGATAGCTGACACTGAAGTGTTCAGAAAAATTTTGGTGATAAGTGTAAAATTAATGATAAGTATAAACAGTCTACTCAACTTAAAAGGGAAATATATTTATACTGTGTAATATTATATGAAGGATTAAGTAGATAAAGTAGAAAGACATAGTAAAAATAAAAGTAGAAGTAAGAAAATATTAACAAATAGAATGATGAGTACATCCCAGCTTTGGGTTAAATGCAAGGATGTGTAGACACATATTATGCATTACACACTTATGCTTATATTTTATTATTTAACCATATCAGTGACCTATGTTTTTTCAATTGTCACTTGTTTTATATTAAGTTTACAAATTTTTAAATCATGCATGTGGATTTTCCTTTGTGGTTTGTTTTATTTATCTATAGTTATAATTTCCTTTCTCTTTTAGTCGTGAGAGAAATATTCACTTTATTTTCTTACAGTTTGAGTTTCACTCTTTATATGAAAGTCATTAATCCATCTTAATAAAAACAGTAATGAGAATAAATTCACGGTCAGTTAGAAAATGAAGGATCGAACGGCAAGCGCCTGGGGCCAAGAAAGAGCAGCTCCTCTGAAAAATGGCAGAAGCAGTTTTCCATGCCCCAAACAGGAAAGGAAGAGTGTATGAGACTTATGAGTCTCCATTGCCAATCCCTTCTGGTCAGGACCATGGTCCTCAGAAAGCAAGATATTCAATGCTGGAATGATTAACAACAATGTGATTGTGAGGAATGCAGAGGACATTGAGCCGCTCTATGGGGAAGGTTCTTTTGGAAAAGGTATTCTTTCAAGAAACTGTCCAACCATCACAGTTTCAGATCCTAAATTGGTTGCTAAATGGAAAGATATGAAGACAAACATGCCTATCATCACGTCAAAGAAGTATCAGCGTAGTGTTGAGTGGGTGGCAGAGCGGATGCGTAGACAGGGACAGGATGAGAGTGCGGTGCGCAGAATCCTCAAGGATTACTTGAATCCGCTTGAGCATCGCCCTGTGAAAAGGAATGAACAGGTTCAAATGCATGATGAGCTTAACTCTGGAATGGTCTCCAACATGGAAGGCACAGCGGTAGGAGA
Organism: Homo sapiens; assembly: GCF_000001405.40. Taxonomy (NCBI): domain Eukaryota; kingdom Metazoa; phylum Chordata; class Mammalia; order Primates; family Hominidae; genus Homo; species Homo sapiens. The sequence continues at coordinate 175,495,113 of NC_000004.12, forward strand.
GAGACCTTCTATGATAAACGGGGACTCTGGAAAGTCAGTTGTTATGGGTGATCCCAGTGAGCCATTAGGCTGCCTGCAGGAGGGCTCTGGGAGCGACCCACCAACAGAAGGCTTTGAGGAAAGCGTGGGAGAGGACGCTTCACCTCTGCCCCCAGCATGTTACTCCAAACACGATGCTCTCGTCCTCCAGTCTGGCCCTCACCGTGAGGACAGCAGCCAGCATTTTGGTCTCCTGCATGCTGGGGACAGAGGGCCTGACCAGTACGTGCTGGTGCAGGAAGCCAAGTGTGCCGTGAGCGAGAGGAAGGATGCCCCAAATGAGGAATTGGTGCAAAGAAAGAGACTAATCTGCAGAAGAAATCCATATAGGATCTTTTGAGTATTTGCAGCTCAGCCTAGAAGAGGTCTTCTTCCTGGTCTATGCTCTGGAATGTTTTAAGTATTTGCTATGAGAAGGAGCCTTTAACGATAGCGAAGCTCTGGAAAGCTTTCACCGTAGTTCAGCTTACGTTCAGGACCACCTCCATGGTCTACCATTGCTTGCCAAGCAATGGCTAGTGCCCAAAGTGGGGCTCAAGTACGGGACAGATTTACTGTTATATTGGAAAGGCCCTCCGTTTTACCATGCAAGCTATTCTGTCGTTATTGAGCTAGTTGATGAGCAGTTTGAAGGCTGTCTCTGCAGGCCTTTCAGTTGGATGTCCCTGGCTGCCTTGAGCAGAGTTTCCGTTAATGTCTCCAAGGAACTCATGCTGTGCTGTTTCATTAAACCCGCTACTATGACTGACAAGGAAATGGAGTCACCAGAATGTATGAAAAAAATTAGAGTTCAGGAGGTGATTCTGAGTTGATGGGTGTCTTCACAAGAGAGGAGTGACCAAGACAAACTTTAACAATTCAACCTCAAATTTCTAATTTCACCAACAACTATTTATTGCGGGCTAGGTAAAAAGTTCTTTTTACTGTAATTCCCCATTAATTTATAAGTTTTAAAGGGCCTGGTGCTCCCAGCACCAGACAATGATCAGTGTTTTTAAAGATAAATTACACAGGGGAGGAGAAAGAGCCCTGTGTTGGGCCTGCAGATTCTGTCCTTGCATTGGCCTCTTCCAATCCTGAGCCTCGTGCCTCTGGCCTCAGTCTGTGCCCTCATCCAGTCACTGGGGAGGTTGGACTAGATGAGTGGATGAATCCCGAGGGGACTCTTCCAATAACAGGGACATTTATTCTCTGATTTTACCTGAAAGTGGCAGTAGTTTACATTTATACAGTACAGTTTATGAAGCACTTTCATACACAAGCATCTCTTGCTACTTACATCTAAGCTGTTCCAAAAAGAGTGCTAGCAGGTTTAACAATTACAGGATCTATGTTCCTTTATTTTGAATGGAAAAAATTGTTATATGTCTCAGCATATCCAAGAACTTTAACCAATAGCTCAAAACATTTAAAAATCTCTTTAATATCTACCAAGGATTTCTGTATAACAAAGCCTTTAAAATATCAGTTACCTAATTATTTAATTCTCAAATGAACTCATTTGTAGGCATGTTTATATACAGAACACAACAATATTATACAATATTAGATAAGCATATCTTCACTGAACTTGTTACAATGAGTGATGAAATAATGTTTGGAGACATAATGAAAGCAATTAACATTTAGCAAAATATAATAAAGCCTTTGTTTAATTGGTGAAATAAAACAGAAGGATCATCTACAATTGTACCATTTTCTGAAGAAATATAAATTTTCAAGTTGGCTTATGAAGGATTAGAAAATGTAAAAAAGCCAAAGATTAAGGGAGCCCATTTTAGCTTTCAATAAATAAATTCTTCAAATATTATTAAATTAATGGTTTGTGAAGAATATATAGCATGCTAGGCACTAGTGAGCGTGTAAACTGCTACAGACTTTCAGAACAGCAAATTAGCAATATAAATCATGAACCATAAAATCTTCCACACCAATAATTATATTTCCAGGAAGCTATACTACTAAATAATCTCAAATTTAAATGACGACTTATGAACCAAAATATTAATTGTACCATTAATAATAATACTGAAGAGTTGGATGAAATTTAAATGTCCAACACTGGGAAGATGACTCAGTAAATTGCAGTATATTTGAGGGGGGAAATATGAGATAGATTTCAAAATTAATTTTACTAAAAATGTTAATGCCATGCATATGCTCAAGATTTCTTGAAAAATCTATGATATAAAATTATATGTATAGTATAATCTTTTTACATAAAAGGCATAAAGTTTATAATTTTTAGTTAACACACAAATATACTTACATAGAAAAATTAATACAAGAAAATGCACTAGAATGAGAGTAGTAATTGCCCCTCAGAGGAGAAATTGATATATAATTTTTTTTACCTTCTTTCACTTTTCTTTGTCTTCCATGATAATACCTATCACGTTATTTCATTCTTCATTACAGTAGCTAACTCTGAGTCCTAACTAACACAGTGATTTTTGAGGCTGACTTTCTCTTTAATAAAATGGAAAATGATCCTTTAACAACAATTTATAAAAGTGTTAAATGATCTTGGAGGGTCCTTCTTGTTTTACCAAAAGAAATTTTTTCCCATAAAAAGTAAAAAGTCTCAATCCTGAATGGCACCCTGTTATAATCTAGAAACTGCCATGCTGGGTTAATTTACTATCGCACAGCCCAGAAATGATCTCATTGACAGAGATGCCAAGGCACCATTTTGTTCCTTGGTCATCCTCTATATGATTTCCCCAACATATTAGCCATACTTTCCAAAGATCTCTAGCTTAATTTACTAACTCATTATGGACTTAGAGAAATGTGAAATGTGTATTCAATTGTTTCTCTGAACATTTAAGAAATGCACCAACAACATTTCTTACAAATTTTTTTTTTGTTCTATCAACAATATTACTTTGTTGTAATAAATTAATGAGTTTGGTGCTTCTCTTTCAATTGCGTGTGTGTGTGTGTGAGAAAGAGATTCTTAATGATATTCACACTGTAAATTTTAATATACAGCTACTCTTTTTGTAACCATAAAGTCTGAGTCATTTTAGTGATGGTGAAGAGGGATATGATAGGTTTGTGGGAAAGGGTGAGCCAACAGCCCATCTGAACACCAACTGTTGAGTGCCCATTTCCCCAGGTGTCACTGGATTTCTGGGAAACAGCTTCCTAGACTTTAGTGTCCTCAATTAAAGAGCAGACAACTATGGCTTTTCTCTCTGTCTGTGGAGGTTAGGGTACAGAAATAATCTCAGTTGAAAGCCTTCCTTAATGGCAGTGACATAAAGTGAGAGAGTTTTTAACACACTGTCTCTCCTCAAATCACCTACAGTTCCAGATTCCCATTGTTAAGGGATCTTGGGGGTATTGCTTTTCTGGCTATAAATCTGTGGCTGGTGGCACCTTTGCCCAAGTTTTGCTCGGACCTGCTGGGCTTGTTCCACCCACTTGGCATGGCAGGCTGCACTTGGTTCATGCTACCAGCCTGGATCCCACACCTTCAAGGAGAGTGTGAGTCAGGTGTGGAGCAGTGAGGGGTGTGTGAGCAAGTATGGGATCCTGCCAGTAAGCAGTCATATACACCAGCTTCTGCCACAGCATGAGCAGCTCCAGGTGCCAGCTCTGTGAGGCTGTGGCTGCACCAGGTGCACTGCAAGCAGCTTCCCCAGCTGGCACTGGGGAATGTGGTGGTGCCTGGAAGCTTAGAGATGCTGGGAATCTCAGGGCCCCAAAGAGGGAGTCATAACTCTTGCTTAGGGAGCTCCCAGGTGTGGGGTCCTCAAAGGGCTGCAGCTCTTCTCTCCTTCTCTTCACTGGCAATGTGGCATGCAAGGAGCATGTTTTAGCTCTGTTTTGGTTACAGCTCTTTTAGCCTCTTCATTAAGCAGGTCCCAAATTATTGTCCTGCAACCAGGAAGAATGAGGTATGCAGACAAGTGGAGAGTGAGCAAGATGAAGGGGAGATTTATTGAGTGACAGAACAGCTCAGAGGAGATCCACAGGGGGCAGCTCTCTTCCACAGCCAGGGTGTCTAGTCCAGTGTTCAAAGCAGAGAGGATAGCTCCTCTGCAGCTGTTTGTCCTGTTGTCTGCTCTGCCCTGGCTGAGCCTGAGGCTTTTATGGGCCTCAGAGAGGAGAAAGGGCATGCTGATTGGTCCATGGGTGGCCATGGGTGGGACTGGAAAGGGCACTGCAAGTTCCCACTCCAATCTGTAATACTGGCAGACCAGCCCCCACCCTTCAGGCCCTCCCTGGTCTGAAGGTGGGCCCTCACCAGGACCCACTGCCTTCCACCCAGAAGCCTGTCTGCCTCCTGCAACTGTTCATGGTGCCCAGGCTGCTTGCACCAAGGGGTACCTGCAAGCCAGTGCTGAGCCACCCTCAGCCCCCAAACCTCAGCTTCCCTCCCCTCCCCCAACCCCACCACTCATCAGCACCCAAAGTCTGGAGAGGGCCAAGGCAGCAGTGGGTTGGTGTGTCAGTGCTGCCCCCAAGGATGCACACACCCAGCTGAGCTGTGACAGCGCCCCAAGATCAGAGTTGGTGCCAGGAGTCGGGAGAAGCCAGGGAGGGTGAGCAGATACTCCTGAGCCTGTGGGGGAAGTGGGGACCTGCCCAGGCCCCCAAGGGTGCAGACTGCAGAGATTCCAAGTCCTGTACCTGGGAGGGCAGGTCTCCCGCCAGCTCTGTGGAGCCTATAGGCAGCCCTAGCTGTGCCTCCTCACAGCCTGGGGTTGGTGCTCCAGGTCCACACTGGGCCCTTCTCTGCATGCCCCTCTGTGGCTGACCCCACTGCTTCCCCACTGGCAGTGGCTCGGCCCAGCCCCATTGAGGCAGCCCCCCAGGGCAATGGGCTCTGGGAGTGCTCCACTCATCCCTGGCTCCCACTGGCTCCGTGGAGTGTGGCACCACCCTGGGCCCAGTTCTGGCTCCTCCCAGTGCCAGCCCCACAGCAGTGGCAGGTGAGGGGGTGATGTGGGCCAGGATCCAGAGTGGCAGAGGCTCTGGGCCTGGGGCGGCAGTGTGAGGGTAAGGGCAGTGCAGCCAGCTGTCTTGGGGATGCAGTGCACAGGGGTCCCACCACCACCACTGCTGTACCTGTAACCACTCCCTCTGCCACTGCTCACACCTCCCCACTGCAGCCATTAGTGGCAGCAGCTGCTCTAGATGGCCTGTCACTGCCATCGCCATCTTGCTTCCATGTCTCCCACATCTAAACCTGAGACACCTCTGCAGCCCCTGCAATAAATTTTGCAGTTCTCTGGGGTTTTATGTTCCTCATATTCATCCCATTTACCTTCCTGCTTCAAGTGCTTTTTCCTAGTTGCTGGCCCCCTATGTGAAGCTATTCTTGATTATCATGATAGTTATAGGTTTTGTTTATCTTTTTAATAAATACTCATTCTCTGTCATTTCTAAGGATTTAAGTTCAAAGAAGTGATGATACTTTAATAAAAAAATTAAAATCATCTCCCAAATGTACCTTAGATCATTTTATTCAGTTTTAAAATCCCTTAATTCTAGAAAATATTGTTATACTTAAAAACCTTGGGGAAATTTTTTTGGAAAATACATTTAGTTCTAAAGGTCATTTTAGTAAGGAAGATGGTTCTCCAATCTTCTTTTTATATTTTCTGTATTTGTTTTATAAAAGTCAGATATGCTTATTGATACGTATTTCAAAATTCTGGTTTCGTTATTGAATCAGTTATACAATTTGTAAGGTGCTTACTAATGTTTACTTGGTTGTCATGGGTTTCCAGTAATTGAATTGTGTAGTATTTAATTTCTTGTAGGCTTTACATTTTTTCTTTCACTTTTTAATATTTCCCATTACATTGGCTAAGATTTCCCGGAAGAAAATTATAAATTGATTATACTTATAGTTTTTGTATCTAATTGAGTTGAGCTAAATTTTAAAATTGCTATGTGTTTTCTATCAATTTCTTCTTACACTTTAAACAAGTCTTGATTGATAACTATTTTGCTTAATTATTAAGGCAAAAAATGTGAAAAGCTCTGACTTTTATATCATTGTTACAGAATACATGAATTATTATTATTATATGATTTTTGTCATTTAATTATTTTTAATGAAAATTTTTCTCTCTGATATTAATATTTTCCTTTTTCTGACATTAGTGTAGAAATTTTAACTTCTGTGGGTTGTTTTGTTTACATTCTTGTTAAACTCTTACCAGTCCTTTTTTTATTTTTCAGATTTTCACAATGAGTAACAGTGATATACCCATTCTATTTTGAAATAATTTTTTTTAGTTTTATATTTTGCTTGTCAAAACTCAAAGTTTTTACTTTTCTTTTCTTTTTTTTTTTTTAGAGGGAGTTTCACTCTTGTTGCCCAGGTTGGAGTGCAATGGCACAATCTTGGCTCACTGCAACCTCCGCTTCCTGGGTTCAAGCAATTCTTCTGCCTCAGCCTCCTAATTTGCTGGGATTACAGCCATGCGCCACCACACCAAGTTAATTTTGTGTTTTTAGTAGAGACAGGGTTTCTCCATGTTGGTCAGGCTGGTCTCAAACTCCCGACCTCAGGTGATCCGCCTACCTTGGCCTCCCAAAGTGCTGGGATTACAAGGGTGAGCCACCGCGCCTGGCTGAGTTTTCAGTTTTCTACTAGTGATTTTGCCATTTAGATTTGCTTTAATAACTGACATATGTCTTAATTCAATTATGCAACTTATGCACTTTTATGTATCATGCTGTTTCTTTAATTTTGCTCTGTGACTTCCTTTCCTGTTATTTTTTTCTTTCTGTTACTTAAAATGTATGGACTCTTTTCTTCATTTAAGGTATTTTTATATCCATGTGTGTTTAAATTGTGGTATAACTCATCTTTATTTGACTATCAATGCCAAGCCTGGAATAGTATCTATTGATTCCCCTGATGTGAGATGAAATTAGCACATTCACTTCCTGCTGTCATTGAACCACCAGATTTTTGTGTGGCTACATTTAAAATAAATGAGAAATAAAAGGAATAAAAATACTAATTCAAATGTAATTTGAAAAAATTTCTTGATGAGGTTGAGGAGAATGGTCCAATGCATGGCATACAAAATCACTTCTATAAATGCCCCACCTGCATCTTTTTTACTCACATAATTATTTTTTTGAAGTGTAGTCTTGCTCTGTTGCCCAGGCTGGAGTTCACAGGCATAATGTCAGCTCACTGCAACCTCTGCCTCCCGGGTTCAAGCAATTCTCCCGCCTCAGCCTCCCAAGTAGCTGAGACTACAGGTGTGCGCCACCAGGCCGGGCTCATTTTTGTATTTTTAGTAGAGATGGGGTTCATCATGTTGGCCAGGCAGGTCTCGAACTCTTGACCTTTGGAGATCTGTCTGCCTCAGCCTCCCAAAGTGTTGGGATTACAGACATGAGGCACCGCGCCCGGCCTCCTCTCATAATTATATTCACTATGCCAATTGTGACTTTTCTATCTCCTTCTCTCTCCCAAATAAAGTAGTTCTTCTTTTTCCTTTATCATCCCCTCTACTCTCTTTCCCTCTCTTTTCTCTCTTCTCTCTCTTCCTCTCCCCAGCTTTTTCCCAATCAGGCCTGTTCCTCTTTTCCTCCTCAACATCTGGATCAGCCCCTCCCAGTTATTTAATAGGGACATTTTTCCTCTCTCACCTTCCTAAGTCTCCACTCAACACCACACTCAGCAAATCAAATCATTTCAGGGAATCAACTCTCTTTAGAAGAATGGGTATAAATACTTAAACTTTTTTACCTGTGACATTCTTGCATAGTGAGAAATCATCCTATGAAAAAGAGAAACGATATCTAATCTGTGTCCTCTCTAACCATCTTGAAGTTCATAACTCAAACCTCTTGATTTTTCTTCTCTCACAGAGTTAGTCTTGGCTCAACTTTAAAACCTCTAAGATGTTTTGTTCAGCTATTCTTAATTGTCTTCACTAAAACCTAGGAACTGCATTTGTAGCTGTCTTGAAATATATACATCAGTCTTGGTTCTCAAAGGAGATCAGGCTGGTAAGCCAGTCACCCTTTGCTTCTTCCATGAGCATGCAGCCCCACCTCCTCTATCCACTCCCATATTTCCTAGGAAAAACAGCCTTGGATACGTACCCTGCAATTTCATTCTCTTTCTGTAGGGTCTCTCCCTCCCACTAAATGAAAAAGGACTATATACAGGGTTGCTTTTTGTTTGTTAACTTTTATTTCCCAAATGGCTATAATTCACCATAATATGTATCTTGCCCCTCTTTTGTTACTTGAAAAAAATTACAAAGTCATTTCTTCTTCATGAATCCCTGGGTACAGGTTTCCATTTATCCATATAGTCATGCTGGAAGCAAGTTAAGATGAGCAGTACCTAAACTGTGTTGTGAATGGGTACTGAAGAATATCACTGGGAGTCAGGACCCATCTACCATGATTTCTCATCTCTCCCAATCCACGCCTCCCAGAAAATTTTGAATCTTTTTCCTACATCAGAATTGCCAAATTTTGATCAAGTTTGGATGCATTGTAGGCAATATGCAATAGCTCTTACTTCCTCTCACCGACTTTTGAATTTTTCTTCCTCCAATTTTTGAATAAATAATTAATATCATTCAATCAACTCTACTTTCCTGCTAGGATAATTTTCCTAATTCATTTGCATGCTCATGCTTCTCTTCTGCTCAAATAGTATTACATTATAAAATCCAAACTCCTAAACATGGCCCAACCTATCTCCAGATCTTAACTCTTACACTTATTTCTTATTGGCTATAGTGCATTCTCATCACACAATGAGGTCTTGCATTTTCATGCTTCTGTGCATAGTGTTTCCAGTTGAAATGCTACCAGTGCTTGAAATGCTATTTATCAAACCTATAATTTGAAATCTTACCAATTTCAAATGTCATATTTATCATGAGTCTACATTGCTCCCCACTGAGAAATAATCACTCTTGCCCTGTTAATCCCACTCTAAAACAATAGTCCTCTATTGTTTTTCATTGTAGTTACAGGCATATGATTGACTGTTACATTAATTCTCTTCGTACCTTTTTTTGTATTCATGTTCTTCTACATTGACCTTAAACTTGGCTTTACTACTATTTGAAAATGGGACATTAGTAAATGTCCTACTAATGTATCTTATCAAGCAGATGCTTGGTAGATTCTTGGTAGTAGGTTCTTGAGCTTTTGCTTTTGAGAAATTTTCTTTTGGAATGCAGCTGTTATACAAAAAGAATGCCCAGGCTATCCTGCTCTAAAAAGCATCCATAGGGAAACACTGGAAAGTTGTACAACAATTGTAATAAGAGACTTATTAGAGGAGAAATGAGGTGCTCTGGCTTATAGTTATCACCACTGTACAGACACATGACAGAAGTGTTTTGAATATTTCAGCCCAGCTTACTCAACAGCTGCCTAGTACATGTGGCAAAAGAATGCATGAACTAATAAAAAAAAAGTCATTGTTGTTTAAGTCACTAAGGTTTCAGATGAGTTGTCAGGCAGTGATAGACAACTCAAATAGTATGTTTCTTTGTTTCTGCTGTATTGAAAATATTTTAAATGAAATTCAGTGCATTTTTATTTTATTGAACAACACTTAGCATATTGCATTTGATAAATTATACCTTAAATAAATATTTATCTAAGTTAGTATGGACTCCTTTTATCTTCATTACAAAACTGAAAGATTTGCATGACATATTTTATCCCTATTTAAAAATTATACAAATAATAATAGCTAACATTTGCATAGCAATTCACTATGGTTACAAAATCAATATAAAGAAGACTAGCTTTGGAACTAATAAGCTATTATAGCAAGGTTGTAGAATACGTGACTAATATATAAAAGTATATTGCTTCCCTATGTGCCAGCAATAAATAATTGAAATTTGAATTAAAAATACAACAAAGAGGATTTTTAAAATGGAGATATATTCCATATTTATGGATAGAAAGATTCAATATTGTCAAGAGGTCAGTTTTTCTGAACTCAATCTATAGATTCAACACAATCCAAATCAAAATCCCAGCAAGTTATTTTGTCAATATTGGCAAACTGATTCTAAGGTTTATATGGAATGTCAAATTAAATAGAAAAGCCAACACAATATTGAAGAAGAATAAAAATGTCTAAGGGCTACATCTACCTGACCTAAAGCCTTAATGTAAAGCTACAGCAATCAAAACAATGAGGTATTGGCAAAAGAACAGACAAATAAATCAATGGAAGAGAGTAGAGAGCCCAGAAATAGATCCACACAACTGATCTTCAACGAAGATCAGATGAAGGAGAGATAAAAGTTATCACAGTGAAATTTGCTCTAATAGCTAAAACTCTTGCTTAACATTCTATTTCCTGTGAAAACCGATTAAATTATATAAGTCTGGCATGTATCAAATGGTAATTTCAAACATTAAAATTATGATTTTAAGTGGAGGCCATCAACCTGAGTTTAAAAAATTCTTTAATAATTTATGAATATTTAATGTATCATTTTCATTTCCAATTATTTAAAATTTTATACATAATTCCATCTTTCCAGTGTTTGATACTGGTTATAAGTAAATGAATTTTGTGATTCCAGCATGATGCCAGTCTCCAAATCACTGCCTGTTTTGTTCAGTTTTGTACAATCACAGCATGTTGTTTACAGCAGCACTAGAACTTCAGGTCTGTGGAAAACATAGCACCAAATACGTAAAGCAAACCATTCCAATACATTAAATAAACTGCTGACCTGCCAAACCCTGAGTGGAATGAGCCTGACATAGCTGCCATGAAAATAGCTAGAGCTGTGTGCCCTTTAAAAACAGTTGAAATTGTTCAACGTTAAGAAGGAAAAAAGCAGAAATCATTACAATGCAAACGCTTATTCCAACTTCAATATAATCTATCATTACCAAACACACAAATAGCTGAGCTAACTAATATTTTGTGTATGTAGAGGGATAGGTGGCCTTTCAAAAATACAAGGAATTGATCACTTACTGTAGAATATCAAAGTAGGTGAGATAGAGGATAAAAATAAATCAATGTTGTTAAACCTGTTTCCTTAGCAACTAACCAATTGAGACAAAAAGAAAAGTTTTTTTTTTTTCTTGTATGTTCTGAATTACATGCAGCTACATAATTTGCTTATTATGGACTTTATATAGACTCCTATGATGTAGGGTATTTTCCCCTCTAACCTCAATGTCCAAAAGTCATGAGATTTTATCAACATGTAAAGGTCATTTAAACACAAATGTTTTTTCTTTCGTTATTTAGAACAAGACTATAAGAAACATAAACAAAATCAGAGAATTTTCAATATTATATTTAAATATCTGGAATGTCTTTGCATTATTTATTGTATAGAATTACATTAATATAAGAAATTTCATGGTGAGGGTATTTGGAATTGCATTTACATAAGAAATGTGATGGGGAGATAATTTCACAATAAAGAAAACAAAAATATCTTAAACCATAAAGTGTACTCTTCCTTTGGCATTCTTTTGAGGAGAAGGCCTTCTGATATTTGACCCCTATTGCTAGAATTCTCAGTTTTCATAAAAGGGTGCTGACCCTACTGAAACATCAGCTATGGTATATGCCTGTGAATTCAACTGCCCTTCATAGAATAGCTACACATATAATTCTGTTGTTATAACTCTTCCACATATTATTATATCTGCCCTTCTATCAAGTTAAAACAATAGAGCGATGCATAGCTAAACTATTTAATTTCACCTCCTCCATATTATTTTTACTGAATTGTACTCTGGTGTGATAGCATCAGTATATATATTGGGGATTATTAAAACAACCCTGAAACGTTATCAAGGTATTGTCCAAAAAGTTGTGGGAAACATATTTATTATCTACTTCTTCAGGTTTCATGGCAAGATGATTCCCTGGATAAGCTTAGTAGCAAAATAATTACACATAATCCCAAGAAATTGTTTCCATTGTTTTTTTAATATACTGTGATTTAGTTAGTAGTCAGACTTTCTTATTCTCATGCTTGACTAGTCATCTTATGACCAAATCTTCTCATAGTAAGTATAGAGGTTACTATAATGTGGGATTTTGGCTTGTTCCTCACTAAGCTATTGTCCCCACTCTTATTCTACTTTCTCTTTCATCTCACCTTAAATTACGAATTATGACATTAATTGGCAGCACTAGTTCCAGTAAGAGTAAAAAATAGACTTCAAAAAAATCTCAAATACACAGAAGTTTATCTTATGTTGACATGAACAATGTTGGACAAGTGTTTCAGGTAGACTCAGCCTTCCTCCTTGTAGACATTACATAATACAACTAACAAAGACTTTGCCATCTTCAACATGTGATTTTCTTTTTTTTTGTTTCTTTTGTGTTTTTTAATTTTTTTATTTTATTTTATTTTTATTATACTTTAAGTTTTAGGGTACATGTGCACAACGTGCAGGTTTGTTACATACGTATACATGTGCCATGTTGGTGTGCTGCACCCATTAACTCTTCATTTAATATTAGGTATATCTCCTAATGCTATCCCTCCCCCGTCCCCCCACCCCACAACAGGCCCCGGTGTGTGAGGTTCTCCTTCCTGTGTCCATGTGTTCTCATTGTTCAGTTCCCACCTATGAGTGAGAACATGAAGTGTTTGGTTTTTTGTCCTTGCAATAGTTTGCTGAGAATGATGGTTTCCAGCTTCCTCCATGTCCCTACAAAGGACATGAACTCATCCTTTTTTATGGCTGCATAGTATTCCACGGTGTATATGTGCCACATTTTCTTAATCCAGTCTATCATAGTTGGACATTTGGGTTGCTTCCAAGTCTTTGCTATTGTGAATAGTGCCACAATAAACATACGTGTGCATGTGTGTTTATAGCAGCACAACGTGTGATTTTCAATGTAACAGAAGCTATCTTTATCTGATTCAATAGGAAGAGAGAAAAACCATGAAGAAGTATACACAAAAGTGTTTTGTGAATCAGGCCTGGAAGGAACACTGACTGCTTTTGTTCCCATTGCTTAGCTAAAACTCAGTGGCATGGCCACACCTGACTGCATGGGTAGCTGGAATATGTACTATAATTATGAGCCCCAAGCAAATATTAATTTGTTGAGCAGCTAGCACCACCTGCTACAGACATATATTGTCAACTGCAAACCCTTACTAGACAGGTAGAGTAAGACTGAGTAAAGGTATTAAAGACTGTTTTTTGCAACATTTATAAAATATGTGTGTATATTCAGATTAAGTTAATGTGTCTTCATTTTGGAAGAGAAAACATAATCAAAATTGAATTGAAGTTATTGCAGAGTGTTGTTGACTCTGTTGATTCATATATACAGATTGTTACTGGAGGTTTAATTAGCATAACACTTTATTAGCAATGCCATCCTGTTACATTGAATTTTATAACATTTTAGAGAATGAGTCCAATGAGAAACAAAACTTTTTTACATGGTGTCAACAGAAAGACACACAGGAATCATAGATTCCATTATATACACAAACTACAGACATGCCATAACAACTTCATGAGTAGTGCATTCAGATTCTTACACATAAGCCTTCTAATGATGAAAATCAATATCTAGTTATTAATAGATTTTTATATATGTAGAAACACTTTCAAATAGGTTTAGCAGTGACTTTGTATGAACTTCAGATACTCATTCATTTTCTTATTCATTGGTTCCTTCTCAGGTAAACAAAGATAATACCAGAGAAAAGCAATCTGACACATAGTGAAATTATTAACTGTCCAGCAATTGTTTCTAGCAAATTGTTATTTCCTTAAAAATATGGTTAAAGCACCTGTTCTCTAGAGTGTGAATTATAAAACATCAGAGAAACCATAAAATACATTATTGTGGGTAATATCAAACAAATAGCCCAACCTCATATATATGACTGTGAATATCTATGTGAATCTGAATAGATATATCCACAAGCAGGATTCTTCATTTTAATTATTGAGCTAAGAATATGAGAAAATTCAGTTGTATACATATTAATACTGAGTCGTGCAGAAATACTCAATATTGTATCCAGGCAATTTTCATTTCAAAGGAGTCCATAGCCCTTCTTCCCTCCAAGCTCCATCAGTGTCAGGGCTGAATCCCTCCACCTCCGTAACTCAAACAGCTCTACTTAAAAGTATTTATAATACTATTATAGAAGGCATTTACCATCAGTAATTACCTAAATATCTCTCTGATTGTGGTAGTCATTAGGGTTCATCTCTAAAAATGTTTAGCACACAGTAGGCTTGCAACTCTGGTCTCCTCCTGGCTGAATGACAGCATGGGATTTATTCTGGTCAATGAGTTGAAGGTAGAAGTAATAAACACCACCCCAGGCTGAGCACTTAGCCACCAGTAGAAAAGCCACCAGAGGTCGCTCTTATTTCCAGCATAATTGGCGGTGGTGAAGATGGGTTCTCAAATTACAAGGATAAGTAGAACTCATTATGCCACCCCTACCTAGGATGAATATAGCATGAGGAAGAAATAAGCCTTTGTTGTTTTAAGTCACTTATATTTTGGAGATTGTTTGTTACAGCAACATCACTTAGACTTATAAGCTGAAATTTTATTTCTGTGTTGTTGAAAGTATTTTTTTTTCACCTTGAGTAAGCGTTTCACTGGAGCTTATTTTAACTATCCTTTCAGCTTTTCTACCAAAACTGAGAATAGCATGGATTGAAAACTGTCCAAGGAACATTCAGTTTGTTTTGTTGTTTATTTTGTCAGTGAAATTGAGCAAAGTATGGGAAAGTAAGAAAAATTGCAGTTGAACAATTAGTGGCCTAATTAGAGAATTAGGCCCAATTTTGAATCACACAGGTAGCTCCCAGGAATTGTACCATTTGAAAAGATGAGTCTAAAGAATAGTATTTTACTAAAATTTTCTTTTTCAAGATTTTATTAAAATTCAAAATTTTAAGGAATATTTACAGGAAGTATAACCATGGAAAAATGAGACAAGAATTTATGTAAGTGTAATTGCATGCTAAATATCAGACAACTCATCCACCAACTCACTTAGTAATCATCTTCCAAGCACTACGTTCCTTCAAGAAATATTGATTGAACATTTCAATGCTATGGTCGAACTTTTTGCTTCGTTTGTATTTCCTGAGAGTTGTATACTCTGTTTCCACCTTAGCTTCAGTTTCTCCATCTATAAAATGCAGATAATAGTCAATACTCCAACAAAATTGGAGTATTTCATAAAATGTCTTTGTTCTCATAGCTACTAACCATCCAGACTTTATACTTTTTAGCTTGTTAACTTGTATAGTATTTGTCTATAAAAATATTATTTGTCTTTAGCACTTTTCTTTAGACTTTTGTGAACATGAGCTAGGGTGTATGAGACAGTATGTCCTCAGAAGATTTTTAATAAATACATTAACGTTAGATGAAATGAGAGTGTATGCATTTGTACTTTCCTCTCAGTTGCAGTCATAAAATACCCCTAAGATGCAAAGTTAAGTCATCATATTCTAGAGAATGGGTTTAATTAATCAATATTTAAGTGATCTTAGAAAATACCAAAAAATTTAAAATGCTTCTTAATATGTATAAGGCCTTTAAATACTGACAAATGTTTATGTTTTATGCCATTTCCTAATGAGACGATAAAGCCATATTTAAAACCTGTTATTGAAGGTAAATCAACTTGCAACCTACTATGAGTTAGTCAAGCTGGCTTCATAAGAATAAAATGTGCAAAGAAACACAGAGATGAACTGGACACAGTGGCTCACACCTGTAGTCCCAGCTTCTTAGAGGCTGAAGTGGGAGAATGGCTTGAGCCCAAGAGTTCGAGTCCATCCTTGACAACACAGTGAACCCCAGTCTCAAAAAACAAACAAACAAACAAACAAAAAGAAATACAGAGATGACAGAAAAGCAGGGTCTTGGGCAGGAAGGACCACAGACTTGCTAGTTAAACTGAACTATGCTCAAGCAGAGAAACAAAGGGAGAGAGAAGAAGAGGGAAGAGACTGCCATACATATGGCCAAAGATATACAAGAGATTATGCAGACTTAGAGAAACTGAGTAAGCAATATCCATTTTGAATTTACAGTTCCAGTTAGAGTTAGGATGCTGATTTATTGACCCCCAGTTTCAAGTTTTCAGGTTCTTCCGAAATTTTTGTCATTTAACCATCCTGAAGCAGTATCTATTTTCCAGCAAATGATACAACCTCATTAGAGGCAGTTAAGGCACATGAAACTATAATAGCCAATTGTAAGTATACAGTCTAAAATGAAAAGGAACTCTTTTTTGTTGAAAAAGTACTTTAAGTGGTACTTAAAATCTGGTTAAAGAAATAAAAGAACTGCTGAATTTGTCAAAGTGGAAAGAGAAGTCTATGGTGAAATGACCTGCTATAGGTTTACCATGGTGTAGTCAACAAGTACTTAACCTGCAGTTGCTCTTAAATAACAAAGTTATATCAATCTCATTTATATTTTGTTATTTTATTACAGAATAGGGAAAAATAAGAAAAAACACTGGAAGATAATTATTGTATAATATATTCTCAGGGTTTGGTTTTAAAAACACACACACACACAACTGTATATATACGCACAAACACATATAACATTTAGTCTTTTTGTCTGTCGAAAGGCAGTCATCCCTGGATTCCCTCTACAGAGTCATTTGCCTCCTGAGCACAGGAAACTGACATGCCATAAAGAAAGGTAATATCTCCTTTTATTTTTCCTTAAGCCATTTACTCAGCACACTTTAAGGGTATAACACTACAGTCATTTGTCCCTTTGATAGTGGAACCATGTGCTCCCATTCAGATGGTATAAAGTTTTGGATTTAGCAGTGAATAAAGCTTCCGCATAATGACTGTTTTTCCAAACCCAATGCTATTGACTTCTCTGATCTCCCCAAGGAATTATTTCTTTCCTGGATGATGCATAAGAAGTTGATTGCACAACTCAAAGATGTTCACTACTTTGTCCAAGTATCACAACTTCTGTTGTATCTTATTTTCTTTTCTAAGTAGTAAATGCTTAGAGAGAAAATATTACATGTGTATTGTTTTTGGATTTCTTAAAGTTCCTTGTAGAATATCTGAAATATCAGAAAATGTTAAATAAATTAATTAATAAGTGACTGACACTAGGATGTATGTGCCTGGATTTCCACTCTTCTAATTGGTGTGATTGACCTAAAATCGAATTAAAATATTACACATGTCTATACATAGTAAAACAATATTGACTTTACGTTATGTGTTGAATGTTGTTCCCCCAAAATTTATGAATTCAAGTTCTAATACCCAGTGCCTCAGATTATTGCCATATCTGCTGTAAGGTCTTTAAAGAGCTGATTAAGTAAAATGAGGCTATTAGGGTAAGCCCTAGTCTAATCTTACTTGTTTCTTCATAAGAGGAAATTTGGACAGAGACACCAAGGATGTTTGCTCACAGAAAAAAAGGCCTGTGAGGCCACAGCAGGAAGGGGCCCATCTGCAAGCAGAGAGCTGAGGCCCATCTGCCTCAGCAGAAACCAGACCTGCTGACAACTTATCCTGGACTCCTAACCTCCAGAACTCAGGGAAAATAATTTCTCTTGTTTAAGCCACCACTTCGTGGTATTTTGTTGTAACAGTCCTAGTAAGCTCCTATAATTTAAGAAGAGAACAAACCATGCAAGTTATAAACTGCTCTGAAAGGTTTTATTCTATATGGTATTAGGAATATGTGTTCTGTAATACTGAATAAACAAACATGTAAAAGAAAAACTAACATAAATTTAGTCACTGTATATATATAAATGAGAAATATTCCAAAACCATAAAATAAATTAGAATTATTTTTAATATAAGGTTATGGCAAATACATTGTATATAATGAAACATCTAATTATAATAAATAATATATAATATAATATGTAATCAAACATCTAAACATAATAAGTAAATCTAATAAATTATATATGTAGTCAAACATCTAATTATATATATAATTGAACATATTAATCAAGTAAAATATGATATTTTACTTGCCAGATCTAGGCCTGCTTAGACTTAAAGATTAAAAATATATATAACTTGTATTTTGGCTCTAGAATATCTAAAAGTTATATAAGTTTTCATTTGCAAGCCTTTCTATGTCAAAATGATCCTGTGATCAAAAGGCAACAATTTTCTGGCTGAAAAACTGCATGCCTGTGGGCCTGTCTAGACTACAGTAATGGGCTCCCAGTTGGCTTAAACATGTTCTCTGAAAAATGGGATATATAAAAATATAAAGACTACAAATTGAAGATCAAAAAGCCTCACACAATCTCAGAAAAATAAAATTTAAGTATGTAGTTACTTTGTTTTTCTTTAGGTATCCCAATATGCCAACTATATAAATGGAAGTTAATTAGTCAGTGTTCTCCATAGAAACAAAACCAATAGGGGATAGATGATAGATGATAGATAGATAGATAGATAGATAGATAGATAGATAGATAGATAGACAGATAGATAGATAGGTAAATAGGAAAACTTTATGTTATTTGAAGTGCATGTAGGGAATAATAATGATGAGAATTATATGATGTTTAATAGAAAGATGTTATATTTGGTGATAAGGAGGCATGTGCTATAGTTTGGATATTATTCCTCACTCAAGTCTCAGGTTGAATGCTCATTCCCAGTGCTGGAAGTGAGGCCTGGTGGGAGGTGTTTGGATGATGGGCACAGATCCCTCATGGCTTGGTTCTGCCTTTGCAACAGTGCATGAGATCTTGCAAGATCTGGTAATTTAAAAGCGTGTGGCATCTCCCCCACCACCTTCCTTTTTTCCCTCCCATTCTCACTGTGTAAGATGCCTGCTCCCCCTTCACCTTCTGCTGTGACTGTAAGCTTCCTAAGGCCTCCCCAGAAGGCAAGCAGATGGCAGCATCATGCTTTCTGTAAAGCCTGCAGAACCATGAGCTAAGTAAACCTCTTTTCTTTGTAAATTGCTGGATTTAGGTATTTCTTTACAGCAGTGCA
Source organism: Homo sapiens (assembly GCF_000001405.40). Taxonomy (NCBI): domain Eukaryota; kingdom Metazoa; phylum Chordata; class Mammalia; order Primates; family Hominidae; genus Homo; species Homo sapiens. The sequence goes on from NC_000004.12 coordinate 175,514,136, forward strand.
AGAACAGCCTCATAAACCATGTAATTTTTTTCTTTATATGAAAATAAACCGTCTCAAATCTGCTATCTGTAACCTGGAGACCCATGGAGACCAGTGGTATAGTTCAGTTTGAGTCTGAAGACCTGAGAGCTAGGGGACTCGAATGTGTGAGTCACAGTCTGAGAGCAGGAAAAAACCAATGTTTCAGCTAAAACAGGCAGAAAAAGAGGTGAACTCTCCTGTCCTCTGTCTTTTATCTATTCATACCCTTAATGGATTCACTGACGCACACCCATGCTGGGAGGGGCCTTGTGCTTTACACAGTCCACTGATCCAAAGCTAATCTCATCCAGAAATATCCTCACTGACACACCCTGAAATAATGTTTAGCTAAATATCTGGGCATCGCTGACACCTAAAGTTAACCATCACGGGAAATCTTGTAATTTTAATTAAATAATAATTAAAAGCATTGTTTAGTACTCATAATGAGGATTTGGTAAGATGGCTCATTCAAATTATTTCAACAAAACATTTTCTATTAAGGAGGCTATTGAAGAAATGTGATCTGGAATAACGATTATAATACATTTACTTTTATGGATGATTGCATTGCAAGAGGGCTTTGTTTGCCAACAATTATACAAAATACATTAAACAAATTACACGTGCCTTTTCTTTAGGCAAAAATGCTTTTAGTTTATTTCAGCTTAGATAATTAGATATATCATTTTATAGGCTCTTAAAGTTAGTTATACAGACTCTTATGTTGATTCTAGAGTTAGAAAGTTTTAATTGTCTGGCCAGGCGTGGTGGCTCATACCTGTAACCCCAGCACTTTGGGAGGCCGAGGCGGGTGGATTACGAGGTCAGGGGTTCGAGACCAGCCTGACCAACATGGTGAAACCCCGTCTCTACTAAAAATACAAAAATTAGCTGGGCGTGGTGGCAGGCACCTGTAATCCCAGCTACTCAGGAGGCTGAGGCAGGAGAATTGCTTGAACCCGGGAGGCGGAGGATGCAGTCAGCCAAGATCGCACCGCTACACTCCAGCCTAGGCGACAGAGCGAGACTCTGTCTCAATAAATAAATAAATAAATAAATAAATAAATAAAAGGAAAGTTTTAATTGTAACTCCTCACTGAATTTATAAGTTTAGAAATGACCATGTGTCATATTTTAATATCTGGCCTAGACTATCCAATAGGCAATACATTCTAAATATACAGTATTTTTGTAAAATTGATCTACTGCCCTAAGGTATGTTTTCCAAAGGAGTTTTTTTATGTGGAATTCATAGTCAGTACCTTCAAATCTAAATAACAACAGCTGTCCAGGTGTGGTGGCTCACACCTGTAATCGCCAGCAACTTGGGAGGCTGAAGCAAGAGGATCACTTGAGGACAAGAGTTTGAGGCCAGCCTGAGAAGCATAGCAAAATCTCATTTCTACAAAAAAGAAAATTACACAGGCATGGTGGCATGTGCCTACAGTCCCAGCTACTCATGAGGCTGAGGTGGGAAGATCACCTGAGCCCAGGAGTTTGAGACTGCAGTGAGGTGTGATCATACCACTGCACTCCAGCCTGGGCAACAGAGTGAGATCCTGTCTCTAAGTAAATAATGAATAAATAAATGAATAAATACCTACTGCTGTGTTTAGAGTATGCCCCCAAAGTTGATGTGTTGGAAACTTGCCATTTTAACACTATTAAGGGGTGGGGCCTTCAAGAAATGATGAGGCCGGCAGGGCTCTGCAGTCATCACAGGAGTGGGCCCCTGCTAAAAGGATGAGCTTGGCCCCATTTCCTTTCTTTCTAGTGATTGCTTTCCTTTCTGCCTTGTTATGATGCAGTAAGAAGGCCCTAGCCGGATGCTGAGCAGGTGCCAGCACTATGTCCTTGGACTTTCCAGCCTTCAGGACTGTAAGAAATAAATATCTTTTCTTCATAAATTACTCAGTCTCTGGCAATCTGTTATCGCAGCAGAAAATGGACTAAGATACTTACCTTTATGCACACATCATGCTAATTTAAGCCTATAACACGATCGCTTTGTTAGTCATCCATAAACTGCCTGCCAGATATTTTAATTGTCTTCTATTGAACATGTTTCCAGAACCTCAAGACTTTTGCCACTAGCCCTCTCAAATAGCCAACCTAAGCCTGTTTCTTCAAATAGCTAATTTGGCATTATGGTGGCACAACTGGCAGATTGGTACTTCCATAAGCTTTCTGTCCCCAGTAATAAATCTAGAACAGCCCTCAGTAAGATGGCCTCACAAGTATTTTCCTTTCTCAGCACTGACTGATTTTGCAATCAATAAATATTCTATCAATCAGCTGGGCACAGTGGCTCACACTTGTAATCCCAGCACCTTGGGAGGCTAAGGTGGGTGGATCAATTGAGGTCAGGATTTTGAGACCAGCCTGAGCAACATGCTGAAACCCCATCTCTACAAAAAATACACGAAAATTAGCCAGGCATGGTGGTGTGCGCCTGTAGTCCCAGCTACTGGGGAGGCTGAGGTGGAAGGATGGCTTGTACCCAGGAGGTCAAGGCTGCAGTGAGCCATGATTGTGCCACTGCACTCCAGCCTGAGCAACAGAGCAAGACCTTGTCTCAAAAACAAAAACAAAACAAACAAACAAAAACTCTATCATCACCTGTAAGAAAAAGAAAAAGATGAGTTTTACCTCTGATATAAGGCATGAGGAGATCTGCAGACCTGCTCCCAGCAAAACTCCCAAGTAAAAATTATTACAAAAAAACTTTTACAAAATTTGTTACAAATAACAACCATTTTTTCTCCAGAAATGGCCCAAAGTGAATAAAGCAAATAAAAATGAAATAAATAAAACATTTTATTTAATCTCCTGAAACTCAGAAAGAACTATGAAGACTATGATATTTTATCTATGGTTTCTTCATATCTTAATATTTGTTATTTAAGAGTATATTGTTTTAATTTTCATGTATTTATGTATTTTCCAATTTTCCTTCCATTATATAGTTCTAGTTTAATTTCATTGTGATCCGAGAACATATGTATCATTTAATCCATATATATATATATAGTAGCTTGTTATGGCCTAACATGTAATTATCCTGGAGAATGTTCCCTGCATGCTTGAGAAAAATATGTATTCTACTACTGTTGTGTGGAGTGATATATATACACACACATGCACACACTGGTATATATATATATCATTATCAAAATAAAGTATTGCAGTCTCTATTATTATTTAATTTTGTCTTTTTCCTTTAACTCTGTCCATTTTTGCTTCATGTATTTTGGACCTCTATTTTTAGATTGATGTATGTTAATAGTTGTTATAGTCTCTTGATGGATTGATTTCTTTATGTTAAAAATTCCCCTTTATTGTTATTAAATGTTTTGATTAAAATCTATTTTTGTGTGTGTGATATTAGTATAGTCATTCCAGCACTCCTTCCTGGCATGGAAACTTGCCCCAGTGAGCAAGCTGGAGTTGGAGCAATTGGGGCAGACTCTTTACAGTTTACTGTGCCTGTGGTGGAGGTTTTGCCCTAAACTAAAGGATGGGTGGAGAACTGGTCCCCTCTGCTTCACCTATCTATAATACAGCTTCTATAACATGGGGCTCAGGGGGTGAGAAATAGTTTTGCTAGACCCCTGCTCCCCAGTTGAAAAACATGCCCCCAGGCTGGGAGCTGAGGGAAAAGGCAACCCCTGTCTTCTCCGCTGATGTGATGTTTAATTTTAAGTGTCAACCTGACTGGATTCAGGGATACCTAGAGAACTGGTAAAGCGTTACTCCTGGGTGTGTTTTTGAGCGTGTTTCCCAAGGAGATTGGCACACGAATTGTGAACTGAGTGGGGAAGATCCACCCTTTATGTAGGTGGGTGCTATCCAATAAACTGGAGACCCAGATGCAACAAAACAGGCCAGAAATGGATTTCTTCTTCCTCTTCTGGTGCCGGAATTCTCTCCTCCTCCTGCCCTTGAACATCAGGCTCTCTGGTCTTAGGACTACAGGACTTAGGTCAGCAACTCCTAGATTCTCAGACCTTTGGCCTTGGACTGAGAATTATACCATCAGCTACACTGGTTCTGAGGCTGTTATATTTGGAACTGAGCCACCGTCCTGGTACCCCAGGATGTCCAACTTGCCAATGGCCTGTTGTGGGATTTCTCAGCCTCTATAATTATGTAAGCCAATTCCCCAATAAATCCCTTCTAACTTCTCTTTCTTCTTCTTCTCCTCCTCCATATATACGTATGTGTATATGTGTGTGTGTGTGTGTGTGTGTGTGTGCGTAACTGGTTCTGGATATACAGAAACAATAGATCTACAGAAACAATAGATCCAGAACCAATAGGATATACATACAGATATCCTATGGGTTCTGTCTCTCTGAGCATCCTGACATGCCCAAAGTAAAGAGTCCAGTGTAGAGCTTCTACAACCCAGAGCTGGAGTAGAGCCGAGGGTGGTAAGAGAAGAAGATATTGTTTGAATAACATAGATTCTCACTGTTCTAATTGAGATTTAGTGGGTTTTACTGAATAAATTACTTCCCATCTGCTGTGTGCCCTAGGATAATTACCAAATATTTTAATTGCTTTCAAAAAAATGTTTTTAATCACCTTAATTGGTGGTTGCTAGACCATGCCTCTGACAAGTTCCTTTCTCTGCCACTCAGAAAGTATTGCCCCTTTCTATTAATTCTTATTTATTTTTAAACATGCTACATATCATAACAATCATATATTTGTAGGAAACATTTTCCAAATTTCTGTTAGAATTGTAATTTTACTGTCCATTTAAAAAATATATTCTTTGCTCAGTTGTTCATATTTTAGATTGAATGACAAATTAAATATACATAACAATATTATTTTTATTGTTACTATTAATATTATTATTATTTTGCTGATTATTGGCTTTAATGAAAATCAAGTTCTTCATATTCTCTGAGAATCCTTATTCTTTGCATCCTCATCTCGAAGGATTTATTATGTATGCATGTTGATGTATATGTATATAGTGGCAGGGGCTGAAAGTGTGTCCTATGCTTATTTCTATGTGGTAGAACTGAATTAAATCCTTATATCATTTTAGTTAATTTTTGCAATTATCATACGAGATAGAGATTATTGTTCACACTTATAATATTGGTGATTAAATGAAAACATACATCTGAAAGGTTCTTCCTTGGTGCCTTACTAAACATTAATTTTCTCACTATTTTTTTAAATTAAGTTTTTTTATTGTCTTCTAACTTATAATAGGTTATTACTATTTAACTTTTTCAATCGTATTTTCAAGTTCATTAGTTTTATTTTTTATTTCGAAGATATTTATAACAATACTGAACACATAATAAAGACCAAATAATTATGTGTTTAAGAGAATAAAAATATACACAATTATGTTCGAATAGAGAGTAATTCCAAAACCTGATATTTGTATGTTATTCCTCTCCACCTTTTTGCTGCTTCTCATCTTCTTTTCCTTGAAGAAACAGTTGATCTAAATTCTGCACACTCTTCGATGGCCTAAATAAATTTATCGCCCATACCTGATTTCTACTAAATAGTTCCATATGCACTTATCTCTTCCCTCTCCAAAGTTCTGTCCTTAATGAATTGTTACATTTAATTTGTCTGCTTTATCTCACTGATTTTATTTTAAATCTTGAAGGTATTACTTATATCTGCTACTTCCTTTTACCCTTCCATCACTCCTATGACAGTGCTGAATACACAATACAGAGTTCATTTATTTTCCCTTCCTTGCTGTTTCCCTTAGGATGAAAGAATAGTTAGTGTAGGAAAAATCACTATTTTGCTTTGAAAGAATAGTTAGTGTAGGAAAAATCATTATTTTGCTTTCAGACAAGAAATTGTGACACAGCAAATTTAAGCTGTTCGGCTATATTGAGTTAATCCCAGATATTAGTACGAGATGTTTATAAAAGTATGAGGGAAATGCATAATTTTTTAAAAATAAAATTGATCCTAAAGTAAAATTTAAGTTAGCAAAAGAAAATGATGTGCTAAATAGAGTGAAGAACTGAAGACAATATCTAAAATGACTAGAACTGACTTAAAAATCTGTTGGCGAAATATGGCTGACAAAAGTAGTATATAAAAGGGATAAAATTTTTAAAATACCAATTTTTAAAAACTACTAGTTTTGTCTTTTGGTATGGATTGCTAAATTCAAATACAATGACCTCTGTGCTTTTGGTATGGATTGCTAAATTCAAATACAATGACCTCTGTGCAAGACCTTCCTTCATTTCTTCTTCTACAGCTTCCTCATTTCTTAGTACTAACTCTAAGATAATTTATCACACTTCATAGTTAATCTGATCCTAGCTTTTGCAACCCTATTGATCTAGAAAGTAGATTTGACTGACCTGGCTGGGCAAAAAATTCACATTTCACTATTAAACTCTACTTAGACCTTCAGAAGTTGCAAATACGTACCTACCCAGATAGAGATGGGAACTATATCCAAATAGCTACATCAACATTAGAGAATCTCCATTAGTATTTATGCTTTTATTATTTATGTGGATGTCAGCTCCCCACAAGATGGTAAATTTCTTGAGTATGGGGTCATGTTTATTTATATCTGTGTGTTCAGTATATCACATAGTTTCATAACATGTTTTCTGTAGAAGCACAGGTTCTTAAGTAAGTCATACTTAAGTTAAAACTGTAATTCTGCTTGCTGGTCATATTACTTTGAGCTATCTAATTAACCCTCTTTTGCCTTAAAATTCATTCTGAATAAATGAGCAAAATAAAAACATCTATTTTCTTGGCTTACTGTGAGGATTAAAAGTGGTCATACATACAAAACACTGATACATCATGAAATCCAACAAAAGTCAGTGACTAATACTATTGTTATTTTTTTGTTGCTGAAATACAATAGAGAAATAGACAATTGTACTTAGTAAGAAAATTATTACATGATTTTAATAATTACTAGTTAAAAATAAATAAAATACAGAAGTAATGTCAGCAAGATGGCCGAATAGGATGTCCCCAGTTCACATCTCCCTTGACAAACAACAATCTGGCAGCCGTCCATGCATGAAAGTGTCTTTGTGAGAGCTTTGAGATCCTAGTAAGAGGTTGTGAAACCCTAGTCAAGCCCAAGAGTGAGGAGAGCCATTTTGAGAAGGCAGGGATCCACTGCTAAGATTGTTCAACATGGTCCCAGCTGCAGACTGAAAGCAACCCCATCTCTGTATAGTCTTGGACCCTGCCTCATTTGGAACGGTTCTGTGAGAAGCCCCATATGCCATACCTGTTCATGCCCCTGGTAGCAAGCCAACCAACCTTGAACCTGATGGCAGATCCTAAAGTAGCCCTGTGACCCAGCACCAGCCCTACTCTACCATGGAAGAGAATCAGTCCTGCAAATCAGGGGCCCAGCAATCCTAGTCTGTGGCCCCAGAACCAGGCCTGTTAACCTTGGTCCTGACTATGGACTCTGAAGCCGCCCTATGACTTGGTTCCAGCCATGCTTCACTGGGGTCCAAATACAGTCTTGCTCAACCATGGAACCAAGAGAAAACATGCCTGTTAGAATCAGTGCTAAGAGGCCCCACCAGCCTTAAACCCAACGGCAGACTCTGAAGCAGCCCTGTGACCCAGTTCCAGCTTCTCTAACATGGTTCCAGGGGAAGTTCTGCTTACCCACAGACTTGCCCAGGGAGGGACCTAGTGGGACCTTCTTAGGGATCCAGCAGGAGTCACATCCATCTCTGCCCCTAACACTGAGCCCACCATCTGTAAACTTGGCTGCAGACCTGGAAGAGACCTCATGACATGGCACAAGTCCTGCTCCACTGTGTTCCTGGAAGCAATTCAATTCTCCAGGTGATCCAGTAGGAACCATGCTAACCTGAGCCCTTGTAAAAGGCCTGGCAACAGTGGACCTCGCTACAGCCACATTACTTGGCTCCAGTACCACTCTACTGCAATCCAGAGGCAGTCCCATATATCCAGGGACCCAGGAGGATAAGGCTGAATCCAGTCTGTACAGACAGGAAGAGATGTTTGCTCCTTTAATTGCAAACACATCAACACAAAGCTACAGAGATCATGAAGAATTAAACACAAAAACAAAAAACAAACAAAAAACCCCAAAGAACCACCAAAGGAAACTAATAAAACTCTAGTAATGACCCACAAAAATAAAAATCTATGTATTTCCTGATGAAAAACTTCAAATAATTATTTAAGGAAGCTCAGTGAGCTACAAGAAAACACATATTGACAACTCAGGAAAACAACACATGAACAAAATAAGAAGTTCAGTAAAAGATAGTAATCATTTAAAGGAACTGAATAGAAAATACAGAGTTGAAGAAAACAATGAACAGAATGAAAAATGTAATAGAGAGCTTCAACAGCAGACTCAGTCCTTCAGATGAAAGAACCTGTAAAGTTGAAGACAGATCAAATGAAATCCAGTCAGAGAAGACAAAAAAATAGTGAAAAAGGTCTATGGAAATTGTGAGACATGCCAAGTGAGCAAATATACACATTATGGAAGTTTGAGAAGGAGAAGAAAGAGAGCAGAAAACTATATAAAGACATAGTGCCTCAAAATATCTCAAATATTGGGAGGGATTCAGACATTAAGATCCATGAAGCTCTGTTGATCCTAAACACTGATCATAATTATTGATCATAATCAATCATTGTTGATCAAAATCACTGGGGAAAAACTGAAAACTTTTCTTCTAATATGCAGTACAGGGCAAAGATGCCCACTCTCATAAGTTCTGTTCAACATAGTACTGGAAGTCCTAGCAGGAGTAATTAGATACGAAGAAAAATGAAAGAAATCCAAATCAGAAAGGAAAAAGTGAAATGATCTCGTCTTGAATATGACATGATTAAATATGTAGGAAGCCATAACAACTTAGCAAAAAACTTAAAGCTAGTAAAATATCCATTAAAATTTCAGGATACAGAATCAACATTCTAAAATCAGTGGCTTTTCTATACACAAACAATAAATTACCAAAAATGATATTAAGAAAGCAATTTCATTCAAAATAGCAATGAAAGGAGCTAAATATTTAGGAATAAACTTAACCAAAGTCATGAAAGACTTCATCACTGAAAATTGTAAAACCTTATCAGATAAAATTAATGAAGACCTAGATAAATGGAAAGATACTCCATGTTCATGGATTGGAAGAATTAATATTGTTAACTATTCCATGCAACTCATAAAGATCTACAGATTCAATTCAGTCTCTGTCAAAATTCTGACAGCATTCTTTACAGAATTTTTTTTAATTTTGAAATTCATATGGAATCACAATACACCTGGAATAGCCAAACAATTCTGAGAAAGAAGAACAAAACTGAAAATATCATTGTTCCTGATTTCAAAATATAATACAAACTATAGTAACCGAAACATTATGGCAAAGGCATAAAAACAGACACACAATATAGGATAACAACAAAAAAGAGCATAGAAATAAACCCACACGTCTACAATCTACTGATTTTCAGCAAAGTTCCCAAGAACACATAATAAGGAAAGAATAGTCTCTTCAATAAATGTGATTGAACAACTTGATATCTACATGCAGAAGAAAAATTTGGGTGCATATTTTATACCATACACAAAAACCAACTCAAAGTAGATTAAAGACCTAAATGTAAGCCCTGGAAGTAATGAATTCCAAAGAGAAAACAGGGGAAAAGTTTCTTGACATTGGTTTGGGCAATATTTTTTTTTGGTATCCCACCAAAAGCACAGGCAACAAAAGCAAAAAAGAGAAAATTACATCAAACTAAAAGGATTCTTCACACAACAAAGGAAACAGTCAACAGAGTAAAAAGGCAACCTACAGATTCAGAAAAATATTTGTAAAGCATATAACCACTAAGGGATTAATATCCAAAATACATAAATACCCAAACAACTCAAAAGAAAACAACAACAATAACAAAATGCTTCTCCCCGGCCCCAACAACAACAACAACAAAATCAAAATAATTTAAAAATGTTCTAAGGATCTGTACATGCATTACTTTGCTCAAATAAGACATAAAAATGGCCAACAAGTTTATGAAAAGGTGCTCAAAATCATGAACCATCAGGGAAATGCCAACCAAAACCATAATGAATTATCACCTCATGCCTATTACAATAAGTGTTATCAAAAAGACAAAAGGTAAGTGTTGGCCAGAATGTGGAGAAAAGTAAACTCATGTACACTGATGCTGGGAATATAAATTGGTACAACCATTATAGAAAAGTTTAGAAGCTTTTCTATCAAAAAATCAAAATAGAACTACCAAATGGTCCAGAAGTCCCAGTTCTAGGTACATATCTAAAGGAAATGAAATCAGAATCTTAAAGAGATACCTGTACACCATGATCTTTGTGCCATTATTCATAACAGACAAGATATGAAAACAATCTAAGTGTCTGTAAATGGTGAATAGGTTAAAAAATATGTAAAGAAAATGTAACACACACACACACACACACACACACACACAATGGGATATTATCCAGCATTAAAAACAGAAGAAAATCCTGCCATTTGAAGCAACATGGATGACCCTGTAGAGAGTTGTGCTAAGTGAAATAAGCCAGGCACAGAAAAACAAATAATATGTGATTTCACTTACATGTGGAATATTTCAAAGTCTGATTCTTAAAAGCAGAGGGTAGAATGATGGTTGGTAGGGTTTGTGAATATGTATTGGTGAAGGATAGAAAGTTCAGCTATGCAGGAAAAATAAGTTACAGAGATCTAATGTACAGCATGGTGACTACAGTTAATAAAACTGTGTTGTTTACTTAAAATTTGCTAAGGGAGTTGATGCTGTTTTCATTATACAAATTGTAACTAAGCGAGGTGATGGATATGTTATCACAATCTATTCATTTATCAAAATATCATATTGTACACCTTCAATAATTTTTATTTGTCTATTAGCTGTCTCAATAAATTGAGAAAAAATAAATTATTTGAAATATAATTTCCTTTTTAGATTCAAAGCTTTATTGGTTTAATAAATGTTTCATGAACTCCTATGAAAACTGAAATTAAGCAAACTAGTTAGAAAAAATTAAAGTAAGTATTCATCATGATCGATAATGAAGCTTAAACAATGGCATTTTATTAGCATGAGAAAATTGTTTCTAATGGGTATAACAGATTAACATAAATCACAAAGTAAAATCAGGGGATAACTTTTTTTGACTGACAAAGGGAATTAGAATTGTTATTTTATTAGTGTTGTGATAGATTGTTAGCATCTCTGAGAAATAATTTCTCCCAAAACCTCAGTTCCATGTTCTTTCTGAGTTGACATCGCATAAAAAGTTCGAAGGTATTCTTTAGGCATTTTGTTATTTACTTAAAATGTTGCTGAGCATTTAGTCACCAATGCACATACTTCTTTGCTTCAAACCTGGAAACATACACAAAATAAAACTAAAAACCATTAACCTTAGAAAAATGTAACTTCAATGAAGTAAGTAGTTACTGAAACCAGAATAGGTTTATCAACTGTGTTTTAACTGGAACATTAATGATATTTCAAACTCTCTCTTCTATTTCAATTCAAAAGCACTGACATGAACAGCATTTGCCCTTGATGTGGTTAGACCTATTTGGGGCATCACTGGAAATATCTGATTGCCCCAGTGAGCAGTAACATAATATCACAGTTTGGTTCATCTTATAGGCCTAGCCTGATGCACCAGCCAACTAGGCAGCAATCTGCATTAGTTATTTTCTAGGGGAAAGATATAGTATGAGATCTACTCTTCTAACAAATTTATAAGTGGACAAGGCAGTATTTTTAAACTATAGGCATAAGTTTCCATAGCAGATCTCTAGAACTTAATCATCTTGCATAACTGAAAATCCATACCCATTGAGTAGCAACTTCCTGTTACCTTCTCCCCACCATTCCCTGGAAAACACCTTTCTCTCTGTTCTATGGGTTTGACTATTTTAGATGCTTCTTTTAGGTAGAATAATGCAGTATTTGTCCTTCTGAACTGACTTATTTCACTGATCATACTGTCCTCCAGATTCATCCATGTCGTGTATGGCAGGAATTTTTCTTTTTTAAGTCAACATATGTTCCATTGTATATGTGTACCAATTTTCTTTATTCATTTACCGGCTGATGGACCTGTAGGTAGTTTTCACATCTTGGCTATTGTGGATAATGCTGCAATGGACATGGGAGTGCAGAAATCTTTCGGATTCTGATTTCTTTATTTTTCTTTTTTTTGGATATACATATATACATACCCTAATGCTGGATTGCTGGATTATACGGTAGTTCTATTTTTAATTTTTCGAAGAACTTCCTTACTGTCTTCCATGGTGGATGCACCATTTTACATTGCCACTAACAGTGTACAAGTGTTCCAATTCCTCCACATCATTGCCAACACTTATCTCTCTCTTTTATTTTTTAAATCACTCCCACGCTAACAGATGTGAGGTGATATCTCACAGTTTTGTTTTGCATTTCCCTCGTGATTAGTGGTGTTCAGCATCTTTTTTTTTTTTTTTTTTTTTTTTTTTGAGATGGAGTCTTGCTCTGTTGTCCAGGCTGGAGTGCAGGGGCATAATCTTGGCTCACTGCAACCTCTGCCTCCCAGGTTCAAGCAATTTTCTTGCCTCAGCCTCCTGATTAGCTGAAATTACAGGTGCACGCCACCATACCCAGCTAATTTTTCAATTTTTAGTAGAGAGGGGGTTTCACCATGATGGCCAGGATGGTCTTGATCTCCTCACCTCATGATCTACCCGCCTCAGCCTCCCAAAGTGCTGGGATTACAGGCGTGAACCACCGTGTCTGGCCAAGCATCTTTACTTTTTTTTTTTTTTTGGGACAGAGTCTCACTCTGTCGCCCAGACTGGAGTGCAGTGGCGCGATCTCGGCTCACTGCAAGCTCTGCCTCCGGGCTTCACGCCATTCTCCTGCCTCAGCCTCCCGAGTAGCTGGGAGTACAGGCGCCCGCCACCACGCCGGGCTAATTTTTTGTATTTTTAGTAGCGACGGGGTTTCACCGTGTTAGCCAGTACCAAGCATCTTTTTGTATCTCTACATCTCATTTGTCTTTCTTCTAGAGATTTCTACTCAAGTCTTTGGCACATTTTTAAATTAGTTATTGTTTTTCTTTTCTGTTGAGTTGTAGGAGTTCCTCATATATTAGGGGTATTTTTTTTACATGCTTTGCAAATATTTTCTCCCATTCATTCATTTTAGTTAATTTTAATTTAAATAGCTACATGTGTCTAGTGACTCCCTTATAGCACAGAACAGCTTTAGAGTATTGAACTGGTGAATTGGTAATAAAATACATGGGTTTTAGAGGCAGACTGTCTGAATTCAAATCTCTACTTCTTTATTTACTAGTTTTGTGACTCTTCTGTGCCTCAGTGTCCTATTCTGTAAAAGGGGATAACAATACTATTCACCTTATTAGCTGTTTTAAAGACTAAATGCATTCATATATAAAAAAGCACTTAACAAAGTGTATGTGTTTATTAGGAGGGTAATGGTCAAGCGTCCTGGGTTCTTTGGGAGTGAGGAGAAAAGAGAGGGACAAGGTATTATGGAGGCCACCCAGTAAGGAGCACTAGGCACTTTGTGGTTTCATCCTAGAACTGACCTTTCAATCGCTGAAGCTGTTACATTATTTTGCTTATGAGTTCAAAGAGTTCTATACAACAGTCACTGAGAATAACAACTGGGACATAGTTTTCCACAACTAAAGTTATACTGGATAGATACATTGCCACACAAAGGAAAACCTAGTTTTTAAAAAATCACAGAAGCTAAATTTGTCATCATATGACTTGTGAGATATTTTATTGCTAGGCTGCCTATACGATACATTGCCAAAAGAGAATGATAACAGTAACTGTTAGAAACTTACTTGAAACAATAAGAAAATGTGCAAAAGAAAAGAATTCTGTGTTGGCTAAATGAACACAATCTCAAGGGTAAATTCAACCCTATGTGACAGCAAGCTTGAAAATCCCTAACCAAATCAGCTCCTCCTCTCAGTCTGGTATTGTCCTGGAGAATAAACTGCTTTTGGTTGGAAATTCAGTTGTGTTGACATGAGTCTTATTTTAATATTTGAATAGCCTTCAGAGGACAGGAGAACCTTTAAGTCATTTGTCTTCTGCTGTGAATCAGTTGATGAGACTTTTTTTTCCCCTCAGCCCCCACCAGAGACTAAACCACTAAGAAGATGGAAATTTTGTAGGGACCAGAGAAGAGATTCAAGCATAATTTGAATGCAGGGTCTCTTTTAAGGGAGTGAAAACACTTTAACACTTTTAATATTTTGTGTTGGTGTTGGGCATCTAAGATAAGGGGAGAAAGGTGATTTTCAAAATGGTCAAACCCACTTAGAAATGAAGCATCATATTCAGAAAACAGCCAAATGAGACAGTGGTGCTTTGGTAAAGCAAATTAAAGAGTGAAAGTGAAGTACAAGCTCCATGAAATATTAAAATAATAGGCTATTATAATGTAGTGCAATTCCTCTTATCACTCCTTATTTTTCACTAGACAAAATTCCAGGTACTCCTTACAGGATTATTCGATTGCTATACTTCTGTTTAGCCTTCCCTCTTAAGCTCCCCAAATGGCATCTCACAAACCAAACCAATCTCTCTCCTTCGTGTTTCTATGCACCATTGCACATACTTTGCCCGAGGTATTCACCAATTTGAATTTAGTTCAGAGGCTCCTGAATGTTCTCAATTCATGGAAACTTTCATGCCTCATAATTATTTTCATAGCACCCCTGGACCAAAAGAAATGCCTGATAGTTGTGCTTATTAAGTAATTAGATCCAAATCACTTAAGTATCTATGCCCTGATAACATAGTAACCAAAACAATGACATAAATGGAAAGAAAAAGTAGTATTTTAATTTAACTTTTAAACAACAAAATTACTTTTGAATGGCATGTGTTTGCCTATTGGGCACTGTACAACTTCTCAAATATTAGAATCAGATTGAACAATGCCACCTTCCTTTTCTGTTCCATATTGATTTCCTATGCAGTTCTTGATTTTTATCACAGCACACTGTGAAGACCCAACTGAGCAAGGTCTCACATCAATGAAAGGAATATAGCAGGATATCATATAGAAATTGTGAAGCACCTTGAGTGAGTAGTTTGAGCAGTATTCAACAAATATTGAACATCTGTCTTTTCCTTGAAGTTTTACAATACATCATGTATCCCTTATGACTTCACTGGGGAGCACTAGGATGCCTCATCACACAGGTCGTGAATCACCACTTCAGGTATTTTTAAAAATGTATACCATTCCCCCTAGAGTATGAGCATCTTGAGGACAGAAATTGTGTCTTATTTGCAGCTGGCATTTGAAACTTGTCACACTGTGAATTATCTAAACTGCTAAATCAATACATGATTTCAGATGAGTAAAAACTAGAATGTTTTTTAGTTTGTATTGCTACAGGGGATGGTCCATCATAACTTAACTATTGCCTATCACCAATGAGGCAGAGCATATTGTCATTGATTTGGTGTACAACAAAAAGCCGGAAAATGACACAATCTGAAAATGGGCAACTCAACAGAAGGTTTCCAAATGACTGGCTGGAGAGGAAACAGTGGGCACTGGAAACAGAATGGCCCCTTCCTATAGAGTTTGGCCCAGACAGAAAGAGTACCTTTTCTGACACTGTAAGGATTGTGTACCCAGTGGCAGAAAAGATCTCAAAGTAAGACCAGATGTGTTTCACAGAGCGATATCCTCCCTCTGAATGCTGAAGGAGACGTGGCTGGAATCTTTTATTCTAGGGGCCCAGGTGGACCCTTGCCAGTAAGTTTCTTGCTAGTTACTATGAGACTTCTGGTGAATTAGCTTCATAGTTTATCACTTTTCATCTAGATCTTACATTACTAATGTTTTAAACAGCATTTTCTAAATTATTTTCTGAAGAATGTTACTGTGTTCCAGAAGATGTTAATAAGATGCCATGAAACCTAGGTCGTAGCTATACATATCTGAGAACCACAGCATGCCCAAATTCAACTCTTAGACATAAGCAATAAATACCAGCCTATTAAAAGCTCTGAGAAGTCCTGAATTAATTCAACTTTCAACTTTATTCAGGACTTCTCAGAGATTTAAATATGTATTATTATATGTTAAAATATATGGTTTAATATATAGACAAAAATAATAAATATTACTAGTATAATAAATATACATTACTGAGTGCATAATAGATGCTGGGTTGGCAAATATTTTTTTCTATAAAGGGTCAGAGAGTAAAGATTTTAGGCTTTGTCAGTCTCATACGGTCTCTTTCATGTGTCTTAGTTTTGTTTACTTGTTTGATTTACAACAACCTAAAATTTTAAAAAACATTCTTAACTCTCAACCTCAAAACAGTTCAAGAAATAGAAAATTCAGCATCAAGCAACATAATTTTCTACTCACATGGAACTTATATTCTTACATTACATTCCTACTCACATTCCTACATTTTTGGGAGAGAAAGAAATCAAAGAAAGAATTTGAGTTAAAGTGAGAAACATTCAGATCTTTCTTTCACTGGAATATTTAGACTCTAGTGTAGAAATAGTAATAGGCCTAATATCAATACTGTTGTTTCTCCAACGGAGAGGCCCGAGGCTAGGGAGAGAAAAGAGGAAGTGGCCAGCCAATGAAGCAATCAATAAAAACATTTTTCAATTAAGTTTACCATCTTACGTGGGCACAGTTCTTGGTGCCCCCAATTACACTGGTAACAGCAAAGATCATCACTGATCACAGACCATGTAACAGATATGACAATAATGAAAAAGTTTCAAATACTATGAGAACTACCAAAATGTGACAGTGAGAAACAAAGTGAGCACATACTGTTGGCAAGGCGGCTCTGAAGACTTGCTCAACGCAGGGTTGCTAGGAAGGTTCAACTTGTAAAAAATCCAACGCCTGAAAATTTCAATTACACAAAACGCAATAAAATGAGGTATGCCTCTATGAGTATTATAAAATATACATACAAGTGCTATTTTAAAAATCTGTTAAGGAAACAAAAGTGAAAGGATGTTGTTTCACATATGTATTATCAGGGATGGGGTTTCTGAGAACTGAACTTGTGTGGTACCCTGAATGAAGCGAAGGCTTGAGCCATACAAATTTCTAGGAGAAGGAAAAGAATAGTCCTAAGGTCTTCAGTGCTAAAGGACTAAAAAGGGGCCATGGTCACTAAATAGGGTTTGATAGTAAAAAAAAAAAAAAAAAAAAAAAAAAATGGCCAGAGAGATAATCAGAGGTAAATCAAGTCTGGCTTTGCAGAAGACAGTAAAGGCTTTGAATTTCATTCTGAATATAATAAGAAAGCTTTGGATGGATTTGAGCAGCAGAGTGACTCATCTAATATTTTTATAGAAAGGTCACTCTTGTGGCTGTGCAAATACACTGAGGAGCTTGAGGAAGAAATGAATCACAGAAACAACAGAAGCTTGGGTGGTAGTGGAAGTTGTGTTAAAAATTGATTGAATTTCTAATGTATTTTAAAGAATAAAATATATTAGAGTAACAAAATGTTCCAATTAACTGAAAGTAGATAAGAGACAGAAGCATCAAAGATGTCTCTTAAGCGTTTTGCCCAATCAAGGAGATGGAGATGACATCAACTGCAATTGGTTTGCAGATCCGAAACTCAGTGTTAGGTGAGTGAAGCTTGAGATGCCTGTTGACATGCTAATATTAGGTAAATCAATATACATAGAAACGTGGAATTAGCCATGGGTCACTATGACGATATGCATTTGGGAAGCAGCAAGTATTCACAGATATGATACTTAGTGATTATTAGACAAACCAGAGGTCCTTGGATAAAAACCTGGGACATTACCTTGTTTAGGGGTCAGGAAGACAAAGAAGATTCAGCAAAGGTAACTGAGAAAAAAATAAAATTAGGTCGTGTCAAAAGAAAAGTAAAGAAGGAAGTTTTAAGAAAGAGGCAGTAACTAGCTTAAAAAAAAAAATCCTATGACATACCTATTAACTCCTAGTTTCTAGTTGTATTAGTTTTCTAGGGCTGCTGTAATAAAGTACTACAAACTGAGTGGCTTAAACAACAGAAATTTTTTGTCTTACAGTATTGGAGGCTGGAAGTCCAATATCAAGGTGTCAGCAGGGTTGACTGCTTCTGAGGCTGCGAGGAAGAATCTGTTCCATGTCTTTTTTATAGCTTCTGGTGGTTTTCTGGAATTGCGTTCTTTGGCTTGCAATGCATCACTCAAGGTCTGCTTTCATCCATTCTTAGTATTCTCCCAGTGTGTCTGTCCAAAATTCCCCCTTTATAGAAGGACAGCAGCCATGTTGGATAGGGAAGAAGGTCCAGCATGACCTCATCTTAAGTGTCCCCCTAACAGCCCTATTTCTTTTTTTTATTGTTACTAGAAATTATTTTATTTTATTCTATTTTATTATTATTATACTTTAGGTTTTAGGGTACATGTGCACAACGTGCAGGTTAGTTACATATGTATACATGTGCCATGCTGGTGTGCTGCACCCATTAACTCATCATTTAGCATTAGGTATATCTCCTAAAGCTATCCCTCCCCCATCCCCCCACCCCACAACAGTCCCCAGAGTGTGATGTTCCCCTTCCTGTGTCCGTGTGTTCTCATTGTTCAATTCCCACCTATGAGTGAGAATATGCAGTGTTTGGTTTTTTGTTCTTGCGATAGTTTACTGAGAATGATGATTTCTAATTTCATCCATGTCCCTACAAAGGACATGAACTCATCATTTTTTATGGCTGCATAGTATTCCATGGTGTATATGTGCCACATTTTCTTAATCCAGTCTATCATTGTTGGACATTTGGGTTGGTTCCAAGTCTTTGCTATTTTGAATAGTGCCACAATAAACATACGTGTGCATGTGTCTTTATAGCAGCATGATTTATGGTCCTTTGGGTATATACCCAGTAATGGGATGGCTGAGTCAAATGGTATTTCTAGTTCTAGATCCTTGAGGAATCGCCACACTGACTTCCACAAGGGTTGAACTAGTTTACAGTCCCATCAACAGTGTAAAACTGTTCCTATTTCTCCACATCCTCTCCAGCACCTGTTGTTTCCTGACTTTTTAATGATTGCCATTCTAACTTGTGTGAGATGGTATCTCATTGTGGTTTTGATTTGCATTTCTCTGATGGTCAGTGATGGTGAGCATTTTTTCATGTGTTTTTCGGCCGCATAAATGTATTCTTTTGAGAAGTGTCTGTTCATGTCCTTCGCCCACTTTTTGATGGGGTTGTTTGTTTTTTTCTTGTAAATTTGTTTGAGTTCATTGTAGATTCTGGATATTAGCCCTTTGTCAGATGAGTAGGTTGCGAAAATTTTCTCCCATTTTGTAGGTTGCCTGTTCACTCTGATGGTAGTTTCTTTAGCTGTGCAGAAGCTCTTGAGTTTAATTAGATCCCATTTGTCAATTTTGGCTTTTGCTTTTGGTGTTTTAGACATGAAGTCCTTGCCCATGCCTATGTCCTGAATGGTAATGCCTAGGTTTTCTTCTAGGGTTTTTATGGTTTTAGGTCTACCATTTAAGTCTTTAATCCATCTTGAATTAATTTTTGTATAAGGTGTAAGGAAGGGATCCAGTTTCAGCTTTCTACATACGGCTAGCCAGTTTCCCCAGCACCATTTATTAAATAGGGAATCCTTTCCCCATTGCTTGTTTTTCTCAGGTTTGTCAAAGATCAGATAGTTGTAGATATGCGGCATTATTTCCGAGTGCTCTGTTCTGTTCCATTGATCTATATCTCTGTTTTGGTACCAGTACCATGCTGTTTTGGTTACATAATTGGAAGTAAAGCTCTCCTCAGCAAATGTAAAAGATCAGAAATTATAAGAAACTGTCTCTCAGACCACAATGCAATCAAACTAGAACTCAGGATTAAGAAACTCACTCAAAACCGCTCAATAGCACGGAAGCTGAACAACCTGCTCCTGAATAACTACTGGGTACATAACGAAATGAAGGCAGAAATAAAGATGTTCTTTGAAACCAATGAGAACAAAGACACAACATACCAGAATCTCTAGGACACATTCAAAGCAGTGTGTAGAGGGAAATTTATAGCACTAAATGCCCACAAGAGAAAGCAGGAAAGATCCAAAATTGACACCCTAACATCACAATTAAAAGAACTAGAAAAGCAAGAGCAAACACATTCAAAAGCTAGCAGAAGGCAAGAAATAACTAAAATCAGAGCAGAACTGAAGGAAATAGAGACACAAAAAACCCTTCAAAAAATTAATGAATCCAGGAGCTGGTTTTTTGAAAGGATCAACAAAATTGATAGACCGCTAGCAAGACTAATAAAGAAGAAAACACAGAAGTATCAAATAGATGCAATAAAAAATGATAAAGGGGATATCACCACCGATCCCACAGAAATACAAACTACCCTCAGAGAATGCAAACACCTCTACACAAATAAACTAGAAAATCTAGAAGAAATGGATAAATTCCTCGACACTAACTAAACCAAGACTAAACCAGGAAGAAGTTGAATCTCTGAATAGACCAATAACAGGCTCTGAAATTGTGGCAATAATCAATAGCTTACCAACCAAAAAGAGTCCAGGACCAGATGGATTCACAGCTGAATTCTACCAGAGGTACAAGGAAGAACTGGTACCATTCCTTCTGAAACTATTCCAATCAATAGAAAAAGAGGGAATCCTCCCTAACTCATTGTATGAGGCCAGCATCATCCTGATACCAAAGCTGGGCAGAGACACAACCAAAAAAGAGAATTTTAGACCAATATGCTTGATGAACATTAATGCAAAAATCCTCAATAAAATACTGGCAAACCGAATCCAGCAACATATCAAAAAGCTTATCCACCATGATCAAGTGGGCTTCATCCCTGGGATGCAAGGCTGGTTCAATATACGCAAATCAATAAATGTAATCCAGCATATAAACAGAACCAAAGACAAAAACCACATGATTATCTCAATAGATGCAGAAAAGGCCTTTGACAAAATTCAACAACGCTTCATGCTAAAAACTCTCAATAAATTAGGTATTGATGGGACGTATCTCAAAATAATAAGAGCTATCTATGACAAACCCACAGCCAATATCATACTGAATGGGCAAAAACTGGAAGCATTCCCTTTGAAAACTGGCACAAGACAGGGATGCCCTCTCTCACCACTCCTATTCAACGTAGTGTTGGAAGTTCTGGCCAGGGCAATCAGGCAGGAGAAGGAAATAAAGGGTATTCAATTAGGAAAAGAGGAAGTCAAATTGTCCCTGTTTGCAGATGACATGATTGTATATCTAGAAAATCCCATTGTCTCAGCCCAAAATCTCCTTAAGCTGATAAGCAAATTCAGCAAAGTCTCAGGATACAAAATTAATGTACAAAAATCACAAGCATTCTTATACACCAATAACAGACAAACAGCGAGCCAAATCATGAGTGAACTCCCATTCACAACTGCTACAAAGAGAATAAAATACCTAGGAATCCAATTTACAAGGGATGTGAAGGACCTCTTCAAGGAGAACTACAAACCACTGCTCAAGGAAATAAAAGAGGATACAAACAAATGGAAGAACATTCCATGTTCATGGGTAGGAAGAATCAATATCATGAAAATGGCCATACTGCCCAAGGTAATTTATAGATTCAATGCCATCCCCATCAAGCTACCAATGACTTTCTTCACAGAATTGGAAAAAACTACTTTAAAGTTCATATGGAACCCAAAAAGAGCCTGCATCGCCAAGTCAATCCTAAGCCAAAAGAACAAAGCTGGAGTCATCACGCTACCTGACTTCAAACTATAACAGCCCTATTTCTAAATAAGGTCACTTTCTGAGGTACTAGTGGTAAGCACTTCAACATATAAAATTTAGCGGGACACAGTTCAACCCATAACATGATTTTTCTATGTAATATAGTTTAGAAGTAGCTGGTTTGGACATATTTAACAAGTCCAGTACTTGGGAAATATGCTATTAAAATTTTTTCCATTATATTACAATTTATATAAATATACTTGGATATTGATGTTCTCTTTTTTGTTAATGGAAAATAAGCTGATTTTAGAATTTTAACAAAACCTCCAATACTTCTTATTTTACTTTACATCAAGGTTGGGTCAATATATCTACATTGAAATTTCCTCAGATAACCAAAATATCAGACATTAAGAAATAATCTAGGACATTGTGGAATTTTTTATGAGTATAAATGTTTTGATTAACTTTTGTGTAGCCATAATTATTAAGATACTCTTTCTAACTGAGGAGCTCCCTGTTTGCAATACTGAGAACCAGCTATGTACTACAAGGTCTAGAGATAAATGCCAAAGGTTGAGGAGAAAATATGTTTATACAAATCTCTAGAAATGGCATTTTGAAGTGAAACCTTGATGCCATTTGATTTGTTATAATTTTTTTCTTTACAATTTCATCAAAATAAAGATTCAAAAAGAAATGAATCTGGTTAACGAAGTCCCTGTTTGATTTTAATAAATCAAACCAATTTGGTTTTTTTATGAAGTTATGTTTAATTCATATTAAATCATTTTATTAAATGTCTGAGGAAAAAAATCTCAAATTTTAAAAACTTTAAACCATAAAGCAGCTCATCATAGAACATGTATTATTTTAGACTCTTGTGCTCATTAAACACAGAATTGGCAAACAATTTTGGAAATTGTATCATATATGGAATGAGAGGAGTTAAGACAACAACCTAAGTTATTGTCCGTAAAAGAAATTCTGCTTCCTAATTCAATAAGCCTTTAGAGAACCTAAGTTGCCACAGTTACCTCACTAAAGAAAAGACAAACAACGACACCTTGTGGCTAAAAACCTTCTTCCATTTTTGACAATTTTGAGTTTCCGAGGCTTGATACGAAGTTGTAGCCTTTCTAGATGAATACACAGCATTAGATAAAAGAATTATAAATATATAATAAAATTGAACATACATATTCAGTTTGTATGCTAATGAAATTAGATTTAAAAATAAAATTGATTTCAATAGCTCTGGTTTCTTTTTCCTATAAAAGTAACATTTAATGTGATTCAAAACTAACCATCTAAAATAAAATCGTAACAACAAATTACAAATGAGCATTTTAGTTTCTAGTAATGTATCCATTATTTAGTATAAATGTATATTGGTAAATTGGATAAACTGACAACCCGAGTACTTCCTACAGCTTTATGATTCAGCTAATAGAAACCATTATCACAATGCTCGTACCTGAAGCACCCAAAAAAAATAATTTCTAAGTCATAGTCCTTTGATCAAGACTCAAAAACATACAGCAAAAGGGAAAAATGTAATCTTTTTTTTCTTTTTTTTTTGAGTTGGACTCTTGATTTGTCACCCAGGCTGGAGTACAGTGGCATGATCTTGGCTAACTGCAATCTCTGCCTCCCAGGTTCAAGCAACTCTCCTGCCTTGGCCTCCCAAGTAGCTGGAACTACAGGCATGTGCCACCACACCTGGCTAGTTTTTGTTTTGTTTTGTTTTCTTGTTTGTTTGTTTTTTAGTAGAGACGGGGTTTCACCATGTTGGCCAGGTTGGTCTCAAACTCCTGACCTCAAGTGATCCGCTCACCATGGCCTACCAAAGTGCTAAGATTACAGGCATGAGCCACCGTGCCCATAATCATTAACTTTTCTTCAAACAGTTGTGTCGTCTGTCATAAATACCGAAGGTCCCATCATATTTACTCAAAATACTAAAAGACTAAAGAGAAAGACACTGTTTTTTCATGACCTCATTAATTTCTCAGTCTGGATTTAAGGCATTTTTATATGCCAAATCATTATTTAGGAGACCTATTAAAAGCCATCATTTTCTCACAGGAAGTGTTAAAATAAATAGGACGTTTTGAAAACTAGTCATTATATTTTGTATCTAGAAGTAGCTGGGGATAAGTGAGAGTCATGTAGATTTTCCCATGTTTGTCGAGATCCACTTGTCTTATGATACTGCTTCTGATCAAAATCATATGAATGCTTCTCAGAACCATTCCCTGAGAAAAAACATCTCCTCATCCTTTTAGTTTTGAATTTTTCTCTTTGTCCATTAGATCTATGACTTTATTGTAAACTACCTCAAATCCTTGGTGGAGCCAGCTGGTTAGGAAAACAAATTAAAATAATAAAGGATGAAATGAGTAATTATAGCTAGCACCTATGGAAAACTTACTGCATAAAACGCAGTGTTCTGAGTGCTTTACATGATTTAACTACAATTTCACTTCAAAAGCCTGTATGTATGTGGTAGATACTATCCCCATTTTATAGGTGGGACAACTGCGTCATTGATTAAGTATCTCACCCAGGGTTGCAGAGCTAGTAAGTGGCAGTTCTAGGATTCAAACGCGGGCAATTTTCTAAAGGCTGCTATCCTGATTCAAAAGGAGAGGGAAACACCATTGGTTTCCCAGCTTGGAGACAGTTCAGAGATGGATGCCAGTCATGGTGCAAACAGGAGACCTCAGACAAGCTACTCAGCATCCATAAACTTCTAGAGGCTTAAATGTATTTAAGCAATACATGTATTTTTCAAGAATTCCAGGATTCAGTGAGCTTTCTGGTAAAGCTTTGGCCAGAAGACCACCATCCTATTGCTTATAAATTGTTTGTTGAGGGGAACAAAGAGGGCATTTAAAAGGAACCAGTTCCTATATTCCACTTGGAAGTCTTGGGCTTCTAGGGAACAACCATGTTTTGATTCTCCAGATATCACGATCATTTAACAAATGAAATGCTGAGTCTGAGAAAAATAAAACTGAATATTACATTCGAAGTCGTTTTGCCCTACCACAATATCTTTCATGGCTCCAAGGCATGTCATCAAGTGCTCAAAATATCCTCTAAGGAACTTTCACTTAATTTGCTTGATTTTTAAATATATATTTTTAATTCACCTGATATTTGAAAGAGCCACAAATCCCACAAATTACTGTATTTACTCTGTGGAGCCTGGGGAATTTAGGATTAACTGAGCAGTTGGGGTGTGGGGGGTGGGGGTGGAAAGTGTTAAACTAAAAATAAAAAGGTTTAAAATGTTTTCCAAAATTCTTGAGCATAAGAATGTAGGATTTAGTACTCTAATTAATGGGATTAGATGGTTTAGAGGAGCTTGAAAATGGATAAACTGGAATTTTTCACAGTAAAGTAGACAATTCTAACTTCATTTACCTTAAAGTAGAAAAATTACATTAACTCATCTGTATCTCCAGAGTGCTGACACAAAGTGGATCTTGTTTATACTAAATAGAATAGAGAAAAAAATTTTCAAAGACTGGGCAAAGATAAAGCTGCAATAAAAGTCATCAGTGCTTGAAACACTCAAATGTTCCCTGAAGACTTGACTTTAAATTTCCAATTTAAATGGAAAAACTCTTAAACAGCATCACATTTACAATGGTGCACGCCAGTTATGTAATAGGAGGATAGACATAAATGCCAAAGGTTAAGTAAATAAATTGGTATTTATACACAGCTCTAGAAATGGTATTTTGAAATGAACCCTTGGTTTCTGTTTGATTTGGACCATCTCTCTTTCTCTTACTAATCCAGTTCAATCAAAACAAAATAAGGATTCAATAAAGACTGAATCTGGTTAACGAAGTTCCTATCAATTTCAGTAATTTAAACCAATCTGTTTCTTTGAAGTTATATTTAATTTATATTGAGTTATTCTATTAAATTTTTTAAAATCCTCAAACTTTAAAAACTCTTTTAAATATGCCACAGTTCACCATAGAATACGGATAGAACCTAAAATAAAATGTGGCTTTTAGTGAGTGACCAATAATTGCAGTAGTTTTTATTGTTATTAAGAGTTTTAATTTAAGGAAGATTACATAACACGGAAATTTATCATTGAACTTACAAAGAGCGGCTGTAAAAAGGGAATGAATCATTTTTAAAATGTCTTCATCACCTAAGTTTGCTTATCTAAAGGGAATCTTTAGCTGAAATTTTAATTACCTGATATGTACACCTGTCTAGATCAAAAACTTTGAAAAGAAAACTTTTTTTTTTCTCTAATTGCCACACTGTTTAAACAAGAAAATGATAATCATTTCTTCTATGTCAAACAGATGTAGATCTTTCCAGATGCTGATAGGGAATATCCTGACATATATAGAATGTCTTTAGCTAGTGAGTCATATCAATATAACAGAGTCATAAGAATGGAATTTCTTCAGGTAATTTTCCATTCAAACTTGTAAACTTATATGTGACCCAAGAGTGTGTGTGTGTGTGTGTGTCCGTGTGTCTGTGTGTGTGTGTTTGGGGTCTATCTAGAAATAAAGCTTTGTAATAAATAATAAATCAAAAAAAATTAGAAATTTGTCCATACTATTCATTTGTTTTAATTATTTTCTTCTAAAGTTTCATATTTGTAGAATTGTTGCTTACATTTTATATACTAGTCTCATGAATGGATACAGTCTAGGAGATGCAGGATATTTTTCTGACCCCTTCGTGGGACTAGTGGCAGGGGAGCTATTTACTCAGCCCACCCCACTCAACCCCTTGCAGGAGGGAGTGAGCGAGAGAATGAGTGTGTGAACCAAAATGAGTGAGTGTAGGAACCGGCAGGCTGCTTTAGCCCCAGCAGGAGCAAACTGTGCAGGCCCTGTGGCAGCGTCCAGGTGGGGGTGCCTGTGACCACAATGCCCCAGAGAGCATGCTACAAGGCTCTCTTAGCTCCACCGTCATGCAGACAGCAGCATGTTATTAGCTCAGTGGGCCCTTTGCCTCATCGCGTGGGGCAGCTATCTTCTGCCAGCAAGGGCAAAGGGCCAGTGTGACAGCCTTTTTGGGTATCTGCACTTGGTGTTTCCCGAATTCTTGTTCAGTGTCCAAGAGGAATCAGGTCATGACAAACTGAAGGATGGTGAATGTGGAGAATTTTACTAAGCAATGAAAGTGGCTCTCAGGGAAGAGGGGAGCTAGAAAGGGGATGGGGAGGGCAGGTCACTCTCCCCTGAAGTCAGGCCACTTCTCTGCCTCTCTCTTCTGAAGTCAAGTTGCCTCTTTCCAGCATCCATCTACTTTTCCTCTCCACCGGCTGAGTCAGGGGTCTTCATAGGCACAGGATAGGGAGCAGAGTAGGCCATAGGTAATCTTGGAAAAGGCAACATTCGATTGGTAAAAAGACATTATTCACAAAGAACCAATTGGGAGAGAGCAGGCACACAGAGATGGAAGTTCTCACTTTGGGCCACAGATTCCAGGCTTTTTGGCTCAAAGGTAAGGTTTTGCCAGGGACTCACCTCGGTCTGCCTAGAATTTCTCTGCCTCCTGTCACTATCACAGGGATTCCATGTTTCTTCATTAAGACAATGATGCTAAAAGAACAAATAAAATTGCTTGGTTTTGGTATGTTGGGGCTTTTCCTCACTAACATCTTTGTATAGTCTTGAATGGCCTTTTTCCAACGCCGCCACCAACATCTCTGTGTAGTCTTGAACTGCCTTTTTCCAACCCCCACCCCCGATAGAATGTTTGATTTCTCAGTCAAATGGAATCTGCTTCCTTTGCATCCTATTAAAGAATGAACATAATTAGCCAATTAGGAGAGGATGAGACCAAATCACCTGGGATGAGGCAGCTTTAAGGTAATTGCCTAATTCAAGACAAATATGTTTTCATCATTGTGATAGGCAGTATAATGCCCTCCCTCACACTCCCAAGATGGCTATGTCTTAATCACTGGAAGCTGTGAATATGATAGGTTATGTGGCAAAAGGGAATTCAGGTTGCTAACTGACTGCCCTTAAAATAGAGAGATTATCCTGGATTATCCATGGGTTTCCACATGGATAATCCAAGGGTCCTTTTAAGTGGAAAATGGAGCTAGAAGAGAGTCAGCAGAAAATGTGCCTTGGAAGATGGTCAGAATGCTGCATTGTGGGGACTCAGCTGCCTTATCTGGCTTAGAAGATGTAGGAAGGGCAGTGTAAACCAAGGAATGTAGGTGGTCTCTACAAACTGGTAAAGGCTGGGAAATGGATTCTCAGCTTCAGCCTTGAGAAGGAACACGACATTGACAACACCTTGATTTTACCCTGGTAAGACTCATGTTAGATTTCTACCCCACAGGGCTCTAAAATAATACATTTGTGTTGCTGTTAAGCCACTGAGTTTGTGGAAATTTGTTGCGGCAGTAATAGAAAACCAACACAAAAATTAACTGAGCGGCTTTGATATACTAAGGTGAGCACTAGGGATAGGAAGATTCAACTCAGTTAACTCCAGTGTTTCAGTGAATATTTCTCATTAGGGTTGCCAGATAAAATACAGGATGTCTAAATACATATAAATTTCAGATAAACAATCAATTCTTTAGTATAAGTATGTTTAATATTTAACACTTACTAAAAATTATTCAATATATCTGAAACCAAATTTCACTGAGTATCCTGTATTTTATTTGCTAAATCTAGCAACCCTATTTCTGATTCATATGTCTAGGAAGTTTCAGGAATTACCTCTGCTCAACAGAACTGCTCCCTGCTAAACATGCCGAAACCCTTTTCTTAGTTATGTTCCTACTATATTTTAGGTCTAATTTATCATGCAGGGCCTGGCTTTCTTTATGATAATAGGGCCGCCTGGTTTCCTGGTCATGCTATTATTGTCATGAATTGCAAGTAGGGTCAGTGGATTTTTGCTAAATGTGACAGTACTATATTTATTTGGAGCCTCATATGCATTGTCTTTCTTGGATTTCATCCAATTTCCATTTCTCTCCTGCCAAAATACTATGCTGACTATCCAAGCACTGCTTAGAGAGCAGTATTCAGGCTCTGACCCTGGGCATAAATGTGCTCCCCCTGCTTGTTTTAAATAATCTCATTTCCACAGCAGCTGTTGATTCTGCTTTGCTGAACTGTTCAGTAAACTGTGCATTAATGCCATTAAATTAGAACAAATTAGCATGCCTTCTCCCACAGCACTTTCATCTGGCTGTTAACTTACATTTATGAAAATCATGACTCATGCATAGCTGCACATTTAATAGTCTAATATTTTCAAAAAGAATTATATAGTTCCTTTCAATAGGTTTTTACATTGCCAGGGAATGGGTAAGAATAGAACATCTGTTTCTGTAAGTCTGAAAATATATTATGGTACATGCCCACTTATTTCAAATTGACTAGCTTTTATTCTCATAGTATAGTAGCTATAGGTCAGATTAATCTGTTTCTCATTCAGCAGAATATAAAGAGAAAAGTAGAATGTTAATTCTAGATAAGATATAGGGGTACAATTTTAAGTTGATGTTACAGTTACATCTTCCCCTTAATATATTTGGAGTTTATTGCCGAAATAATTTCTTCCAATGGTAAGAGATTTTTAATATAGATTCTTCAGGTAGCCTTAACATATGCAATGAAATCATTTTACAAATATATGTGACTCCCAACCATAAACAAAGTCCATTTCTGTTCATTAAGTTTATGAATTATACCAGTTTTCTTGCTTTTTTAGAATTTCAGAACAATTCCAAATAAAACTACACAAAATTTTCATTCAATACCAGTGTAATTTTTCACTATTTTGCCTATGTAATAAGTACCATTAGGCAATATAGTTATAACGCTTTTTATCTTTTCCTTTTGAGCAATACCAAAAAAAATGGTGGCCATTCTGATTTGATAAGATGTGTAAAACACAAATCTCCACAAACATACAACCATCAAAGGTCACTTTACAGATAAAGAAACCATAGACCCTAAAAAGACAAAGAGTTTGCTTAAGGATTTTGTGGTGGTTGATAAGGTTAGATAGAATACAAGATAAAAACGTGAAGATTGTAAAGCAAGAGCAGAATCGCAAAACGTTGAGAAACAAGGGTAAAAATTGCAATACCATAAAGATAAATATCTTGCTTGAAATTGCCCATGACTTTGGCAGTATATGTTTTCTTAAAGATAAATAACAAAAAGTTACTGTTTCTGCATTTTAAACAACCAATTAAACTAATTGCTCAGGAAAAACACAAATATTATCAGTCTTAATACTACATATGAATTCCTTCTTGAGTTCCTCATAAGGAGTACACCACGGAACAGATAAGCAAGACATCTTACAAACTCCAGACAAGAAGCAGGTCAAAAATCCAAGTCTGCTTTTATTCCACCAGACTACTAAGCAACATTGTTGGTTTCTGATTCTTCTCAACAAACCTGTAGATACACTATAATACCTTCCATTCCTTCTACCTTTCAGTGAGGTTGATATACGTGTTTTTTTTCTATGAAGGCCAATTCCCTCCAATCATAACAGAAGATAACATTTTACTATCTGTGCTTTTTATTTTTTATAATGTTTAACTAGAATGAAAGTTACAGGAGGATGTGTTCCAAATGTGTAGTATAACATAGAAAAAGGTACATCATTTTTGAAGAATGACTAAAAGGATATGGTCTAGCTTTAGTATAGATGAAAAGAGTGGGACAATCTCAGTTCTCTGTATAGATCCATATAAAAAATCACCGCAGTTTGGCAAATGTGCTCATCAGGTTTGGTTAGCATAACAGTTCTAGAGGAAAAAGAAGCTGGGACTGCTAATAACATGCAAACTTCTGTGAACTGGCTTTCCAGGGCTTACTTTCCCAAAGTAGCCCTGAAAAGATGGCTTGCAATTCCACCCCAGCCCTGATTTCAGTGTACCATATGTCTAGTGGTGAGTTGAGTGCAGCTAGAAGACGCTTCATTCCAATTTCAAATAAAATATTTATCTATCTACATTATCTCATTCAAAGAATCTTAAAGGCAAAAAATGAAACACTCCAAAGAACAGGATTCTTTTCAGGGTCAATGCACTAGTTGAAATTGTAAAAAATCAGCATCTTGTCTTGCCTAGTGTTTTCTTTCATTGTTTAATATAACTTTTCTAGGTCTGCTTTGTACCAATTAGAACTCTGTTTACATTTATGCATAGAGTAAAAATAAGCAGTGCTCATTTTCACTCTTGAGGCATGAAGTTTCTGAATAGTCAAATATAGGCTACATTTTATATTCCTAAGAACATCTCTTTTATTTACCATATCAGAAGGGCAGGTATTTTTTTAATATCCATAGGTTTTTATGTTCTTATTTCAAAAAAAATCTCAAATATCCACAAAAGCAGAACAAATAATACAATCAAACCCCATGGATTTATTAGTCAGTGACAACAGGCTGCAACTCTAGGCCATTCTGGTTTCATCTATACCCTTACCTTCTACCTTCCCCCCTACACAATTACTGTAAAACAAACCCTAAAGATTCCTATTTCATTGTTTAATATTTGTACGTAAAGATCTTAAAGGAAACAACTTTTTCATTCAACACTACCACAATTCTGTTATCACACTAAAACATTTACTAGCAATTCCTTAGTACCACCCAATAACCTTGCAAACCCAACTATCACACCACTAGATAATCTCATGAATAGTTTTTAGCAGTGCTTGGTTCTAGAACTTTAGACTTTAGTATAGTAACAACTCTATGAGTTAGATATGATTATTATTCTCCTGAGAAATGAAGAAAATGTGTCTTGAGATAGTAACACAAGACAGTTTGGTTCCAGGTGATGTGCTGTATGATCTGACATGTTCTATTAATTTCCTCCTGTAAATATCATTTAAGGGCCTAATATACAGCGGGGAGAGTAAAGGGTCATTGGAATATATCAGTGAATATAGTAGACAAAAATATCAGCCTCCTTAGAGCTCATATTATAATGAAATTAGATAGAAAATAAATTTAAAAATAATAAATAGGTAAATGCTCTCACTTGATAAAGGTAAAAGTACTGTTGGAAAAAAAGAAAATAATATCACAGCTGACTTGTGGTTCCAGGAAGGATCATTGCAATTTTAAATAGGTATTCGGGGTAGGCATGATTGGAAAGGGCAAAGACTTTCAGGAGAGAGAAGTAATTATGCAAATATATGCCCATAAAGAGAGATCCCAGGACCAGGGCCTCAATTGGGTAAGAGAGGGGGAAGAATGAATTCTAATATCAGCTAACCAATTGTTTCATTCCTTGTGCCACTGGAGGTTTAAGCATGGAACTGTTGTACAAACCGACCAATGAGACCTGAGCATAAGCATGGTTAGAGTTTCAAATGAGGGTTTCCTCCAATGATTAAAGGACTCATAGGAAAAGAGACAGTCTGAGGATGACACTTCCTATCAAAATGTCAAAAAGTGGATGCCCTCAAATACTGCTGGCAGAGCATAATTTGCTGTAATTTTGCTGATGGAAAATTAAATAATACACTTGAAAGAATACTAGTAAAATTACGTGATAAATATTATAATGCCTGTAGCTAAATTTTGTCTATTGTCATGTATCAGACATGGTGTAATGTGTCTTACATTTACCATCTTGTTTAATCTTTAAAACAACCCTACCCTATGAGTTAGATGTGATTATTATTCTCCTGAGAAATGTAGAAAATGTGTCTTGAGAAAGTAACATTATTTTCTCAGTTTTGCACAGGCAGGAAGCTAGAAGGGATTTTGGAGTCTATACTTAAATATTTGATCTAAGAAATTGTTAAAAATAGATATGAAATTATATGCATAAAGTTGTGTACCAAATGCTTATTATAATGTGAAACTTTGAGAGCAAAATCAAAATAGCATTGAGGACCTGTTCAACTAAATTTGG
Source organism: Homo sapiens (assembly GCF_000001405.40). NCBI lineage: Eukaryota > Metazoa > Chordata > Mammalia > Primates > Hominidae > Homo > Homo sapiens. The sequence goes on from NC_000004.12 coordinate 175,546,906, forward strand.
CTACTTCTGAATAGAGAGTTAGTTAAACACATTGCAATAGTTAAGATTCCTGAATAAAATATTGTACAGGGAAAAGACACCAGAGAAAGGATATTGTAAAACATCCATTTTTAGACATTGAGGAGAAGAAACATATCAGAGAAGTTGAAGCATAAGCAATAATTTTATGTGTCACAGGAGAAGAGGGAAGGAGTAGTGAAGGTGGATTAAGCAAAATGACCAATTTTTCAAGGAGATGGATTTGCTATTGCCTTTGAAAACTGGGAGACTATTGATGACCCTTAAGAGTGAAGATTTCAGTTGGTATCTAAAGACAGACTTCAAGACATAATAAAAAGAAGTTGAAACTGTCATTTCAAGACATATTATGGTAAAGAAAAACAAGTAGAAAATAATAGATTTATCTTTGACTCTGGAGTGAACAGAGTATCTACAGAAATTTTTTTTTTGAGGCATGGTTGTAGTAGTTCAGATAAGAATTGAACTAAGTGTGGTTCACACCAAGGTTTTAACTTGTTTTCTCCTTTAAAATCCAGCTTTTGCCTTCACCACACTAATAAAACTGTTCTGGATAAAAACGTTCCTTTTTATTTCTGTGCCTTAGATGTATTACATCATTTGAGCTATCTTTGTAGCCCAGGATATCATAACCATAGGGATCAAAAATTAAAAGCGTAACTGAGGCTGAGGCTGAGACAGGAGACCTGCATGAACCCGGGAGGCAGAGGCTGCAGTGAGCCGAGATGGTGCCATTGCACTCCAGCCTGGGTGACAGAGCAAGACTCCATCTCAAAACAAAAACAAAAACAACTATATAATAGGGTCTTACTATTCTTCTAAGAATTTCAGTCTGAAATTTCAGTCTGAAAAAGTTCCACTCTTTTCATGTAAACGTTAGATTTCTAGATATGTGTATGCATACTATGGCTAATAAATTCAACAGAAGGAGGCCCGCATTTATTTCATAGAAACAATAATTTAGTGATGGTGCATGTGATCTTATGAATTCTTTAGACCTCTGGCAGTCATACCTGACAGATTCATGGCAAGGGAAATAACTATTTACGAAAGGATACATTTGCTTGTCTGACATGTTTGAGGAACCCTGCCTTTAATTACATAAGCAGATATTTATATCTTAACACCAATTATGACTTATTAATTCTGGCAGCAATAAAGCAACTAAGGACATACTGTCACTCCTAAATATGTCACGATGTGAAAAATTAACTCAATTCTAGCTAAGTTGCCATGCATTTTTAAATAGCAAAATAAATATGACTAAATAACACTCTGACTTCAATGGATTAAAATTAAGCAAATTTTTCAAGTAATATTTACTGCTACCCAGTTTATTAAACCACATCTATCAATGAAAGCAGAGCCACTATTTTTAGCCTTTTAAACTTCCTCAAATATAAGATATATTGCAGATGAGTATGAGCTAAAACTAGAGAAGCTCTAAAAATTGAAACAAATATTTTGCAAGGATACAGTTCACATTTACCACCTGATAGTTAAAATAATTACTTTGTGTTGTGAAATCTAGTATCTTAAATGAAAACGGAGGACATAGAAAAGTATAGGCTCTTGATTTATTTTGAAGAAAAAATTCTTAATTAATTTATACAATTCAATAGTCCTTGTTTATTTCTGAAACCAGACTTATCAAGATTTACAAAAGATGTATCTTCTGATGATCAATGTATTACATTTTTGTGACTTATTAATCAAATGGTGGTGATGAATGTTTTTACATTAACAGTATTGTGAGGGCACCCCAAAATTATTATATAGATATTAGGGTAATTCTATCAAGCCATAACTTTGCAGTGATCATCAGATTTAATCAACCTATAGAGTTTATTTGGTTGATATATTGATGTCCAGTTTCTCTCTCAGTAATTTGTAATAAAATTTGCCTGGGGACAGAATATTGTAACAGTTAAATGATAACTGTTTCATCAGCGGGAGTTTAATTAGGTTAGCAGCTGTATTCTAAAAGCATCCACAGAATGCTTTTTCCTAAGAGTCACGTGAGCCTAGAAACCAGCACTTCCACTGGAGTATATACTTTGCTGTCCTGTCATCTCTAGCTCATGCACGGCTTTAACGATGCACCACAAATGGCACCTATTACTTGAGTCATTCTCAGTCATAAACTTTTCCTAAAACATGAAGACTCCCTGTTTGACTCTGCCTGTCAGGATACTAGGAGAAATACACAGAATTCATTAACAATATTGATAAAACTATATAATATTTTTCATGTAATGGCACTATGGAATTCCTCATATTGTCTTCACTAGGTCTTTGACCCTGCTTTACTCTCCTAGAATGCCTTCACATGTGAAGCATCTTGTAATACCTTTTGAAACACTGTCTATACATAAAACTATAAAAACATGGCAGGTGGAGGTAAAAGTCCTCTTTTCTGTATACATGCAGAGACGTTACAGATAAAATATAACACCTAAGATTTAGTACATGTCATAGTTCAAAAAAGAGAAAATTATCTGCATGTCTAAAGTGAAGAAAGACAGAATGATAAATTTGAAAGCTGAGGCTATGTTTTTAGGTGCACAGACATTTAAGACTACTATATCTTCCTATTGAATTAACCCTTTTACCATTGTGAACTATCCTTGTTTTAATCTAGCTTAAAATCTACTTTGTCTAATATTTAAATAGTGACATCACTTTCTTTTATTTAGGCTTGCATGGTATATTTTGTTTGATGGTTTCACTTTCAATGTATCTGTGTCTTTATATTTAAAATATATCTTTAAAAATATCATGTACTTTGGGAGGCCGAGGTGTGTAGATCACAAGGTCAGGAGTTCAAGACCAGCCTGGCCAACATGGTGAAGCCCCATCTCTACTAAAAGTACAAAAATCAGCTGGGCATGGTAGCATGCGTCTGTAATCCCAGCTACTCGGGAGGCTGAGGTAGGGGAATCGCTTGAACCCAGGAGGTGGATGTTGCAGTGAGCCAAGATGGCGTCACTGCACTCCAGCCTGGATGACAAGAGGCAGACTTTGTCTCAAACAAACAAACAAACAAACAAACAAAAACAAAAAAACCCCACATGTAATAGGGTCTTACTATTCTTCTAAGAATTTCAGTATGAAAATATTTTATGTTATTTTAGTATATACTCTGTACTCATTGTCATTATTGATTCAATTGGGTTTAAGTCTACTGTCTTCTTTGTTCTCTTAGTCCAATCGTTCTTTACTTTCTTTATGCCCCTTTCCTACCTTCTTTTGGATTATTGAAGTGTTTCCTTTTATATTCCATTTAATATCCTCTCTTAACTCTTTTTTATAGCTTTTATACTATTATTTTAGTGACTAGTTATTGGTGACTTATTAGAGCCTGACTCAAATTAGAATATTATCACTTTCCTTAAAATAAATCTTACCACGTTTTAACTTGAGTTATCCCCTTGCCCTTTGTTCTGTTGTTATATCTATTTACCTTCACATTTTATAAAACCACAGGCATAACTTTTAACACAGAAATTAATGTTTCTTTAAGTAGTTGCTGTTTTTTCTTATTTTCTCACATATGTGCCCTTTTCAGCATCCTTGATTTATGCCTGAAGTTCTGTATTTTCATTTGGAATCATTTTTCTTCCACCTAGAGAATATATTCTTGTAGTGCAATTGTAATGGAAACAAATACTCTCAGTTTGTGTTTATCTGAAAAGAAAAGGCTTCCTTTTGCCTTTATTTTTGGAAGATATTTTACTTAGTGACGAACTCTAGGTTGACCATTTTTCCAAGACTGGTAAGCTATATGCTAATTTGCATTATTTGTGTGCAAAGGAAGCTGAAAGTTTTATTGTTGCTCTTTTGATGCTATCACATTTCCAAACCCCCACTCTAGAGGGTTTAGAATTTTCTCTTTATCTTTAATTTTCAACAGTTTGACTAATATACACCTAAATGTATTTTCTTTATTTTTATCCTGCCAATCTGTATGTTGCATTTCTCATCATTTTAGGAAAAGTCATGCCACCGATCTCTTTAATATTTTCTCTGTCCCGTTTTCTCTCCATTTTGCTGTCACTACAGTTACATAAAACACTCTGAAATACTCTAGGAGACAAATAATAGCTACCAATTTTTATTTATCTCTAAAATAAGTTATATTTCTTACACTGTGTAGTATCTTACAACATAACATAGATGAGAGGACAGTTCTGTAAATAAAACATATCACCTGGGTAGTACCATGTATTTTCAGATTTTCAAACCAACACTTGTTAACTCTGTTGGAAATAATATTATTACAAAGCAATACTTTTAGAAGTACAAACTTACTGTACAATTCTTTTATAGACCGATACAAAGTAGATGTTTTATTGTCTAATTTTGTTAAATCTAATGCAAATAATCTCTGTATAATTGTGAAATAATTCATTTTCTGTTTGCTGTTTGTTTTCTCTCCATCGCAAAAGCCCAACCTCTGTATCAGGGATTGCAACTCTACTCTCCAGTTTCCAAATAGTTAAATGAGGCCACCATCATCTGTGACTCTATAGTGAGTTCATTAATTAGCTGTTCTAAAATCACTATTTTTATAATGTTTCTCTTTCCCAATCCTATTATCCTCAAAACCCTATCCCACCGCCAAGGTCTGTATGTAGGAAAAAATAAGCTCTCCCCGATACGGTGTAAGTAATAAGCTCTTCCCACTATGGAGTACACAAGCAGTTCTTGAATTTTTTGGTCTTGGAAACTGATTACACTCTTAAAAATTTTTGAGTATGGCAAAGAGCTTTTGTTTATGTGGGTTAAATCTATTTATGGTTAAATCTATTGACACATGTTAGAAATGAAAGCTGAAGATGTGTTAAAATATTTATTTATTAGGCTATTTAAAAATAGAAATAATAAACCTATTGCAGGTTAACATAAGTAACACTTCTATGAAAAATAAGTATTTTAGAAGAAAAGGTGAAAAGAGTATCACTGTTGTACATTTTAGCAAATCCCTTTAATGTCTAACTTCACAGAAGAATGCTTCTGCACACAATCTGTTATGAAATGGCACATCTTATTATCTCTTAAAAATTCCCTCAAGGGAATGGGAATTTTAAAAGGCAGATAGTGTCTTAGCGTTATTATGAAAATTATTCTGATTTGTAGATCCCAGAAAGGGTTTCACTCACCCTTCAGAGGTCCCCATGCCATAGTTTGAGAACTGCTGATGTAGATATTAAGATTTAGCATGAGTGGAAAGTATTGAATTAAATACACAGTCCAATGCCCTCGTTTAAAAAAAAAAAAAGCTGATAAATTCTTACAGGCTTTCCCAGCTACTTGGTGACAGAAGCAGAATGATGACCCAGATCTTTCCCCTTCAGCATTTGTTAGAGGAAGTAAACCAAATATTCTTGGTAATGAGGATTAAAGTAAATTAGACAGTGGCATAGAAGATTAATGATGGGACCTCAGACATCTGTTGACAGGTTTGGAGGTATTTTAGGAGAATAGGCCTTTCAGCTTCTCCCAAATCAAACCAATTAGAGGATTCCACATTTTGTCTGTGTCAAATCTACCTCCAATAGCATTCTGCCTCATCTTCTATTGTGATACAGGCACAAAGACATTCTAGGAGAAAATAATAACAATGAAAACAACAAAAAGTCTCTTCATTGTCTATTACTAGAGATACAAAAATGTCAAATAGGGACATGGAATTCTTCCTTACTGGTTGTGACCCATGATGAAGATACTCAGCTTGGTCAGCTGTGTTTTCTGCAGCCCCAGATCATCTAAAGAAGTTTTGGTTGTCCTTCAGTGCCTCAAGAGACTGTGGACTATTTCACCAACAGTGCTTCAGGTTATTAAGGATATGGCTTAGCGATACCATCATAACAAGACAGGGCAAAGCACCATCACTGATGGGCATACATGTTAAGATGCAGCTCCCTTGTCGTGTTACATGATAAGAGACCAGTAGAGTTATGCATTCAGGAGTCGGGCTGCTGGAGTAAAAATCTCAAGTCTGCCTTTCACAAATTAAATGATTAGAGAAACTTCAAATAGTAACCTTAGACTACATACTGGAAATTAAAATAAATAACAATCAATGGGAGGGTTTTTTTTTTTTTTTTTTTTGAGACGGAGTCTCGCTCTGTCTCCCAGGCTGGAGTGCAGTGGCGCCATCTCGGCTCACTGCAAGCTCCGCCTCCCGGGTTCACGCCATTCTCATGCCTCAGCCTCCTGAGTAGCTGGGACTACAGGCGCCCGCCACCACGCCCTGATAATTTTTTGTATTTTTAGTGGAGACGGGGTTTCACCGTGTTAGCCAGGATGATCTCGATCTCCTGACCTCGTAATCCACCCGCCTCGGCCTCTCAAAGTGCTGGGATTACAGGCATGAGCCGGGAGGGGATTTAATAAGCTAAGTAACATAGGCATATTTTTTAGAGAAACCAGAGTAATATAGTAATACACTTGGGGAAAATGTGTTTAAAATGGACACAAACACGTTTGTATGATATAATTATGATACTTTTCTTTTACTGTCAGATATCTTGCCATTTTATACTTAAGCTATGCTAGGTTCTTCTTGATATTCTTAACAGTGCTTTGCAGTTCCTTTAAGTGCCATAATTTAAGATGAAAACTTATTCTGAAACTTAATAATTACTTGTTAAGCATTTTCCACAGAGAAAATTACCAGTTTAAGGCTTTCATTTAAAATATATGCTACTAGAAATATAATATTATTTTGATAATTAATAAACTAGATTTTGCTTCTTTAATAAATATGGTTTTCCTTAAGTGTGTGTGTATGTGGACATAAACATTACTATGTATTAACTATACATAGAAATGTATATATGAAATATACATTATATAAATATATATTAATAATATATATTCACTATATATTTGTAAAGAAAGTTTTCAATATATATTTATATATTTATATAGTAAAAATTATGTAGTGAAAATTTACTAGTTCTGAAAATTAGGATATGTTTTTTCATAAATGAATGCAGAAGAAAAATAACAGCAGAACATGTGGCTTCGGAGGACCTGTTTTTGTTCTGTAATGTTTCAGCTTACTGAATTTTTCATGAACTCTTTACGTTGAGTATTAAATCTCAAAGCATTTTAAAATTTTCTCCAAAAATCAAATTTTGTTACTTTTCATTTTTTAGGGAAGTTATCATTTATCTTCTGATTGTTTCACCCTTTCCTACCAGCAGTAGAATGAATATAAGATAAAAACAGGCAATGTATGGCAAAAGAATTCCAAAGGGTCAACTAACAGATGAAAAATATTTCATAAGCATATATTTTCCAGAGAAATGCAAATGTGATCCATCATTACATGCCATTTTACTTCTATGACATTGGAAAAAATGGAGAACACTGACAATCAAATATGTAGCACATTATGTGGAGAAAAGGTCACTCTAATACTTTATTATCGGAATTTCAATCAATAAAATAGCTAGTAAACATGCATCTTTTTACGACTTAATGATAGAAGAATTCTGCTATTGACTATGCATCTCGAAGTAGTCATTGTGCATGTGCACAAGGAGACATGTAAACTATGTTCACTGTAACAGTGTTCAGAAAAGAAAAATTTGTAAACCTAAACCCTTAGTAAAGAAAGAAGATATATGTCATAATATACTTTTATATGACATATAACTTATAATAGGTAGACTATGCTTATCATCATGGTATGTTATGTACCAAATACTAGGATGAATTGAAGCTCTATAACAACCTGGTTAAATATACTTATGGTTAATTACATAAAGCTATATATTAAAGTGGCTGTATCTTCAAAACAATGTTAAAAAGAAGCAAGCTGCATACACTGAAATATATCCATATGTACTAAAAGTCTATTAAAATACAGATAAAATGATGCAATTCTATTCATAATAGCTGTTAATTCCTTTTTGTTTTTCAAATTATTTATTATTCTTATTGTTTGTATTTAGGACATACGACATGATGTTTTGTTATACAGGTACATAATAAATGCTTACTTTAGGTAAACAAATTAACATCTCCATCACTTTCTATAGTTAGTTCCTTTTTTTGTCAAAGAGTGCCTCAAATCTACTCTGTTAGCAAATTTTCAATATACAATACAGTATTTTTAACTATAATCTTCTATTGTATTGACTTTATATCTTTAGATTTATTCATATTACATTGACTTTATATCTTTAGACTTATTCATAATACATAACTGCTAGTTTGTGCCCTTTGACCTTTGTCTTCTCATTTTCTCCCCATTCCCATACTATTATTTTATTGATATTTGTATTTGTACATCTGTGTAGGTAATATGGTTTGACTGTGTCCTCTCCCAAATCTCATGTTATAGTTTCCATAATCCCCACATGTCATGGGAGCAGCCAGTGGGAGGTAATTGAATCCCAGGGGCAATGATCCCCATACTGCTGTTCTTGTGAAGTCAGTGAGTTCTCATGAGATTTGATGGTTTTATAAGGGGCTTTTTCCTCTTTGCTCAGCTCTTCTTCCTGCCATCAAATGAAAAAGAAAGTGTTTGTTTCCCCTTCTGCCATGATTGTAAACTTCCTGAGGCCTCCCCAGCCATGCAGAATTATGAGTCGATTAAACCTCTTTCTTTTATAAATTACCCAGTTTTGGGCAGTTCTTTATAACAGCATGAGAATGGACTAACACAGTGGGGTACATGTGTTATTTTGTTACATGCATAGAATGTGTAATGATCAAGTCAGAATATTCAGGGTATCCACTACCCTGAGTATTTATTATTTTTATGTGTTGGGAACATTTCAAGTCATCTTTTCCAGCTTTTTAAAAATATATAATACATTGTTGTTAACTATAGTCACTGCACTCTGCTACAGAATATTAGAACTTACTTCTTCTATTGAACAGTTTGCATCCATTAACTAACATCCATTCATCACCCCACTCCTACCCACACACCTTCCCTGTCTTTGGTATCTATCATTCCGTACTATATCTTCATGAGATCCAGTTTTTAAGCTCCCCCATGTGAGTAAGAATATGTGCTATTTGTCTTTTGGTGCCTGTATGATTTTGCTTAACATAATGACCTCCAGTTCCCCCATGTTTCAGCAAATGACATAATGTTTTTCATTTTTATGGCTGAATTGTATTCCATTGTGTGGAGGTACCACATTTTATTTATCCATTCATGCACTAATGGATACCTAGGTTGATTCCACATCACTGTAAATAGTGTTGCAATAAACATGGGGGTGGGTGTGGAAGTATCCCTTTGATATACTGATTTCCTTTCCTTTGGATTAATAGTGGGATTGTTTGATCTGTGTGATTGGCAGAGCACTCATGAGGCCAATTTTGAGCTCCAGAAGAGGTGTGCATTAGGGGGGTTGGGTCCCAGTAGCACCAGATTCCTGGTTTCTGAAAGAAGACTGAGTGAGTGTTAGAGGAGGAAGAGCAACATCTAGGTAAGAACACTCCAAGGCCACTGCACAGTTCGAGTACCACATGCCATTCACATCCAGCACAAATTGGCAGTGGGGTGTCCCTGGAATAGCCACAATACTCAAGTAACGTCTGCAGACAAATCCTCCATTGAGAAATGAGCAGAAATTTGGCCAAATGGGACAGTACTCCACCTAATTTGGCTTATCACAAGTACCTGTAGTAATTGTTAAAAAGGGGACGATGACCTCTTTCTCAGCAAAGCTGGCCTTTGGCGTGGAATACTGAATAACAAACATTCAGAGAAAACTGTCTTTAGATTTCTAGTGCATTATTCACTAGAAGTATAGTCTATAAAAGCAAAACAGTTTCACTGACAAAATAGAAACATAATAGAACTGTTTTTTTTTTCTTTTTTAAAAACTATGGAACCAGTGATGACTTCTATTCATTTTAAATTTTTTATTATGTATATTTAAGGTGCACAACATGATGTTCTGATATACACATATATGGTGAAATTATTACTACAGTCAAGCAATTTAATATATCCATCATCTGACATAGTTGCCTTTTTATATATGTGTGTTAGGAGCACCAGAAATCTGGTCCCTTAGCAAATTTCCAGTATATAATACAAATATTAACTATAGTCCTTATGCTGTGCATTAAATCTCTAGACTTACTCATCCTTTATAACCACCGCAACTTTGGACCCTTTGACATACATTGCTCTATTTCCCACTCACCTTTCGTAACTACTGTTCTATTCTGTTTCTATGAATTTAGCTTTTTTGTTTTGTTTGCTTAGATTCCATATATAAGTGAAATCATGTAGTAATTGTCTTTCTGTATTTGGCTTATTTTACATAATGTTCTCAATGTTAATCCACATTATTGCAAATGGCAGGATCTCCTCAATTTTTAAGGCCGAATAATATTGCATCCTATATCCTATATATGACAATTTCCTTATCGATTCATTCATCAATAAATACTTAGAAGTTCCCATATCTTGGCTATTGTGAATAATGCTGCAATGAACATGGGGGAACAGATATCTCTGTGAGATGCAATTTTATTTCCATTGGATATACACTCAGAAGGATTCCTGGGTCACATGGTAGTTCTGTTTTTAATTTTTTTGAAGAGCCTCCGTATTATTTCCCATAATGGCTGCACCAATTTACATTCCTATTAACAATGTCCAAGGGTTCCCTTTTCTTGCCAATAGTTGTTTTCTCTTGTCTTTTTGATAACAGCCGTCCTAACAGTAGCGAGGTGGTATCTCAATGTGGTTTTGACTGGAATTTCCCTGATGATTAGTGATGTTAAGTACCTTTCATACACCTGTTGGCTATTTTTGTCTCTTCTTTGAAGAAATACTTATTCAAGTCCTTTGCCTGCTTATTTATTTATTTATCTACTTTTTATTTTTTGAGACAGAGTCTTTCTTGCCTAAGCTGGAGTGCAGTGGCGCGATCTCACTGCAACCTCCGCCTCCCAGGTTCAAGCGATTCTCCTGCCTCAGCCTCCTGAGTAGCTGGGATTACAGGAGCACACCAACACTCCCAGCTCATTTTTTGTATTTTAGTAGAGATGGAGTTTCACCCCTTGTTGGCCAGGCTGGTCTCAAACTCCTGACCTCAAGTGATCCACCCACCTCGGCCTCCCAAAGTGTTGGGATTACAGGCGTGAGCCACCGCACCCGGCCCTTTGTCCACTTTTTAATTGGTTTGTTTGATTTTTGCTCTTGCATAGTGTGAGCCTCTTATATTTTCGATATTAAGTGCTTATTATATATGTGGTTCACTAATATTTTCTTCCAGTCTATAGGCTGTCTTTTCACTCTGTTGTTTTCTTTGCTGTGCTGGATCATTTGTTTAATGTAGCTCCAGCTCCACTGTTTTATTTTTGCCTTTGTTACCTGAGCCATTGGTGAGATAGCCAAAAAATGTCCAAGGGCAATGTCAAGGAGCTTTTTCCCTGTTTTCTCCTTGGAGTTTTACAGTTTCAGGCCTTACTCTTAGGTCTTTGATCCGTTTTGATTTGAGTTTTATGTATGAGGTAAGATAAACATCTAATTTCATTTTTTTTACTTATGAGTATTCAGATTTTCCAGCACCTTTTATTGAAGATACTATCCTTTCCCCACTGTATTCTCTTGCTGCCCTTGATAGAAATTAGTTGATCATGGGCCGGGCGCGGTGGTTCACGCCTGTAATCCCAGCACTTTGGGAGGCCGAGGCGGGCGGATCACGAGGTCAGGAGATCTAGACCATTCTGGCTAACACGGTGAAATCCCGTCTCTACTAAAAATACAAAAAATGAGCCGGGCGCCATGGCGGGCGCCTGTAGTCCCAGCTACTCGGGAGGCTGAGGCAGGAGAATGGCTTGAACCCGGGAGGCGGAGCTTGCAGTGAACCGAGATTGTGCAGCTGCACTCCAGCCTGGGCGAAAGAGCGAGACTCCATCTCAAAAAAAAAAAAAAAAAAAAAAATAGGAAATTAGTTGATCATGAATGCTTGAGTTTATTTTTAGGCTCTCTATTCTGTTACAGTGGTCTATGTGTACGTTTTTATGCCAGTACCACACTTTGTTTTTGTAATATTATTTGAAATCCGGTAGTAGAATGCCTCCAACTTAATTTTTCTTTCTCAAGATTGCTGTGGTTGTTTGGAGTCTTTTGTAATCTAAAAAGCAGCTTAAGAGTAGTAAACAGATTTTGAAAATGATACAAAGGTAATCAGGCCTACTGAATCTTCAGATGGAATCAAGTTGAAACAGTCTCCTATAACACTTTGATAATTTGCAGAAAAATTTTGCCTTTAGAGGATTCTAGCAAACCTATTCTCAGTTCACTCAAATTATCAAGATCTTCTGAAGTTATTCAAGAATAACTTTCTATTTTGGCCATATTCCAAAGTCAACTTGAGGTGTAGGAGCAGAGTGTATTTGCGAAGGAGTAGGAGCAAGACAGAGTCGAAGTGGGAGGGAGAAGCACATACGACTCGGAGGAATTCTGGACTTCATTCCTTTAGGTGTTCTCTAATATACCCTTAGCCCATTTCCAATTTTCAAGCAAGCCTCTAAACTAATCCTTACAGCTTGTTACAGGTTCAACGAGGACGCAAACTCTTCACTACCCAAGAGAGCTATAATCTATCTATTTACGCATTTTTTCTCTCATTTTCTGGGTTTCTGACAGCTTAACTTGACTGAACTCACGAATAAGGGCACCAAGCTGATTACCTTGCATTTCCTGCCACAGAACAATTGCCTGAGAAGTTTTGTGGAAAAATGAATGCAAATTCCACAAGGAAGGAAGTTCATACTCAGAAAGCTCTTTTTAAACTCATTAAATCCATGGCTTTTGGAAAGGGATCAAGGAGAGAAGCTATAACTGAAAAAAATCAAGAAAGCATTCAATGTAATCTGCTTTCCATAATGAGGGTTTTTTTTAACTATGTATATTCATCAATGAAATAAAATTAGATAAGCCTTGAAGAAGTGTACTAGCAATAACTATTGTACTAAAATTATAAGGTGTAGAAAATGAAGAAAGTAAGAGACAGAATGATAGAAAGAGAAAGAGGGAGGGAGGGAAAGAAGGAAGAGGAAAATAAAGTTAAAATGAATTCGACAGAATAGCTACATATATATTTAAATACAAACTATGTAATGTTAATAGAACATGCCAAATACACAAAGCAAAACAGGAATGAGAAGTCTTACGGGGCCATAATTTTGCATGAATAACATCAACTTTTGTGGTAAAGCAGGGCAAAGACAGGAAATACAGGGAGAAGCACTTTAAAATTTCAGAAGAATTTAATGCATAAGAGGTTTCTTTCGGATTACAAAAGGTCCAAAGTCCAAGAGGTGGCAAGGCCATTTATAAAGACTTTATCCTGCACAATAAATAAAAAAAGGAAAGGAAAGGTAAAAGGAAGTAAAGAAATAAGGAAAGGAAGAAAATAAAGGAGAAACAAAGGAGAGAAAGGAAACAAAGAAATAAAGAGTGAGAAAGAAGAAAGGAAGAAAGAAAGAAAGAAACAAAGAGTAAGAAAGAAGAAAGAATAAAAAAGAGAGGAAGGAAGGAAGGGGGAGGGAGGGAGGGAAAAGAAAAGAAAGAAGAAAGAAAGAAAGAACAAAAAGAAAGAAAGAAAGAAAGAAAAGAGAAAGAAAGAGAGAGAGAGACAGAAACATAAGAGAGGACTTTCTTCAGCTATGTGCAAAATGTGGAGTGTAGCTGATCACAACATGTCCAGTTAGCCACAGTTTTTTCATTCTAAGTGTCAACTGTTTTATGTATAAAGAACCATAATAGAACATATAAATAAAATATATCCATCTGTGCATATCTGCAGTACATGGAAAGTATGTCCTGTTGTTAAAAGTCCTTCATAATTATGGATTTTGAGAGCCACTAGATGTCAGCATCTGATAATTCTATGAGAAACACACATGCTGGCTTTTTATTTCTGCGACAGACTTTCTGTTCAGCCATTTTCTTCATCTAAATGAAAGTGAACCAGAAATTCTATACCTTTTAAAATACTCATATTACTTGTAAGAAGATAAACAATTAATTTGATGTTACTATTTTTACAATTATGAGTTTTATGATATGTTAAGCAGATATGAATAAAAATATCAGCTTCTGTGTGTTTGTGTATATGTATATATACACACATATATACATATACATGCATATATGCATGTACATGTATACCCACATATGTAATGTGCATTGCCACTATACAAGAAGAAACTGCTTAAAATATTTTTTACCTCCTTAAGCCCTCAACAAGTGTTTCCTTTCTTCCTTCAAGAGAGCATTTCATCTGCCACATCACAGGAAATAATGAAGATATCTGAAGTTCTCCTTCTTGTTTTTATTCTATTGCAGATCTCATCCTTTCTACCTTTAGTGTGGATATTTTTGGATACTATATCTCCACACCTCTGCAGATCTGTTTCCTTGAGGGATAAAATGGTATCTTGTCCATCATATGTGCTGGGTAAAATCAGTGACTTTGTGAATGAATTAACACATGAGTTACTTAACTCATTGTAGGGAAATAATTTTTAAAGCAAGTTATATCTCTTAAGCCAGCCCATGAGTTTTGAAGAAGTCATTCTGGAGAATGCATATCATTAAATTTCCTGAGACTACAGATATTCAGTATCTTCAAATAATAACTGGGAAATTGCTGTTTGCCTTTCTCCTAATATCACTTTTTCTCAACACCTAATTTTGTAGAGGAGGGCAGCCAGAGAAAGAGAGAGGGAGAGTCTGTCTTCATTCCAACTGTGATGGCAGATACAATCAAGTGACATCTACCAAAGCCCTTTGCTGCAGTTGACAATGGAATATTTTGCAAAGGCTATGTATGTGTAAGGGGCACAGATGGTGGACCTGGGGAATATTAACACAAAGGTCCTAAAGACTGGTTATGCAATGGTTTTCTGTTGTGAACTCGCCACAGTTTGCCTGCATTTATCCTTCAAGTCTTAGCTGTGAGATCCTTCTTTCAATCCCAATTCTAGAACAAGGTCTCTCCTTTTCTCTGGGAAATTGTAGCTACAGACTGAGACTGTAAAATCCATTCACTTAACAAAAATCTATTCATCCCAACTCTCTGTGAGGCACTGTATTAGGTTCTGTGGGGGGATACAAAGATATATTCAAAACAGTCCCTATTCCAAGAGTTTAAAATGAATCATCTAAAAAAATTACAATCCTTTATAGTCTTAATATTCCATAAGTGATTGGTACTTCAAACCCATATAGCACAATTAGTCAGAGGACGTTGAATCATCTTACCAAAAAATTCTCATTGGTGCATTTAACACAAAAAAAATTCAAATCTTAGCAGTTGACTTTTTTTAGATGAAGTAATTGAAATACTTAGAAGAAATTGTTTGCTTCAGGCTATGGAGTGAGCTGAGATTATATAACCATCTTCACTAGTATGCTGCTGGTATTCAGTTCTAATGCCTGTAAAATCTTGATTGAAAACAATTTATTAAGCAATAGGTACAACAGCAAACATGAATTCATGAGTATGTCTTCATTCAGTAGCACTGTTAATACAACAATGTTGCACGATGGCTCCTGGACACCAAATATTTAGTGGAAGAGACTTTATTTCAGCTATCTCAGAAGAATATGTCAGATGAATTTCTCTTTTTACTTCAAATCTATTAAATTGAAGGTTTTTCCCATTTTTACCTATTTCCTCTCGATCTATTCACTCTTTAGTAAATACGCTAAAAGGATGATGAGGCAAGAGATCAGGTGTGTCCATGTGCACCTGGAAACATTTTCTCTCTCTTGCTGGTGAAGGGAGTGCTGGCAGAAGCAGACCTGTCACTCAGGCAGAGGGAACAGATGGAGTGAGAAAATTTCTACATACAGGCAGCCCTGAGGAGCTGTGTGGAGAACATACGCAACAGGCATTTCATTTTCAATCTGCCTTCGCACTGTATTTATGATTTTGTGAAAATGTCTGGTTTCTTAACTGAATGCTGCATTGAATTGCCTCACAAACTTTTATGTTAATCAAACAATAGCTCTTCAGGTAGCCTAAAAAACAAATCACAGACTTCCCGGGGTTGTGCAAGAAAGGCTGAAAGCAGAATTTTGTAGTTTAAATTTTATGTTTTATGTATGTATATTTTTGAACATGGTATTGAGAAGATGTCAGATATGGGTGATTACTGGTAATATAATGAAAAGTGTATTATATATGCGTGTATATATATATACCTATTATTTAATAAAATCTATATGAAATGCTGTTAAAAAATCAGCAAAATTAAACTGTAGAAAAATGATAGCTATAAATTTAAGGACAAGTAACTAACCAATCAGTTACTGAGCTGGAATAATAAATTACACTGAACAGGGACTGACTTGAAGACAGTAAAGCCCGTGACATTATTCATTTTACCTGTGTCCTGTAAAAACTCTCAGACAATGGAAAGAAATGGTATTTACAGAAGAAAATAAATTACTTGTCATTGTAGGGAAAAAAAGCTTTGACATGTATAGATAATAAGGTTTCTTAGAGTTGCTTATCCTTTTACAATA
Organism: Homo sapiens; assembly: GCF_000001405.40. Lineage (NCBI taxonomy): Eukaryota > Metazoa > Chordata > Mammalia > Primates > Hominidae > Homo > Homo sapiens. Next base: position 175,563,461 of record NC_000004.12, read on the forward strand.
ATAATATTCCAATATACCAGTTTTAACTATCTCACTGACCTTCAATTTCATAGCTCCTAGAGGACCCACAAAGATCTAGGGACTGAAAATTCAGGGGAATAAGCCAACGAATTTACCAAACATAATGAGTGATTACTGTGTTTGTATCTAAATGAGCTTTCCCAGAGAGTAAAATAAATAGATAAGTCAAAAAATTATTTCCAAAGCCACTAGATTTCATCTTTATAATTTACACTTAATGATCAATGTCTTCTGTCTGAAAGGAATTGTAGGAAATGGGATATAGAAGGGAAAGGAAGAAATGACATCTGTCTTATTTGGTGCTATTTTCTTCCTCTTCCCTTTTTGCCAGGTAATTGTCTAAGCTGTGGCTGTGACAGTAAAGGAAGAATGAAGGAATCGTTCTGCAGTGGGTTAAATAGTGACCCCTGCAATGGACTGAATTGTGTCACCACAAAATTCATAGGTTGAAGCCCTAACCTTAATCACATACAAGGGACTGTATTGGAGATGTGGCCTTTAAGAATGTGATTAAGGTTAAGTGAAATCATAAGGATGCAGCCCTTATAGATCCTATGGAATTAATGTCCTTATAAGAAGAGGAAGAGACACCAGGGCACCCTCCCTGCCACAAAAGAATACAGCAAGAAGACAGTCATTTGCATAGGCAGGAAGAGAACCCTTACCATGACACAGACATGCTGGCATCCTGATCTCAACTTCCAGCCCCTACAACTATGAGAAAATAAATATGTACAGTTTGTTAGCCACCCATTCTGTGCTATTTTGTTATGGCAGCAGAAGACTAATACATTCCCCAAAATATATGTCCACCCAGAAGCTGTGAATGTGATCTCATTTGGAAATATGTTCTTGGCAGATGTAACAGTTAAGGATTTCAAGAGGATATTATCCTGGATAACAGTGGGCCGTAATCAAATGGCAAATGTCCTTATAAAAGAAGAGAAGGCAAGAAGACACACAGAGGGGAAGGTAATATGAAGATGGAGACAGAGGTTGGGGTGATACATCTATAAGCCAGGAAACACTAAGAAATGCTGGCACCAAAAGCTAGAAGAAGGCATTAAATGAACTCTCCTTCAGAATCTCCAAAATAAACCAACCCTGTTGGTACCTTGCCTTGAAACTTCTTGCTTCTGGAACTATGAAAGCATAATTTTCTATTGTTTTAAGCTACCAAATTTGGACAACTTGTTACATCAATATTAAAAAGCTAATACAAGTGCTCATTTACAACCAATCCATCAGCTAGGCATTACTGAACACATTTCCTAACAAAAAGTTTGTTTGTATACAATACCAAGAGGCAATGAAGAAAGGTTCCAAGTGTGTTTTGTTTTGTTTTTGTTTTATACTCAATTACCATCTTCAGATATCTGGCTCCAACAAATACTGATCTACCTCTGTCACCACAGTTGGCTTTTCCTTGAAGGTCATATAAATGAAAACATACAGTATGTCATCTTTTCTGACTAGTTTCTTTCATTTATATAATGCTTTTGAGAGTCATCCATGTTTTTGCACATTTTAGAAGTTTGTTCTTTATATTGCTATGTAGTGTTCCATTAAATGAGGTATCCAAGTTGATTTCTGTGTTCACTGATGAACGGGCATTTTGGTTGTGTGAAACTTTGGGCCATAATGCATAAGTCACTATGAACATTCAGGTTTGTTGATTTGTGTATAAATATGTTTTCATTTTTTCTTGGTTATATACCCAGGAGTGGAATTGGTGGGTCATATGGTAACTCTATGGTTAATTTTTTGAGGAACTGACAGTCTTCTTTCCAAAGTCCCTGCACTATTTTACATTCCTGTCTACAGTGTGCGAGGGTTCCAATTTCTCACAACCTCATCAATACTTGTTATTATCTGTCTTCCTGATTATAGCTATCCTGGTGTATGTGAATTGCCATCTCACTGCAGTTTCAATTTGCAATTCCCTAATGACTAATAATGTCGAGCATGTTTTCATAAGTTAGATTCCATTTACATATTTTTGGTGACCTATTTATTAATATACATTTTGCTCATAATTTTATTGAGTTGTTTGTCTTCTGACAGATGAGTTATGGGTTATGTTTTGGATACAAGTCTTATTTTTCTTTTATTGTTGTGTCTTATGAAAAAAAGTTTTTATGTAGTCCAATTTATTAATTTTATCTTTTATGCTAATTTTTATGTTTTATTTAAGAAATGTTTTACTAACCCAAGGTCACAAAGGTTTATTTTCTGTTCCTTTCTACATCTTTCATAGATTAGTTTCAACATTTACATGCATGATGTTAATTTTAGGTTATGCGTGAGGTAAGGGTCAAGGTTCATTTCTTGTAGAGGGATAGACAATTGTTACAGAACCATTTGTTCAGATGCTTATTCTTTCCTCATTGAATTACATTAGCACCTTTGTAAAAAAAACCAGTTGATGTATAAGTATCAATCTATACCTAAACTCTGTATTCTGTTTCACTGGTATCAGAAATTGCGTTATCATAATTAATAAAGCCGTACAGTAAGTCATGAACTCAAGTAGTGTAAGATAAGCAATGTTACTACTTTGCAAAATGGTTTAAAAGTCTTTTGTAGTTGTCTTATCTAGCCCTTTGTAGTTTCATTTCAAATCAATGTGCCAATTTTTAGAAAATAATAGTCTGGTGGGATTTTGATTGAGATTATATTTTATTAACAAATCAATTTATGGAGGTTGATATCTAACTACATTGAGTTTTCATAGCCATGAACAAGGTATAGCTCTCCATTTATTTAGATCTTGTAAATTATTACTCAGCAATGTTTATAGTTGTGAGTGTATAGGTGTTATATTCACTTTAAAATACAAACTTAAAGATTGTTAGATTATTATGCTATCATATTTTTTTATTTTATTTTTCTTCTGATTATTCCTAATATACAGAATTTTAATTAATTTTTGTATATTGACTTTCAAAACTGCAACCTTGCTCAATACACTTAGTTCTATTGGCTTATGTGATTGTTAATTTTATGTGTCAACTTGACTGGGCCACAGAGTGTCCAGATATTTGGCCAAACATTATTCTGGCTGTTTCTGTGAAAGTGTTCTTGGATGGCATTAACATTTAAATCAGTAGATTTAGTAAAGATTACCCTCCCTAATATGGGTGAGCCTCACTCAATCAGCTGAAGGCTTGACTAGAACACAAAGGCTAACCCTCCTCCAAGTAAGAATTTTTCTGGCTTGATGCTAGTGGACTTTTAACTGGGACATTGACATTTTTTCTGCCTTCAGACTTGAACTGAAACATGAGCTCTTCCTAGGTCTTGTGCCTGCCAATGTTTGGACAGATACTATTCCATAGACTCTCCTGGTTCTCAGGCCTTCAGGCCTAGACTAGAACTAAACCATCAGCTATCCTGGTTTTCCAGCTTGCCAACTCACCATGCAGATCTTGGGACTTGCCAGCCTCCATAAACACGTGAGCCAACTCCTTATAACAAACAAATACACACACACACATGCACACACACACACACACACAAACACAAATACCCTATTGATTCTGCTAGAGAACCCTGACTAATAAAGCTTATTTACAGATCCTTTAGAGTTATATACATGGACAGTTGTAAAGCACATCTTCAAAAAAGATTACAGCTAACGTCATACTTAATGGCGAAAAATGCAAAACTTTCCTACTAAGATCGGGAACAAGACAACCACTCTTTTTCAATGTTGTACTGGAAATCTGAGCTCATACAATAAGGCAAGAAAAGGAAATAAAAGATGTACAGATTAAGAAGAAAGTAATGAAATTGTGCTTTCGGAAGACATGATTATTTACATGAAAAATGCAAAATAAAAGACAACAAAACTCTTAGTTAATTTTATGCCCAGCAAAGTGGAGGGATGACTCCCTTGATTGCTGAACAAGAATCTCCCTAAGATTCCCTCTACCAACATCTACTTTAAATATCTGATTGGAGTCTTATATTAGTCTTTCAGTTGTTCTTGAAATATATCTGGAGGTTTCACTGAGATATTGATAATAAAATGTGCTGTTTGAACATGTACGTTGGCATCATGGTACATTCATTTAAAGATTTCTGTTTGGTGGAAGACAATCGATTCCCTTTCAAGTGGCATATGACTATTCATATGGATTTTTCTTGTTTCATTTCTAATTTTACTTAGTTGAGTCTTGTCTCTCTTTCTTACTGTAGCTAAGAGTTTATCCTTTATCTTTTCAGAGAAACCAAATCTTGTTTCATTGATTTTATTTTTTTCCTTTTATTCATTTCTGCTCTAATCTTTCTTATTTTCTTTCTTCTGCTAAATTTGGGCTTAGTTTTTTTTCTTTTTCTTTTAGTTGCTCAAGATGTAGAGTTAACTTGTTTATTTTAAATCTTTCTTCTTTTGTATAGTAGGTGTTTATCACTATCAACTTTCCTCTTAGTACTGCTTTTGCTCCATTCAGTAAGTTTTAAAATGTTCTGTTTCCATTTTTCTTTGTCTTAAGATATTTTTAAATTTATCTTTCAATTCCGTCTTTGACTTCTTGGTTGTTTGAGAGCATATGGAATACTTTTCACATATCTGTGAATTTATCCAGTTTTTCTTTTGTTATTGATTACTAATTGATACTTGGTATGATTTCAGTCTTCTCTAATGTATTAAGACTTGCTTTGTGATGAAATATGTAACCTATCCTGGAGAGTAATCTGTGCACACTTAAGAAGAATATGTATTCTACTGCTGTTGGGTGGCATGTTCTGCATATGTCTGATGTATCCATTTGTTCTACAGTTTTGTTCAAATCTGTTGTTTACTTATTGACTTTCTGTCTGGATGTTGCATCCATTATTGAAGGAGTACTGAAGTCTCCTACTACTATTGAAATGCTTTCTATTTCTCTCTTCAGGTCTGTCAATGTTTGTTTCATATATTTAGGCGCTCTGATGTTGGGTACATATATAGCTATTATTTTTATATGTCTTTGTAATGAAATGACCTTTTGTCATTATATAATAGCCTTCTTTGTCTCTTTTAACAATTTTTAACTAAAAGTCTGTATTATCTGATATAAATAAGTGTCCCTGTAAAACAGGAAATTGTGGACACAGAGAAATCAGCAGATGAAGATTGGAGGTATGCAGCCACAAACCAACAAGCTATAATAGGAGCCTGAAATAGATCTTTCCCTGGAACCTATTTCGGCCCTGAGAACACCATGATATTGTACTTCTAGTTTTCAGAATTGTGAGACAATACATTTCTATTGCTGAAGCCATTCATTTTCTGTTACCTTGTTATGGCAGGCTTGGTAAGCTAAAACAGAGATGAAAGCCATGTTCAAATCTGTTTCTTTAAGAATAAATTGTGATCAAAGCTGGAGAGAAAGTGAGAAAGTCCAATGAAGGAAAGATACAGAACTTGATTTCCCAAGATGGAGGGGCAATGGAAAGGCACTGGCGGATATTATCAACCTCCTTTTTTCCTACAGGTAAACTCTCAAGGATAAAATATAACTGATCTTGTTTCCATGGTTTCCCCCCAGCCAGCATGCTAAATGCAATCTTCTCAGATTGGTATTCTTAAACTGCCAGCTAGTCAATTTACTTATGAAGTTTATTCCCACACTGTTACTTTATTCATCTATCTTTTCTTCTAAATTTTGTTTTTTTCCTATTCTTACTGAAAACAGTTCTCTGCAATAGAGAAAGCATATTTATGTGCAGATATGAAATGTCTCTGAGTTATTCAGTGACATTAAAAAGAAAGATATAAACAATTACTGACATCTGGATCCCTTAGAAAAAAATTTTTTTTAATGAGGCTGAACTCATTTTGGAATTTCTTAGTATTCTATGACGTGGTTCAATGTTAAGGAAAATTAATCTGGGATCAGGCTAATGGTATGAACAAAAGTACGAAGGGCTAAATGGTTATGCTATACGCAGGTAGCATATAAAATGGGGTAAGGAAATCAGATTTATTCACATTGAAGAGTAATTACAAATAAAATTTGGTGGAGATAGTGGAGCCAGCGTAAGTAGGACTCTTAGCCACTTGTCATGAAAATGAGAGACTTTTGTTGCTAGCCAGGTAAATCTGGACCTTACATGAGAGATAATTGAAGGAGGAGATTTCTCTTTCTCCTTGTCGTGTGAGGTCTTAAATTAAAAACTTTGTTCAGAGAAATGGGTGGTACAAACAAACAATGAATTAGGCTATAACTAGGACCATGGGAATCATCAATTCATCAGTTTGTAAGTCATTCAAAAGTTTAGCTCTGAAGTAGAGAAACATCAGTATTTATGCAGGCATGAATCAACACACACACACACGCACACACATGCACACACACACAGCCTGATTCTTTGTCACATGTTCAGATCTAGAGGAGTATCTATACTCTGTATTATTTCTTATTCTACTAGATTTATTTGGTTCAGAGCTTCTATGTTGTGTTTAATGTGTTGTCACTCATAGTTTAAAAAACATGAATTAAGTTATAAATGAAAGTGAGAAAAGAAGTGGTAATTAGAATACAGAGTTTGATGAATTTGATGAAACTGTGGGAAGAAGAAAACAGAATTTATAAAAGATGATATATGGTGATGTACCTTGAAGTCTCTACACTACTATGGCACTATAGCACATAATTAGTGAAAATGTTATATTCTCTCAGGAGATGTCACCTGTATAAAATAATGTAAAGAATACAAAGATAGTCTGGCTCAAAAGTTCCTTAGAGTCTTTCTATGACGTGTTTGCAAGGTGAGGTCTTAGGAATATACTTCTGACAGATTTATATTGGTCAAATTCACTATCAACAGGGCTACATTATTTTTAAATAATCGTTTTCCACCACAACAAAAATTTACACGCAATAATAATTAACAACTATATATCAAAAAGAGACATGGAGAGCAAATCAGCATATCAGGATTTTACTCACAGTTTAGAGGTGTTGTCCTCAACAATTTTTCCTAATGATCTTGCTTTCTTCTTTTGTGCTCTTGAAATTTTGTAAGGTAAGTTTCCCCTTTATTTCACTTGATTACTTTACCCAAGCAATCAAGGCACTCTCGTCACTTTAATGAGGAGTATAATGCTCAGACTGAAACAAGTCCCCTGCCACTGATTTGCAATGACAAAACAAAAGACTAAGAAAAAGATCTGATCCTGTATTAAACAAATATTAAACGAGGAATTGTTTGTTTTACTATTTAAACTACCATTATCGAAATTCAGTACTAGTAACAACTTGCAAAAGTAAAGGCAGTATTGATTTTTCACCTAAGGGTCTTATATATTCATGAGGAAACTTAGAAAATCAGGAAGTTAAGGAACAATGTGGACAACAAAAGAAAACTTACTAAAAGTATAGGAGTGTTTGAAATAAATACCTATTCATAACTTCATCCTTTAGGCTGAAGTTTTAGGCTGATCTTAACCTAATTCTGTGTGTTTCTCCCTTTTTAATATCCCCTAAATATACTCTGATTTATTATGCCAGAATGTCAGCAGCGTGCTGTAGGAGTGGCAAAAGCAGAGAAAGGGATTAATCTAGACTGGCTTAAGGATTGCGGTCAACAATGGTTGAATTGATGGAGTTTAGAGCTAGGCTCTGGGGATGAAAGGCACAAGGAGCGAAAGTTGAAAAATGGGAAGAAGGGAAAGAAAAGTGATTTGGATCCTCTATAAATTTGATGAGCAAATTTTAATTAAGAATAAAAGTTATGGTTAACTATTTAAAGTATAAGAGCCAGGATGGTTGAGGGTGATAATATGATACAGGTCATGGCCATAGGTCAATGGCTAAAGATCATTGTGGATGAGTTGTAAGGGTAAAAACAAAGAAAACCCTGAGTGCTCTATGGATTGTTCACATGCTTGCTAAACACAGTGAGAATATGGATAAGATTACTGGCAGAGAAGAAAGTAGTATCAGACACCCAGTTCTCTGTAGTTTGTTCGGGATTGATTTGGGGTGTGGTTATAAGATCAAGGAAGAAAGGTAAATAATGATATAACGAGATGGCTGTCAGTTTAGTAACTTGGAAGTGGCAAATTATGCCCAAACATCTGGTCTGTAGGGCACATGGAGATTCTGAGAAGGGGAAGCTCCCCATCTGCTGGGTTTTACATTGTTGAGATATAGTATTTGTAATCTTTCGTAGAAATAAAGAGCTCTCCATAAATACATGTAAACGGGGAAGAGATTGTCATGGCTTTAAATGATAGGAATATGATTCCAAAGAAAAAAGGTAAAAATACTTAGAATCAAGATAAAGGAAAAATTAAAGAGAAATGTATCAGAATCCAGGAGATGATAGGTGCTGAAACTGGGATTTTTCATTTTGCATTACTAACCATGGAAAGTGGTATTTGATCAGTGTATTTTAGATTCTTCATAGCAAATTTCTCTTTCTCCCCTATCTTTTTTTTTTTTTAACAAAATGGGCTAGTAGTTCCTAGTCTCATTGCTTTAATAATTTAATTACTTTAATGATCTGAGAAAGACTGTGGAGGCTCACAGCAGCTAAATTTAAAAAGGTATTTAAATGTAAAATATTGAATGTAATTTTACAAATTTCTGAAGTATATCTTTGCCCCACACATTCTGAAAAAATTCATGCTCTAGATCTGTATCATTCATTTATGTTTCTACATGTAGTGCCTACACATTATGTGGTTTAATTAATGTGTTATTCAAGAACAAAGCAACAACTTAGCATTTCAACCAGGCATGGTTCTAGTACCAGATTTTTCATTTACACAAATATGTGATAATATATTTGTATTACTGAGATAATTTTTTGTATTTGTATTTTTATAGAAGATATATAAATGCATTCTCATACATGACATAAATACTTATGGAGGTAGGTCTATAGATTCTATCTGCTATAGATTTAGCACGTGCTAAATCTGTAGATATAGATTTAGCAGGTGCTAAATCTGTAGACATAGATTTAGCAGGTGCAAGTGCAGTTTTCTCACATGGATATATTTTGTAGTGGTGAAGTCTGGGCTTTTAGTGCATCCATTTCCCCAGTAATGAACATTGTACCCAATATATAAATTTTCTTTTTTCTTTTTTTCTTTTGTATTTTATTTATTTATTTATCTATTTATTTTTGAGATGGAGTCTCACTCTGTCACCCAGGCTGGAGTACAGTGGTGCGATCTTGGTTCACTGCAACCTCCGTCCCCCGAGTTCAAGCAATTTTCCCTGCCTCAGCCTCCTGAGTAGCTGGGATTACAGGCGCCCGCTACCACACCCAGCCAATTTTCGTATTTTTAGTAGAGACAGGTTTTTACCATGTTGGCCAGGCTGGTCTCAAACTCCTGACCTCAGGTGATCCACCTGCCTCGGCCTCCCAAAGTGCTGGGATTACAGGCATGAGCCACTGTGTCCAGCCCCAATAATGTCAGTTTTCAACTGACACCCCTCTCCTGTCCTCCCATTTTTTTTGGAATATCTAAAGTCTATTATTCCTTTCTGTGTGTCCACAGGTACCCATTGTTTAGCTCCTACTTATAAGTGAGAACAAGCAGTATTTGACTTTCTGATTCTGAATTATTTTACTTAAGATAATAGTCTCCAGCTTCATCCTCATTACATCAAAAGACATGTTTTCATTCTTTTTATGGTGGCATTGTATTCCGTGGCATATATATACACCACATTTTCTTATTTAATCATCCATTGATGGACATTTAGGTTGATTTTATGACTTTTGCTATGATAAACACACAAGTGCAGGTGTGTATTTTTGATATAGTGGTTTATAGAGGAACTCTGAGTAGTTACCCAGTAGTGCAATTGCTGGATCTAATGGTAGCTCTATTTTTAGTCATTTCAGAAATATTCATACTGTTTTCCATAGAAATTGTACTAATTTATGTTATTCTTCTCAGGCCACAGTGGAATGAAACTAGAAATTGACACCAAGAGGAACTCTCAAAACTATAAAAGTACATGGAAATTAAACAAACTGCTCCTAAATAATCTTTGGGCAAAGGAAATTAAGGCAGAAACTAGTTTTTTTGAAACAAATGAAAATACCAACACTACATACCAAAACTTCTAGTATGCAGCAAGAACATTGCTGAGAAGAAAGTTTATAGCATTAAATACCCACATCAAAAAGATAGAAAGATCTCAAATTAACAACCAAATGTTGTTGCAACTAAAGGAAGGAGAAAAACAAGAACAAACCAATTGCAGTACTAACATAATTTGCCTTTAGTATTCTCCAACTGGTATTTTCCCTGCTGGTTTGATTTTATTTCCATTTTACACGATCAGAGGCTTTGAAAAATATTTTTCTTAGGAGCAGAATCAAATATAAACAACTTCAAGTAACATCTGTCAAACCAAGGTCCTCTCCTGCCAATTCCACTATTGTTTATTGTTTTATTGAACAAATGTATTCACTGCAGCAGGTACAACTATTTTTGGACAATTGATGCTTTAACACTTTGCAGTTTGACAGGATGAGATGAAGATAAGTAATGATTTTTTTTGTGTGGAAGTATATTGAAGGACCCTGAAAACTGTATGGATTTGAGTATCTCCTATATAGGAGATATTACTCAGGACAGATACATAGCTGTTCTCAGTAATATAACTAAACAATTTACCATTTGAAATGAAAAGGAGTGACTATGGTTATTTATCCAAAGTTCATATTTATAAATCCAGATTTCTTCATCAAAACATGATATACGTTTGCCTTTCCATGAAGACCCTTTTGTTTTATATATTTATTGGGGAAATGTTGATACATATGCATATTTTTAGAAAACAGCATAGTGAATCCATGTGTCCGTCACCTAGGTTCAGTCATTACCAACCTGTGGCCACTTGTTATTCTTTTGTACACCCACAACCTGGCTGCCTCACCAATAGTCAGGAGTAAACCCCAACCCAAAGCAGTGTATTGAGTCATGTCTTGATCCAAACGCTAATCCATTTTCACCCATACCCTGCCCTTTCTCCTCTACCCTGGCCTGCTCATAATGCCACCTGAGTCTCTGCCCTTCTTTTTATTTTTTCTTCTAGTTGTACTGCTCTAATAGCCTGAGTATGCCACAAGACAGACCATTAAAGTCAGTGCTGCATACAGTCAACTCAAAGGGAGGAGATAGACCAGCTGTGCCTCCTGTCCGCCCCTCCTTTGCTGTCACCCATAGATTCATAGTCGTGGCTCCATAAAGGCTATAGGAGAACACCTGGTGCATGTGAAGATCACCCTTCTGCTGTTGTGGCTGCAGGTGTTTTTGTTTCTTTCTGGATGGCCCCATTAGGCACTTTCAACACCACAGCCCCCCAGAAGTGGTGATACTTCTAAAGGTAACTGGCACTTGTGGAGTCATGGAAACCCCAGGTTGGTTCTCCTATAGTCTGAAATTTGGGGTCCAGAGACACACTGTCCAAATCAAGGTCAAGAAGTCTTTAACTTCTAAACACCTCCAAGTGTTCACCTACACAGAGCAGGGTACTCTCCTTGAGGTTTTTGTCCAGAATGACTGCTGCTATCATGGTTACATGGAAGGGAACCCCGAAACCCTGGTTGCTCTTAGCAAAGCCCTTGTATTGAGATAAAGGTATTTGATAAAAAGGTAAATGTCATTGTTTATGAAATTAAGCCCAAAAGACTTTCTACCACATTTGAACATCTGGTATGTTCCCACCCATGAAATGCGGATTAACAGAAGGAGAAATAGCAAGACCAAGTTTCAAGAGAGTGATAATTTCCCTTTCATGCAAAGTGGATATAAGGGCTGGTGGAGTCACAAATGGATCCTTGAACTGGCAGTGGTGGTAGACTATAAACAATTCTTCTATCAGCAATGTAATATCTGAAAAGTTCAGGAGGAAGTAGTCATGGTTGTCCATGAAATAAGTGCTTATTTAACCACATTGGACATTGATGTGGTTTTACTTGGAACTGAGGTCTGGAATGCCACCCCTGTCTCTGCAGAAAAAAATCCATTTCTGGGACAATTTTGAGAATTAAAAAAACAGCTTTAATTCTTGCATACACCATAATGCTGCACATGTTTTTGTAAGACACAGATACCCTAAATATCTTGGCTTAGATTTATTATGTTGGAACAATATGCAGTCTTCCTCTTAATTGTGGAATTAGTAGTTTCATAGGTGACACATTTTCTTTTTTTTGCATTGATTGTGTTACATGCACTTGGTTATAATTTGGGAATGGAGTACAATAACAAAACCAAAGTCCATGAGGACAAAAAATGATACATAATGTTTGAAATAGTAACATATGAAAGTAGGTATAGCAGTTGCAGTTACAGTTATGCTAAGTTAGTGGCCACCACTGTTAAAAAAAAATTAAAGAGGTACTTATACAATTCACCAAATCCTGAGGTCATCTTCACAAAGCCATGCTGTATGAATGGTGTGGTTGAAGAAAATGAGGATTATGACTGTGGTTCTTTACAGTTGTGTAAAAAAGATTCACGTGGTTTGGCGAACTGCACTCTGAAACCTGGGGCTGCTTGTGCTTTGGGGCTTCGTTGCAGTTCATCCCATCAGGTAAGGTGTGCAGAGAACAGGACAATGGATGTGATCTTCCAGAGCAGTGAAACAGAACTTGCATAATTGTCCAGAAGATGTGTATGTGCAGGACAGGGTTCCTTGCGTGATCGGAGGCTACTATAAAAAAGAGATGCAATATCCATGATAAATGGAGCAGACAAACTTTTGGCAAAAGGTCAAGAGTGCAAAGAATTTTTGCAAAGAATAGCAAAAATTTACAATTTCAGAACATAAACTCAATCCTTAATGAAATTTCCCCATGTTAATTACGTGTCCTGGAAGTAGAAATGTTAGTGTCTATTTAGCATATATGCCAGAGACCATTGAAAGAAAATCCCAGAGATCTATTAAAGGATCATAAACATTAGCCATTAAATAAAGGGCATTTCTATTACATCTCTGCTTTTCATTATTTTAAGCATATTTTCTGATTTACTTTCCATGGAATTAGTCTCCTTGTGTATCCCAAGCAAAGGCACAGCTCATGAGTGTCAGTGACATGTGTTCATGTGTGCATGTGTGCCTGTGTATGTGAGTGTGCCTGTGTGTGTGTATGCGTGTGTGTTGCTATCTCTCAATTCCAACTTTCTTCCTCTATTTACTCTGCTTTGTCACAGGGAAAATGGGAAATTAAAAATCACATATCTTCTTTGTCAGTCCTCCCCTTATTAGTATCTGCCAACGAATGGAGCTAGAGGGAGACTGGAAAGCTGAGAGAACTGTTTGATGGATGTTTATGTCCATGTTTCCTCAGTAACAGCTTTCACCTTGACAGCATCAGTAGCTTTCAGTCTGCATGTTATTAATATTGTTAGAAGAAAAACTTTGGGAAAATTAAATTCAGTAGAGTTTGTTTACATAAAGTGTAGCTCATAAATTGGGCAGCACTCAGAAACAGAAGTTCAAAGAGCTCCACTCAGCAGTGGGGGCAGGTAGTACCTATAGACAGAAAATTAACATGATGTACCATAACAACTTGATTGATCTCAGCTGGGCATTGGCCTTATTTGGGCATGAGACGATGAGACAGTTGCCATATATGGACATGTTCTGATCGGTTGGCTGCTGTATTAGTCCATTTTCACACTGCTATAAAGATACTACCCAAGACTGGGTAATTTATAAAGCAAAGAGGTTTAATTGACTCACATTTCTGCATGGCTGGGGAGGCCTCAGGAAACTTACAATCATGGTAGACAGGAAGCAAGGTACATCTTACATGATGGCAGGTGAGAGAGTGTGAGTATGTGTGAAGAAGGCACTGTCAAAGACTTATAAAACCACCAGATCTTGTTAGAACTCACTCACTATCATGAGAACAGCACGGGAGAAACCACCCCCATGATCCAATCACCTCCCTCCCTCAACACATGGGGATTACAGGTCCCTTCCTCTACATGTGGGGAATTAAGGATTACAATTTGAGATGAGATCTGGGTGAGGTCCCAGAGTCAAACCATATCAGCCACGTATGATTAATTAAAGCTCAGCTGCTGTAATTGACTGGGACTTAGATATTTGTTATAAGATTATACTCTTAAGTTAGGCTGCAGTTTGTTTATACACTAAGTTAGGCTGCAGTTTTCTACATAGGGAGTTAAAGTAGGGAGGCAGCTTTAGGAAAATTTTAATTAAATTTAATGCTATATATATTTAGTAACTTCTGGATCCAACAGTATTTTCATTCCCAGAGATACCAGCACAGCTACCAAGCAACTTACCTTCAGAATTCTGAGTCCTAGGTCATTGAGCCCTCCACCAAATTCCAAAGGTTTCAGCAGCAGGTTGGCTCTGCTCTCTCCTCAGTGGTTGGAGCCCTAGAACAACAAGAGCTATTCCAACTCTGTAGGTTCCAGGAACCCCAACCCCTTCCCTTTGATCTCTACTTCTAGTAGTGATAGCTACATCTTGTTAATGCTTGTGATTATCTCAGGGTGTGGTTTCTCATTTTGTGAGAACTCTAAGTGACATAGTACCTACCTAGGTACAATGGAGGACCCAGGAAGAAGCTAGACAACAGAAGGTTTTTGATATGGTTTGGCTGTGTCTCCACCCAAATCTCATCTTGAATTGTAGCTCCCACAATTTCCATGTGTCATGGGAGGGACCTAATGGTAGGTAATTGAATCATGGGGGTGAGTTTTTCCTGTAGTGTTCTCATGATAGTGAATAAGTCTCACTAGATCTGACAGTTTGATAAAGGGGAGTTTCCCTGTACATGCTCTCTCTTGCCTGCTGCCATATAAGATGTGACTTTGCTCCTCATTTGCCTTCTGCCATGATTGTGAGGCCTCCCTAGCCATGTAGAACTGTGAGTCCATTAAACCATTTTCCTTTATAAATTACCTAGTCTTGGGTATGTCCTTATTACCAGCATGAGAACAGACTAAGACAGTTCTGAACTTTTCTTAGTACCACCTTTGACCATTTTGGGGAAATGATTTAAAGTTAGATAGAATTTCTTCAAAATCTGAAATGAGAAGATGATAACATCGCTAAACTTCTTTGTAATATTGCTTATAAAATAGGATAAAGAAGATACTTAGAATTCTATGTAGGATGTATGAAATCTTGGTTTCTTTGGGAAAAGAAAAGTCTGGAAAATCCCAATTAACCAATCATATTTTAAGGCTGTCAGAGGACTGTGTAAGCAATGAGGACTAAGTGAATGAAAATGTTAGGCATGGAATGCAATTCTGAAATAAGTTAAATTTGCAGCCATGTTTCCCTCTGGAGCACTTGCAGATGCTGAATGTGAATTGAGGATTAGGCTTGACCCAGTTAGGAGACCTCTGCTGAGAAAAAGAGAAACCACCAATCCTCTTAGTTACTACACCAGATTCATAAATTAGACATTTTGGAGCCTTCAATTCATAATGAATTTCCCCTAAATCACATTTGCTATATTTGAAGCCTTCGTGGGATGCTGGTGAGTTAATTTGAAATTTCAAAAAAGAATAGTTTCCTGAAATCATGTCATATTTTGGACATTAGTCATGGTAATACAGGGCTTGTCTCAAGCACAAGTGTGTCTCTTCCTAAGATATTTATTTGATTTTGAACTTGCATGTGGCAAGAGGCTGGAGAGCTGGCTTCTGGACCCTTAAATGATGGCGATTAATCCCCATAATCTTTCAGAGCTGAGGAAATAGAGCCACATAAACTCCCAATTGAAAGTCTAGCAGGCTCAGACCTGAGCAATATAAACAAATGAGAATTAGTCCAAGATTTACCAAAAACTCCTGATTCATTTAGGTAATCAAGTCCTCAGCCTATCTTTCTAACAGAAGAAAGAGGAACAAATCTTTAGTGGAGCCACCTGGAGCTCCTATGGTTGCTTTTTACATAATGACTAGCATACAATAAAATATTTCCATACATGCTAAGAGTAAAAAAAATCATGACCTTGTATTAGATAATAAACAAAGCAGAAGAAAATAAAGGAAAGAAACAGAAGGAGAAACTATAAGTGTGGTCAAGATAATCCAAACAGTGGACCAAGAGTACATTTAAAAAATGACTATGATTAATGTTTCAAAGAAGGAGAAAAATGTATAAAATATAAGAAAGAATATAAAATATCTCTTTACATTGAATTGGACATTATCAAGTAAATATTTTAGAACTAAAATTACAGTATATTATAAGAACTCAGTAGATGGGTTAAACAGTAGACTGGATCAGATTACAGAATCACTCAACTGAAAGACAAGTAGGTCAATGGAAAAATTCCTACACTGAAGCACACAAAAAAAGCATAAAAGTAAGAAAGTAAGAGGTGTACAGAATATACAAAAAGTTCCCACATTCATAATATTGGAGTTCCAGAGAAAGCATAAAGAGATAATTAAATAGAGATAATATTCAAAGAGCTGTTTTTAAAAAATCTTTTAAAGGAAAGAAAGGTTTCAACCCACTGCTTCAAACCAGGTCACATACTTCTCAGGGGCATTAATAATATTTTTTTCTTGTTTATTTTCTTCAGAGAGATTTCTGCTTGCTAATAATCTGTCTTCAAGTTTGTTTATTCTTTCTTTCTTCTGTTTGCTCAAATCTTCTGTTTATTTCCTCTATAAAATTATTTATTTTAATTATCATACTTTTTACCTTAAAAACTTAAAATTGATTATTTTATATAATTTATAGCTTTTTTTTTTTTTTTTTAAGATAGAGTCTCACTCGGTCACCCAGGCTGGAGTGCAGTGGTGCGATCTCAGCTCACTGCACCCTCCACCTCCCGGTTTCAAGCCATTCTCCTGCCTCCGCCTCCTGAGTACTTGGGATTACAGGCACCCACCAACATGCCCGGCTAATTTTTGTATTTTAGTAGAGACGGGGTTTCACCATGTTGGTCAGGCTGGTCTCAAACTCCTGACCTCGTGATCCACCTGCCTCGGTCTCCCAAAGTGCTGGGATTACGGGGGTGAGCCACCGCACCCGGCCAATTTCTACCTCTTTACTGATATTCAGAGTTGCTTTTTGTATAGCCAGTGTTTGATCAGAAATTGTGCTTAATCCAGTAGACTCAGTGATTCTCCTATACTTTGCTAACAGATTTGACTGTGGCCTGAAGAATTCTTCAAGTCTGTAATATTTCATGCTCTGATTGTAATGGGTGCACCGTGGCACATGTGCACAGCCCTCTGACATTCTATTATGACTGTCTTCCCAGGAGAAATCTTTCTGGCTGTCTCTTTACCTTGTTCTCTCTTTTAAACTTCTGGTTAGGTTGCCATTTTGCTTATTGCTGTGAAGTTCATGAAGTTACTGGCCCTTTATTAATTGCTTGCCACCCAACCTCCACTATTTTCTTTTTGTTTTTTATTATTATACTTTAAGTTTTAGGGTACATGTGCACAATGTGCAGGTTAGTTACATATGTATACATGTGCCATGCTGGTGTGCTGCACCCATTAACTCATCATTTAGTATTAGGTATATCTCCTAATCCTATCCCTCCCCCCTTCCCCCACCCCACAACAGTCCCCAGAGTGTGATGTTCCCCTTCCTGTGTCCATGTGTTCTCATTGTTCAATTCCCACCTATGAGTGAGAACATGCGGTGTTTGGTTTTTTGTCCTTGTGATAGTTTACTGAGAATGATGATTTCCAATTTCATCCATGTCCCCACAAAGGACATGAACCCATCATTTTTATGGCTGCATAGTATTCCATGGTGTATATGTGCCACATTTTCTTAATCCAGTCTATCATTGTTGGACATTTGGATTGGTTCCAAGTCTTTGCTATTGTGAATGGAACCTCCACTATTTTCAACAATGTCCTTATTCATGAACTTCTGCATTTTCTAGTAAATAAGGTCAGTCTCCTCAGTCAGAGCTAAGACCTCTTGGTCCTTCTGAGTAGAACATCTGTGACACTATACAGGAGTTGGAACTGGGAACAGTGAACCACTCTACTGGAGTGATATCTCCTTTCTACAAGAGGGTATGGAATGAAGACAGTAGACCGTGGTCTTCTTGGCTTGCTCCTCCTGGCATAGAACCTCTGATCTATAAGCACACTGGGGCAAGGAAAACAGAGGACTCAGTAATCTAGGCGTGTTGTGCCTGGGGAAGAACTCTCACCCTATGAGTGGAAGCTGGGTGGTTGACCTGGTTCATGGTAACACAAAATATAGTTTTTATGACAGGAAGCTGGAGATGGAATTAGGTAAGTCTGATATTTGTTCTTATTCGGGTGAATCCATCGCACTAGCCTCAGAGCTTGGGGTTGAGTGAACCCTCTTTTTCCTGGTCTCATCTGTACAGAATATAGACAGTATCATGGATAAAGGTCAAGTGCCACAGATTTTTTTCTCTTCTACCAAGATTTAGAAGATTTGTTCCGGTAAATATTTCTCCAATTGTTGTATGATCTTAGGACAATCGTCAGCAACATTAAACATTTTTAAATTTTTCATCATTTGAATTGTTGTTGTGTGGAGAAAAGGGTCTGTCAAGCTCTTCATATAGTTACTCTGAAACTTCCATCCCCATGGCATTTTGAAGAAAAAGAAAAATGTGGTATTTTGAAGGAGAAGAAAAACACTATCAGATATTCAAGCCTATTATAAAGCTGTGGAAATTAAAATAGATACTAAGCAGTGAAGTAGAATAGAGAGGCCAAATCACCTTTTCAGTAGCTTTTGTTGGGTCCATTGATACCCATGTAAAAATGATGTATCTTTATCACTACCTCAAACTGTACCCTAAAGCCAATTTCAGATTGATTTAAGATGTCAATGTCAAAGAGATATCAATAGATCTATTAAAGGAAAACACAGACCGATGACTTGTGACCACAGAATCAGCAAACTTACTTTAAAAATTGAATAAGTTAAAAATATTTGATATATAAGACATTAAAAATAAGAGTGTCTACTCTTCCAAAAACACCATTAAAAGAATGAAAACACAAATCCTTTATTTATTTGGAGAATATATTTGCAAAATGTATCTATGGGAAAAGATTCATATACAGTGCGAAATATATAGGACTTGCTGTAGAATGAATGTTTGTGTTCTCCCCAAATTAATATACTGAAACCCTAATCCTAAATGTGATGGTATTAGGAGACATGGCCTTTGGGAGATGATTAGGTCATGAGGGTGGAATCCTCATGAGACTGGGGGCCTTAAGAAAGAGACCCTGGAGATTTCCCTGACTTCCTTCTGCTACATAGGACACAGCTAGGAGTTGGATATATACGAACCAGGACTTGGGCCTGCACCAGGCACTAAATCTGCCAGTGTCCTGATCCTCAATTTCTCAGCCTCCAGAACTGAGAGAGATATACTTCGATTGTTTATAAACCACTCAGTTTATGGTATTTTGCAATAGCAGCCCTGAACTGACTAAGACAACTCCTTCAAAATATTAAGGTTAGAGAAAGACAAACCTACAGAAAATTGGACAAAGAAATCTGTCATTTCTCCAAAGAGAGTATCTAGTGGCCCATGGGAATATGAAAAGGCAATCAACTTTTTTTTTTTTTTTTTTTTTTTTGAGACGGAGTCTCGCTCTGTCGCCCAGGCTGGAGTGCAGTGGCGGGATCTCGGCTCACTGCAAGCTCCGCCTCCCGGGTTCACGCCATTCTCCTGCCTCAGCCTCCCGAGTAGCTGGGACTACAGGCGCCCACCCCCACGCCCGGCTAATTTTTTGTATTTTTAGTAGAGACGGGGTTTCACCGTTTTAGCCGGGATGGTCTCGATCTCCTGACCTCGTGATCCGCCCGCCTCGGCCTCCCAAAGTGCTGGGATTACAGGCGTGAGCCACCGCGCCCGGCCGGCAATCAACTTTTTAATTATCAGAGAAATGGAAATTTAATCTGCAATTTGATAATATTTTCCAAACAGTATGGCTAAAATTAAAATTTTGGAATGTATCAAAGGTTAGCAAGGATATGGATTAATTAGAACTCTATTATATTGGTGTTAGTTGTGGAAATTGGTCGAAAAACATTGGATAATTGCTTTGATCTGTCTGCTAAACAGGAGCATGTCATGTATTCTGATGAATTGCAATCTGAGTTATAGGCTAGACATAAGTGCCTCCATATTTTTACTGAGGGACATGAACTAATATGTTCATAGAAATATGCATCATGGTAGCTGAAAGCTGGCACCCACCATATAAATGCTCATCAGTGTTAGCCTAGATCAATAACTTACAGCATATTCACATGCTGAAATAGTATAAAGGAATAAGAAAGAATGTTCTACAAATGTTTGCTACAACATGGATAAACTTACCAAAAAATGAATGAAATAAATCAGCTACAAAATAGTACATACATATTACATTATTCCACTTATATAAAGCAAAAAACAGGTGAAAGTAATCTATGCTGTTAAAACTGAGGATAGAATTTATTCTTGCAGAGGGGTTAAAAAGGGGAAGCAACACAAAGTATACATATTTTATTTACATGCAATTTTTAATAATATAAAACACAGAAAGAATTAGGTAACAAAAAATGTAAGTTTCAAAAACAAGACCTTCAGAAACCTTTTCCTATGTACTTCTCAGCCAACCTTAACTACATTAGCTTTTTTCCTTATTTGGGTGTGGAAACAAGTCATGCCTTCTGAAATATACTTCTAAAATTCAGTACCCAAATATATGTTTAATTATGGTAGGTGGAGATGTATCTGTTTTAGTCCATAGCATATTTTTAATATAAAATGAGAGGTTTACGAAATAAAACTAACAATCTAAGTAAAAAGTTGAGTCAGGAAAATTACTGTACAAAACGAAAGTCATCTAATTATAGATAGATAGGAAACTATACTACAGAGTGCACAGGAAACAGATTAAATATGTAAAAACAGCTTGCTCATCATTAATTAATAGCACCAGTATTTTGAAATAATAGGAAATATTGACTTGGGAAAGAAATGTAGCATAAAACACAATTCCCTTAGTTATTTTTAAATCATCTTGATTTAAATGCAGGCAAGCAGTGTATATTACCTCTCCAATTTATGTATCATGTTGGCTCTAAGTTCAATAACATTTAAAAAATTATTTTAAAACAGTTTTGGTGAGGTATAAAGTCCATACTTTGTACAGATTTCTTTTTTTTCCCCACAGTTCTTTTTCTGTAGTAGAGTCCCATCTGGGAGACCACATTACAGGTGGTCGTGTCTTCTTAGGCTCTTCTTGGCTGTGACTATTTTGCAGGCTTTCCTGACTTTTGATGGCCTTGATATAATTGAGGAATGTTGCTCAGGTGTTTTGTAAAAGTTTCTCTAATTGGGGGTTTTCTTTTTGAGGTTAAACAGAGTTTTGAGTATGAAGGAGGAAAATGACAGAAGTAAAGTACCGTTTTTATCACACCATGTCTAGGGTGCATGATGTCAACATGACATATCTATGATGAGGCTAGCCTTTGTCACTTGGCTTAGGTAGTCTTTCTCAGATTTCTCTACTGTAATGTGACTCTCCCTTCCTCATTTCCATACTGTCACCATTGGAAATAAGACTGTGTATGTCCCAAAGTTAAGGGGTGGGCAGTTGAGCGCTGATCCAAACATTTTTATGCAGGTTTTGTGTAGACATGTTTACAATTCCACTGTATAAATACATAGAAAGATTTCTGGATCTCGTAGTAAGACTATATCTAGCTTTATAAGAAAGTGCCAAACTGTCTTTGAAAATGGTTGGACTATTTTGCATTCATAGCAGCAATGAAAAAGAGTTCTTGCTCTGCATTCTCTGCACAATTTGGATTTTATAGTTTTGAGGTTTTAGCCAGTTTAACAATTGTATAGTGGTTTCTCATTTATTGTTTTTAATTTTCATTTCCCCAGTAACAAATATATGCATTTTTTTCATATTTTATTTATAGTTCATTTATCTTCTTTGGTGAGGTGTCATCTGTTTGGATCTATGTTTTCTTTCTAATTGGGGTTTTTCTTTCTTATTACTGAGTTGTAAGAGCTCTTTGTATAGCTTCATAATCAGTCTTTTACCAAATACTTGATTTACAAAAGTTTTTACAGTTTGAAACTTGTATTTCTTAATAATACGGTCTTAGAACAAAAATGTTTTAATTTAAAGTTTAACAATGTTTCTATTCATAGATTATATTTTTTGTATTGAATCTAAGAATTCATTACCAGTCCCATCTTCTGTAGATTTTTTCCCATGTTTTCACCAAAAAGTGTTATAATTTTTCATTTTACATTGATGTCTATGACTCATTTTGAGATGATTGTATAAGAATTTATTTTAGATTCTTTTCATATAGACATCCAATTGTTCCAGCAAAAATTTTAGCCATTCTCCATCAAAGTGTCATTTTGCCTTTGTCAAAATTGGTTGAATATATTTATATGGATTCATCTCTCTTTCTGATCTCTCTATTCGATTTCACTGATCAATGTATTTATTCTCTCACCAGAATCCTTCTGTCTTGACTAAAGTAGCTTTATGATAATCGGAAAATTGGGTCATGTGGGTCTTCTATTTTTGTTCTTTTTCAGAATTGTGTTGGCTATTTCAGGTTCTTTGCTTCTGTATCCAGCTAAGAACCAGGATGTCAGTATCTCTAAAAACCTTATTGAGATTTTGACTGTGATTGTACTGAATCTACAGATCACTCTGACAAATTAACTTCTTAATAATAAGTCTTCTGATTCATGAACATAGAATAACTTTCCATTTATTTAGGTCTTTAATTTTTTCAATCAGTGTTTTATATCTTTCCATATATAAATCCTGTACACTTGTACATATTTTGGAAGATTTTTGCCCAAGTACTTCCAGTTTTTATAAAATTTAAAATTGCATTAAACAACTCCACTTTTACATTGTTGATATATAAATAAAAAATTAACTTTTATAAATTAATATTGTTTCATATGACCTAGTTATGCTGGCTTACTAGTTCTAGGATTTTTTAGGATACTTTGAAGGTAATTACATAGACATCATGTCATCTGCAAATTCACAGATTTATTTTTTTCCTTCCAATATATAGACCTTATATCTTATTGGCCTGGCTTATTGCACAAGCTAAGATGTCCAATATAATGTTGAAGAAGGATCTCAGAAGAGGATATTTTGCCCAGTTCATGATGTTAGAGAGAAAGTATTTCATCTTTAACCATTAAATATAGTGGTAGCTATAAATTTTTCATATATACCATTTATTACATTAAGGAATTTACTTGTTTTTCTTTTGTTCTTATATTTTTGAGAATTTTGTATTTTTAAAGGATGCTAATATTGTCTATTTTTTCTACATTTACAGAAATAGCCATGCAGTTATTCTGAACTACAAAGACTGGTTTACATATGTTTAATCAGTCTGCATTTTTGTAATGAATTCCCCTATTAAAACTACCTGTGATTGTGTTTTATTTTTAGAAGTGTTTAACTCTGAATTGTATAGCTTTTATAGATATGGAACTATTCCAGTTATACATTTTTTTCTTAAGCAAGTTTAGCAGTTTGTGTCTTCTGTGAAATTTGTACGATCTAAGTAATAAAATTCATGGCATATAGTTTTTCAAAGTATTCCTTTGTTATCCTTTTAGTGTCTGTTGAATCAGCACTAATGAAACCTCTTTCATGACTGATGTTGTCAATTTGTGTCCTTTCCATTTTTTTCCCAATTAGCCTGACTAGAAGTTTCTTAATATTATTAATTTTTTTTTGAAAAATCAGTTTTGGGTTTTCATAATTTTTTCTATTTTTAAAAATTTGAATTCCTTTTATTTCTGCTATATTTTGTATTATTTTTATGGTTAATTTAACTTTAATATGCTATTACTTCTGCACTTTTCTAAGGTAGAATTTAGGAAGTTATTAATTGAATTAAGTAATTAATTCTAATTTAAGTTTTTAAGTCATTAATTTTACTTTATTTTCTTTTTTATATGTGCACTTACTGGTATAAATTTCCCTCATAGGTACTGCTCTTGCTACATCAACCAAATTCTCATGTTATTTTCATTCTCATTTAGTTCAAAATATTTTTAAATTTCTCTTGAGGCTTCTTTGACTCATGTGTTATTTGGAAGTGTGTTGATTACTTTCCAACTATTTGGATATTTCTAGTCATTTTTTTATTATTCTTTTCAAGATTAATTCCATTGCATCCAGAGAAAAATATGTTGCATGATTTCTCTTCTTTTAAATTTTTTCAGATGTATTTTATGGCACTTAATTGTGATCTACCTTGGTGAATATCAACGAAAAATTGAGAAATATGTATACTACTGTTTTGGGATGGGATGTTCTATAGATGTTATTTAGATCAAATGGATTATTTATTTTCAGGTATCTATATCCTTGTTGGTTTTCTGCCTGCTTTACCTATCAATTACGGATGTGAGACAGGGGAAGGGATATTAAGTTCTACAATTATGATTATGGATTTGTCACTTTCAAATTTCATTTTCATCAGCTTTAGCCTCAAGTAGTTTGAAGCTTTGTTGTTAGGTACATACAAGCTAGAATTGTATTATTTTTGGAGAACTGACTTCTTTATCATTATGCAGTGGACCTCTTTATCCATGATAATTTTCTTTCTTCAAAATGTTACTTTATCTAAAATACATTTGTTACAGCTTTCTTTTGCTTATCGTTAGCATGGTAACTTTCTCCATGCTTTTAACTTGAAACTGTAAGAATTTTTATATTTAAAGTGGGTTTATTGCTGACAGATATAGTTGGGGCTTGTATTTTTATCCAGTCTGACTATAACTATAATTGTTAGAACACTCATATTCAAAGTGATTATTGATATAGTTGGATTGCAATGTACTACACTTATTTATAATATTTTTCTATTCATTAAACTTGTTCTTTGTTACTTGTTTTCCAGCTCTTTTCTACCTTGTCTGGTTTTTAATTAGGAATTTTATGTGATTCCATTTTATTTGGTATATCAGTTATACTTTTTTTTTTACATTCTTTTGATGAAACTTGGTTTGCATTACATGTTGTTAAATAATCTTAGTTCATCTTGAAATAACACATAATGTAGAGATCATATAGTAGTGTGTTTCATATTGTCCCTTCTGTCTTCTGATTCATGAACATAGAATACCTTTCCATTTATTTAGGATTAACAATTAACAATTGTTAATCCTAAATAACAATTTAGGATTGTTCTCTTCTGATATTGTTTTCATTACCTTAGTTATCCATATTCTATAATCATCCAATATATTGTTATCATTGCTTTAAGCAAACAGATATTAACTCAATTAAGAAAAATAAAAAGAGATTTTTACTTTACTTTAAATCATTCTTTCTTTGATATTCTTTTTCATGGAAATTCAGGATTCTGACTTATCCCATTCTCCTTCCTCCTGAAAAACTTTAAGTGTTTCCTGCATGGGAGGTCTGTTGCCAATAAATATCCTCAGTTTGGGCTTAAGAATGACATTATTTATCATTCATTTCTAAAGTATAATATGTAGACATGAAATTCTAGATTGGTAGGATTTATTTTTCAATACTTTAAAGATTTGTCTCTATTATCTTCTTGTTTCCATTATTTCAGTAAAGAATTGGCTGTCATTCTTATCCTAAGGGTTCTGTAAGTGCCTCTCATCCAGCAGCTTCCTTCCAGACTTTCTATTTGTCTTTTTTTCCCCTCCACAGTTTTAGTACAATGTTTTTATGTGGTGTGTGTGTGTGTGTGTGTGTGTGTGTGTGTGTGTGTGTTTAATCTTTACCATAGTTGGTGTTTTCTGAGCATCCTGATCTGTGGATTAATTTCGTGTCCTCAATTTTGGTCATTATTACTTTCTAGTTTCTTTCCCTCTAGTATTCCCATTACATATATGTTACTCTTTTGATATTGTTCCACAATTCCTGAGTGTTCTTGAATGTTTATTTCTTTATCTTTTTTTTTTCTTTTTGTGTTACAGCTGAGAAGTTACTATAGACTTGTCTTCAAGGTCAGTTATTCTTTCCTCACTTGAGTTTACTGACTACCTCTTCAAAAGCATTAATTTCTGCTAATATGTTTTAGGCTTTAAAAACATTTAAGAAAATTTCTACCTTTTAAAAAACTCCTTTTTGTTTCCAGTGTGTATACAGTTTCCATCTGTATTTCCAGAACTAGTTTGTGTAGATACCAAACCAGATTTTTGTTTTACGAAATTCACCAGTGAAACAATATTGTGCTGAGTTTCTCTGTAGAAAGGTTGTTGACAATGAAGCCAATATAGAACTATTTGTATTTTCTGTTTCATCTTGTGTCACTTTGTTAATGTGTTTTTTTAAAAATTTATTAATTATACTTAAGTTATCATAAAGGTGTCATAAACATGTTTATACTATTTTTTGAGCTATTATATGTCTACAGAATTTACAGGAATAATCTCTCTGCTGTTCTTGATATTGATCATTTCCATTCACTTAGTTTTTTCTTGATTGATCCACCTAGGTTTTTACCCATTTTCCTGCTGTTTGAAATGATAAACTTATTCTGTTCCTTTTTTTCTGTATCCTTTAGTTTGAAATATTCAGTAACTTATATTGTGATTACTTCTTTATGCATGGATTATTTAGAAGTTGTTTAGTTTACAAATTATTGCATCTCATAATATATTATTATTATGTATTTAAACATTAATTTTATTGTTATCAATCAATATAGTAAGTGTGATTTCTTTTTTTAAGTATTTAGAGTTGTTTCTTAATGCTGTACATGATCTCACACTGAGCATGTACCATGTGCCATGAGTTTTCTGCCTCTGTTAGGTGTATTGTTTCAAGTATACATTTGGTCATACTGCATGACAGAGGTTTTAAGAATACCTATTTCTTTAATAATTTTTTCTCTAGTTGTTCTATGTGGTATTTCATTATATGGCTGTGCCAAGTTTTGGTTATCCATTTACCAGTTGATAAACAATGGATTATTTTCAGGTTTTGGCTCTTATGTAAAATCTCTCTATAATCACCAAGTACATATCTTTGTGTGGTTATATGTTTTTATTTCTCTTAGGTCACATGGAAAATTTATGTTCAAATTTTTATAAAAACAAGCACACTATTTCTGAAATTGTCT
Organism: Homo sapiens; assembly: GCF_000001405.40. NCBI lineage: Eukaryota > Metazoa > Chordata > Mammalia > Primates > Hominidae > Homo > Homo sapiens. The sequence goes on from NC_000004.12 coordinate 175,590,580, forward strand.
ACAACATATTACATTTCCACAAGCAACATGTAATACCTTGCTTTTTCACATCTTCATCAAAAGTCAGTATTGTCTTTATTTTACAATAGTTTTCCTTGTACATATAGTGGTATTTCTTTCTGGTTTAAATTTACATTTCCCTAATGACTAATAATGTTGAAAACTTTTTCATAAGCCTTTAAGCCACTCATAGATCTTTACTGAATGTCTACACAAATCTTTTGTCCATTTTATGGGTTTTGGCTTCCTATTAACAAGTTATAAGAATTTATTAGATATTCTGAATACAAGTCCTTTACAGATATATTATTTGTAAGTATTTTCTTCCAGTCTGTAGGTACACACACACACACACACACACACACACACTTCATATATAAATATCTTAAGAAGAGAAAATTGATTGAAATAAATACCTAGTTAAAATATAAGAGCTAAGGAATCTCTGCTCATAGCAGGTAGAAGAAAATTGCTGCAGAGATAATTCTTCCTAAAATAAATAACCAAAAAAAAAAATCAAATTGGCTCAAAACTAACAATCCACAAATTTGTAGACTAAATTGAGGCCTGGGGGAGTCAGCAGGATGACTAATTAAAAATGAATTCAATAAAGCTGTGAAAATTGGAATAAGCATCTGTCTTGAATAGACTACACATTTAAATATATGAATCAGGAGGCTTGAAAATGATGTTATTATTTCATTTGTTTTTATCTATGTTCATTAAAGTACGCTGTGCTGATAATATATTTTTAAATTATCTTTTTATTTCAAAATTGTCATTTTATAATCATTTTATACATGTCAGTAGATACTTTGTATTTTCTTGTTCATATATATTTTAGATTTTAATCATGAAACATTAACATTTATTAATATAAAATAGCTACTGAAAAAAGATAGAAAAATGAGAGACAAAATAAAGCTAATAAAACATATATGCTAGTAGTGAGGGCATCTTTCTCAAAATTTTGATATCTGAAATGCCTCAAATAATATAGCCACATTTTCTTGATTATCAGGGAAATGTCTGCTATATTGTATAAATTATGTATTCAGGAATAAGCATGAAGTGATTCAAAATGGCATTTCATTTGAAATGTAGTAAGTCCTCACCTGATGTCATTGATAGTTTCTTGAAAACTGCAAATTTAAGTGAAACGATATACTGTGAAATGAAACCAATTTTACGATAGGCTAATTGATATAAACAAGAGTTAAGTTGCTATGGCATACAGCACATCATTTTGCTTAAAGTCAGAGTTTCCAAGAACCTATCAACAACACTAAATGAGGACTTACTATAGATGCGTCAAATATCTGGCTCATCTGATCATGAACTATCTAATTAGAAAAGAAGGAAAAACCACCTCTACTTTTCTGACCTAGAATAACTTATATTCTATTTTGTTAGGAAGATGAGAGAAGAAGAAAGTATGGATATAAAACAAGACTGAGCTCTGCTTCCCATTAGAGTACAAGAGGATGGTGTCATACACAATTATATACATGGAAAAATGATTTTATTTTTCCTTTGTGCCTCCCTGGTGAAAGACATGCCTGCCTTCACTGGAAATCAATATTGTAGTTATCATTGGCTTATTGAACATGTCAATATGCAATTGTCTTGCTTTATCCAAAAATCTTTAATCATTTCTAAATTATTAGATGAAATACATAAATACAAGTCGATTAAGCTATACAGAGAAATAAATATGAAAAAGTTTTATCTATATAAGACCTCAAAATTTGATAAAGTGTAAATTGCCCTGTTTTATAATTGCGTTTATTTAAAGACCTGCTATTTATATTTTTCTCCACACACTTTATGAAAAGAGCAAAAATCAGATGTGCATACCAAGTGTGCAAGTTCAGCTCCTAAAGGTCAAAGTTTATTCACTATACAACTTTACTAAACCTTACTCTTCTGCTTTTCTATACACAATTTCCTTGGAAAATACCCAAATAAGCAAATCATATTTTACCTCATGCAGTGATTATTAGACTATCATCTTTATCGGTCACATCTTAGACTATCATATTTACTGGTCATGTCTCTCCATTTTCAATACTCTGCAACAGGAATCAGATGTTACTGCCTAACTGACCTTGTTTCAGAGGCATTTTCATTATGATATCTCCTATTTAGAAATATTAGATTCTCATCTATTTTGGTTAGGACAAAGTAAACATGCTTTATATCAGATCTTAAAATGTATTGAAATCTAGCCTCACACTACACAGATATTAATCTGAAAAATAGACTTTAGCATTCTTCTCATCATTTCGTTTGTACATTAAGTCATTCCTCTTACCAGAAGCTTTCTTCCTTTCCCTCCTTACTGGTATTTAACTATGATTCATTCTTTTAAAGGCTGCTCTAGCTGCTCTAGCAAAGTTAAGCACAGATTTTTCCCACTCCATGAAGTTTTCTGGAGCTGCACTGACTGTTGCTTCCTCAACCCCCGTACATGTCTCATTCAGTAAAAATTTCATCTCATTGAGGTATATTTACTTGTATTTTTATTTTTTCCATAAATTTATTCTAAACCTCTAAATAAATGTGCTATTTTTTGTGGCTTAAAGGCACTACCTAGGAAAATATACCCATATATAAATACCTCCAAAACCATATTTTTTAAAAGAGGGTGATGAACTTATCTTAGCACTGCAGAATCACTCCATTTGTAATACCATGACTTTGTGTTCACGGTATTCAGTGCTTTACATATATTGGTGGTAATACTAGTCATAGTAATAATGACAATAGACAACACTTATGTGTGTTAACCACTGTTTTGAGCATGACTCATGTATTAACTCTTAATTCTCATAAGGTCTCTGTTACACAGTTGGAAACATTGCTGCACGTTTATCTAAGGCAATTAGCCCAGAAAATCTGGCTCCAGATTACATTCTTACCACAATACTGACTCTCCATAAAGTGTAAACTTGATTGAATTGATTATTTAAACATATATACAAATCCATTAAGAACTGAATTGTATACGTCTTAAAATTCATTGTTCCATATACATAACAATGCTTTAAAATCAGCAGTGCCAAATATGAAAAACTATTGTATATTTTCATGTTAGGTAAAGCTATGTTTTTCCTTTCTTCACACACACACACACACACACACACACACACACACACACACACAATAGATAACGTGTTTCTCTTTTAGACCAATAATAATGAAATACATTATGAACACTGGACTTCATAAATGGTAATTGATTTGGCACATGATTTATTGCCCTCTATAACAACCTTCCCAAATTTTCTGAACAAACAGATCAACAGAAAGCTCTTTCTTCACTCTTGTTTATCTGTATTATGAATAGGCTTAAAATATCACTTTGGAAACATCACTTTTAAATAACTTTGTTGTTCCATCAATTTCTGTCCATGTAGGAGTAAGAAGAAACATTAATCAGACCTTCACTGGGTCTGCTCTCTGCTCCATCTAAAGAAGAAAAAAATGGCTTCTCTGAAGATTCAGGCAGCCCATTCATTTCTAATAAGTAGAGGGCTATGATTGGTTTTTCACATATGTCTTTAGTTACAATTATTAAGAATTATTTTTGGGAGAGTAATGAAGTCACCAATATGGAAGAGTAAGACATAGCATATTCTATCCCCCACAATAAAACAAATAAAGACATCTAACCACAAACAAAATAGTCCTGGGCGAGCCAAAGAACCCATTTAAAAATATGCAGCAATGGTCTCAAACTCCTGGGCTTGGGCAGTCCTCCTGCCTTGCCCTCCTAAAGTGTTGGGGTTGCAGGTGTCAGCCACTGTGCCCAGCCATACAGTTTTTAAAATAACACATGGTCTTATATTTGACATAATATAGCAAATTAGGCTATCTTTACTTTTTTCTGTTTCAAACAATGTTTAATAATTATATTTCCTTAGATAACTGTTTCTGTTATGAAAAAACCTGAAAACAAAATAATTAGTGTTTCTATTTATATTCTAACTGGGAGGCATTTGGGTTATGGGGGTGGATCTCTCATGGCATGATGCTGTCTTCTCAATAGTAACTGACTTCTCATGGGATATGGTTGTTTAAAAGTGTGTGACACCCCACCTCTGTAGGGAGATGCCCTGAAACTATTGCTACAGAATAAAAGATGAAATTCTCCTGATTATTGTAAATACAAGATTGCATGCAGGATTGTGTAAAGACAATGCCAGGTTGGACTGCCAGAACGAGCCAACAGTGCGTGATGTGCTTCCTCCTGCAGAGAGCCTATGAACGGATGTGCAGTCAGGGAGGTTTCACATCACCAAGATTCCTATCCCAGAAAAGCAGATGTTTATAGCTCTAGGAATGGAATGTGACCCTTGTGGAGAGCCTATAAACGGACGCATGGGGGGTGCCTGTCCATATGGATAAGATAGGGCTATAAACACCCTCATCTTGCCACGGCTCTTCTAGGCCTCTTTAGGGTTAAGGCATACTCCCTTCTGAGAATTTCTGGTCTAACCTGTTGTCTAGCTTCACGTCCTGTTTCTATGGATTGTTTGTAACCAGCTTTTGCTGCAACTGTTACTGCTGATTAATATCTTGCTAATCATAGGCTATGGAAAGATTGTGTTTCTGTTTTAAGGCTCTGTTAGAAATTACTGACGCACACACTATATTGTAAATTCTTATCTCTGTATACTGTACTTCTACATACAAATGTACTGTACTTCTACATACAAATGTTATGTTAAAGAATTACTTTATCCCCAAGTGACCATCTCACTTCATCATCAAATGACCCTAAATCTCTCACTAACCTACCCCTGCCCTCACTAAACTTAATAATAAATGCTGATATATCCAGTGCATTGTTAGCACCACAGGACCAGAAGGCGATGACCCCCCCTGGACCCAGCTTTCACTATCTTGTGTGTGTCTATTATTTCTCAACCTGCTGATCTGCCTAGGAACAAAGAGAGAGCTCCGTTGTATTGAGGGCTGCTGGCCAGATCCCGCAATACACCTCCTCATTGCCCCTTTGATGTATCTGTTCCTGCTTCACCTTTTGCCATGAGTAAAGGCTCCCTGAGGCCTTCTCAGAAGCTGAGAAGATAGCGGTGCCATTCTTTTACAGGTTGCAGAACTGTGGGCCAATTAAACCTCTTTTCTTTGTAAATTACCCAGCCTCAGGTATTTCCTTATAGCAATGCAAGAACAGCCTAATACAAATACATTGATTTAATTGAATGTGTTAAATTAAATGGATGGATAAAAGTTACCAACATCAGAAGAAGACAACTTTGCTGGATTCTTCAAGAAGTCAATGTCATGAGGAAAAAAAAGAGAGGGGGATGTTATGGTTTGAATGTGTCCCCATATTTCATGTGTAGGAAACCTAATCCCCAAATGCATATGTTGATTGTATTTGGAGGTGGGGCCTTTGGGAGGTAATTGGGATTAGATAAGGTTATCAGGTTGGGATCACCAGGATGGGACTGGTAGCCTTACACGAAGAGGAAGAGACCTGAGCTAGCACACACTTGTTTTCTCACCATGTGATGCCTTCCACCATGTTAGGACTGTGCAAGAAGGCCTTCACCAGATGCCAGTGCCACATCCAATTTCCCAGCCTCTAGAATTGCAAGAAATAAATTTGTTTCTATTATAAAATAAAATAAAAATCTGCAGCAACAAAGTGGAGCAAAAAACAGAACATCTACACAGAATGGATTTTTGGTGATAACAGAATAACTGAGATGCTAGGACTAAGCTAGGACTAAGCTAGGACTAAGCTAGGACTAGCTAGAATAACTGAGATCGAGGACTAAGAAAAAAAGTGGATGCTATCAGTACTAGTTTATGCAGGGGGAACAGCCATGGAGTGCAGCTGCCTGGTCCATGGATGACACGAGCATCTTTTGCCACTGAGGTAACCAACAGTCATTCCTGTCAGGAAACACAGAGAGGAGATGCAGCCGCACCCCCTGCCCTAATAATCAGCTGCTGTTGTGATGCTCCAGGACTAGAGCTACCTCTTCCTACACCTGTCTGTGAGACCTGAGCCACAGCTGCTCTGCAAGTGTCCACACTTCAGACACCTCTCTGTGGCTCCACAGCTCACATTTATGCCTCATACACAGGAGCCACTGCCATAGCAAGCTAGTTCACATCCTTGGCCTGGGATTCAAAGTTTTTCTATACATATCTGTGCTCTAGATGCCAATTCAGCTGCCAAAGAGAGCTCAGCTACACACTCAATCCCAGAGCCAGTGGAGCTCTTCTCATGCCTGTGCTCCTGTCCTTGGCTTTCTGGTTGTTTCACAAGCTCAAGCACCTTGCACGATTACCAATGCAGTAGAGAAGATGGCTGTGTCCCAGGCACTGGAGCCATAGCTACTCCAGATTCCAGAGCTGAAGTCCTTACATGTGTGCCTAGGATTCAGGATTTGGCTTGGTGGCTGCTCCACAGATGGCAACTGTCAGATGCCAGTGTTACTGTCACTGCAAACAAGCTCCCAAGTTACCACTGGTGTCAAGAAGGATGCCCTTGACATTGACTTTCCCAGTGAAAGAAATAGACATTGGAAGGACCCTAACAGCCATTACCAATGATTACCACTGCTGCAAATATCTAAAATGTTGGCCTCTGAGGATCCCTGCAATCTTCATCACACTGACCTTAGTTGACAGAGCTGAATAAACATCATACTGTTGCACTTTCACATACTCCTATAGCAGGCTCTTTGCCATCAAAATCATCCTGTGACATCTAGAAGAGATGATTGCATCACCAACTGCACAGACATCAATATAAACCAACTGGAAACATGAAAACCAGGCAGACATATCACCAAAACAACACAATAATTTTCTTTCTTTTCTTTCTTTTTTTTTTTTTGAGATGCAGTCTCGCTCTGTCACTGGAGTGCAGTGGCGTGATCTCAGCTCACTGCAACCTCTGCCTCTCAGGTTCAAATGATTCTCCTGCCTAAACCTCCTAAGAAGCTGTGATTACAGATGCAAGCCACCAGCCTGGTTAATTTTTGTATTTTTAGTAGAGACAGAGTTTCACCATATTGGCCAGGCTGGTCTTGAACTCCTGGCCTCAAGTGATCCGCCTGCCTTGGCCTCTCAGAGTTCTGGGATTACAGGCATGAGCCACCGCACCCAGCCGACACAATAATTTTCAAGAAGCTGATCTCAAAGAAAGGGAAATTTACAGAACGCCTGGCAAAAAATTCAAATAATTGTTTTAAAGAAGCTCAGCAAACTTCAAGAAAATACAGAGAAAAAACTCAATGAAACCAGAAAAAAACATAAATAAACAAAATAAGAAATGTCACAGAGTTTGAAATTACAACAAAAAGGACTAGAAAAGCTGAATCTGAAAAATGCAATGAATGCAGTAAAAAATGTAAAAGAGAACATGAGCAGAAGAATTAATTAAATGGTGAATCTGTAAAGTTGAAGACAGTTTCCTTGAAAATATACAGAAAAGAGAAATAAGAATAAAAATGAATAAGGAAAGCCCCCAGGATCTATGGGATTGCAACAAGAGTGCTAGCTTTCACATAACGGGAGTTAAAGAAGTAGAAGAAAGAGGAAAAAGAGTGACAGAAGGCTTATTTAAAGAGACAATAATTGAAAACCTTACAAATCTGGAAAAAAGATATAAATATTTAGGTACAGAAATTGACATTTCTCAAAAGAAAACATATAAATGGCCAACAAATATAAGAAAAAAAAATGCTCAGCATCACCAGTCATCAGGGAAATGCCAATTAAAACTTCAATGAGATACCATTGGACACCTGTGAGAATAGCTATTATCAAAAAGATAATAGATAAGTGTTGACAAGGATGTAAAGAAAAGGGAATCTTGCTATAATGTTGGTGGGAATGTAAATTTGTACAACCTTTATGAAAATCAGCTTGAAGACTCCTCAAAAAATTAAAAATAGAATTACCATATGATTTAGTAATTCCTCCTCTGAGTATATATCCAAAAGAAAAAAATCAATTTGTCAAAGAGATACCTACACTCCCATGTTCATTGCAGCTTTATTCAAAATAGGCAAGATACAGAATCAATCTATGTTCATAAACAGATGAACGGATAAAGAAATTGTATTGTACATACACAATGCAATAGTAATCAGACTTAAAAATGAAGGAAGCCTGTCATTTGCAACAACACAAATGAACCTGCAGGACATTAGGTTTAGTGAAATAAGCCAGGCACAGAAAGGTAAATGATCTCCTTTGTATGTGGATTCTATAAAACATGAACTCAGAAGCATAGAGTAGAATGGTCTTTACCAGGCGCAAAGGTGGGAGACTTGGAAAGACGTTAGTCAAAGAATATAAATTTTCATTTTGACAGGAGGAATAAATTCAAGAGATCTATTGTAAAACATAATTATAGTTAAGAACAATGTATTTTATACCAAAAATGATAAGTAGGTAATACTTATGTTAGTTAACTTGATTTAACCAATCCACAATGTGTATATATATTAAAACATCTTGTTTTATTTTGTAAATATATCCACTTTTTGTCATTGGAAATAAATATGAAAAGAAAAAATATTTTTGATTTTTTGAACCATTTTTATTGTATTTACAGATCTTGTAAGTATATTGTACTTACAGAAATGTAAGTATTAGTGATTAAAATTTTCACTGGCAATATTTAAAGTGCAAGATGTTTAGTTCTATATAAATGTCCTTTAAAACACAATTGGTGAAGATTTCTGAAAAAGATTTCATTAGTTTTTGATCTCTAGCTGTTTACTTCTTGTAGATCACAGTTTTTCCAGTGTTAATTCTAGCTTGTTAATTACTATGAATGTTTATAATTGTAGCCATTTTTTCGAATCATTTTACCAAAGGCGGTTATTACCATCAATTTAAAATACATTAAATACAATATACCTGCAAAAGTACAATTTTATTTTCTGCTTCAACTGAAGTTGAGTTCAGATGTCTAATGTCCTTTGACTCAGTTGTAAAGAGATTGGTACTATACCATCCACACAAAATGACAGACGTCCTCTTCATATTCCATTTCTTGTTAGCTAAATAGGTGCATCTCAAGTGGATCAATTTACACTGTGATGTGCTTTCTTTGTCTTTAAATTAGCATATTTGTTGTAGCTTGGTGGTTACGGTGTTTTTGTTTCTTCTTATTATTTTATGACAAGCATGTTTTAATTATTCTAGCCCTAGACAATAACACTGATGTAAGTGTCAGGTCCATTGGGATTCTTGTTAACAAAAAATTTAGTTGGTCTTGTCAGCTTTTGGCAATGACTATTTTACAGGTAGAGTACTGGTATATGTATCTAGAAAGCTCAAGAGAAGGATAAGACCTTCATAGGGTAACAGATCTGTAACTAGTTTTTAAAAAAATTTTTTTATTATACTTTAAGTTCTAGGGTACATGTGCACAACGTGCAGGTTTGTTACATATGTATACATGTGCGGTGTTGGTTTGCTGCACCCATTAACTTATCATTTACATTAGGTTTTCCTCCTAATGCTATTACTCCCCCATCCCCCCCACCCCATGACAGGCCCTGGTGTGTGATGTTCCCTGCCCCTTGTCCAAGTGTTCTCATTGTTCAATTCCCACCTATGAGTGAGAATACATGGTGTTTGGTTTTCTGTCCTTGCAATAGTTTGCTCAGAATGATAACATGCAGTGTTTAGTTTTCTGTTCTTGCAATAGCTTGCTCAGAATGATGGTTTCCAGCTTCATGCATGTCGCTACAAAGGACATGAACTCATCATTTTTTATGGCTGCACAGTATACCATGGTGTATATGTGCCACATTTTCTTAATCCAGTTTATCACTGATGGACATTTGTGTTGGTTCCAAGTCTTTGCTATTGTGAATAGTGCCTCAATAAACATATGTGTGCATGTGTCTTTAAAGTAGCATGATTTATATTCCTTTGGGTATATACCCAGTAATGGGATGGCTGGGTCAAATGGTATTTCTAGTTCCAGATCCTTGAGGAAACACCACACTGTTTTCCACAAAGGTTGAAATAGTTTACAGTCTCACCAATAGTGTAAAAGTGTTCCTATTTCTCCACATCCTCTCCAGCACCTGTTGTTTCCTGATTTTTTAATGATCTCCATTTTAAGTGGTGTGAGATGGTATCTCATTGTGGTTTTGATTTGCATTTCTCTGATGACCAGTGATGATGAGCATTTTTCATGTGTCTGTTGGCTGCATGAATGTCTTCTTTTGAAAAGTGTCTGTTCATATCCTTTGCCCACGTTTTTATGGGGTTGTTTGATTTTTTCTTGTAAATTTATTTCAGTTCTTTGTAGATTCTGGATATTAGCCCTCTGTCAGATGGCTAGATTGCAAAAATTTTCTCCCATTCTGTAGGTTGCCTGTTCACTTTGATGGTAGTTTCTTTTTCTGTGCAGAAGCTCTTTAGTTTATTTAGATCCCATTTGCCAATTTTGGCTTTTGTTGCCATTGCTTTTGGGGTTTTAGTCATGAAGTCCTTGCCCATGCCTATGTCCTGAATGGTATTTCCTAGGTTTTCTTCTAGGGTTTTTATGGTTTTAGGTCTAACACTGAAGTCTTTAATCCATCTTGAATTAATTTTTGTGTAAGGTGTAAGGAAGGGATCCAGTTTCAGCTTTCTACATATGGCTAGCCAGTTTTCCCGGCACCATTTATTAAATAGGGAATCATTTCCCCATATCTTGTTTTTGTCAGGTTTGTCAAAGATCAGATGGTTGTAGATGTGTGGTGTTATTTCTGAGGGCTCTGTTCTGTTTCATTGGTCTATATCTCTGTTTTGGTACCAGTACTATGCTGTTTTGGTTACTGTAGCCTTATAGTATAGTTTGAAGTCAGGTAACATGATGCCTCCAGCTTTTTTGCTTTTGCTTAGGATTGTCTTGGCAATTCAGGCTCTTTTTTGGTTCCATATGAACTTTAAAGTAGTTTTTTTCCAATTCTGTGAAGAAAGTCATTGGTAGCTTGATGGGGATGGCATTGAATCTATAAATTACCTTGGGCAGTATGGCCATTTTCATGATATTGATTCTTCCTGTCCATGAGCATGGAATGTTCTTCCATTTGTTTGTGTCCTCTTTTATTTCGTTGAGCAGTGGTTTGTTGCTCTCCTTGAAGAGGTCCTTCACATCCATTGTAACTTGGATTCTTAGGTATTTTATTCTCTTTGTAGCAATTGTGAATGGGAGTTCACTCATGATTTGCCTCTCTGTTTGTCTGATATTGGTGTATAGGAATGCTTGTGATTTTTGCACATTGATTTTGTACCCTGAAACTTTGCTGAAGTTGCTTATCTGCTTAAGGAGATTTTGGATTGAGACAATGGGGTTTTCTAAATTTATAATCATGTCATCTGCAAACAGGGACAATTTGACTTCCTCATTTCCTAATTGAATACTCTTTATTTCTTTATCTTGTCTGATTGCCCTCTCCAGAACTTCCAACGCTATGTTGAATAGGAGTGGTGAGAGAGGCCATCGCCGTCTTGTGCCCGTTTTCAAAGGGAATGCTTCCAGTTTTTGCCCATTCAGTATGATACTGGCTGTGGGTTTGTCATGAATAGCTCTTATTATTTTGAGAAACGTTCCATCAATACCTAGTTTATTAAGAGTTTTTAGCATGAAGGGATGTTGAATTTTGTCAAAGGCCTTTTCTGCATCTATTGAGATAATCATGTGGTTTTTGTCTTTGGTTCTGTTTATGTGATGGATTACATTTATTGATTTGCATACGTTGAACCAGCCTTGCACCCCAGGGATGAAGCCAACTTTATCTTGGTGGATAAGATTTTTGATGAGCTGCTGGATTCGGTTTGCCAGTATTTTGTTGAGGATTTTTGCATTGATGTTCATCAGGGATATTGGTCTAAAATTCTCTTTTTTGGTTGTGTCTCTGCCCAGCTTTGGTATCAGGATGATGCTGGCCTCATAAAATGAGTTAGGGAGGATTCCCTCTTTTTCTATTGATTGGAATAGTTTCAGAAGGAATGGTACCAGCTCCTCTTTGTACCTCTGGTAGAATTCGACTGTGAATCCATCTGGTCCTGGACGTTTTTTGGTTGGTAGGCTCTTAATTATTGCCTCAATTTCAGAGCCTGTTATTGATCTATTTAGGGATTCAACTTCTTCCTGGTTTAGTCTTGGGAGGGTGTATGTGTCGAGGAATTTATCAATTTCTTCTAGATTTTCTAGTTTATTTGCATAGAGGTGTTTATAGTATTCTCTGATGGTAGTTTGTATTACTGTGGGATAGATGGTGATATGTCCTTTATCATTTTTTATTGCATCTATTTGATTCTTCTCTCTTTTCTTCTTTATTAGTCTTGCTAGTGGTCTATCAATTTTGTCGATCTTTTCAAAAAACCAGCTCCTGGATTCATTGATTTTTTGAAGGTTTTTTTTTCGTCTCTATTTCGTTCAGTTCTGCTCTGATCTTAGTTATTTCTTGCCTTCTACTAGCTTTTGAATGTGTTTGCTCTTGCTTCTCTAGTTCTTTTAATTGTGATGTTAGCATATCAATTTTAGATCTTTCCTGCTTTCTCTTGTGGGCATTTAGTGCTATAAATTTCCCTCTACACACTGCTTTGAATGTGTCCCAGAGATTCTGGTATTTTGTGTCTTTGTTCTCATTGTTTTCAAAGAACATCTTTATTTCTGACTTCGTTTTGTTATGCACCCAATAGTCATTCAGGAGCGGGTTGTTCAGTTTCCATGTAGTTGTGCGGTTTTGAGTGAGTTTCTTAATCTTGAGTTCTAATTTGATTGCACTGTGGTCTGAGAGACAGTTTGTTGTGATTTCTGTTCTTTTACATTTGCTGAGGAGAGCTTTACTTCCAACTATGTGGTCAGTTTTGGAATAAGTGCGATGTGCTGCTAAGAAGAATGTATATTCTGTTGATTTGAGGTGGAGGGTTCTGTAGATGTCTATTAGGTCTGCTTGGTGCAGAGCTGAGTTCAAGTCCTGGATATCCTTGTTAACTTTCTGTCTCATTGATCTGTCTAATGTTGACAGTGGGGTGTTAAAATCTCCCATTATTATTGTGTGGGAGTCTAAGTCTCTTTGCAGGTCTCTAAGGACTCGCTTTATGAATCTGGGTGCTCCTGTATTGGGTGCATATATATTTAGGATAGTTAGCTCTTCTTGTTGAATTGATCCCTTTACCATTATGTAATGGCCTTCTTTGTCTCTTTTGATCTTTGTTGGTTTAAAGTGTGTTTTATCAGAGACTAGGATTGCAACCCCTGCATTTTTTTTGCTTTCCATTTGCTTGGTAGATCTTCCTCCATCCTTTTATTTTGAGCCTATGTGTGTCTCTGCACGTGAGATGGGTTTCCTGAATACAGCACACTGATGGGTCTTGACTCTTTATCCAATTTGCCAGTCTGTGTCTTTTAATTGGAGCATTTAGTCCATTTACATTTAAAGTTAATATTGTTATGTGTGAATTTGATCCTGTCATTATGATGTTAGCTGGTTATTTTGCTCGTTAGTTGATGCAGTTTCTTCTTAGCCTCGATGGTCTTTACATTTTGGCATAATTTTGCAGCGGCTAGTACCGGTTGTTCCTTTCCATGTTTAGTGCTTCCTTCAGGAGCTCTTTTAGGGCAGGCCTGGTGGTGACAAAATCTCTCAGCATTTGCTTGTCTGTAAAGTATTTTATTTCTCCTTCATTTATGAAGCTTAGTTTGGCTGGATACGAAATTCTGGGTTGAAAATTCTCTTCTTTAAGAATGTTGAATATTGGCCTCCACTCTCTTCTGGCTTGCAGAGTTTCTGCCGAGAGACCAGCTGTTGGTCTGATGGGCTTCCCTTTTTGGGTAACCCGACCTTTCTCTCTGGCTGCCCTTAACATTTTTTCCTTCATTTCAACTTTGGTGAATCTGACAATTATGTGTCTTGGAGTTGCTCTTCTCGAGGAGTAACTTTGTGGCGTTCTCTGTATTTCCTGAATTTGAATGTTGGCCTGCCTTGCTAGATTGGGGAAGTTCTCCTAGATAATAACCTGCAGAGTGTTTTCCAACTTGGTTCCATTCTCCCCGTCACTTTCAGGTACACCAATCAGACGTAGATTTGGTCTTTTCACATAGTACCATATTTCTTGGAGGCTTTGTTCATTTCTTTTTATTCTTTTTTTCTCTAAACTTCCCTTCTCACTTCATTTCGTTCATTTCATCTTCCATCACTGATACCCTGTCTTCCAGTTGATCGCGTCGGCTCCTGAGGCTTCTGCATTCTTCATGTAGTTCTTGAGCCTTGGCTTTCAGCTCCATCAGCTCCTTTAAGCACTTCTCTGTATTGGTTATTCTAGTTATACATTCGTCTAAATTTTTTTCAAAGTTTTCAACTTCTTTGCCTTTGGTTTGAATTTCCTCCTGTAGCTCGGAGTTGTTTGATCCTCTGAAGACTTCTTCTCTCAGCTCGTCAAAGTCATTCTCCGTCCAGCTTTGTTCCGTTGCTGGTGAGGAACTGCATTCCTTTGGAGGAGGAGAGGAGCTCTGCTTTTTAGAGTTTCGAGTTTTTCTGCTCTGTTTTTTCCCCATCTTTGTGGTTTTATCTACTTTTGGTCTTTGATGATGGTGATGTACAGATGGGTTTTTGGTGTGGATGTCCTTTCTGTTTGTTAGTTTTCCTTCTAACAGACAGGACCCTCAGCTGCAGGTTTGTTGGAGTTTGCTAGAGGTCCACTCCAGACCCTGTTTGCCTGGGTATCAGCAGCAGTGTCTCAGATGGAAATGCAGAAATCACCTGTCTTCTGTTTCACTCACGCTGGGAGCTGTAGACCGGAGCTGTTCCTATACGGCCATCTTGGCTCCTCCCTGAATTAATTTAAAAACTTTTTTTTTTTGGTCTATATGCACATTCTACAGTTAGGTTGATTTTAATTAAAAAACAAGCATCAAATATTAGACTATTAAAAAGATGATCCCTAGAAATAGGAACATATGCATAAAAATGTTACACACTACTTACAATCTTTTTAAAAAGTAAGCACTTTGAAAATTAGTGATTTTAATAATAAATTAAATTTTTAATGGCATTTATAGTTTACCGACAACTATAAGTTTTATGTCCTTGTTTAGAATTTCATATCAGACACTCTCACCTGCTTGTTCCAGAATTACCTTAATTTAACCATCAGTAAATTTAAAATTATATCTATGGGCATTCTGGAACCAATCCCCACCTGGTAGAAATAGAGAGACAAGTATAACAAAGTTTATTATCAGCATCTATGATACTTCTACTGTTTTCTTGACTTTATTATATCTTGAATTTATCTAAAAATTTATCCAAGGGGTTATAGTTCTTCCTTTGTCACGCTAATGCTGAGACGTATTCCTTTGCCTTCCAGGCATTTTGCTTTCTGAGAATCAAAGGAAAGAAAAAGAAAAAAAGTATGAGAAAATGAACAGGCGAATCTAGATAAATGAATGAAGTGGAGGGAAAAGCAATTCAAAATAGTTTATTAAAGGCATGAAAGCTCAGACAAGACATTAAGCACTATCCCACCAGCCTCTTGTATTCTTCTAACTCTGTGTTTTGGAGTTCAGTGGCTACTGATTCTGTTTGAAGTAATGATGCCTAAAGCTGTAGAAGTTAGATTTTGGAAGACTCTCACCTTTAGCACATGGAATTGCATAAATTACATTTTACTTTATTCTCTTTCTCCACCTCTTGAACTTCAGGCTTATTTCTTAATTTCTTTTTTAATAATACCTTTGCAATTTCTATTTTCAGAGAGAGCTATGTGCATACATATTCAAGGTCAGTCTAGTTACCCTGATGTTATAAAACAGCTGATATTTTAGATTCTAGTAGAAAATAAAATCTTCTGAATTTGATTAGCAATTGATTAGCACCTTACTCCGGTTTGGATCTTTGAACATATACAGAAAGCCTTTGGGAATTATGGTAACTGAATTTATTAGGAAAGATCATGGTAAGAAAGAGTATTCTTGTAAAATCTGGCGTGTTATGAGGCATATATATATATAATTTAATCATGGAATATATTGTTATCTGGATGGAAACTATTTCCGAGAAGTTCATCATAAAAAAGATTAACCTGGAATTTATAGAGTGATGTTTTATTAAGAAAATGATCATTCAATTTTATACAATTCTCTGAAGACAAATATTGTTTTAAGACTCTATATTCTACACAAAAATTAATATTTTCATGGTATGTTTGTGCTACCATAACAATATACCACATACTAGGTGATTTACAATTAATAGAAATTTATTTTTCACAGTTCTGGGGGCTGAAAAGTCCAAGATCAGGGCACCAGCATTGGTGCTGAGCAGCAAGAGGGCAGAAAGTTTTTTAAAAATGCAATAGCGGCTCAGGCCATCCTCTTAAGACAACAGTTCTAGTACTCTGAACAAATAATGCCTTTGTCATTGCTGTTACTAACTCCATCATTGAAACAGTATTGCTAGGAAGCTGGAAATGAGATCACAGAGAAAATAAAATAAACAGGATATATCCCCACTGTGAGTGTTAGAAGATTTATTTAATTCTTCTAAAGCAAGAATGAGAGCGTTTCTCCAGGAGCATTATATCTTTCTACTCTGATGCCACTCCCAAATTTTGGGTTGCATTGAGTTGAGGCCAGAGGTAATGGATGGAAAAAAATGGTAAACTCATCACTAACTCAGGGATATTTCAAATTCTCTTCTCCCTCCATAGTCAGCCTTTTAGTATTTAATTTTCAGTGTCCTCAAATCACCATTCCTTGCATTCTTTTCAGGTTTTATAGCTGCATTCATCAGGTGAGACTTGGTAGAGTGTGTTTACTCCACTTTACTCAACACTAAAGCTTTACCCTGTCTATTTAATGTTGGAGTGTCCAGGATATCAATGTTTGATCTACTTCTCTCTTTACCCTCATTCCTCTAGGGAAGCCATTCAGTCTCATTGTTTTAAATAGCACTTTTTAAATATCAATAACACCATTTTTTTTACCTTCAGTTCAGACCTGCCACATTTTATGTGCAACTATCTATTCAAAAACTTCCATTAGATATCTAATAGGCATCTTCAATATATGTCCAGTACTGAAATCTTGATCTTCCTTCCCATAGCTATGTCTTTTGCAGCCTTTAGTACCTCATTTGATAATAACCTCATCCTTTACATTTCTCAATCCGAAGAATATGAAATGAACTTTGCCTCCTCTCTTTCTTTCCAAGCTTTCTCAATTTTTCAGGAAATCCTCCTGGCTCTAACTTGACTATATATCCAAAATCTGGCCCTTTCATGTTACCCCTTATTGTTATCACACTGGTCAGGAATATCAGCTCTTGCCTAAATTAAGGCAATAATCTGTATCCACTGCTAGAATTCAATCTACAAAAGGGCTATAATCTTAGTCTCTTTCTATAGTGATTTGAAACCATTGGAAACAGTACTTGGTACATATAAAATATTCAATAAATATTTGTGAATAAATGACTGCATAACTAACACTTTTTTGTTGTTGTTTTCTGTTGTTTGTGAGACAGGATCTTGCTCTGCTGTCCATACTGGAGTGTAGTGGTGTGATCATGACTCATTGCAGCCTTGGCTTCCTGGGCTCAGGTGATCCTCTCACCTCAGCCTTGTGAGTAGCTGGGACTACAGGCACACACTACTGTGCCCAGGTAACTTTTGTAAAGATGGGTTTCACCATGTTGCCCAGGCTGGTATCAAACTCCTGGGCTCAAGCAATCCGCCCGCCTTAGCCTTGCAAACTGCTTGTGCTACAGGTGTGAGCCACTGTCCCCAGCCTTTAACATGTATGTATAATAGATATATAAATTTACTCCTTACTAAAACTCTGAGGTTGATACTGTCATCATTCTTATAGATGAGCAACATGGTAAACGGTTTCACAATTTGTTTGCCGTATTCATCCTAGCTCATTGCTTATTCAATCAAACAAGATTGGTTAGCTGATCTCTTATAATCAATCTCTTCATACTGACTCAATACAAACCCTAACATTATTGGTAGTCTATTCAGGGTCTCTCAGAGACTCCTGTGATTCAAGAGTTTAATTTAACTTCTATCTAGCACTGCTGTGCCCATTGGTATCATCACAGTAGAGAATAAATGCAATTATTGGGGGAAAATTTACAGAATTTTTACAGGATTATTTTACAGTGCTACATGGACAATTTCAAGATAAGATATATTGGCCCACAGTAGGAGATGCTCTCCTGTTCATAAAAATTTTCATTAACATAAAACATTAATATAGTTGAAAGTTGTAATCAAATTCATCTAATTAGAGATGTTTCCTTAAAGTAATAAAACAAAATCAAGATATACAGAACACTAAACAATATTTTTGATAGATCCCACCTCTTATCAAGCAAGCAAACTATGAACATTTAAAAGTAAAACAGGTAAGACAACATATATTCAGAAAGCTAGTAGACAAATACGCCCTCACAGCTATCATCATTGGCCAAAACAAAGCTTTACCAAAAGGCAGACAATTCCAAATATTTCTGCTGTTATGAACCACAGACCTACTCACTTTCTTGGGCAGCTTATTTACCAATCCTGAGATAAATAAAAATTTACATCAGACCATGAATTTACCCTGGCGGCTTGACATTCTGGTTGGTTGTCATTCCTCAAGTAACTGCTGCAAAGTACACCAAAGCAAACTAAGATGCCACAGCAAGGACTCTCTCAATTACAATTTTAATTAAAAATAATGAGACAAAAATCACACTAAAACGAAATGGCCTATTAACCTGGTACATCGGACTGGCATTTGCCAATCAGTTACAAAACAACCCTATGGCAGGTCATTTAAAGACACCAATCTCAGGTTCCTCAAAGTTATACAAAATAATAACTATGCAGAAAAGTGATGAAAATTATATAAATACTTTAAAACTGAAAGGAATTATAAAAGTATCGGACATGATGACAATGTAGAAACACACATATGTTATTGCACAAAGAAGTTGAACCATTGTAGTGAAATGACCAAAAGAGATCATGAGCTTGTTTCAAATAATAGAGTAGGTTTCACAAACCTACTCTGTCACTGGGTTCTAGTAGGGATTCTTTAGTGGCATCTTAAAGTATGAAGAATAGATAAGGTCAAAAAAATGAACTTCCATTTAAAATTAGCTTATATTCACAATGGCAGATCAAATGTTAAGTCATTTATATTTTAATTCACTCATTGCTGGAAATCTTTGTTTTAAAGTTTAAACTATACGTTTATTCTGAAAAATCTCAGATTATGAGGACATTAAGTACACAAGGGTTTTCAATCCAAGACATAAGACTTTTCCAAAGCTTTTGTGATTCTAGGAATTAAAACACAAGATACTGTGTGGAGACCAGCTCGGTTGGGGAGACCCTAACCCAGTGGTGCTAGAGGAATTAAAGACACACACACAGAAATATAAAGGTTTGAAGTGGGAAATCAGGGGTCTCACAGCCTTCAGAGCTGAGAGCCCCAAACAGAGATTTACCCACATATTTATTAACAGCAAGCCAGTCATTAGCATTGTTTCTATAGATATTAAATTAACGAAAAGTATCCCTTATGGGAAACAAAGGAATGGACTGAGTTAAAGGAATAGGTTGGGCTAGTTAACTGCAGCAGGAGCATGTCCTTAAGGCACAGATCGCTCATGCTATTGTTTGTGGCTTAAGAACGCCTTTAAGCGGTTTTCTGCCCTGGGTGGCCAGGTGTTCCATGTCCTCATTCCGGTAAATCCACAACCTTCCAGCATGGGCTTTATGGTCATCATGAACATGTCACAGTGCTGCAGAGATTTTGTTTATGGCCAGTTTTGGGGCCACTTTATGTCCAGATTTTGGAGGGCTTGTTCCCAACAATACTATTTATAAAAAAATTAAAATATACTCTTTGGCATACAATCACTTATAAATTAATCAGCCACAATTGGTAGTTATCAGTGGTGATTATAAACTTACAGAATATTATTGTTGAAAGTACCAAATAACAAAAAAAACTTTCCTTCAGTACTGAATAGTTCTATTTTTTATGTAAAAAACTCTGTCATTTTAAACATGACATTTTAAAATCACTGATTTATCGCTCCACTGCACTCCAGCCTGGGCAACAGAGCCAGACTCTGTCTCAAAAAATAAACTAAAAAGTAAAATAAAATCACTGATTTTACAAAGATTGCAATAGAAGGCCAATTATTGTGATTTTTAACATAAAAAATAGATTCCTTTTTCAGGAAAAAGATGGGAAAATAGTAAATTGCTAAAATTATCAACTGGGCAGATGTTTGTGAAAATTATTAATAAATGAAAAAAGCTATCATCCTTTAATATATTTATTTCTATTATGCCTTTAATTTTTTATGCCTCATGTTTTCTATGAAATATTCAGCTCACAGTCCCTATGGAAATCCCAGAAGCAAAGAAAATATAGTATGAGGTCATCCACTCCAGGGACCCGCCCAACTCATTTGAATCATAGTTTTAAAAAACTTGGCATTTGAGCTTGAGAAATAAATTAGTATAGTCTCAGATAATTGTCATGTTTCTGAATTTATTTATTCATAAATAAAAAATGAGAACATTATCTCTAAAGTTCTTTTTAATCCCCAAATCTAATAATTTTGCTGACATAATTAACTATTTCAGACATACAGTAATATAATGGTCTCACCATCTCTCAGTTACTTAAAATGGATTTACTTGCAAAACTTTTTGAAGTAGAAACTATTTTATCCCAATTTCAGTTTTACACATATGGAAACTGACACAAACGTGATTTAAAACGCATCCAAGATTACAATGGCAGGACTAGGATATGAACCCAGAGAAACGATCTCAAAAATATGCATTTTCCTTCTATCTTTGATTTTGTTTAATCTGACTTTTAAAATTGACATATTATTATATAAAATGTACATAAAATTAAGTTTATAGACTCATGTACAGGTTCATGAGTTTTGACAACTGTATGAACTCATATAACCACTACACCAATAAAGATACAGAGTATCAGGAAGTTTTGTTAACAGTTTATGAAGAAAGGGATATCAGTGCTCAGCCCACAGGTAACTGAATCCTGCCAACGACTGTGTAAGTGCGCTACCAAGCAGATCCTTCCAATGTTACAGATCTGGAGCCAGATGATCTAGATAATCTAGACTAGCTGTACTCAGATTGCTGACCAACTGAGGCTGAGATTACAAAGTAGTTTTAAGTCACTATATGTTTGGGTAATTTGGCAGGCAGCAATTGATAACGAATACCATGATAACAGGCTCGTCATAAGATTTGCAATTGATCTGGAATACTTGGGGCAAGGCCCAAAGATTCTTTTCTCTGGGTTGAATGCTATCCAAAAGTGAGGGAAACTCTATGACTGGATGTCTTAAAGGTGTTTACCTGAAAGGCAGAAAGGACAAAGTGGTGTTAAAGGTCAAGTGGCAAAAAATCAGTGGTCACTTAAGTTAGCAATGAGAGGGACAAAATAGATTATGGTTTGGGTGATTTTCTTGTTTCAGTTTCTGCCCATACATAATTCTGGAGTGGAGTTGCTTTGGCCTTGTTCTATTACGGTCGTGTTTCTGATGTGGTGTATTTTGAAATTGTTTATATTCTGCTAGAGACAATCTCACACCGCCGACCAGCTAGCTCCAAGCTGCAACAGTCAGGGGTTGCTTTCCTCTTTGCTGGTACTAAATATGCTCTGGACAGTCTTGTACAGTCTTTCTTTGGACCTGTGAGTTCGTTTGTCTTGAGTAATATCTAGGAGTTAAATTGTTATAATCTAGGATTTATGGAGCATTACCAAATTGTATTTATATTAGTAATGTATGAGAATTCCAGTTGCACCACTTCTTGAACATATCCTGCTGTCACTTTTTTAAAGTTTTAGGTATTCTAATGATGTCAAGTAGCATCTATCGTGGATTTATGTTTAATTTATCTTATAATTAATGATTTTAAGTACTTTTCAGGTGCCTATTAGCCATTTGCACATCTTATTGGTTAAGTTTCTTTTCAACTGTATTGGATTTTCTTTTCCTTATTGATTTAAATAAATTATACATTCTGGATATATTTCCTTTGCCATTTGTCAAATATATGTATCACAAATACTTTCTTCTAGTCTGTGTCTTTTGTTTTCATTTATTTACATTTCGATAAGCTGATAAAATCAAAATTTTAATTTTGATAAAATCCAATTCATCAGTGACTCATTTTAGAGTTTGGGCTTTTACAACATGTCTAAAGATTTTTGCCTCTACTAAAGTATTCCACTAAGGTATTTCCTTCTAGAAGCTTAATAATTTTAGCATTGATAATTAGTTCTATGATCCATTTTACATTAATTTTTGTGCATGATGTGAGGTAGTAGAGTCAATGTTTATCCCCCTCACTCTTCCCTCAACCCCCTACAGTGGATATCTGGTTGTTTCTTAACTATTTGCTAAAAATATTTTCCATTGGGTTGCTTTGGAACCTTTGTCAATAGTCCCTCGACTGTGCATGTCTAAGTCTATTATCATATCTTTTATCCTGTTGAATTGCCATATTTGTCTGTAGTTAATCCAAAATTACGTTGCTTCCATTACTAGAGCTTTCCAATAAGTCTTAAAATAAAGTGCTGTAAATGTTCCAACTTTACTTTTTGTTTCAAGAGTGTAATGACAATTATAAGCCCAGTGCATTTCTATATATATTTTAGAACTAGTTTCAAATTTTCTGCTCAAAAATCTGCTGGAAATTTGAATGAGTTGTTTTTCAATCTATAGATCAATTTTGTGAAAATTGACTTATTAAAAACATTGACCCATCTTGTTCTTGAACATGGTATATGACTTCATTTGTGTAGGCCTTTTTAACTTTCTCCCTACAATGTTCTGAGGTTTTACTAAAGAAATAACACATTTTATTAAATGTATTCTTAAGTATTTTATATTTTGTGATGCTAAGATATAATTATTTAAATTTTATTTCCAACGTCTCTAGTAGGTGTATAGAAATGCAGTAGACATTTTAACATTAACTTATGACATTGCTAAACTTGCTTATTAGTTATAGTAGGGCATTTTCATATATTTATAAGGATTTTCTATGTTAGTATGTCATATATAAATAAAACCATTTTATTCATTTTTGTGCTGATCCATGTGTGTTGTATTTCTTTTTCTTGCC
Organism: Homo sapiens; assembly: GCF_000001405.40. NCBI lineage: Eukaryota > Metazoa > Chordata > Mammalia > Primates > Hominidae > Homo > Homo sapiens. Next base: position 175,613,773 of record NC_000004.12, read on the forward strand.
ATATTGCAATAAATGAGAACCCCTAAGAGGTATGATGTTCAACAGAATTCATGGGAGAATACTTTCTTAACTCATTTCCAGAATTTGATCTATCAAGGAAAATATTCCACATGCAATTAAAATGAGTATAGTGTTGTTCAATGTGTAGTTATTATGTTTTATAAATGTCAGTTAAGTCCACTTAATTGATAGCATTGTAACCTTCCATTAGGCTCAGTGATTTATTTTCTGCTTTTTCTATTCACTACTCAGAACTGTGTGCTGTAATATTTGTCTGTGTTTGTGAATTTTTCTATTTTTCTCTTTAGTTTTATAAATATAGTTTCATCTATCTGAAGACCTGTTATTAGATGCATACACATTTACACATTGAAAGTGTTCTTTTAAAAATGACTTATCATTAGAAAATATTTCTCTGTGTCTCTGGTAATATTTATTGGTTTGAAGTCTACCGTTCTGATATCAATATAGTAGCATCAGCCTTCTTATGTGTGTTTTCATTTTGCATCTCTTGTAAGCAGGATAAAACTGAGTTTTGCTCTTCATTAGTGTAACAACTTCTGTTTTTAAATTGGAATTGAGAATTCCTTTCCTACTTTTTATCTTTTTTTTTTTTTTTTTTTTTTTGAGACAGGGTCTTGCTCTGTCACCTAGGCTGGAGTTCAGCGGCCCAATCTCTGCTTACTGCAACCACTACCTCCCGGGTTCAAGCCATTCTCCCACCTCAGCTTCCTGAGTAGTTGTAACTACAGGCGCATACCACCATGTCCAGCTAATTTTTATATTTTTTGTAGAGATGGGGTTTCCACTGTGTTGCCCAGGCTGGCCTCCAAACTTCTGAGCTCCAGCAATCCGCTGCTTCAGCCTCTTAAAGTGCTGGGACTACAGGCATGAGCCACTGCACCTGGCAGGCAGAGAGTCCCTTTATTTTAATGTAAATATTGATCAGCTTGGACTTAAATCTACCATCTTATTGAAGCGGCTACCTTGTCTGGGGTAAATACCTGAGGTTTGTCGTCTCATTTCAAGAAAATTTAAGACATGGGCACACACAAGGAGTTTAGGAGTAGAGGCTTAATAGGCAAAGAGAGAGAAAGAAAGAAAAAGGAAGACAGCTCTCTCTTTAGTGAGAGAGGGGACTTCCGAGAAGAAAAGGCTCCCCCCGCATTGGGGGGATGCGCCAGATTTCATGGTCAGGCATAAGGAGGTGGTGTCTGATTTACACAGAGCTCAAAGATTGGTTCGATCAGGTATGACCTTTACATAGTGCCAGGAAGGCTGGCCTCCCCACGCCAATCTTATTATGCAAATGAACTTTCCCCTTGGCCGGCTGCCATCTTGTCTGTTCCTTACTGTACCCGTGGCTGACAAAGAGAAGGGAAGATGGAGCCTCATGCAACTGCCAGCATCTATGTCTGCAGTTCGATTTTACAGGCTGCTCTTTGTTAGAAAGAAAAATAATTTGGGGCTGCTTTTCAATAAAAGGAAAACCTTACTGAGGACTTCCTTACCCTAACTATCTGCCTAAGTAATTTCTTCTTAACTCCTGTATCATTATCATGTATCTAACTTCCTTTTGTCCGCTAGCTCTTCAGACTATGCCTCTTCTTTCTATTTGAGCTTAGTATTTTTAGTAATTTCTTGTAAATTTACCTTGTTTTTCCAGGTATTCTTTGTATTTACTTACTCTGTCAGTTAAAATACATACACTCAATGTATTACAGTCTATCTTGAGTTCACACAATACCACCTCTATGTATATTGTAAGAACCTTACAAACCTTACAAAAATATTATGTAGTTTACATTTCATCTTGTTATATATAACAACCTACTGTTGATATACATATCTGTGTACATACACACATATATTCAGTAAACTATATTGCTATTATTTTTGCACTGAACAATTTAATTTCAAATAATTTAAGAACAAAAAAGTAAATCTTTTTTTTTGTTCACCCACATATGGACACTTTCCAGAAGAATTTAATTACAAGAGAAGATGAAATCTTTTATAGCAGATCAATGTTCTTGCTGAGAACAGACATGATAACTGCGTGAATAGCATAATCATGTTTAAAGTGACATTGGAGATCTGTGAAAGCAGTGATGATTAGGAGAATTACAATTCTAGAGAAGGCAGAACATTCTAAATTTGACCTGAAAATCTGTAAGTGTGTTTTCACTGAAGAAATTTGCTAACTCTAAACACAGTTAAAAGGCTGAAGGCATGGCTTGGTCTAAGCAGAGGCCCATTGCTGTATAATAAATACACGTGCAAATTTTGGTTTGTTATGCAAAACTGGAGAGACAAAATTGGATAATTGAATTCCTCATGTACAAAGCTAGATCTCCCCTCTTTAAAAAAAAAAAGTATTTCCATAGGTTTTTGGGAGCAGGTGGTATTTGTTTACATGAGTAAGTTCTTTGGTGGTGATTTGTGAGATTTTGATGCACCCATCACCTGAGCAGTATGCACTGAAGCCAATTTGTAGTCTTTTATCCTTCACCCCACTCTCATCCTTTCCCCTGAGTCTTCAAAGTCCATTGTATCATTCTTATGCTTTTGCATCCTCATAGCTTAGGTACCACTTATGAGTGAGAATATATGACGTTTGGTTACTAAATTCCAATGCTGAGCTCTATAGGAGACTAAAGAAACAAGTGAAAATTTTTTGAAAAAAAGAGGCTTGGTTTCTTAAAGTTGATGAACTGAAACCATCACCTGTTCAGTTGAAATCTTTACAGGCCACATTTTAGTGACATGAATCGAAAATATGCACAGATAAGAGCCTTCGAGATACATGGGACACAGTGGAAAAGTTTAATGTATAAAATTGAAGTTCTAGAAAGAGAAAAGAGGAAATAGGACTAAGAAAAATTCAAAAAGATAACTGAATTTTCCAAACTTAAGCCAGTATATGAATTTACTAATTCAGGAATCTTTGCAAACACTGATCAGACTTAAATATAATTTGGCCGGGTGCAGTGGCTGACACCTGTAATCTCAGCACTTTGGGAGGCCAAGGCGGGCGGATCACGAGATCAGGAGTTCGAGACCAGCCTGGACAACATAGTGAAACCCCATCTCTACTAAAAATACAAAAAAATTAGCTGGGAGTGGTGGCGGGCATCTGTAATCCCAGATACTCGGGAGGCTGAGGCAGGAGAATCAATCGCCTGAACCCGGGAGGCAGAGGTTGCAGTGAGCCGAGACAGTGCCATTGCACCCCAGCCCAGGTGACAGTGTGAGACTACGTCTCAAAAAAAAAAAAAAAAAAAAGAAAACCACAACAACAAAAATATATATATATATAATTTAAGAACATACAGTGTTATATCATAGTCAATATGCTGAAAATAAATGAGAAAAAAATCTTGAACCAAACCAGCAAGAATAAACACATTTATTTCAAACAAGTGACAATGAAGACCACAAGAAAACAATGAAAGCCAGAAGAAAATGGAATAACATTTTTAAAATGACAATGTAAAATAGAGTAAGTCAATGAAAATATCCTGTAAAAAATAAAGATGTTTACAGTAAAACAATAACTGAGAGAACATTTCCTAAGCAGGTCAAAGGAAAATAAATACTCAATGTAGTTCTGTAGGAAGAAGTGAATTACATACTTGGTGATGCGGACTTATGAAGAGGAATGAAGAGCACGATTAAGACTAAAAAGTGGGAAAGCAGTAAAGGAAGCTAAAGTGTCCTTAATTTCTACCATGATTGTGAAAGGACTAAGAGTAATTTTCTTATTCGACTGTGATAATCTAGGATGCAAATTATAGTTACTAAAATAACAATGAAAAACTAGTAAAAATATGTACTTAAGAAGTTAATACCAGAAAATTTCTTTAAAAATGAATTAATCCAAGGGAAAATGACAGGGAAGAAGACAAAAAACAAAGAGCTAATAGAAAACAGTCAGTAGATTATAGATATACACCCAACTATATCACATGAAATTAAATTGATTACACATTTTTTGTAAAAGACTAAGATTGTCAGACTGGAAAAAATATGTTGATTACTTTAGACACTCATCAAAACTCAAACAGAAATTTGATGGTAGGAATAGAGTATAAATAGTGCTATACTAACTTTAACCAAAAGAAAAGTGGTATAGCTGCCACAACAAAATAATTTACAATCTTTTCAAGTTCACTTGAAACGTTTACCAATATTGATTATATGTTGGGCCAAAAGAATGTCTCAACATATTTCCAAAGATGAAAATCATGCAGAGTATTTTCACTGACCATGGTTAAATTAAGCTAAAAATTAATAAAATAAGTAATTATAAATGTCCCCCACTGCTTAGAAATTAAATACTGCATTTTTAAACCATTATTCAAATAAAAAATCACAATGAGTATTAAGCAACATTTTAAATGGAAAGATACAAAGATACACTACATTAAAACCGGTAGGGTGCTGCAGAAATAGTGTTCAAAGGAAAATTCATAGAAAAGAAAAGAACTGAATGTTAAAGATTTGGGTCAAAGAAACCATTCGAAGAACAGCAAATTAAACGCAAAGTGGAAGGGAGGAATGAATAAAAATAAGAGCATAAATAAATGAAATAGAAAGCAACGTGCAATAAAGGAAATCAACAAAGTCAAATACTGGATCTTTAAAAACAACTAGCATAAATGATAGATCACTGGCAAAATTAAACAAGAAAGTAAAAGAAAAGACCACAAATAACCAAACCAGAATGTAAAGGATTCATGTTTGTAGAACCTACAAGCAAAAAAAAAAAAAAAAAACCACAGGAGATATTACAAAAACATTACACAAAAATATTTGCTAATGTATATAAACTCCTCCAAAAACATACATTACTGAAATGACAGAAGAAGGGATAGCAAAACATGAATTTTGGCAGTATGGAGATGTACTGCTTTGATTTCGCATTAAGGAAACCCTTGCCATTTGGCAGCAAGTAATGTAGTAAGCAATCTAGCTGATAGCAACTTAAGTATCCATTTCACCTTGGAGAATGAGACCATACTCTTCTCAGGCAGCCCCAGTCAATAAGTGAGCACAACAGGGGTAGAGCCTAGACTCTTCTTCCAAATGTGGAACTCTTCTAAGAGGCAATTTTTCATTGGAGTAGCCATTAGGTTGGCTGAGACTGTCATATTTGCATCAAGACCTCAAGGCTCTCCCTCATCAATCTTGTTTCTTCTCCATTTTATGTTTCATAGGCATTAATTCCTGAATGGATTAACTCTCACATTCCTAAGTCTACATCAGAAATATCTTCTGTAGAACACAACTAACACGTAAATACACAGTTACCTTTTAAAGAAATCCCATCCATTTTTTAAAACTTTTCCAGAAGACAACCCCAGGACCAGAGAGCTTTATTAATGAATTATTTTGAACTTTTAAGTAAAAAATAACACAGTCCTGTACAAACTCTTCCAGAGAGTAGAAGAGGAGGCAAGGGTGTGTTTCTCAGCCCATTCATAAGGCTATCATAGCCCAACAAGAATGTCACAAGAAAAAAGAGATGGCAGGCCAATCACCACTCATCAACATGATGGAAAAATTCTAATAAACTTCTTGTAAATTAAATCTAGTTATATATAAGGAAAGATTATATATAATACATAATCATTATTTATGTATAATGAAGTTGGGCTCATTCAAGTAGGCAAAGTGGTTTAACCTTCAAAAACTCAATAAATGAAGTTCTGTTTGTGAACAAAGAAGAAAAATGCCACATGGTCATCTCCGAAGACTCTGAAAAAGCATTTGATAAACATTAACACACATTTGTGAAGAACTCTGTATGAATAGAATGGATTTCCTTAATCTGCTAAAATATGTTTACCAAAAACTACACAAAAATATGTTTATTGGTGAAATTTTGCATCTTTGTTTCTAGAAACAAAAAAAGGATGGCTTCCAACCTCAATTCAACTTAGTGTTGAACTAGAGATCTTAGTAAGTGCAGTGAAGCAAAAATAAATAAGTAAATAAATAAAACTAAGGACACATGGATTATAAAGAAAGAAATAAAACTCCCAGCATTCTCAGATGATATGACTATGTACATAGAAAATCTGAGCAAGTCAACAGAATGTGAGAATCAATAAGCATATTTTTGCAAATCACTTGTCCAAGGACAATATTCAAACATCAATCATGTTTCTATAAAACATAATGCAAAATAAAATTAAAAAATATTGAGAAAAGCATTTAATATATATTAAATACCTAGGAAACATGTAATGGAACATGTTCAAGATTTTTTCAGTGAAGAATATAAAATATTGCAAATGAAAATTAAAGAAGTCCTAAATTAAGACAAGACTATACCATATTCAAGATTTAAAAACTCACTGTTTCAAACATGTCAATTGTTTCTAAAATTATCAATATATTTGACATACCTCCCCTTGAAATCCAGTGGATTTTTTCTGGTAGAAAGCAACAAGCTAATTATAAAATGTTAGTGGACATAAAAAAGACCAAGAATAGTCCTGAATTCTTGAAAAGTAGAAAAAAAGATGCATTCATATTGGCATATATTAAAATTTTTATAGAGCTATAAAAAATGTGGTTTCAGAAATGTTTCTGGAACAATTGGTTGTCCTTATTTAAAAAAAGAAATTTCAAAGATTTCCAATGTGTTAATCATACATTTTCTTAAAAAGGATAATGTGTTGAGATTGATTCTAAGGACATCTGTCTATCAAAACATACCGTTAGGAAAAGGGAGGAGGCAATCCACAGAATGGGAGAAGATATTTGCAATGTATATATTCCATAAAAAACTTGTATCCACAGTGCTTAAAAATTGATTTTAAACAAGCAGAAAATCTAATGGAAAAAAGTGAGTGAAAGACTAAATAGTTACTTCATAAAAGGATATTCAAACACCCAGCAAACATGTGAAGTGACCTCCATTTCATTAGTTATAATGGAGATGAAAATCAAAATTCCTTTGTGATAGCATAGCAGTACACATCCACTAGAATGGTCAAAATGACAGACAGACAACACTAAATATTGGTAAATATGTAGAATAACTAGACTATCATGAAAGTCTTGGTGCAAATGTAAATTGGTACAACCATTTTAAACAACTAGTGGGCAGTACTGCTAAAATTCAACATATCCATAATATATGACCCAACAATTTAATTCTAGATATACACTCAATAGAAATGAATATACATATATACATATATATTCATATTCTATATATTCTTATATATTCATTTCTATTGAGAGATACACATATATGTTTATCAAAAGACAACAAAAATGTTCAAAGCAGCACTATTTAGAATAGTTAAAAACTAGAAGCAACTCAAATGGAATGAATTAAATCCAAAGCAAACCAAAACAAAAAAAACTTGTAATATAAACAACAGTGGACATCTACACCTCAATGAGCAAAAAAATCTACTACGAATATTTGCAACAGTATGAATGAGTCTCATAAAAATAAAGCCAGACACAAAGTGTATGTACAATTCCATTTATAGAGTCTGTGATGTAAATTTCAGGATAGTGGCTACCTTTAAGTTAATAACTGAATGGGCAAAAGAGGGGCTTCTGAGGTCCTGGGAATGTTTTGGTTCTTCATATATTAAGTTTGTGAAAAATCATGAAGCATATACTTATGACCCGTGTACTTCTTTGTATATATGTTACCCTTTAATTAAAAAGTTTAAACGTATGCAAACTAGACCCCTAAAAATTATTACAGAAACTTCTTTCAATTAAGCTAGATTTTGGATTTTTTTCCTTCCCAAAAGTTACCAGTGTGCTGAGAATTACATTAAATACAATTATTTTCATCCAAACTGCCTCTGTATAAGAGCTACAATACCAAATACAGACCACCTCATTTACACAAGCCAATTTCATCAATTAAAGTATAATTATTTAATAAGTAGAAACTAATAAAAACGAACACATCTTTCTGTGTTTCATGAGATTTGTGATGTTACTTTAATCTGTAGATTGAACTTATCCTAAGAAAATATATTTATTTTATCTTAAACATCACAGCTCAAATTCAGTTTAATAAAACCAATATTGCTTTACCATACCACAAACTGCTCTGCATTGTTATTTATACAATTCTTCTATTCCCAACAAATTAATCTATTCTGCAAATATTTACTGAAAACCTGCTGTCTGACACTACAATGTGCTGGGAATAAAAGGCAGAGGATAAGATAGTGGTCTCTTCAGGCTTGCACTTTCCTGGATGGAAACAGACACAACACAATTTCCCCAAAATCACTAAATTATAATGACAATTGCTCTAAAGATGGATTACAGCATCCTGAGCACAGATGTAAGAGAATAACTGAACTGTTTCTCTGAGAACAAACAGTTCAAACTGCTATCTATAAGATCCATAGAAATGAATTGAACAAGAAGAGGAGAGGAGTATTCTAAGCAGAGACTAAGAATATCTTAAAGTCGAGTGGTTAAAAAAAGAAGGATGAATGTGAAGATCAAAAGATCCCAGTGTCTGGAGTTCTAACAGTCAGTAGATAATCAGCTGGAGCCTCAGTAGGGACAAGATCCTGCAGAGCTTTATAAAGTATGTTATTAAAATTTATTTTCCTCCTAAAAACAAGGAAAGGCACTGAATAGTTTTAAGCAGAGGAGGGACAGGATCAATTACATGTTGTTCATGTTGTAATCTCTCTGGCTGCAATGCAGACAATGGTTTGTGAGGCAAGTCACACAGCTGCATGTAGACCAAAGAAGAAGCTATTATAGAAATTCAGGAAGGGAAAATTGGTGTCTTGAAATTGATTGATTGTGTGGAGATGGCATGTAATAGATGATTTTGGGAGATATTTAGAAAATAACGTTGAATAGATACGTTTGTGTTGTAGAGAAACTGTTGAGTAAAACCCTTCCAGCTGGTACTGTGGGTATGTATTGATGCTGCTTATTAAGATAGGGAATATGGAGAAAACAGAGATGAGATTCCACATTTAGTTGCCTCAGTAACTGTGAAGCTTCCAGTGGGATGTTGAGAAGAGAGATTGAGGCCCACACTGGCTGGTTAACTGACAAATCACTGTCCCCCCTTTTTTTTTTTCTGGGAACACAGCTACCTCCATTTCTTGGGGTTTTCTGAAGTTAGGTGCAGCTATGCGGCTGAATTGTAGAATCCGGGCAGAAGCCTGGTTCATAACTGCTGCACAGTCCAGTCCCCTCTGTTTCTGGTTACTGACTGAGGAAGATGAGTGGAGGCTTGAGTGTGACGGGATAGCAGCCTGCCCTCAGTGACTGCAAGGGGCAGAGCTCCCTCTAATGATTCCTAGTGTGCTGCAAAGTAAATGAGAAACAGAAATGCACGGTAGAAGCCTAAGCCACTGAGACTTCAGGATTGTTTTCACAGCTATTAGTTTACCTTACCTAATGGAGAAATTGATAGTGAAAGTGTGGTGCTTCTGAAAAAAAAGCAAAACAAAATACAAATGAACTCACATAATACTCATAAATGCATATGTGTGTGTGTGTGTGTGTGTGTGTGTGTGTGTGTGTGAGAGTGTGTGTGTATTTGCATGTTCTTTTGCTTTTTTATAGAAGCACCACACTTTCAGTCAAAAAATAAGAAGTCACAATCTTGAGAGGTCAAAAATAAGAAAACTGTTGTAGACTTTTTAAAAATGGTGGCTTTTTGGGTACATGATTAAAATATTTGGTAAAATTATCATCTTTTGTAACCTACTAAACCTATAGCCCTAGGGAAAGAAGTTGAAAAAAATGTTAATAGTGTGTTTTGGCTCCTGTTGGCCAGGTTTGGGTAGGTATTACAAGAAATAATTGAGATTAGTAAAGATGAGTTAGTTTTCAAAGAACTAAAAAGAGAGTCTAGAAATGTGGGGTCTCACTAAGTTCAAAAAGCTGACTGTTGCCATATAGATTCCAAACAGAAAAAGTGGAGGAAGGGTTGTGCCTGATAAAATCCCTTCGATATTCAGTCTGGTGATAAAGATCCAACTATAGTTTATCTTCCACACAGTTGTTTCGGATCTTCTTAAGGTGGCTGCTGTTAGGAGTGAAAGCCGTGGAAGTGAGGAAGCATTAGAACAATATGTTAGAAGAACTTTCGATATTGTTACTAGGACACAGAGTGGAAGCCTATTGAACTCTTGTATTTGTATTGCCAAAAAAAAAAATGTGAGCTGGATTACATTTAAACAAATAATCCAAAACAAAATGTAACAACAGTACGATGAAAACCAAATAGCGTCTATTGGATGTGACAACATAGGTGCCAGTGGTGAATTATTAGTGATAGTTATTTTGGTCAAATGAGAGATAATGGAAATCAGAATTTAGCTTTGATTTAGCAATTTAAGATTGGTGAAGTAAAGAACTACAGAGAGAGAACAGACAAGTCCTTTGATAATTTTGACTGTGAAAGAAAAGTGGATATATGTTGAAATGAGGTAAGGGAGAGTTTTATTTTTGCTCATGTTTTTGTTACATAAGTTCAGGCAACTTGAGCAGAATCAAAAGCTGAATGGTATATTCCTATAGAGAAGCAGTTTGAAGTTATAGACTATTAAAAAGTATAAATTACTAACAAAGGCAAGAGAGCAGCTATGCAAATAGAGAAGTTCTGGTCTCAGACATAAGGAGGAACACATCCACTGCAATAACCCAGAGAAGGACGTTGCAAACCATTTAGTCCTGAAGTATCTAAGCGCAGTGAATACCATATTCCCTCCTATGGGAAACGTAAGTGCTCTATATTTTAATCTTTCAGACACAGGCACTCCCCACCATTCCCAAAGAAATATGATTGAGACAATAGAGAAGCATCACATAATCTCAATTTGGTTATCAAATCATAGTATTAATACTTTGGCAGATGTATTATTTTATTAAAAATAAATACCCACCATTGATTAGCATTGCTGCTATTTACAGCACCATCAATTTATATGCAATAACAATATCTCATTTAATCCTCATGCAATACAATACCTCATTTAATCCTCCTAAAAAACTCACAAGACAAACATATTTCTCACACACACCCCAAAATCTGAATTTTAAAGAACTGCCCCATTGTTTTCCCAGTACACTAGTTTGATTTTTTTAATAATGGAGATTTTAAGTTAAATTGAATAGATGAAATCTCACTTTCTGGATGCCTCTCTTATCTATTCACAGAGGCTATTCTGATTTCCTTATTGGTGGTGATGAAACTTTTCAGTGCCTGAAATTCAATATTTAGTGATGTTCTTTTATTATCAACCCAGAAATCTGATTCCTCTCCACTGCCCTTCTTCTGCTGCTCCTGTAATCCCTGTGCCAATAGTGTTGTGAAAAGTCTTCTGACCAGTTTAAGTTTCACCAAACTGTGGTATTGATTTTTTTCCGGAAACCTCATCTCTCACCTTAAAATAGCATTCAACAAAACAGTGTTTTGGAAAACGTAAGAAAATGTAGAAGAAAAATGTGTTCTTAATGTTTTAGTTCTAGCCAAGCCAATACCAGACAAATTCTTTGTGCCATAATTACTTCTCCTAGGACCACAGAAGGAAGAATGAATGGAAATAAATTGGAGAAAAAAATGAAATTGGAAAGAAGGCTGTCTTATTATACATATCACAGACACTTCAGGTTTCAGTGCTTCAAATTTAGAAAAAGATAAATATCACTTGTTCTCTCTAAAACATGTAGAACAAAAATAATGAGCTCATGTCTGTAAGAGTGCCATAAAATAGAAAAAAATATTAGAACTCTTTTTATAATTGGTCTTTAATAAATTATCACTGCATTTTAGAAGCAAACTTACTTCAATGCTGTGGTCATGTAACTCTTTTAATTGATAACTAGTTTAATAAACATTTATTGCTTGCTATGTGCCATGTAATAGGGAATAAATCTAAATCTCCATGGACTTACATTTTAGTGAAGGAAACTAGACAATAAAGATAAATTTGTAAATGCAGATAGTAGGTCAAATGGTAGAAAGTTCTCTATGAAAAATAGTTCACTCCTGTAATCCCAGCATTTTGGGAGGCCGAGGCGAGCGAATTGCCTGAGGTCAGGAGTTTCAGACCAGCCTGGTCAACATGGTAAAACCTCGTCTCTACTAAAAATACAAAAAAAATCAGCTGAGTGCGGTGGCACACCCCTGTAGTCCCAGCTGCTCCGGGAGGTGGAGGTTGCAGTGAGCCGAGACCACCCCACTGCACTCCAGCCTGGGACAGAGCAAGACTCTGCCTAGAAAAACAGACGAAAGAAAGAAAGAGAGAGAGAGAGAGAGAAAGAGAGAGAGAGAAAGAAAGAAAGAAAGAAAGAAAGAAAGAAAGAAAGAAAGAAAGAAAGAAAGAAGAAAGAAAGAAAGAAAGAAAGAAAGAAAGAAAGAAAGAAAGAAAGAAAGAAAGAAAGAAAGAAAAGAGCAGATATAAGGTATAAGCCATTCTATAGATAGGTTGTACAGGAAAACTAACTGAGACATTTCGAGCAAACAAGAAAAAGGATGAGGCTCACAGGTATTTTGAGGAAAAGCATTCCAGGAAGAGTGAATGGCAAGTGCAAAGGCCCAGAAAGGGCAGAGTTGCTGACGTACACAAACAACAATGGCTGGGGCAAATTTAGAAAGGTGGGAGGAAATGGGTTAGAAGAAGTATACGGTATTGAGTGGCAAGATAAAATTGTGTTTTGTAAGCCATAGTATAGACTTTGCATTAACTCCTGAATGTGACAGGGAGTTTTAGGAGGTTGCATACAAAACTGTGATCTGATTTCCCTTACTTTCTAAGAGGATTATTTTGGCTGTTGAGTTGAGAAAAGATGGTTGAAACAGGAGGTTTAAGAATGGAAGCAGGGGGCTGGGAGTGGTGGCTCATGCCTGTAATCCCAGCACTTTCGGCGGCCGAGGTTGGTGGATCACAAGGTCAAGAGATCGAGACCATCCTGGCCAACATGGTGAAACCCTGTCTCTACTAAAAATACAAAAATTAGCCAGTTGTGGTGGCATGTGCCTGTAGTCCCAGCTACTTGGGAGGCTGAGGCAGGAGAATCACTTTAGCCCAGGAGGCGGAGGTTGCAGTGAGCCGAGATCATGCCACTGCACTCCAGCCTGGTGACAGAGCAAGATTCCATCTCAAAAAGAAAAAAAAGAATGGAAGCAGGAACACCAGTTAGTACAGGCCCCCAGCAATCAGGATAGAAGATAATTGTGTCTCGAGGAGTGGAAATCATGAAGGACTTATTCTGAGAATATTTTTGAATATTCAAATAGCTGATAGGGGATGTGAGAAACAAAGACAATCAAGAATGATTCACATATCTGGGTCTGCGGAAGTTAAAGTATGGATTTGTTTTTTATGGAGGTGGAGAAGACTGTAGAAGGTGCAGCTTACTGAGACAACAGCAGGTCTGCAGTGTGATATGTGTTAACTCTGAGAGGCCTCAAAAACATGTTGAATATCCTTAGGATAAATGAGTCTGGATTAGTTCAGAGGAAGATTCTAGACTGGAGAGATGAATTTGAAGTCATTAGCTTATTGATATTTTCAACCATGAGATTAGACGTTATTTACTAAGAAAGTTAAGGACAAGGAATTAGAATGCTAAAAGATTACATGGCTGAGCAAGAATGAGCAAGGAGATTTAGAAAGGCACAGCCAGGGAGTTGATAGGAAAACCATGAGGGGGTTTTCAGGAGGGCCTCCTGAAATCCAAGGGAAGAATGCATGGCAGAAAGGAGGGAATGACTGACTATATCAAATATTGCTCACAAATTGAGTAAGGATCCAATGTCTTGCAAGACCATGCCTAATGATCTCTCATTTTTGGCCTCTTTACCTGATTTAATGACTTTTCTTTCGTTCATCCACACTGGTTCAACTGTCATTTCAGGTAAAAACCTTTTCTTTACTGTCCCATTTGCCTGGAATGTTTCTCCCCCATATAACTTACATGACTTACTTCCTCAACTCTTTCAAGTTTTAACAAAAATGTTACCTTCTCAGGAAGGCCTCCCCTGAAAATTTACCACCCCAGCCCAACCCTGCAACATTCCTGGAGTATCTCACATGATTAATAATTCTCCATAGCATGTCTCGCTTCAAAAATACCTTATATTCTATTTATGTATCTAATTAGTATCTATCTCCCTGCATCAGAATACAAACTACACTAGATTTTTACCTATTACATTCACTGCTAGATCCTAGTGTCTAGAAGATAACTGTAGTAGGGTCTCAAAATCACATGATACAAAATGAACGAGAACTAAGCACTGGATTTAGCAATCTGGAAAGCATTTGTTACTCTGCCATGACTAATTTCCATGGAGTATTGAGTACAGGAGCTGATTACATGGGATTTAAGATAAAATGATAGGAGAGTAACTGGAGATGATTATACATCTCTTTTACATAAATATGCTGTAGAGGAAAGCAATAAATAGGCTTGCTGTAGATCAATGTAGAATTAAGTGAAGGTGTTTGTTTTAATTTTTATTCTTGTTTGATTATTTTAAGATTGGGATAAACCATTTGAAAGGGAAAAATGCTGATTCAGAAGAGATTAGAGAGAAAAAAATTTTGGAGTGATAACCTTCCCTCAAGGAGGTGAGGAGCCTATGATCTAGAAGACACCAAATGCTTTGGCCTAAGAAAAATGGGGACTTCATCCACAATAAAAAGAGAAAAAGCAGGGATTATGCATGTTGATGCAGAGAGGTTGATAGATGAATAATGGAAATTTACAGAAATGCACTTCTGATTATTTCTAATTTCTCCCTAAAATAGGAAGCAATTTTTGACTCTATGGATAGAAATAGTGTTGGAAGATTGATAAGAGTTATGATATAGTAACCAACCAGGGGATGTAGAATAGTGAATGTTCCAGACCGTAAGCCAGCAAATTGTGGCTCTCAGGCTAAATCTAGGCCCTCATGGGTTTTTTGTAAATAAAGTTTTATTGGAACACAGAATATGTAAGTAATGGGCATTTATTTACATATTTCTATTATTGTTCTTGCACTATGAAGGTAGAGTTAAGTGGTTGCAACAGAAACCTCATGGCACATAAAACTTCACAGATTTGGCCATGTGCAGTAGCTCATACCTATAATCCCAGCTAGTGCAATGGCTCACACCTGTAATCCCAACTACTTGGGAGGCTGAGGCAGGAGGATCACTTGAGCCCAGGAGTTTGAGACCAGATTGAGCAACATAGTTAGACCTCCATCTCTAAAAGAAAAGAAAAAACTCACATTTTTGCTGTTTGGTCATTTACAGAAAAAAGATTACCAACCCTGTTCTAGAAAAATGGAGTAGGTTTATTGGGGGTTCTGAGTGCTCACCTAAACTTAGGTGAGTCTCAGCATGCGTTTTACTCCAGCCACATTATGCTATGCAGGCTCAAGTGTGGAGGAATAGGCAGACAGCTGAATTAAATCAAGGTTGGCATCTTACCATGCTTGTTTAAGGAAAATAGAGGGTCAAAGGAGCTGAGTATTTGACAAGGAAGATTTTACAATGATGAACTTGCAGTATAAGCTAGTTACTGGGGAAATTAAGGACATAAGGGGACTGAAGGACTGTAGGAGATCAATAGATAGGTCCTCATGGAGTAAGAAAGCTGGAAACAGCAGATGGAAGATGGAAATTAGATAACTAAAAATTAGATTATGCATGGTTTGCAATTATTAGAAATTGTGAGTTTTTAGGATTTCAGTGGCTAGGGTGGGATGGGGTCAAAACCATTGGAGGAGAAGAAACAAATACCAGCCTTTGCAACTGACTTGTCAAGGTATTTATATTAATAACTGAAGTCTCCTCTTGGCTTACCAGAAACCTCTCTTGTTACTTCAAGCATTAATTTTACACTTATATAAATCAATAGGTATTCTATTCAGAGAAATGTGAATGGTACCTGATGATGCTTGGGTATTAGTTAGTAGATGTTAAGAAACCAAGGGAAAAAGTCTTAAGCTATTTGTGTCAACTTGTATAAACAGGATAACTTCGATGTTAAAAATGTATTTTTTTTTTTTTTTTGAGCCTGTTGCCCAGGCTGGAGTGCAGTGGCACCATCTTGGCTCACTGCAACCTCCGCCTCCTGGGTTCAAACGATTCTCCTGCCTCCGGCTCCCAAGTAGCTGGGACTACAGGCGCCCGCCACCACACCTGGCTAATTTTTGTATTTTTAGTACAGACGGGATTTCACCAAGTTGGCCAGGATGGTCTCGATTTCTTGACCTCGTGATCCGCCCACCTCGGCCTCCCAAAGTGTTGGGATTACAGGCGTGAGTCACCGTGCCTGGCCAAAAATGTGATTTTTCTACCATTTGCATTTATCACATTGTTAGCTCTAACCTACTTTGTGTACTACTTACAAGTTATGATCTAGGTGGCTTAGAAAACATAATTACTTTTAAGTCACGGAGGTGTCATTTGGTAAAATTATTGTCCTGTTAAGTTTCATTCTTGTGTTAAAGTAATTGGCTGAGTTATTCACACATTCCTTGAAGTGTTGTTAGTATTTCTTAAAACTCACTCCTTGTTTCTGGGAATCTTCTTTATATATCAAAAGGCTAGAATGACATCATCTTTTCTTTTGCAAAAGGTGATTAATAGATTAGTTAATAGGTGAACAGGTTTCTATAAAAAAAATAGACGTCAGAGTTAAATAATTTTAAAAGACCAGAAAAAAATTTGCTAATTCTCAATGCTCATTTACTAGAAAACACAAAAGAACTTCATAGTGGATTTTTAGTGGATCATATGGGTAAGCCTTTACCGGCATGTCAACTAATACATCGGCCAAAATGGTAATGTTAATTTATTTATGACAAGTTGTATAAATATTTCAGAGAAAAGACATACCAGTATCTTTGAGACACACCAAAAAATGTGGAGAGAGAGAAAAAACAATAAATCTGGTGCTTAAAATCTGGTGCTTACACACACATAGTTAGTATCCTAAGTGATACCAAAAAAGCACCTCTGCTCCATCTTTTGGTGCAATATTTTTTGATTATTGTTCTGTCCGATATACATGAAATGGTTTGGAGAATTTGACTCACACAGTTAGATTTATCTTCGAATATTATATTTCTATTCGGATGGCTCTCAAGAGACAAAAATAATTGTTGAAAAAAGTAAAAAAGCAAACATTGCAACACTTCTCTAAAGACAAAAATAGTTCCCATGTTTAAAATCAGAGCAGTGGTGTTGGGTAGCTGGATGGGATCAGCTCCTCTGTCAGTGGGTTCCAGGTTCTCGGAGACTAAAGAGTGTTCTCTTTAGTGTTCCAACACCTGGACAACGAATACTTGCTCAAGAACCTAGAGTGGAGGGCAAAGAACCCTGAAGAAAACAGTATATGCAGTCTCAATTATTTTTTGCATATTTTTTACTTAATATGCTATTATTTCTTGGTCTAATTTGGGGTTTTTGTAGTTTTGACTTTTTAAAATTATTCCTACATGAAATACATTGCTTCCAATAACATTGCTCTTTTCTTTCTCTCTCTTACTCAGAGAATAATAACAGAATTAGTTGGATTTACACTTACCGGCTCTTCTCCTTTCTATTTTTTAATTTTCCAATTGCTTGTTTATTTTTAAATTTTGTTTGGTATTTCCAACTATGTATAAAAGATTCTACAGATTAGCAATACAGTGGTCAAAATGATATTATTTCATTTAATATTTTATTTCATTATTCATTTAATAATGAGTTAAAGAATTGATTTCTCTCATTTTTAAGTTGTTTTCAATTTTATATTGCTAACCTGTGATGGGTTTTTGTGGTAAAGAGCCAAATAACCTAAAATGATCAGAAAGGTAAAATGTTTTTTGTAAGAAGAAACTCAAGGTCCTGGGCTTATTTAAGAAAATAAAAACACATTTGAGCTAGAAGCATTTTATACAGATTTGACTCCATTGACTTAAAACAATCTTTTATCTGAAAACCTCACAGGAAACCAAAGAGAATTTCTTCAAGATATTATAGTATAATTTAAATTGCATGGTGGTCATTATATTTCTGCTACCAGGTTGCCTAAATGAAATATATTTTAAAATCACCTGTTTCTATTTTGTCTAAGGCAAATAAATAAATAAAACAAAGATCTACTTGTTCTTTGAAGAAATCTGATATTTTTGTTTTAACATAAAGAATGAAACTATTTACATGCAAGTTAGAGCTGATCTACACACATCTTATTCTCAAAGTAAGTAATTTCCTTAGGCTTAATATTAACCTTAAAATTCTCAAAAGGAAATTACTTGCTTTAAGGATAAAATGCACATTTTTACAAAGAGAAATTGACTTTTCAGTTTTCAAAAATTATAATAATCTTATAATAATCCACTTTTTGTAAAGCATATATTATAAAATTGTTGTTCATATTCATATTGTGTAGTATACAATTATGTTGCAGCTATTATAAGGATTTAATAAACACTGGAAGTAAGAATTATCATTTAATAAGATATAGGTAGAAAATAATTTTATTTTCTTAAAAATAACTTTTAAAAACATAATTAAAATCCTTTGTCTACATCTACTTATAATTATTGTAGACATTTCTAACATAAGTTCATGAGGTTTTCATGTTCCCATTCAAAGTAATATGTAAGTAGAGACTAATATAATTCCTTAAGCCTTATGAAAGTTAGTATTTTTATTGATAACTATCTTATTATTTTTAACTTGCCATAACTTCTAGTTTGGCCAGAAGAAATCAGATCTAAAACATACAAAGCCTAGAAAAAATGTAAATACATTTAAATTTCATTGCTCTCACCTTTGTATTTTGAAGCAAACCAAGAAAGCATTTTTCTTTCTGAATTGCATTAGGCTTTTTTTTCTGTTTGTTTGTGAAGTACTAAAGGAAACACAAAACAGTAGAGATCAGACAAGAAAATGGCAGCACTCAGAAAAAGTTATCATTTTCTAAATAAAATAACCTCCAAAGTCTTTACTCCCTCTGTCCAGCATTCTGATATTGAATATTTACGCACAGAATCGTCATTGAATTTTGACGTGTTAGTTCAGCTCAGCTGAAGTAGAATCATAAGGGGATGGCATCTATTGTACTTGAAAAGAATTCACACACATAGGAAAGAGGAATAAACAAAACAAAAAAGAAAAAAAACAGATACACTGCAGAAGCTAATAATAAGTACACAAAGTACACAAGTGTATTTATTACATTTTGCAAGCACTCTGTTCTACATTTCAAAAACGCCACCATCAAGCTGTTGGCACATTTATGTACAAAACAGATTAATTGTAATGCCTGCTACAAAGCACTCTGTGAAAATACAAACTCTAATACCAGAAATAAAAGCCAAAAGTGTCAACATCATTACATAAGTTGAAAAGACAGTTTTAGAAATTATCACAAACTGTTAAGACACGGAACTGAAATACTATAATATAGAATTTAAAGAAGCCCATTAATACTTTTGCTGAATATCTGTAATACTGCATATATCAGAAAAATGTTGAACCAGTAAGATAATCTAAGCATAAAGAAAAGGAAGCAAAATGAACCCCAAATTAATTAAATAATACTACGGAATGCATAATCATGCCACAGATATCCCTAGTAGTACCCCCTACCTACTACAAGAACTTGTAAAATTACTGATGATGCATGACTAGTCATTGTACAAAGATTGTTTCACTCAATAAATTTTTATTAGAAATGCAGTTACACTGAGAAAGGATTTCACAATGGTCAAATCAGTGCACAATACTACCTAGTTTTATACACTGAAAAAAATGTCTTGTCAGGCTACATCATTTTAGAAGACACTTTACAGCATTCTTGTAGCATTAGAAATAATGAAAAGAAGAGCGTCAAGGTGAAAACAAACACCAAATTTGGTCCAATAATACTGATTGCTCTTTGTTAAAATTCCTTTGATACAGGTACTTTTTATAAATGAATATGAATGAACATTCGGTTAAAATGACTTACTTGAAATAAAAACACAAATATATCACTACACTTTCAAACAATACATTCTATAGGGGCCTCTGACCACACTTTATAAAACACTACAGGTAAACCAACATAGATTGGAAGGCTGCAAGCAAAGCTATTATATTAATGGAAGCCTTTTCAAATATATCATACACATTTTAGGAATAGTTTACAGAGGTGCAATCCATTAAAACTTTTAAAGTAGGTAAAACAACTTCCGAGGGGTTAGTGTGCTTATTTGTAATAAACCACCTTCATAAAGGTAATTAATTTTCCACATTAGCATATTAAAAGTTCCAATCCAGCCACTTCTTAAATCACAAAGAGATCATTCTTCAATAGTCTACAGTAGTTATTTCCATTAAAATTGTCTCTATATACTAAACTTTAAAAGGTAAGCCTGGTGTCACAATCTTAAAAAGGCAACTAGCCATGCATTAGCATTACTGTTTCTACATGCTCACAACATAAACATGAGTAATCTGAGGGAAATACCTTTTAAGAACATCAAGGAAAAGTACAATGTTAACAAAGATAAGAAGCACTTTTTTTTTTAAACCTACTCTTACAAATTTAGAAATTGCACCTTAGATTGATGAAAACATGAACCAGGGCCTACAGTAATATGGCCACTGATCTTCAGACAAAATTTCCATATTTCAAGAGTCATCAAGATGTAATCTCTATCTATTGTTCATAATGTACAATGGTCCCTTTGAAGGTTACCTGTAGTTAAACTAGTTACCGAAATCAAAACTAAAAAGTATAAAAAGCTATTTTCTTTTCAAAACATAAGAAATAATGCAAAAGGTGTTATGTATAACACATGGGAAGTGGTTAAAAATCAAACAAATCTTTGCATTTGACAATGTTAGTATCTTTGATTTTACAGAACTAGTAAATGAGTTTGAGAAATTTCAAAAAAAAGGCTGGATAGGAGCTTGTAGAAAAGATCTGATTTACATCAATTTAATAAATTGGGAAATTTAAGTGCTAAACAACAAAGAATTGTACTCAGGTGATTCATAAGTCACCTTACATATCATTGATGAGAAGCACTTTCGTTTTGTTTTTTAAAGGTTGGATGGTTGGATGGCCCTTAGTTAAACACCAATGCATTCAAATGGTAGAAAGAACAGGAAGATGCATTTATGTGTATGCATTGAGCCGCTCTTTGGAGCGAGTAGAGTGGATGTCATGAAGCTCTTGCTCTTCCTTCGACTTGATGTCTTCATACTTCTGCATCCGGCAGGCGTCTTTCACATAGGCCCAGTTGGCAGACAGAACCATAAGGTAGTGAACCTAATCAAAGAGAAAAATAATTTATATTGGAAGTTTGTTCAGTGTCTTCATTACACCTTGCTATCTCGAAAGAAGTCTTCGAATTATAGCTCTTTATAGGAAATGTTCACATATAAAATGGAAACAAAATTTCTTTGGTAACAGAAACAATATAAAATATATTTTCATTCCTCCAACTATATCCCACCATATTCTTGGCACCATTTCTTTCAGTATCTCTTTCTCCTTTTCAATTCTTGGAAGTAATCCAAAACTAATTCTTAGTCTTTATAGGATGTTTCCTGCCCAATGTGTCCTCATTTGCCCAAACCATAGATGATTCATTTCATGTTCATGTATCTATGTTTTATAATCCATAATCAGAAATATTTTCACATACCGTTGTGTCTAACTGACTTGAATTAATTGGAGGTTCTATTACCCCAATTAAAGAGAGATCATGGAAACCCCCAAATATACCTGTGGACTTGATTATCAGGTTAATTTTGCATATGATGAATTTTGTAGTTTCTTTTTGGTTATAAACTACAGGAGATAAAATATTGTGTTACATGGATTTTTTATATGTATATACATTCACAAAAACTGGAATAGTGCCATGTTCAAAAAGGAAGCTCCTGGTTTGTCTTGAGTAATGAAGTTGCTGGAGAAATAAAGCTCCTTTATTTGACTTGAGTTTACCCAGCAATGAGACCGCTTATTTGTTTTTCTTTTCTTTCTTCCCTCTTGGTCCACAGGGGAGATAAAGCAGCTTTCCACATGATGAATTTTGATGAATAGGGAAGAGAAACTAAGTTGACAGTTATTTACATTCTCTGAGTTTTAAAGGGTGGGCAATATTTTAATCCAACATTCAGAAAAATAGAACACTAAGATTTTGATAATTAGTAAACAGTACATTGAAAGAGGAGGCGGGCTGGTTCTAGAAAAGTACAGATGGATATAAAGAATGCAATGTCAATTCTAAATAATGAATATTGTGGTGTGTTCAGGTAGTCAACAAACAGCAAAAAACAAAATAATTTTGACACGGGATGTAGGGGAAAAGATGCATACCACTATAAATAACCTATTTTTAGAATTTTCTGTTTCCTCTGAAGTTTAGCATTTTGTTTAAGGAATATTGTAAGCCACCTGAAAGCAGGGGCTGTGAGTTATATTCTTGTACATTATGGCATTTACATAGTGAAAGCATAATCACTGTATATATATATATATATATATATATATATATATATATACATATATATATGGATTAAATAAGGCTTATACACATAATGAAGTTTATGCAGTATTTTGTTGCTGTAAAATATCAAGTGCTGTGGAGAGTGCTTAGTACATAGCAGATACACAAAATATTTGCCAAATAAATGAATGTATTTTTCAATCTTCAAAAACTTTTCATAATATCTGAGAAAATGTGGCCCCCAAATTATTATTAAATATGTATAATTGAGGCCAGGTGCGGTGGCTCACGCCTGTAATCCCAGCACTTTGGGAGGCCAAGGCGGGTTGATCACTTGAGGTCAGGAGTCCAAGACCAGTCTGGCCAACATAGTGAAACCCCATCTCTACTAAAAGTACAAAACGTAGCTGGGTGTGGTGCCACGTGCCTGTAATCCCAGCTACTCGGGAGGATGAGGCAGGAGAATGGATTGAACCTGGGAGGCAGAGGTTTCAGTGAGCTGAGATCATGATACTCTCCTCTAGCCTGGGCAACAGAGTAGACTCTGTCTCAAAAAAATACATATATATATTTACATAATATATATTATATATAAAATATATATTTTTATATTATATATATTTTACATACATGAGGAAGCACCTGTTTCTGAATTGGAGTGATCTTGAATTTCTTTTCAGTATTTCACTCATGCATATATATATATATATATGTATTTATATATATTTATATATGTAAATATATATAAGATAAAAAATATATTTATATAAAAATATATATAATACAAAAATATATAATATATTTATATATAAAATATTTGTAATATAAAAATATATAACATATAATATATCATATATAATATATTATATGTGATATATAATATATAATATATTATATATGATATATTATATGTCACATATAATATATCATATATGTGACATATATCATATATTATATGTGACATAATATATCATATATAATATAAAATATATATTATATATTATATATAATATAAAATATATATTATATATTATATATTATATAAAATATATATTATATATTATATATAATATAAAATATATATTATATATTATATATTATATAAAAATATATAATATATAACATATAATATATTATATAATATATAATAATATAATATAGTATATATATAAAAATGTATAATTATATATATAAAAATATATGGAGAGCCTTAGAAGGACTCCCAGTAACCTCATATATATATGACCTTTATATATATATAAAACCTTTATATTTTTATATATATAAAAATATACAATATATTATATATTATATAAAAATATATTATATATTATATAAAATATATTATATATTATGTAAAATATATAATATATAATATATATTATATATATATTATATATTATATAAAATATAAAATATATAATATATATAATATATATATAATATATAATATATTATATATTATATATATTTATATATAATATATTATATATTATATAAAAATATAATATATAATATAAAAATATATAATCTATATATAATATATAATATAAAAATATATAATCTATTTATATATTATATATAAAAATATATAATATATAATATAAAATATATAATCTATTTATATATAATATTTATATATTATATATATATATATACATATATGCATGAATGAAATACTGAAACTCAAGGTCACTCCAATTCAGAAACAGGTGCTTCCTCATGGTTCTTACAAGCATTTCCTCTGGCCTTAAGGGGAACCCAAGCTGCAGGGCTTATTACTGTCCCTCGCTAGGTGAACAGTGATTACTGAAATCTGGTCCAATGCTAAGTCGATTTACTTTGTCAGCATGTAGGACTTCCTAACTTCTCTACAAATAATGGAGTAGAGTAGAACAGAATAAGTTCTTAAGAAATATTATTAATAACATTACAATTACTATTCTCAATTTTTAATATTAAGTTTTTAAGAAATATTATTAATAATAAAGTCCCTGCTTTATTATTCCTGGTACTAGCAGCATTAGTACCAGGAACAGTAGCAGTAGTTATATTTTACCTGTCTCCCAAGACCTACATCATTATCAGAGCTAATAAATTGGAAATACTTAGGTCAATCATTTAAGCTAGTATGGGGTTTTGTGATGACTCTAGACAGAGAAAATAACCCCCAAATAATGCTTAGTACTTGAAAAAATAATCTTCTAAGCTTTCTGTTTTAAATAAAATGTACGTATAGCTTTAAGTATATGCAAAGCATAGATTGCTTAAGAAATACATAATATATAAATTTCTATCATCTCAAAATCTGTTGATTTGTTTTGAGAGTAAGCATTTTCAGGGACATTTAAATAACATTTGTCTAAATAGGTGTTTTTCACTAGTGTATACCTGTATTTTTAGACAGAATTTTATATGCACATATATGTAGCAAATGCAAACAAATATTTATTATAGTCCACTTTTTAAAAGATACCTTCACAGACTTCTTGTACCTGGGTATATATTGCTTGTACATACCCGTGTCATTAAAGTTTTTGACAGCATAGAAATGGGTGTATGAACACAAGGGTACATATGTTTCCTCTGATATCACAACCAGCATGTTTTCTCCTAAGGACAATAATGTTTGGTATATCATTGGCCAGAACTTGCTGATTCTTCCCCAGGGCATAGTTTAGCATTAATTTTAGGTTGAGAATATAAGGCCTTTGCTTTTGTTCTATTTTGATCCCCCCAATTAATCAACCAACATGATCCTTATCAAGCGTCTCACGTTCTGAAACAAAATTTCTATATAGAGGTTTATTCTATATAGAGGTCACTGTATCAAAAATGTTGAGCAACGCTAAAGTAACAAAACATCAAAAATTCATGTTAGTACTGACATAGTTTTATTGAATATATATGTAAGTCATTTTTAATAAAACAAATTAAATACAAAATATTTATGAAATCAGTAAAATAACCACTCTGACATGGCTAATTAGCACATTAGTATTTTCTCATCATTCTTATTTTTAGTCTCTGACAAGAGAAAAACATTTTTTTATGAAAGTGTTCCTTTCACCAATACATTAGATAGATATTGGCACCATGAGGAAAATAATTAAATAAATTCCAATTCATTCACCATCTTTACATATTGACTCGGCTGTCACAGTCGTGAGGTTACTGGGAGTCCTTCTAGGGCTCTAGACTACTCATCCTCAAGGATACAAACAAAGACTGAAGATATTGGCTGCAAAAGCTATTACTGACACTCAGAGCACTTGCTCAGGGTTGATATTTGGCATTCCAGTGGGCATACTGGAACTCATGCCAAGTTAGAAAGGAGGAGACTGGCTCTGGCACGTGGTAGATCCTCCTCATTGTGTAAAAGCTTGATGTCTTAAAAGAAGATCTAAAGACTGGCTCTTAATATTTCTGAAGCAAATTAGATATAGAAGACATGACTTGAAACTACTGACATTTGTTTTTTTTAATAACCTAATTTGTTTTTCATAAATGACTCTATATGGCTTTTTAATGTTCTTAGCTAAGGAAAAAAAAGTAAATCAAGGAATTGATTAGATTACTCACAATGTCACATTGGTATGTACATATATGCTACAGAAATAATTTTTATATTTATAGTAATCTAATATCTAAAATCCTAATGAATTACTATTTTTGTTAATGTTCTCAATATGGTAATAATAATATTTCTTGGGGTTTAGTCTTGTTGTTGACTTACTTACCCATTGTTTTCCCTACTTTTTTTAATCTGATGACATAAATGTGTTTTACATGAACTTCAAACTTTAGAGATAGTTTATCATCTCTACAAGCAAATAGCTTTGGAATTCACATTGAAAACCAAGCACCAGCGCTTTGAGGTCTTACCATAGCAATGACTGCTGCCCCAGCTCCAGCAAGTGCCACAATAAACAAGTGGAAGGTCATGTTCAGCTGCAATGGAAACCACAGAGAATCAAAAGGTGTCAGAGTTATAGGTAGAAGAGAAGTCAAGATTGCTACTGTCTTATAAACAAGACTTTGTACATCTTAAATAAAAGCGAGCCTGTGATAAATCACCCACCTGATTAAAACAGATTATTACAATATATTTTCCCCTGCAAATCATTTAAATCCTTTCAACTTCATCATTATAACATAATTTCATTATAAAGATGAGACAATGATTAATAATGATGGTTTTCATCAGTAACATTATAACAATATAAGGAGGGCTATGCTCTCTTTAAAAACAACTTCATCATGTTTTCAGCCTTCATTAAAATGAGTTTCCAGAAAATTTGAAATAGTTATTATAATTTTTATTGAAATATGCAGAGCATCTAATTCCTATTTATCCTCTACTCCTCCTGAATAACACTACTTCAGGTAAAATTGCCTCTGATAGAATAAAGGGAAAAGTCAATATAGATTTAGTTTTAATACATTATCCAAATAATAAAAAATGAATGCTAAAATTCTGACAAAATTAAAGGCTGTAAAAACACTCACCTCAGTAGATTCGCACATCCTCAAGAAATTCTCAGAGACAGTACAAATTTTCTTTTCCTCTCCAATTGTCACAATTCCTACAATGTGTGGGAAATGACAGTTTAGCAGTATAAATGTTTTGAAGAGCCAAGAGAGAAAAAAATGAGTTTTTGCTAATCAAATCTAAGCAAGTTCCATTTTATCTTATGTTATGTTACAGTGGAAAAATAATCTAGCTTTCATTGTGGATAATAACTATGCATAGAATTATGAATATAATATGCAAGACTATTTAGCCCTCAAGCAATTTAAATAATTTCAATCTGAATTCAATTGAATCTCACCACCAGAATTTCCAGACTCAATTATAGCCAGTTTATTGGTTTGGCCCATTAATGTGATAGTATAGGCATCACAATTATTTTGTTAACTATGCCCCAGACTGTGCTGAAGTCAGGATCTAAATTTGTTCAGCTGGTGCAGTGCTTCTGTTAATCTCTAAAAGCATACTGCCCAAAGGAGTACTTTTTTTTCTGCCAATATTGCAAACAATGCTATTAGTAACAGGAAATGAAAAGTTGCCATTTCGCTTCTATTTACCCTTGTTCCAGTTGGTTCATAGACCAACAGCATTAGAATCACCTAGGAAGTTGTCAAAAATATGTATTTTTAGACTCTAACACAAAACTGATAGATGGGAATCTATGAATATTAGGCCTAGAACACTGCATTTTTAAAACGAGCACAGAGGCAATTCACTGGCACGCCTCTTTGTCTCATCTTAGAGAGCAAAAGTAACCAAGTTCATCTGAGCATGGCTCTTTAATTTTATTTTCTGAACTCTTGAAGTGCTAAACACATACAGGCATGATAAAACATTTTCAGGACATTCTAATACCTAAGATTTTAGCATTTTCTGCTCTTTAGTTGTTTTTGTTATTGTTGTTTTATTTTCATGGTTTGTTTTGTTTTGTTTGAGACGGAGTCTCACTCTGTCACCCAGGCTGGAGTATAGTGGTGCAATCTCAGCTAATTGCAACCTACGCCTCCCGGGTTCAAGTAATTCTCATGCCTCAACCTCCAGAGTAGCTGGGATTACAGGTGCCCGCCACCACACCCAGCTAATTTTTCTGTTTTTAGTAGAGACGAGTTTCACCATGTTCACCAAACTGGTATCAGACTTCTGACCCCAAGTCATCTGCCCGCCTCAGCCTCCCAAAGTGCCAGAATTACAGGTAGGAGCCACGGTACCAGGCCTTCTTTATTTAGTTTTAATATGTATATGTATTTACATATTCTTAGCTTTATGGGGTGTCATCAACTCTCCCTCTCTTACAGAGCTGCTGCTATTAGTTTGTCCTTTGCCAATAGTTTGTGGAATCTATTTCAGTGTGAAAAATCTATTTGCAGTAAACAAACACAGAGATCCCTCTCTACAGCCTTTCCTTTCTGCCAAGATGGTTCTAAGAGTGGGTAAAAATTTAAAAGGGTTCTCTCATGAGATTTCCTCCCTAAAAAATCACCATTGTTGAAAAAGCTTCTGGTCAAGGCTCTCTCTCTTCATAGTAATCCATTACAGACTTTATTTTGTGGAATATTTATGTTGTGCTTACATTTCCTTATTCATTTCTCAATTCATGTTTTCAGCAAAACACCTAGAAAGTGTTGCCTAACCTCACTGTAATTCCTTTCCTTTCATTTCTACTTAAATCCTCTCAAGTCAGATTTTGCCCTAACCCCCCTCCATGGAAATTTTCTTATAAAGATAATAATGACCTCCAAGGATTAATTCTCAGTTTTCATCTTCTTGCAAGTTGACAGTATTAAACACAGTTGATGCCCACCTTTTCCTTCATGCTCTCTTCATTTGTCTTCTAAAATCTACAGTTTTCAGTTTTTGCCTTTCTGATCTCATTGGCTCCTTCTTCTCATATTTTTGTCTGTTGCCTCCTCTTCTCTCTGACCTCTTAAGTTGCAGCTTCCCACCCTTCACTCCTCAGCCTTTTTTCTCCCATGCATATCTCATCCAGTCCCAGATATTTAAATACTGTCAACAACTCCTAAATCTATGTGGCCATCCCATATCTCTCTTCTGAAATCAGGATTCATATATCCAATTTCTCATCTGACCATTCTATTTGGATTTCTAATAAGCATTTTAAAAAAACTTCTGCTCTTCTCCTTTGCTGGCTCCACTCCCAAGCAAACACTTCTCATAGCCTTTCCTATCTTTCTTGATAGCAAATCTTACCATTTGCTCAGTCAAAAGAAATTCCTCCTTGAATTCTCTTTTTTCCCCCGCAAACCCTACATGCAATCTATCAGGAAATTCTGCTGCCTCTATGTTCAAAATACATCCATAATCAGACCGATTCTTCCCACCTCCCTTGCCATCTCCTCATCCAAGCCACCAAAATCTCCCACTTGGATTAATACAATCATTTGCTAACTGGCTTCCTTGCTTCTACCCTTCCTACAAACCATTCTTCAAGTAGCAGCTAGAGTAATCCTTCTATTATTAGTCAGACCATCTCCTGCCTCTGCCAAAATCTGTAATGACTCTCTACTCCCCTCAGAATAAAACCCCACACCTATAATGTTCTGTAATGCATTCATCAAGATGGTACATCGTGGGAACTCATAGACTTCATCTCAGTCTTTTGTCCTACTGTCTTGTTCTACTTCAGACACATTGACTTCCCTGTTGTTTCCTGAGAAACCAGGTATCACATTGGCTTGGTAACTTAGCACCGGCTCTTCTCTCTGACAAGAATATTCCCAGAGCTGAGCTACTCCTGTCCTTCAAATGACAACTGCTCAGTGCAATTTTTCTACATCATTAAAAAAAAATACTATCGTTACAGTAGGTAGTCAGACATGAGCAGAGCAAGAGAGACCCCAACTCACCGCCCACCAAGGATGTCAGGCCACCATCAGGTGACAGTCAGGTAGTTGTTAACTGTCTTTCTAAAATAATAATTAGTCACAGCTGGCTCCTAATAAAGAAACACCTGTAGCTGGTGATCGGCAGCTTCTTGATCTGAACTCAGGAGTTGCAGAAGCGGGCTCAAGCCTGCACACTAAGAGGCAAAATGGCAGAGTGTAACTGATATATGACCTTCCTCTAGGAACACTCAAATGAGCATGTGTGCAACTCCAGAAAACACAGTGCACATACGGTCCTTCCCAAGTGCCGGCCACCCACTGCACATGCGGACAGCCCACCTCAAGGGAAGAACCAGGTGAGAAGTATGCAAGACCCTAGAAGAAGGCCAATGTATAAAACCCCAAGTCAAAAGATCCAACAGGGTACTTGATCTCTCAAGTCTCCCGCTTGGCCCTTTTCCAACTCTACTTTCTTTCATTCCTGCTCTAAAACTTTTCCGTTTGTTTTTTTTTTTTTTTTTTTTGAGATGGAGTCTCGCTCTTTTGCCCAGGCCAGACTGCAGTGGCGCTATCTCGGCTCACTGCAAGCTCCGCTTCCCGGGTTCACGCCATTCTCCTGCCTCAGCCTGCTCTAAAACTTTTTAATAGACTTTCACTCCTGCTCTGAAACTTGCCCCGGTATCTTACTCTGCCTTATGCCCCTCAGTTGAATTCTTCCTT
The DNA here is from genome assembly GCF_000001405.40 of Homo sapiens. Classification (NCBI taxonomy): domain Eukaryota; kingdom Metazoa; phylum Chordata; class Mammalia; order Primates; family Hominidae; genus Homo; species Homo sapiens. The sequence goes on from NC_000004.12 coordinate 175,644,338, forward strand.
CTGAGGAGGCAAGAAGTGAGGTTGCTGCAGGCCCATATGGATGTACCACTGCTAACATCATTACTGAACCTCCAGTACTCCTGATGCTATATGTATATGTGTATATATACACACACACGCACACATAAAATAAAGTTTTTGTGATAAGTATACCATATATAACAAATAGATATAATATATATTAAAAATTAACTGTAGTTTAAAAATCAACATGTGAATAATATGAAGCTCTAGAAGGGAGCACGTGGAGGATGAGCTGCAGTGTAAATTTGAAAACCTGATTATTTTGATTCTCATATATCTGTCTATGAATGGCCAAATTGTTCTCACCAAAAATTAAGAACATTATTCAAATTTATATCAATTTTTCTAAATATTGAATATATATATTTATTACCTATGGAAAAGTTTTTAGCTGAAAGGTGCAGACTGATATTTTCAGTTTCTTCAAAGCAATTAGGAGAAAAGGCAAGTTATAAGCAAGGGAGGCCAGGCGCAGTGGCTCACGCCTGTAATCCCAGCACTTTAGGAGGATGAGGCAGGCGGATCAGCTGAGGTCAGGAGTTCAAGACCAGCCTGGCCAACATGGTGAAACCCCGTCTCTACTAAAAAAATACAAAAATTAGCCAGGCGTGGTGGTGGTCACCAGCTACTTGGGAGGCTAAGGCAGGAGAATCGCTTGAACCCGGGAGGTGGATGTTGCAGTGAGACGAGATCACGCCACTGCACTCCAGCCTGGGCGACAGAGTGAGATTGTCTCAAAAATAATAAAAATAATAAGCTGAAACTAGGCAAGAGAAGCATTAAGAACTGGGTGCAAAGAGAATTGGGGAGAACAGGGAGGACTTGATGCATGAAAGTTGCAGTAACGGGCTTCTTTAGTACCTTATATTTTTCATGCTAGCTAAACACAAGTAATATATTTCTGGAATTGTGAGAATTATTTGTACTTGAAATATGAACAACGTCAGAGAAAATGATGCGTAATGTGTGTACACGGTTCCTATGACTTTCATCACTAAGGCAATAAAAACCTTTGGTGCTTACTGGACAGTTGAAGTGCGACTCCTAGGGTTGTAAATTCCTCTTAAGAAAATTGTAGGCCGGGTGGGGTGGCTCACGCCTGTAATCCCAGCACTTCGGGAGGCCAAGGCAGGTGGATCATTTGAGGTCAGGAGTTCGAGACCAGCCTGGCCAACATGGTAAAACCCCGTCTCTACTAAAAAAACAAAAATTAGCCAGGCATGGTGGCACACGCCTGTAATCCCAGCTCCTCGGGAGGCTGAGGCAGGAGAATTGCTTGAACCTGGGAGGCAGAGGTTTCAGTGAACCGAGATGGCGCCACTGCACTCCAGCCTGGGCGACAGAGCAAGACTCCGTCTCAAAAAACAAACAAACAAACAAAAATTGTAAATGAGAGTTGGAGTTAAGCAGAATGAGCAGATACTTATGACACTCTGAGGTCTGATAGCACGATAGGAATTAACTCCCTACTATGAAATATAAATGCTTAAATTTAAAAATAATTTATCATTTACGTTGCTAATTTTAAAGATGATAAAATACCAGCATGTCCTTTTGCAGATTCTAGAGACCACCCACTTCCCCTGGCTCTAGGGGGGTTTTCTTTATTTTCAAAGTCAGCAACAATGGATCTTTTCATACCCTTCCTCTATAGTCCATCTGCCTCTGAATGACTCCTCTCCTTTGGCCCTACTTTTCATTTTTAAGGATGCTTCTGATTACATTGATGCCACCTGGATAATTCAGGCTCGTTACTTTCTTAAAATCAGTTGATTAGCAACCTTAATTCCATCTGTGACTTCAATTCCCCCTTGACATGTCACCTAACATGGGAATACCAAACAGAGGCTTAGCCTACACAGGAAAAATATAACCAATATTTTACCAAATGAATTATTGAATTATTTAGCAGAAATGAATATAGTTCAGTAATTAGCAATGACACATAGCTAGATATACAAAAGAATTCCTATTAGGAGTATATGTATCTAATTTTTATGCAAACATAAAGTGTCCTTTTGAATAGCACACACTTAGGTTAAAAGCGCTATTTATTTCTAGTTTCAACTCTATCTTCTGTTACATCTTGGACAAATAATGGAATATTCCTAGGTCTTGGCTGTCTTCTCTAGAGAAAGTATGATGAGCCAGGTTCATGATGTAAGTGTCAAACTTCATTTTATATTTTTGTCATGAAGATATTTTTCTTTCAAAATTGAGCAGTACTAGCACATGACACAATTTTTCCTTAAATATTTGTTGAAAATGAAACCAACCCAATTGTCCCATGGAAATGATATTTGTGGGTTTTTGAACAAACATAGAAATTAACCCTGCTGGTCTTAAAACTTGAAATTTACATTTGTCTCATCTGAGTTCCTCCCTCAGGAAACTCACCATCAGGCAAGGGACTGAAGCTGACCAGATCACCACATCTAGACAATGAGATGCCAGACTCTCATTCATGGTTACCTCCTTATCCCCTAATTCCTGTTTTACATTCCTTATTCACTATATGACCCCACCACCAATTTTAGTGGTAGGGAGACAGATTTGAGACTGATCTCCCATCCACCTCGGCTGCAGTGCCTGAAAAAGCCTTCCTTCCTGGCAATACTTTCTGTCTCAGTGACTGGCTTTCTGTGTGGCGAGCACTGTGACCTAGATCGAATCCCTGCTTTCAGCAACAAAAATAGTGTGAGCAAATAAATGAAATGAAATCCTACTGAGAAGTGCTTTATGGAAATAAGATAAAAACAAGCTGCTCTCGCTAACATGCGTGGGTGTGCTGAATAAGAGGTAGGATTGGCTAAAAGTCTAAAAGAAGCCCCACCTACTTTCTCTCTGTGTTGGCTCTTAAGTTTTATCAAGTCTTCAGGTTGTAATGGAGGAAAGTTTTAAACCTTACATCTAGATGATGTAATGAGGATCAGTTTCAACATTTCCTCACATAAAGTTATGGGGATAAACATCTAATACATCCAATGTAATTGAATCACAGAATATATAATTGGAGGATAACAGAAATCATAATAAAAGCATCAAAAATACGAATAAAATTATTTCATGAGCAGTTTGAAATACAGCAAATCCTAATATGATATGCTATCTATAAATCCTCCAACTATATCAAGTAATGTCTCTGTGTGCCATTAGAACTGTTCGAAATGCATAAATTTATTACATGCATGGGAATGAACAGTAAGATGTATACCTCCACTAAGTAGGTATAATGGCCATTATAGGCTGAGAGTTCCTATTACATATTAAATACCTAGTCTCCTGTAAAATAAAAGATAGCGTCTATATACTAAGGAGACAACTCTGCAACAAGGGAAATTAAAGTATATTCTTATCTATGCAATTGTCTTTTTGATGAATATTAGTAAATTCTGAATTGATCCTAATACAATGTTTGAGGAATGGTTCTCTTCTGATGCTTCTTGATAATAATGTGGTTATATACATACATTCAGGAGTCTTATCAGGACATATAATCTGGAGGGCAAATAAATGCTATACAGCAATAGATTTTATATTAAGAGCTAAACAGAACGTCTTAATAGCTCATGTAAAGGCTGCATGACATCTAAAAAGTGCCTTCTCTTTCTTTCAAATCCATAAAAGAAAAGGTACCTTTGGATAAATATTGATAAATATGTTGTAAACATTGGTAAGCTTCAAAGAATAATTTTAACCACATATTTATGCTTTACATAGTATAGAAAGAAATAATATAGCACATTCTTTTCTTTTTTTAAAAAAAAAAGACAATCAGAGGTATGAACTAATGAGATTGAAATAAGGTTTTTGACTTTGAGTTGATGCCATAATGGGATGAAACCTTTGGAACTTGGGGTAGGTTGAATGTATTTCACACAAAGAAATGGATGTGTATCTTTGGTGGCCAGAGAGTAGACTGCAGTAGGCAAAAAATAGCCTCCCATAGATGTTCACATCCTTAACTCCGGAACTTGTACCTGTGTTGGAGTAAGCCGTGAAGGGGAATTAAGCTTGCAGAATTGTCAGGGAGAGGCAACTTTGCTGGCTTTGACAGAAAATGGACTGCCATCATGATCAAGTAAATGTAGGAGATCACAAAAACAGTAAGCAGTTTGGGAAAAAAATTGACCTTGGCTTTCGATACTGTATCTGTCTCCTATTGCTGCTGTAACAGATTGTCATAAATGTAGTGGCTTAAAGCAACACAAGTTTGTCTCTTACAGTTCTGGAAGACAAAGCTAAAACCAAAAGGTCATCAGGGCTGCACTTCTCTGGAGGCCCTAGAAGCAGGAGCAGCTTCCTTTCCTATTCCAGTTTCTCCAGGCCACCCACATGCCTTGGCTCTTGGCCCCTTTTCTCCATCTTTAAAGCCAGCAACACTGCATCTTTCTGCCTTTTTTCTATAGTCTGTCTATCTCTGACTGACTCTTCTCTTCTGACTCTCTCTTCCACTTTGAAGGATCCTTGTGATTACACTGGGCCCATCTGGCTAATCCAGGATAATCTCCCCATTTTAAGATCAGTTGACTAGCAACCCTAATTCCCCATTGAAAGTAATCTCACATATGTATATGTTTCAGGAATCAGAATGTGTACATCTTTGAGGATCCTTTATTCTGTCTACTTAATAGACTAATGGTTTACTCAAGATTATAGTTGAAAAAAGCTCTTTTGCTAAAAATTGTATTGGAAAAGCTGTCGAGTAGAAAATAATTGTGCTAAGATTCAGGACACTCCCCTTTCAATCCCAGCACGGCCTGCTGGGTAGCTATATCCCTGGAAAATTATTTCATTTCTTAGGGCTCCATTTCTTTTAGACCAGACAGCTGGACTGGTGACAAATGAAGTCCATTTATAAAATTCTATGGCTCTAAGACATATTCTGTGCTTAATGTCATAAGGAATCCTATATACTTAGTGGTATAAGCCTTAATACTTTCAGTGAAATTAGGTTAATTTGGGGATCACAAGCACTTGAATGCATTGAGAATTAATAAGTTTTTCTCTTTTTAAAGTTGAAAATATTAAGAAGGTCTATTTATCTTTTACAAAGGATTATTCTTTCTGTCCTTTAGAAAACAAACTTGGGGAAATTTTAAATATTATTTTTCTAGAGTCTCCCAATGTTTTTTCAGTTTAGAATCTGGTTTGATAATACCAAAGACCTTATAATCACCTACTTAACTATTTGCATTTATTATCCTACAGGAAATGAAATGTTCCTAATCAGAGCATGCTAATCTCTCGTGTATTTCTGAAAGTATAAACCATCACATACAAGAGAATCCGACCCTCATGTTTTCCTGTGGTAACACTTTCTTAAGATTAAACCGAAGCTCTGAGAGTAGGGTTAACAGATTTAACAGTGAAAGCAATCTCAGTGTCCCTTAGTTAAACCTGAATTTCAGATAAAGAACAAATCATTTTAGTATAACTATATCCCATACAATATTTGGTACCATACTTGTAATAAAAAATATAGTTTGTTCATCTGACACTCAAATTTAACTGGGTGCCCTGTATTTTAACCTGGCAACCCTATTTGAGAGGCTAATCACATATTTTCCAAATTTAACTTTTAGGATCAGCAGAATAAAAGGAAGACATTTAGGACAAGGGGCAGAGAGCAGAGCCACGGCCTTCTAAGCAGCTGTTCTGCAGTGACCTCCAGTAGCATTTGCTGTGGGCTCCTTTTCCGATATTTACAGGGGATTTGATTTTGAGAGTAAAACCTCCCCAATGTCCATATTCCCTCTTGCCAAGAACGTCACCCATAGAGCATATTATTCTGCTTTTCCCCCCGTACACATGTACATATGAGTACTATTATTATGTGAGATTTTTGCCCTAAATAAAATAAAACAAAGAGGACTGCTCACTTATTTGGCACTCTTTGATTTCATTATTTTATTTATTTATTTATTTATTTATTTATTTATTTATTTATTTATTTATTTTGAGATGGAGTCTCACTCTGTTGCCCAGTCTGGAATGCAGTGGCACCATCTCAGCTCACTACAACCTCTGCCTCCTGGGTTCAAGAAATTCTCCTGCCTCAGCCTCCCACGTAGCTGGGACTACAGGCATGTGCCACCATGCCTGGCTAATTTTTTAATTTTTAGTACAGACAGGATTTCACTATGTTGGCCACGCTGGTCTCGAACTCCTGACCTTAGGTGATGTGCCTGCCTTAGTCTCCCAAAGTGCTGGGATTACAGGTATGAGTCACCACGCCCCACCTGATTTCATTATTATTAAATGCGAACTAGTGTACTGTAGTGGATCACACTACACGGGGACTGAAGGCTTCATCTTGTAGGATGGTGGGTGAGCCACTGTTCTGAACACACAGCTAGTTGGCTACCCTATAATCTACTTACAGTATAACTGTAAAGCCACAAGCCCTTCATACCCCATCTAAGTGAAATGTCTCCTACTTTTCTGAAGTATGAGGAAACCTCATTAGAGAAAAACGCTCAGTGTCCCCAGGTGTTAGTAGGGTGGCTTTTAATGTCTGTTCAGAGAAAAAATAATCCATTTGCAAATATGGATTTGCATGTCTTTTATAAATTCTGTAGCTCCCATAATGTTACACATGATAACATAGAATCTCAAATAGGCTGAGATTATACTCTACCTTTCCACTTCCAGCTCAGTACTAAGTTTTAATATGAAAGGCAGTTGACTTATGAGCAAGAACACAGCCTCTGATTCAACCTGCGTTGCCCGTGTTTGAATCCTATCTCTGTCAGTTGCTAGCTGTATAAACTTGGATAAGTCACTGAACAACCCCACTGTGCCTCAGTTTTGTCATCTACAAAAGAAGAAAACAGTATGGCCTACTATATAGAGTCATGAGAAGTAAACAATGTGACACATGTGAAATACTTAAAATAGGGTCTATATGTGGTAAATCCATATACATATGAGTATTATTACTACATGAGATTTTAGCCCTAAATGAAAATAACCAAAGCAGACTCCTAATTTATTTAGCGTTTTTTTTTTTGTTTTTATTATTATTAAATGCTAATTAAGATGCTGCCCTCCCATTTCAGAAGACAATGAACTGTGCCCTTCTTAGGTGATCTTTATTGTAGACTTGACATTTTGTGCAGTTTATCATGGGAGGATAAAAGTAGAATGCAGACATCACGTTGAGTTTGGAAAAGAGCAAAGGAATCAAGAAAAGGAAACCACACTTCTAACCTGTCAATATCAGGTAATGTGATCTGACATCCTGGTCAATATACATGTGTATATGTTGTGATATTAACATCCATTCACCCTTGACTTTCTACTTTAAATTTAAAGGGAATAGCCTTAGCAGTAATACTCTGATAAATTTATCTCTGTGGTAGAAAAGGTACTGATAATTCCAAAGTGATCTATAATATTTTAGAGGCAGCTATGTAGGTAACACAATATGGGATGGTGTTTTACAGTTTAGAGATCCAATATCCACTTACCAAACTGACGAAGGTCCAAGCAGAGATTTGCTCCCTCCACTAATGTGGTGTTCCGGCAGATGGTCCACAGATTGAAGTACATGTAAACTGGCAGTGAGGTGAAAGCCGTGACTCCCAGCCAGGCCAACATGAAAAGATATGTCAGCATAATGAACTGCAAAAGAGAAAGAAATGGAGAGAGAAAATGTAATCTACCAAAAAAGAAGAATTTTGTGTTTAATCTGCAAAGCTCCATTATAGGAAGTTTATGGGATACAGTACATAAGTCAGTATCACAACACTGTTGATTTGCAGCACAGAAGGTTGAGAAATAGTGCGCATAATGGGTTAAGTGAATAAACCTGCTGGAAAATCATATCTTGGCAGAAGTTCTGATGTACAAAGAAAAAAATAATCCATCTGCATTATCATGCCTCTTCATCCATGTATTTAACTTTCAAATCTCACCACAGATTTTTTTTAAACTTTAGAAAATATTCCTGGGTATTTAGAAAGTATTCACTTTGCAAAAGGAATTCAGGAGAATTAAAAGTCTGTCAATAAATTTCCATAGGACTAAACTGTCATCATGTCATGTCGCAAATATTTAAGCTATTTAATCATGTTTACCATTAACAAATATGGCAATTCTCAAATCACATTAGTATATAATATTAGTGTGTACTCTTCTAACATTTTTATAAACTTAAGTCTGTTTTGTTTTATGCATGTTAATATACATATTTTATATATAGTATATACACTTATATATGGTAAAATATTATTTTAATTTTGAAAATACCCAAGCTTTAAAAATACATTTCAGAAACAATTTTTAATATTTATAAAGTGTATACAAGGTGTTCATGTATCCTAGATAGAATTGAATAAAATACTTAGTTTAAGCATGGATTTACATGAAGCTTTAGTTCACACATGGTAAATGCTGGATAAAAGGACATGTAGATGTATGAATTAGTGGATGGATGATAGACATTAGACAGAAAACTGTCTGAAATATAGCCCCTGGATGCCAAAATCTACATTTCTATAGATATTTGGTTCTTCTGAATTTCAGAAGTACACTTTGATCAAAGACTGGAATAGATTCACTAGTGCATTCTGGCTAAACTTCTAACACCTCAAGTAGTCACATTTTCAAAATAGCAGTACAGCATATAATAAATATACTGAATGAAACTAGACCTCTTATTCAACCCTATTCATCCCTTTTGTGATGAGTTATTAGCTAGATTTTACCCCACGATTTAGGTGAAATCTCAAACAAGTCAAACTTATTCAATAACCCTCATAATATATACTAAAATTAGCACTTTTGCAAAATAGTAAAATGGGAATCAATCCCATGATAGAACTTATGCACGTATATTAAAGTTATATTGCGATTAACATAGAGTTTATTGGGATTAAGGATAGCAAGGAATTTATATGACAAATATAAAGAGAGGCAGGAGATCAAACCTTTTTATTAAATAGCAGTTACTAAATGCCCCAGTACTTCAGAACCCCAGAGCATTCTCAAACACATGTTTTCTAATAATATTGTTTTATCTCATCTCAACTCTTACTTCCTTTTTGTCTCTACTATGAAATGCTAATAGTTGGGGTCAACATCTGTCTCAACAACGTCCTTAAACTAAGATTTGGCAGACATATTTATACTTTATACATCTAAGATGAAACAAACCCTGCCTTAAGAATATTAGCAAATAAAATTTGCTGAATATTAATTTATTTAAATCACCGAAGGAAGGAGAGTAACTATCATAAAAAAGGTATTCTTTTTTAAAATAATATCAAAGTTTACATTCCTTTTAGAATTATTTTAGTCTTGCTGAACAAACACTTATGAGGCAAAATATGCATAAAGATTTATGGCAGGATTTCAGTCACGTAAGGCAATAACACTTCCCCCTTATTTTACTGATTAAAAGAATAAAATAGCCCAGGTGGAAATTTAGAGAATATTTGGTCTTTAGACACACTTGACTGTATATGGTAAACATTTTACTCATCTTCCCCAGAGTGAAAGGATAATATTAATATTTTTAAGTGGTCTTTATCCTTTCTTTCTGGAACGTGGAATGAAGCACATCAATAGGTGAAGCTCACAGAACAGTGGAGGGGTCAGCTCAGAATTTCTCCCCTCTCAAAGCCTTCCCTACCCTATCACATCATTGCTTAGGCACCCAGGCTAAGTGACAATGGTCAGCTAAGCCTCTGAACGTGGATAAGTATACTCCAAGCGGCAATACCCATTCACCTCTAACACTAATAAGCCCTATGACATAATGCAGGTCATTTTCCATCTTTTGCCATTGGATTCTAATATGCAAGAGGTAGAAACCTATCTCTCCGTTTATTTAACAATCACTGGCATACCACTTACTGTGATCCTAAACTAAATATCACGTGCATTTAGCAATAAAAGGGGGTCTTCAGGCATACTGATGAAAGGCACAGGCTTTTCAGCTGGCTTGAGTGTAGTCTGCTCTTTATACTTCCGTTTCTGTTTCTGTAAAATGGAAATAACTCTAAACTGGCTTCACATGCTTAAGTGAGCCTGAGATGAGATAATGCATGAAAAGCATTTAGCATTGAAACTTGTTACATAAGAAGCTCTGACAAAAATATTAGCTATTTTTATCATTGAAAATATCAATGTGATTACTACTCTTGCTACATATATTTTGTACATACTATGTAATTATGTAATTCTATATAGTCTTATAGAATAAAGGAATTAGATTTCATTTCATGTTTGGATAAATTAAAAGAATGATGAGTTCTTGAGTCAGGGAAAGTTATTCAAAATGAGCTCTCTCTCTAGAAGAAAGCCTCCAGAAATTCTTGGAAACCACCCTGAAAGTGAAGAAATCTTCTTAAAAGAACACCTTTGGGGGAAAAAATCTTTTTTATTAACATTTTCATTATTTGCAATTGTAGATCTCAAGGCTAATGTATAGTCTCTAGAACAATAAACATGATATGGCAGCCTGAAGCACATTGCTTTGGAGGACTAAAAGCAACTCTAAAATCCATGGAAGAGTAATCAGCATCCTTTTGGTTGCATCCTTTCTATCTTATTTTTCATTTGTTCTACCCTTAGGGATCTTTCTAAAGCTTCTTTTGAAGATGTTGTTCACTGTAGAATGGGACTTATAATTCAATAGGTTTAGATTCAAAGTAGCTTGGAACACTTTGAAGTGTGTTGTTACTGCTACTTTACAAGGCAATGAAAGGTCTAACTTCTGAAACCACAGGACTGCCTTACATCTTCTTTCTACTCTGAGCTATGTTACAGCAAATTAACAAAGCTGGATGATATAGAGTAAATCAGTGCGGTGAGAAAATATTTTCATTACTATTAATGCATAAGTTTTGTTCTAGAAAAATGCAAAAGTCTTTATTTTCTAATTTTGAATGTAAACTAGTGGCATTTCAGGGTGTAGCAGTTCACTAAAATATTCACTAAAGTATTTAAGGAAGCTAAAATATAATTTGATCTTTCCATTTTATGTTCTATTTCAGAATCTGATGATTACTAAAATTGAAGAATTATTCAAATTGATTATGCGTAATCCTACGTAGAAAATCTTTTTATGTAATAAATAAAATATTGCATAATTATAAATTTATTTCTAACTTCACATTTTGAAGCATATCATGGATATATATATTTTGTCATCTGAATGTTAAATAAATTAATAAGCTGCTCTTACTTTTGTTAGAATAAACTCTGAGAATGTGAAAAATTTTTCTGATTTTAAAAACCATTTTTGTATATGTGTGCCTTTATTAATTTCTGTTTTTTGATTCAACTCTTTCTGAAATTCATCTTCATAATATCTGTTTGGGAAACATGGTGGAAAAATGAAAAAAAATGATAAAAGTACTACTGAACTTGAAATCAGATGACCTAGTCACTAGTTTGACATATCACTTAATCCCTCATAGTCACTTTTGTAATTTGCGAGCTGGAAATTATGATAATTTTCTCATAGGGCTATGATGTAAACAAGGGGAAGGTTCTATATAAAGTCACTTAGCAGGAAATGTAAGCAGTAACTCAAAGAGAGGAGATAGTCTGATTTAATAAAAATGTATTACTTTGTACTTTCAAAGGGTAGGTATGGACATAAGGAAACTATTTCTGTCCCATTTGGTATTTATTGCTTTGAACAGACACTGAATTTTAATTTATAGTAATTCTAGGAAGGGAAGATAAGTTCTGTAGAAATTACATAAATAAAGTGGCCTCATTGGCCTTTCTCATTTTGGTCATTATTTAGGATCACTCACATATAGTAAAATGCTGACTAAATCCTCTTGACCCACAAAAAAAAATTCAGTAAAACTTCCTTAATTTGAATTAGTTAATTCATTGATCTTTGATAGTAAAATTGGTATAAAATGATAAAGATTGGGTGCTATATATTTAATTAATAGCTGACATATTCCATTATCCCATAATCATTTTAGTAGCATTTCATCAGAACATGCAAATGTCTGGCAAAACAAGCATCCTCCTACTATATTTCCTGCTTGATTTTTGTTTTTACTCAGTATAAATTTCTTGAGATCCTACCACATGTTAGCATTTGATTCAACAAAATTGTTACGAATTATTTCTTTATCACTTGAAATTAAATAAAACCACATGTAATTATTGTTTTGATGTCAATCTGGATATTCTAATCACTTTTAGAAATCTGGTAGAGAAATTGAAACAGAACTACAAGAGGCAAGGTTTCATGTTCTTTAGAAAAAGGTGACATATTGCTTCTTGATTATGTAGCCATTGAGATTGCAGTGTATTTAACTTGAAAATAACTTGTAAAATGTAATTGGTTTTTCATCTGAACTCCTATGAACTTAGACTTAATGTCTAAGAAAATCACACCCTGTTGAGGTCTAGACTTTCTGTGGCAACTTCAGCAGATGTGCACCAGTAGAGGTAAAAATAACACCTTGGAAGTCAGCAGCATTGATGAAAAGAAGCCAGCTGACTCTGATTGCACAAGTCTCTGAGTCTCTGAACTAAGTGATGAAAACATATGCCACATATTGAATGGAATGTTATGATATAATGAAGAGTTTCAGATATGAGGCACATTTAAACTTTAGTGAAATGAATAAAATGGATGTTCTGATGTATCCAAAGTCTCTTTATAACCAAAAATATTCTATCAGATTGAACTCAGGTCATTGTTTCTCACTGTTTCAAGGCACAGGATATAAAAATAGTTTGCTAAGTCTTAGCTCAGAACCTTATATTTCACAGTGATATATTCTGGTAGTATTTTCTCATCTTGGAATGAATTTAAAGAGTAGCAATCTAATCATGTTTCCCACTTTAACAACAAAGGAAGTATCTTTAAATTTTATCAAAGGCAGAAATAGTTCAGAGTTTAATAATCCTGTGATTTTAAACAAAGCTTCAATAGATAGACAGTAGCTGAGGGAATGCAACTTCTAATAATGGTTTTCACCATGGCCAGACATTAGGATCATCTGGTTAATGTGAGAGAGAAAAAGCAGCTCAGGCCTCTCTCATGCTAATTGTATCTATACTTTTAAAATCACTGCAGGTGATTCTCATAGATATCCAGTGTTAAGAACTCTTTCTATATTGGAATCAAAGGAGATCTCAGGAGTACATGTGTTGTGAAGACTTATTTGATCTTCAACTTTAGACTCTGACAGGGTACTATTCCTAATGTTTAAAAAAACAATGAGATGATAAGCCAGACACACCTACTAATGTCAATAAAATAGCCAAAGGCATGAATGAGTGGGGTACCGGACATGAGCCAGATATCTAAATCCGAGTGTCTCGAATTTGTCACTACTGAACTTGAGGCCAGATCATTCTTTGTTAAGGGGACTGTCCTGTATAATATAGGACATTTAACAATATCCCTGGCCTCTAACCACTAGATGTCAGATGTCGGTTGTGCAATCAAAATGTCTCAATTTTCCTGAGGGGAAAATAGCTCTTGGCTATAAACCACAACACTAAGGCAGGAGAACACCAAGTCAAAGGGAAGAAAATGAACACCTGAACATACTATCACTACAACTGCAAAGGGAAAAAACATTACAATCAAGTAGGCTCTGGAAATTACACAGTGTATAGCTTAATGCAGAGAAAATTACTAAATCATTATGTAAATTACTCAAAAATATGCAGTCATCATCATCATCATCGTTGTCAGCATTATAGCCCAAAACTACCTATGCTCAAGTTGTGATCGGAAAATTCTTTTTAAGTGATTTGTTACGCTTATAACAACTTTATTCAAAATTGCCCAAACTTGGAAGAAGCCAAAATGTCCTTCAGTAGATAAACAGATATATAAACCCCAGCACATCTAGATAAACGATGGTATATTAATCAGCACTAAAAAGAAATGAGCTATCAAGCTATGAAAAGACATGCAGAAATTTTAAATGCATATGACTGAAAAAAAAAAAACAATCTGAAAAGGTCATTCACTTACTGTGTAGTTTCAGCTCTATGACATTCTGGAAAAAGAAAAAGTATGGAGACAGTAAAAAGATCAGTGGTTGCCAAGTGTAGGGGGGGTGAGAGGGCTGAATAGGTGGAGCACAGAGGATTTGTAGAACCGTGAAACTATTCTGTATGAAAGTATAATGGTGGATACGTGTCATTATACATTTGGCAAAACCCAAAGAATGTGCAACACCCAGAGAAAATCCTCATCTAAATTGTAGACTTTGGGCAATTGTGATGTGTCAATGTAGATACATCAATTGTAAATGTGCCATTCTGGTGGTGGTGAGGTAGTGATAACGGGAGTCTATCCACTTGCTGGGGAGGGGGCTATGTAAGAAATCCCTGTACTTTCTCCTCAATTTTGCTGTGAAACCTAAAACGGTTCTAAAATATAAAATCTATTTATATAACAAAAAATGATTTGAGGAATTTATTCATGAGCATATGTGAAATGTTAATACGATCTAAGTGTTCACTGTGTGGTTTGGTTCATAAAAATCACCAGTGTCACTGTGAAATGATTAAATACTTCAATCTCAATTGGCAAGGATGATTTCATCAGAATAAAATGATCTGTGAAACAGTCTGGTTTCCTACACTGAGCTACAGAGATAAAGCTACAGAGAATCTTCAGGCAGTGAGTGTAAGGGCTGAAAATATGTTACCTTAGATATAGAGGAAGAAAATCTTAAATCCTGTCATATGAGATAAATTGTTTTTGTTTTTGTTTTCCTTTTTTTTTTTTTGAGACAAAGTCTCACTCTGTGGCCCAGGCTGGAGTGCAGTTGGCATGATCTCGGCTCACTGCAACCTCCTCCTCCCGGGTTCAAGCGACTCTCTTGCCTCAGCCTCTAGAGTAGCTGGGACTACAGGTGCACGCCGCAGCACATGGCTAATTTTTTGTGTAGTAGAGACGCGGTTTCACCATGTTGCCCAGGCTGGTCACAAACTCCTGAGCTCAGGCAATCCGCCCACCTTGGCCTCCAAAAGTTCTGGGATTACAGGAGTAAGCCACTGCACTTGGCGGAGATACCTTTTTTTAAAGAGTAAAATAAAAATAGCCCATTGAAATAACAAATACAGTATTACTATGTATTGTTACTTTGCAGAAGGTAAAAGAGTATTGAAAGTATTCAATGTCCTTTTTTAAAAATAGTTAAGAGAAAAATAACATAACCAAAACTGGATTATTATGTTCCATAAATTTATTTTTTAAATGGAACAGGTTTACATAATGTCTAAAGCCCCAAAATGATAGTCATGAAAATTGCAATAGAAAGGCAAGCACACTCTTGATAAGTTTATCATGTCATATTATCCAGAGTTATTTTATTACCAGTTAAAATTAATAGAAATCAGAGCATGAGCTCTTGTGCTTAGATGGGGAAATATATTCAACTTTCTGTCTGTTTTACTTACTGCTTATCTCTAAGGCTCAAAATAGTGCCTGGGACACAGTAGACACTCAACAAACATCTGTTGAATGAACAATAGTGTGAATGTAAGGTTTGTCTTGTGAGGAAATATATCTTACCATGTGTTTATCATTATGATTTATTGGGTTTTGATACATTAACTGATAACTAAAAATAAAAATATGACAAATAAAAGGCAACTGTTCACAATAATACAGTATTGACGTTAAATGTCATTTTTAAACTGACAAATCTCAAGATTTTACAAGATGATGATTCCTCATTTGTTGGAAAAGATGAGGACAAGTAAAAGATTTTGGGGGAGAGCAAAATTAAAAAAAAGTATATAGGCTGGGTGCGATGGTTCACACCTGTAATCCCAGCAATTTGGGAGGCCGAGGCAGGTGGATCACGAGGTCAGGAGTTCAAGACCAGCCTGACCAACATGTTGAAACCCCGTCTCTACTAAAAATACAAAAATTAGCCGGGCATGTAATCCCAGCTACTCAGGAGGCTGAGGCAGGAGAATCACTTGAATCTGGGAGGCAGAGGTTTCAGTGAGCCGAGATTGTGCCATTGTACTCCAGCCTGGGTGAGAGAGCAAGACTCCATCTCAAAAAAAAAAAGAAGTATATGGACATAAAAGTTGTCTACAACCAAGTATGGCACTAATGATAAATATATGAATTCATGTGTTGAAAATTTTAATATATTATGTGAAAAAATAGAAACACTAGACATACTCTTGGCTTGTAAATATTTTCTTAGAAATATAATGCTGAATAAAGGAAATATGTTGCTAAAAAATAACAAAAATATTGCTGGAAAAAGTGTACACTAATATAATCACAATTTTTTAAAAAACACAAAAAGAAAGTGTTGCTATTACTTAATAAAACAGGGTAACCACGGGTGAGCTAAAACTACTCAAATTCCCCTGTTAACAAGGGTCTTGCTTCTTCTTCCTCAAATTAAAATTAACAAAAATTAGAATGAAGAAGCAAAAAAAATCAAGTAAACTGTCATTGAATGCATATGCTGGTCTGATTTATGTGGAAGAAAAATTCTAGCTATGGCTATATTTTCTCACTTAGGTTGACAGTGTGACACTTTTTACTACCACCCCTGCAAGTAAGGTAATTCTGCCACTGATGAACAATTATTATGGACTTTTCTACCTTGGTTATTCTAACTTTCATTTTAAAATATTTGGCTAAGTAACCAAAAAAATTAAGATATCAGATTTACATGCAAACCCTGAATACATTTAATTGTGCAATCAGTATATACTTGGTGTATACATAATAAATGTATATATAACTCTGATAAAAACACTAGAATGTTATCTTTCTAAGTCAGATGGAGAATTTAAACAATGTTGACACATTGAATATATCTCAATATCAAAGAAAAATATAATTTCATTAGAAGTGAGTGATAACCAGTATGCATTCCTTGACGGGCATTTAATTTCAGATGAAATGGCGAAACCCCGTCTCTACTAAAAACATAAAAATTAGCCAGGTGTGGTGGCAGGGCTCCTGTAATTCCAGCTACTTGGGAGGCTGAGCCAGGAGAATCACTTGAACCCAGGAGGTGGAGGTTTCAGTGAGCTGAGATCACACCATTGCACTCCAGCCTGGATGACAGAGTGAGACTCTGTCTCAAAAAAAAAAAAAAAAAAGTCACTGAAAGTCACTGAGGATGTTAGTTTTCATTTTTAAACTTGAAAAGGAGCAATGAAGAAGGCCATGCTAAAATGTAATTATTGTTTTAAAGGTGTTTCCATTGTTTGAAAGCATATGATCCCTAAACCAGCATGTGAGTTTTTGCTCTTTAAATCAGCCCCTCCATTGTGACCTTCAGAAAGTTGCGCAAGACCAGAAAAAGTCTTGGAAATAAATGTTGGTACATCTCTTCATATCATTGTCCTGGGATGAAGTGAGACATGTTTCAGACCATTGAGAATATGTCTGTTTTTCTACCAAATGACAACATACAGGACATAATTTATATGTGAAATTATAACACAAAAATAGCTCTTAAAATTGATCATGTAAAGGAAATTATAAGCTTTATCAAAATCCAGGAGAACACCACATATATCATATACGTGTGTCAATCTGCTGAGAGATTATCATTGAGTCAGAACTTCAAATATTTAAAAATGTTAAAAAAATGCTACTTGAATACTTTTTGGCACATTCAATAGAAATAAAACAGAACTATATAGACTGAAATGATAAATTTTTTTAAAAAAAATTACATCCAGGTTTGTGATAGGAAAAATTTTAAAGAACCACAGAAAGCAATTAAACAAAACAATGACAGGCATATTTAATATTATTATGATTGTCAATGGAATGAGGCATACCAAAGAAAATATCTAAATATATGCCACAGTGTGATTCTACCTCCCTGTATAATATACTGGGGGTTTTGACGGAAGGGAGTGATTACAGGAGCACACCCTCTTGCCTGCATACCACCTCGCACACACTTTCAACTAGTGCTTCGCTTTCTTTCTCACTTAAAACCATATTTAGCTAGGCCAGGCTCGGTGGCTCACACCTGTAATCCCGGCACTTTCAGAGGCTGAGGTGGGTGGATCACCTGAGGTCAGGAGTTCAAGACCAGCCTGGCCAACATGGTGAAACCCCATCTCTACTTAAAATACAAAAATTAGCCAGGCATGGTGGTTTGTGTCTGTAATCCCAGCTACTAGGGAGGCTGAGGCAGGAGAATCACTTGAACCTGGGAGGCGGAGATTGCAGTGAGCCGAGATCGCACCACTGCACTCCAGCCTGGGCAACAGAAGGAGACTGTCTCAAAAAAACCCAAAAACAAAACCAAAGAAAAAAACACATTTAGCAGGTATTTAAATATTTAGGTTATTAGGTAAATATTAGGTAAATATTTAGACATTTACCTATCTAACAGGTAGGAAGAGCAATATACAGATATATATCTATAGATATAGATATATGGATAGATAGATATGAAAAACCCAAGAAGATTCTATCAGGATGATTTCTAAATAGGGCACCCAAAATAGCAGCTAGAAAACAAATCATATTAACTTAGAAATGACATGGCCAAATTAAAATATAGAAAGTTTAAAAAAAAATCACTGCTTATACAATTGGAAGCAAACATGGTAGTGAAATAACTATATATAAAATCATTAAGTAATAAGAACATAAGTGACAGAGTAAAAAATATAAATTTTCCCTACCTCAAACATTTTTCCTCTTCAATCCAGCCTTTACTTTTAATCAGAAGAATTTTTCTAAAGCGCAAAACTAATTACAATGTAGGATCTCTCACATATTTTTTATGGGAATGCAAAATGGTACAGCAGCTTTGGCAATGCATTACAAAACTAACCATACTGTTGCCATATAATCCTGCCATCAACTCTCTGATATTTACTTGAATGAGTTGAAAACTGATGTCCACAGAAAAACCTGCACACAGACGTTTAAAGCATTTTGCTAACTGCCGAAACTTGGAAGTAACCAAGATGTTTCTCAGTAGGTGAATGGATAAATAAACCTTGGTACATCTGGACAATGGAATGTTAGTCCATGCTAAAAAGAAGTGAGCTGGAGGTGATGGGGTTTGGGGAGAGATACTGGTCAAAGCACACAAGGTTTCAGTTAGAAGGAATAAGTTAAGAGGTCTATTGTACAACATGGTCGCTATAGTTAATAACAGTGTGTTGTATTCTTGAAAATGGTTAAGAGAGTAGGTTTTAAGTGTTCTCAATACAAAAAACCATGTGAGGTAATGCGTTTATCAATTAGCTTGATTTAGCCTTTCCACAATGTATACATATTTGAAACCAATATGTGGTACAAAATAAATATATACAACTTTTACTTGTCAATTTAAATCAATCAATCAATCAATTGGTAAAATGTAAATTTTTTTTTTTTTTTTTGAGATGGAGTCTCGCTTTGTCGCCCAGGCTGGAGTGCAGTGGCGCAGTCTCGGCTCACTGCAAGCTCCACGTCCTGGGTTCACGCCATTCTCCTGCCTCAGCCTCCCAAGTAGCTGGGACTACAGGCGCCCGCCACTACGCCCGGCTAATTTTTGTATTCTTAGTAGAAACGGGATTTCACTGTGTTAGCCAAGATGGTCTCTATCTCCTGAGCTTGTGATCCGCCCACCTCAGCTTCCCAAGGTGCTGGGAGTACAGGCATGAGCCACCGTGCCCAGCCAAAATATAAATATTTTTAAAAAGAACAAATTGTGCCATAAAGCCATGAAATGATGCGGAGGAACCTTAAATGCATATTGCTAAGTGAAAGAAGCCAATCTGAAAAAGCTATATACTACATGATTCCAACTATGACTTTCTGGGAAAGACAAACTGTGGAGACAGTAAAAGAATCAGCTGTCTATAGGGGTTGGGGGTGAGGGAGGGATGAATGGGTGGAGCACAGAGGATTTTCAGGGCAGTGAAACACTCTGTGTGATACTGTAATGGTTGATACACAACATTATACGTTTGTCCAAACCCATAGAATGTACAACACCAAGAATAAACCCTGATTTAAACTGTGGACTTTGGGTGATGATGTGTCAATGTAGGTTTGTTGATTGTAACAAATGTACCACTCTGGTGAGGGATTTTAATAGGAGGGGAGGCTGCACATATGTAAGAAAAAGGAGTATATGTGAGCCTATGTACCTTCTGTTCAATATTGCTGCCAATTTAAAATTGCTCTAAAAAATAAAGTTAACTTTTAAAAACTAACTGCAATACTTTCTTCTTTATTATCTTGCATTGGTCTCATCCACTCAACAAATCATGTTCATATACTTCAAGATTTACATGACGCATCAGAGTTTTGCATCTACTTAACCTCTCCATCCTGATCTAGCACACGGATGACTGCAGTCCTCTATGTATTTCATTCTACTTCACATCTTCTGGGTTACTTGTAGAAGTTCGTTCTATCCTCCCAACCCAAGATCAAGAGCCCCTTTTACTCACTAATTTGTTAATAGAGTTATACATCCTTTAAAGAAAGGAATTCATTTTGAGAAATTCATCATTAGGCAATTTAGTCTTTGTACAAACATCCTAATATATACTTACACAAACCTAGATGTGTAGCCTACTACAAACCTATGCTACATGGTATAGCCTATTGTTCTCAGGCCGTAAATCTACACAGCATGTTACTATACCAAATGCTGGAGGCAACTGTAACAGGATGGTAAGTATTTGTGTCTCTAAACATATCTAACCATAGAAAAAGTACAGTAAAAATATGGTATTGAAAGCCTACAGGACCACCCTCTGACACGTGGTTCAGCACTGATGAACACATTAGGGGGTGCATCACTGTAATTAAAATGTCCTGTGTGCCCACAATGTGTACTGTACTAGGCCTTAGGTGTCTACTAGTCAACACTTCTTTATCACAGACTTTAATCCCTTCTCTCCGTGCAAACACTGTAAGCTATTTGCATGTTCATCAATATGTATAGCATGCATGTCTTCATGTACAAGTCTCCCATGTATTCTGACTATACTAGGGACTCCCGAGGGATAGGGATTCTGTTTTGTTTCTTGATGAATCCTCATAACTCAGGATGACACATCAATCCGTGTAACAGATCCTTAAAAAAAAATAAAATCGAGCCAGAGATTTTATTTTTTCAATTGAAAACAAAATTCAAATAAAGTCAAATTATATAAAAAATAAAAGCATTGGACGGCCGTGGTGGTGGCTCAAGCCTGTAATCCCAGCACTTTGGGAGACTGAGGCGGGCGGATCACCTGAGGGCAGGAGGTGTTTGAGACCAGCCTGACCAACATGATGAAAACCTATGTCTACCAAAAACACAAAGGTTAGCCTGGTGTGGTGGTGCGCCCATGATCCCAGCTACTCAGGAGGCTGAAGCCGGAGAATCGTTTGAACCCAGGAGGTGGAGGTGACAGTGAGCAGAGATCATGCCACTGCACTCCAGCCTGGGCAACAAGAGCAAAACTCCATTTAAAAAAAAAAAGGCATCATCTTAGTAGAATATACATTTTTTCCAGCAAATATTACTGCAAAGGAAATTTCCATTTGGTGAGTACTAACAATATAATATAATTTTAATATCAGTGATACTGTAAATGTCTGAAAAATGTACTTTTTTTTTTTTTTTGAGACAGAGTCTCACTCAGTCACCCAGGCTGGAGTGCAATGGCATGATCTCGGCTCACTGCAACCTCCACCTCCCAGGTTCAAGCAATTCTCCTGCCTTAGCTTCCCGAGTAGCTGGGATTACAGGTGCCCACCACCACGCCTGGCTAATTTTCGTATTTTTTAGTAGAGAAGGGGTTTCACCATGTTGGCCAGGCTGGTCTCGATCTCCAGCCCTTAGGTGATCCACCTGCCTCGGTCTCCCAGAATGCTGGGATTACATGCGTGAGCCACTGTGCCCGGACTGAGAAATGTACTTTTGACCCGTGTTCCCAATACAATAATGCTAGTCTTACTAATTCTTCAGTGAACATTTAACTTTAATACCCTCAAAATACTTAGTTTCCCCATAAAGCAACCTTAAAATATAAACTATAGTAGTGGTTAATCTCAAAATGAGAAACAGAGATAAAGAAATGGAGTCTCAATATGTTGTGAAGCGATATCTTTTGTAAAATGTTATTGATTGAAAGGCAGAGTCAAAAAAAATGTAGCTCTTGAGTTTTTTCTGAAAATAATTTTTCAATATCTTTGCATAAAGATTTTTCCCAGTACAGTAGGCATACGATTTCTGGTTGAAAAATAGAGGCACTCATCAACCTATCAGTTCTTTAAAAGACCATTAATAGTCTGTGGTTATTATTTCATCCTTACTCTAGTGGTCTATTTTAATAATAACTATTACATGTTTGAAACTATCTGGCATACTGGAAGGGTAGTTGAGCTGGAATTAGCCAATTTTACAACCATATTTTCCTTGTCGAGTGTCACCTGAATGTGTAATATTGAGCTAATCACATTGATGACAACAGTTAATGTGAATGAATGTATCCAGATTGTTACCTTGGGAGCCATCAAGTCTAAAAAGTTGAGGCTGAGCATTTGCTATCCTTGAGATTAATTCCTGGCTTTATTGCAAAATTTGATTGAAAAACCTAAACCTGCAGATGCCTTCATTTAAACTATAGTATATTTGTAAGTAGAAATTAGAAATTCATACGTTATGGAGATATTTCCCTAAACTTTTTAGAGGGCATCACATTCTACAATTTAATTTTATATTAACAAAGTTAGAAACTTCAAGGTTTTAAGTATTCTGTAAAAACAAAATAGAGAGCCATAGAGTATTAACCTTCTATATACAGGATGTTTATCATAAAATAAATTCTTTATGTAATTATTTTTAGTAGAACTACTTTGTTTAGGAAAGCATGGGTCAGATAATGTGTCATTTCATGTGTTTAGTTTTTCTTTTTCAGTAAAAGTATTTTAGACAGCCTTGATATGATGTGATGAGAAAGACACTTTATCTCTGTAACCTTCCTCCTCATAACTCAAAACCCCAATCTAATCATGAGAAAAACATCAAATTACAGCCAAAGTGCATTTACAAAATGTATTACTCAGCCAATACTCCTTAAAACTGCCAAGGCCTTTGAAAACAATGAAAGTCTTAGAAAATGTTGTAGTTCTTAGTAGTCTAAGGAGGGACAATTAAATGTAATATGGTATCCCGAATGGGATACTGAAACAGGAAAAGAACATTTTACAAAAACTAAGGAAATCAGAAAGAAGCATGGACTTTTAGTTAACAATAGTGTATCACTATTGGTTCATTAATTGTAGCAAATATACCATATTAAAGTAGAGTGTCAGTCACAGGGCAGACTAGGTTTGGTATATATGGAACTGTACCGTCTTTACCTTTCTGTAAATCTAAAATTATTCCAAAATAAAATGTTTATTTAAAAATTACTTTAGGATTATAAAAATGTAGGCAGTCACAAATTATATAACATTATATCCTAGAACAATCTGATAGGAGAATATACAAATTTTTTTTAAGTTTTGGCCAAAGAGTATATATCATGACTTGAATAATCTAAAAAATCAAAAACAAACAGATATAAACAAAATAAAATGTTGAACATTTTGAGAAGTTATTTTTATTTTAATTGAATTTCAGTCACAACTTATGGTGATCTGAGAAGCATCCACATGTTGCAAACTTTTTATCAATTTTCCATTTCTGGCTGTTGTAAGTCTCTTGTATTTTAAAATCTAAACTAGATGCTTTACACAGTTTTCTATTTTATCAATGCCACCTTATGAGACTAGCAGAAAATTTCTTTCAACTTTTACATTAGACATCAGAAAAAATAAGAACTTTATTTTTTCTTATTTATTTCTTCCTACAATTTATGTACTAGCATAGTTAATATCTCAACAGTTACACTGAGATTGGTCCACTGTCCTAGTATTTAGAGTTCAGTTCTGAAGCGATATACGAGATCTACTTCAGATACTTGCAGCAAATAAAATCCTGGCCCTTCTTCCTCAATGCCACGGTTTTTCAAACATTTTTTTAAAATATCACCCCTATGTTTGAAGGAGTCTACACCTCCTACACCCCACCCCCCAAATCTTCCTTGCTGAGAAACCAGTTAAAATCTGGAAAAAAAAATGATGTTGTCTTAAGTTTCTAGAAAGAGGCAAGGCTTTGTTCTAGGAATTCTATTCCCACAGTTTAGGATTCAAACGTTTATGTGTGTGTGTGTGTGTGTGTGTTTATTTTAAAAGGCATTAAAGTTTAGGGATAGTCTAGAATGCAGAGTTTCTTTACAATACTTAGAAATTCATCTTAGGCCTCCTTAGAGCTAGTCATCAAAAAGTCTGTTAGTCACAGAAAAGCATCTTAGACTACCAAGTTCTCTCACATCCTGCAGAGCATTCTTGTATTTGTGAAAAGAGACAATTCGTTATTGTTGATAAAAGCAAAGATTAAAATGAGGACATCTCTGTAATGAAGGAGCTTTCCAATGACCAGTGAATGATCTTACTAAGATGCAAAACAGAAAATGACTGCTGAGTTATAAAAGACCCTCGTAAACAGATAACCATCCTATTAAATGAACTCAAATAAACCATAAAATGGTAGGGAAGCCCTAATCATGAGGTTAGCGGCATGGACTCTGTGCCAGATGCTTGAATTCAAATCTGGCTTCATCACCCACCATGTACCCCAGGCAAGTCAGTCATCCTCTCCAGGAGGCAGCTTCTTCATCTCTGAAAT
This sequence comes from Homo sapiens, assembly GCF_000001405.40. Lineage (NCBI taxonomy): Eukaryota > Metazoa > Chordata > Mammalia > Primates > Hominidae > Homo > Homo sapiens. The sequence goes on from NC_000004.12 coordinate 175,669,048, forward strand.
GAGGATAATTCTAGTATCTACATGACATAGTTTATCAGAGGATTCAGTGTCCTACAATTAAGCATAGTAGGTATAGTATGGGCATATATAAGTGCCTAACAAATATTTCCCATTATTATTACTAAACTTAGTACTAAAATTTGATTTTAAGCTATGGAACGGAGCTGTGAGTTATACAGAATAGATTTTAAGATAATTATACAGAGTATGTCTTAAAAATACTAATCTAATATGCTGTGGCCAAATCTACAAACACCTGAGGCTAATAAGACAGATGTTTTAAACTAAACAAATAGAATAAGGGTTGAAAATCCTTTGTCTGAAATGCTTAGGGCCAGAAGTGTTTTGAATTTCAAATTTTTTTTAGGTTTTGTAATATTTGCATTAACTTACCAGTTGAACATCCCAAATCCAAATACCCCAAATCTGCAATGCTCCAATGAACATTTCCTTTGAGCATCACGTTGACGCTCAAAAAGTTTCACATTTTGGAGCATTTCAGATTTGGGATTTTCAGATTAGGATATTCAACCTTTTATGTTTCTTTATCTCTGAAACAGGGTAACAATAGCAACTAGTTAATTTTGTTTCTTTAAAACTTATATATGGAAGAACATTACTGTTATCATAAGACTGTTATGAGTTGAATTGTGTCCTCACAAAATTCATATGATGAAATTCTACCACCAGTGTCTCAGAGATTGACCTTATTGCTCTTTACTGAGTTGAAAAAGTAAAAAATTAGGTCACTAGGGTGGGCTCTATTCCCATATGACTGCTGTCCTTATAAAAAAAGGGGAAATTTGGACACAGCTTTTCAGGCAGGAAGAACATCATATGAATGTGAAGGCAGTGATGGGTGAAACTTCTATAAACCACTGGATGCCAAAAATTACCAGCAGCCAACCAGAAGGTAGGGGAGAAACATGGAACCGGGTGTTCTTTACAGCCCTCAGGAAAAAAAAAAAATCAACCCGGTGACACTTTGGTCTCAAACTTCTAGCTTCCTGAACTGTGAGACAATGAATTTCTGTTGTTTAGGCCATCCACTTTATAGCACTTTGTTGTGGTAGCCCTAGCAAACTAGTAAACACACTTCCAAAAGTTATTATTGTTTTATTTAACTCTTAGAGCAGGTAGATTTATGGAAAATACATTTATTGAAAATTCCATAGAGTTTAGTACATTTGGGAAATCTATTACTTCGAAAGTGTTGCATTTAAAAATCTAAATTTCAGAAGAAGTATAGATAAATTCTGAGATCCATAATGATGTCACAGTAGCAATCGGAAATTTGTAGAAATAAGAAAATTGGGGATGGGGGCAAAAAATATCTCAAGATTTGAAAATGTGACACACTGAAGGTCTCCTAATTTGCAGCGGAATAAATATGTTTTGGCTTAAACTTTAATAAGAAAATATGGTTAAAGAAAATAAATACTTCTACATTAAACTTAAAAAGGTCATGTTCAATGTAGTCAATAACATGTATTTGTACTCAATTTGGTGCCATTTAATATTTAAGGTAAATAAATTTTGTTACTTAAAATACTTTAATAACTTTTCATATAATGTTTTAATAAAGTCGTTAATAATGATTTTCACCCTCAAAATTTAATATTGTGGTTTTACGTGCCTCAAATTCTGGATTTTGAATGACAGATAGCATTAAAATATTGTAATGAACTTGAATTGGTGCTGATACCGCATGAAAGGAAACACAGAATGCAGACCAAGTTATGCTTTCAAAGGCATTCATTAAGTAAAGGGAATATTGATTATCACTCTCCATTCAGTGATACAATGTTGCTTCATTTTTTTTTTTTTTTTTTTTGAGACAAAGTCTTGCTCTGTCGCCCAGGCTGGAGTGCAGTGGCACGATCTGGGCTCACTGCAACCTCTGCCTCCTGGGTTCAAGCGATTCTCCTGCCTCAGCCTCCCAAGTAGCTGGAATTACAGGCGCCTGCCACCATGCCCGGCTAATTTTTTTATTTTTAGTAGAGACAGGGTTTCACTATGTTGACCATGCTGGTCTACGAACTCCTAACCTCGTGATCCGCCTGCCTCGGCCTCCCAAAGTGCTAGGATTACAGGTGTGAGCCACCACGCCCGGCCTGCTGCTTCAAAATTAATTGCATTTGTGCTGATATAATTTCAATTAGTAACCATTTACTTTTTATGCAGCAGAGAGAAACAGGGATAGAATAACAAATTTCTGTTAGTATTAACTAAGGAAGATTTTTATATACTTGTTGCAAAAAAAAAAAATCCACCCTTTAGTATTATTCAGTGTTCCAACTAGAGCTGCACCGATATAGTACCTTCAAAAGCACAGACTCATTCACAGCTACGGAACACAGGCAAAAGAGGTTAACAGGTTCACTTTGAACATAATAAAGTAGACCGTAAGATACAATCTGCCTACAAACGAAAAAAAAAAAAAAAAAAAAAAAAAAAAAGCAGCATCAGTAGAGTGGAAATAAGTAGCAGGAGAGGGTGGACGATAAATCTTTCTTTTCCCCTCGATTTCATGGAGCTACAAGTCCTGCGTGATATGCAAGCTGAGGTGGGGGTGTGGAGGAATGGTTGGCAGAGGGGAAGGGAGGCAGGGTTCTGCAGCGCTGGCTGCAGCCGCCACTGTTTACTTCTCAGTCGTGGAGCTAGCCCCCTTCGTGAAGGCAGTGTTGGGACAGCCAGGGTATGGCTCAGAGCCTCACCCGCTGCTCTGCTGTCTCTGCAGAACGCAGAAGAATGCAGCTCCTACTCCTGTCTCTGCTCTGCTCATTCCGGGGTGTCAGGGAGGTGTTACAGGAGTGGGCGGGGCATCTTGCTGGGCTGACACCCTGCTGCATTGCCTCTGGAGGAGCCCACGCAGCAGCTGCTGCCACCCTTCTGGTCTGTTGGGTGGGACTGGTGACACAATTGTTACCATTATAGAAAAAAAAAAAAAGAAAGAAAGAAAACGTGGCTCATGTTTTGCTTCGAAAATTCCTATTTGAAATACCTTTAAGATGCTTGAATGGCAGGCAGATAACCAAGTGCATCTCTCTCTATATATAGATATGCAATTCTTCCTTGATTGCTTTGTCTTTTTATTATGAAGTTATTTTCAAATTCTGAATGAAATAACACAATTGACTGCACTCGTCCTGGCAGAAGGTTATTACCTTACGGTAAAGACGTGCTTTCAGACCCCCTTATCTCTTTATTTTTTCGTTAGGGTTTTAGAATCACAGACTCGTTGAGCTGGAATAAGCTTTAGAAATGATCCTCATTTTGTAAATGAGGAAACTGTGATCCATAAAAGGTAAGTAACTTGCCAAGGCACACCAGTGGCATTACAATGTTACTGTTCCAATTGTAATAAAAAGCCAATTACTATATAACTCAATTCACTATACTCTATTGACAGAAGGGAAATGAATCTTAAAATCGGAATTTGCCTTTTTACTGGAGAAATTGCTTGGGCATCACTGAAAATTGGACCACAAATTAGTCATATTTTATTTTTTCATCAATCCAATATCTCTCTGTAACTAAGTTTCCCTGGATCTATAATTCGCTATTACTGATTTAAATAATTTCAATAATAAGGCACAATTTAAAGCCCCTTAGTCACATTATTGGGATTCCAGTTTTACTCCTACTCATATATTTTATCTCTTTGGGTGTTACAATAAGTTTTGTCCCAAACTAAAAACAGATGATTCTTATAAGAAATAATTCCAGAGACCACTACAAATACCCACAACTCAGGCAAACTATCTTATCAGATTATTGTTGCTGTTGACACCAAGAAGCATAATAAAATGTGTTAGAAACAGGTTAAAATAAAAAAGGTTTGCTGGTAAACAGGCATTTTTGAACATTTCTGTGAGATTGAAGTAATTTACATCAGTCCTTATTAGAGACAGCTTACTTAACATGAATTATATGCTATAATTAGACACATGTTGTTACATAACATTAGAAAAAAGGAAAATATGTCTGTCAAGAATGGAAGCTTCAACATTTCATTCTAGAAAAATTATTCTGTATAAAAGTGCAAAAGTACTTTCAACCTTATTATTTTTCATTTTCACCACTCATGCATTAATAGATAGATACGCATTGTCTGTATTACAAAACTGTAGAGTAAGACTATAAGTTTGATTTGCCATTAAATATTATATAAATTAAAATTTAATGCTGAAATTAATAGAATTCTTAAATTAATAGAAAACAGAAATCATATGATATAGCTGTCCTCAAATTTACAGTAAAATACAGAGACATATGTTTAACAGGAGACAGGCACATGTATTGCTTATAAATTGGAGATGAATTTTTCTGTGATTCTCAAGAGAATCACAGAGCCCTTTGGAAAAAAAAAACCATACATCAATCAACAGTGTTGCTACCTCTAGAAACAAAACTAGTTGTGCTACATAGAATCTGAGTATTTGAAACTGAATTTTCACAAGGAATAATCTTAATTTCAAAAATAATGTTATCAAGATTTAAGATAGCATCACAGAAGGAAACGTTACTGTGTGAAAAAAAAATACTTTAATTCTTGGGAGATGAATGCAAACACCTGTGTGCTATTGAAATCAATCCACATTAAATACTGAATGTAGAGAACTAACATACCCAAGCGCTCACACATCTGCCACAAGTGGTGATTTTGAAATCCCCATAGAGATCTTTGATGGCCCCAGTTGTGAAGAAACCTTCCACCATCAGCAAAATGCCATACACAAAGAACGCAGCTGCGATGCCGTAGATCACATACTTAAAGATGTCAATCCTGAGAGAAAAGACAAAGTGATTTATTTCAATAACTTTTCATTGCTGCTGTGCAGAAATTGATTCTCACATGCTCATGATTCTTTTGGAATGAAAGTTATAGAATATTTATATTCATAATGAAGGTTGGATTTAAAAACATGTTTGCTTCATATATCTAATGTTTATATACAATTTTTTTGCTGCCACTTCCAATATTTGTTGACAAGAGATTTAAGGTTTTCATGTTTGTCAGTTTCTTCTTCTTTTCTAACTTCTCCTCTTCCCTGGTTCACACCAAAGTAAGCTGGAATAAGCAATAAATTATACTTCTAAAGGAATTTGCTCCTTATTTTTATTTAGTTATTTATTTATTTATTTTGAGACAGAGACTGCTCTGTTGCCCAGTCTGGAGTACAGTGGTGCGATCTCGGCTCGCTGCAACTTCTGCCTGCCGTGTTCAAGTGATTCTCCTGCCTCAGCCTCCCAAGTAGCTCGGATTACAGGCATGTGTCACCATGCCCAGATAATTTTGTCTTTTTAGAAGAGGCAGGGTTTCACCATGTTGGCCAGGCTGGTTCAAACTCCTGAGCTCAGGCAATCCACCACCTTGGCTTCCCAAAGTGCTAGGATTTCAGGCTGAGCCACTACTCCTGGCCTATTCATTTGTTAAGTAGGGTAATTATCATATGATTTCTCTAATTAGGACAAAATACCAAATGCAAAGATTTGTGTATGTAACACTGGTTTTTAAAACTTACATTAAAAGGGAAGGAAGCTTTATACTTAATGATGCAGTAGTTTTACATAAAATGATACAAATTCCATATTTTTACGTTACAGATAGTCAATTATAGTTGTATTCTATTTTGTACTCATCATACACATCATGTGTATTTGTTAATGATAATGCGAATAATGAAAAGATATGGTTTTACAGATAAACATTGACAATGAAGCCATTTAGGTATACTCACTAATGAATATTCAGCAGAATTGGATCTGAGCCAAGATATGGCATACTTTTATAGTGGCATGGGAAGGTCCTTTTCATTTTCTCACAATTGATTACCCAGTTTTGCTTTTTTTTTTTAAAAGAAAAAAACACCATGTGGCTAAAATAAAACATTTATCTAGAAAATATAAAAATGTGCACAGCCAGAACTGATACATAATAACAGATGGATATATGGATAGATAGATAGATTTAATTCTTTTCCCCAGCTCTGTAACTAGGAAATGATATTCAATAACATTAAGAACAATTAGTTCATTTATGAATGAAGATCATTTGCATTCCCATGTTTTGAAAACATTCATTCCATACATATGCTCCAAATAATATCTTTTAAATCTGTAGGAATATTCATAGTCCTAGGTGTAGCTAGAGTTAAATACTCCATTAGGATTTATTTATTTTATATGTATATATGTATATATATTATATATATATCTGCATGATCAGTGAGCTTTTATATTCAACGTAGTAAGAGTTGTAGAAACAGCCAGTTAAATGCAGATGTGGCAATAACACCAACTGAATGCTATGCAATAGTTGCTTAACCTAAAAAACAGGTTATATTTAACACTGGGAATGTATTAATTATATACATTTCTTTGGATAGAGACCATGACTTTCTAATTAAAAGTTAATACAGCACCAATATATAAGTACTTGTTGATGTTAAATATTTCCTTGAGACTGCTGGGTGAATTCAGTGAGTATGAAACAAATTTACACTTTCAATAAACCCACTAATCTTCCTTTGAACTTCTAATTTCCTTCATAATTAAGATTTTTAATGATTTTTCTTCGTATAATTTCCACTTATTTATTTATTTATTTATTTTTCAAGACATGGTCTCCCTCTGTCACCCTGACTGGAGTGCAGTGACACGAGCATGGCTCACCGCAGCCTCAACCTCCTGGACTCAAGTGATCCTCTCGCCTCAGCCTCCCAAGTAGTAGAGACTAGAGGTGTGCACCACCATGCCTTGCAAATTTCTTCGTTTTTTTTGTAGAGACGGGGTTTTGCCATGCTGCCCAGATTGGTCTGAAGGGATCTGAACTCCTGGGCTCAAAGGGATCTGATATGGTTTGGCTGTGTCCCCACCCAAATCTCATCTTGAATTGTAGTTCCCATAATCCCCATGTGTCATGGGAGAGACCCACCGGGAGGTAGGTGAATCATGGGGGCGGTTACCTCCATGTTGTTCTTGTGATAGTGAGTGAGTTCTCGTGAGATCTGATGGTTTTCTAAGATGCTTTCCTGCTGCTTCTCACTGCACTTCTCTCTCTTGCCGCTATGTGAAAAACGTGTTTGCTTCCCCTTCCACCATGGTTGTAAGTTTCCTGAGGCCTCTCCAGTTGGCTGAACTGTGAGTCAATTAAACCTCTTTCTTTTATAAATTACCCGGTCTCAGGTATGTCTTTTATAGCAGCCTGAGAACGGACTAATACAGGATCTGCCAGCCTTGGCCTCCTACAGTGCTAGGATTACATGTGTGAGCCACTACACCCAGCCTCCCTTTAATTTTTGACATCTCTACTAGAATATAAGTTTCATAAAGACAGAAGTTTTGATCATTTATATCAACTACTGTATCTTCCACTAGAACGATATCTGACAATGCTGGATAAAAAACTGAATTGGGTGGGGGCAGTGGCTCACGCCTGCAATCCCACCGCTTCGAGAGGCTGAGGTGAGAGGATCACTTGAACCATAGTTCGAAACCAGCCTGGTCAACATAGAGACACCCCATCTCTACAAAAATTTAAAAACTAGACAGTCTTGCTGGCAGAAGGCTGTAGTCCTAGCTACGTGGGAGGCTGAAGCTGCAGTATTGTTTGTGTTGAGGAGGTCAATGCTGCAATGCGCTACGATCACACCACTGCACTCCAGCCTGAGAAACAAAGTGAGAACCTATCTAAATGTAAAAAATGTGAAAGGAAAAAAAAGGAAGTAATTTAATCATTAAATTAATGTATGTTAATGAGTATCACAAAAGAGCTAATGAATAAGATAAGTGTCTATCAAAAGCCTCTTAATTCTTAGCTATCATTTTCTTAGAAAATAAATTTGATTTGAATCCTCCAGATCTATTTAAGTATCTATCCCATGATTTTTTTCCCAATTAAAACTGGTCACATATATATCCTTTGTGGCTCAAACTTAACTTGTCAAATTATTTAAGTAAATTTCAGCATACCAGTACCCTATTTATTTTCAACAGTAATTTTTTAGATCAACTTCAAGATTCATCAATGTAATTTTAATCGTTTCTAATTTGCTTAAATTTCATAGCTCAAAAAACTGCATTTGTTGTTGTTTTTAATAACATAGGAATATGTTATTAAATATGTACATAAGGAATGAATATTATATAATGTGTGAAGAATGAACACATTTTTGCTATGATAAGTAATACATTTTCATTGTGTAACTACTGTTTAGGCTATAAATTTGGCCTGAAATGTTATGTTTCGGTACCATTTTGGGGAAGTGAGGGGTTTAACATCTTCCTCCCTCTTGGCAAATAGGTTTTCTCTACTTTTCTATGTGCTAACACATAAACAAAAAAGGCTAAGAGAATTTGTTGGCATAAGACAAAAACCTCTAAAGTAGGGAATGATTTTCTTGTAGAGGATTTGTTTGGTAGACAAAAGTACAAATGAATGGGGGGGAAGAAAAAAAGAAATTTAAGGCATAGAACTGAAAAAATTGCAAACATGCTAAATGGGAAGAATTTGGCCAAAAAAAGTGCTTTCAATAATTTTCCTAGTTTTTATATGAAATGAATTATTGAGGGAAATCCATTTTAATCTCTAAAAACTAATTATTGCTCAGAAAATCTTTTTCCGATCATTCTGGTTCTAAAAATTTTCTGATGTAATTAAACAAAAGCATTACACTCTCAAAGAACTAGATAATATCTGCTAAATAAATATTTTAGAAAAGAACTTATAAACAAAAAGCAAGAGCCTATATTAAAGAAATCCTGAGATAAGCATATCACCATATCCAAATGTACCAGTCATGAAAAACGTGGTCACAGATTGCTAGTCCATTGAATAATTCTTTCAACACAGGAAACAATCGAGCAAAAAAGTTTTAGCCTAAGTCAGTCACATGATGGTTAGGATATAGCTATCTCTATTAAATTATTGGACCTCAACAATATTTCTTCCTTTAGCACATGTATTTTATATATATGGAAAAAACAGCGTATACGTCTTGAGTTCATCATGTGGAAGCAGTCACTTAATATTTTGAATTCCCCACTCCAGGCCATACAGACACACACAGAGACACACTCACACATATGACTTCACACTGATAAGGCAAAGAACATATGGAACATCTGGAGGAGAACTGTCAATGGCATTGGAGAAAAGAGAAAGAATCTTCTGGGAGTAGGAATTTTATTGAAGTGAAGAAGGGGTCATGGTGTGTGGAAAAGTATGTATATTAGCTAAAGGTCTATTTCTGCAGCCTTGATACTGTTTTATTAACAAATTGTTGTTTATTTCACTTTCTCAAGCTTGAATTTATTTTCTTAATTAATTAGAGTACGACTAGAATGGATAGGGGTGGCATTAAGTGATGGAGACATCCTGTGATTATATACAAGAGCAAAATGAGGGGATAGAAAGCTTGATTATGCTGATAGAAATCTAGAGATCCTGTGACAATATTTTTGAAAGAATGCATGAAATAGGATTTGCTGCATAGCAGATGAGAGAGAGAGAAGAACTTGGTAATGGTAATGTCCCAGAGCAATTGTTTAGTGGCTGACTTTCACTGCCTGAAAGTCTAAATATTGCAGAAATCTATTTGTCAAAGGCAATGAGGCAGATGATGTGAACTGTGTAAACCTGTCGCGCATTTGAAAGAATCTGAGGATGTCAACTTACAGATCAAATTTGACATCAAGAACACTTTAAAGAGTGTTTCATGGGCTATTCTATACAATTCTTTTGGTGAAAATGGCATGTTTTCTAAACATATTTTAATTTTTTATTTGGAAATAATTTCAAATTTACAGAAAAAAGTTGAATAAAACAAGTAGTATGTGGAGCAACTTTACATCCTTTCTCTGTAACATTTTATCTCATTTACTTGATTGTTTTCTCTGGATGATATATCTGAACATAGAGAACATCTTCACAGTGTATAGTTATTGACCTCAGGAAATATATCATTGACATACTTATGTCAAATCTTTATTTGTATTTCAATTTCATCAACCAACTCAATGATGAACTTTGTGGGATTTCTTTCTTGCCTGATACCGGAGCCAATCTAGGGGCTACTATTATACCCATTTGCTGTGTCTCTGGTCTTCTTTAATCTGGAACACTTCCACTGTCTTTCTGTGTCTTAATGACATTTATGTTGTTGAAGAATATAACTCTATTCTGCCCTTTTTGAACGGAATGTTCCTTTTGAGTTTGTCTGATGTTTCCTCATGGTTAGATACGGGTTACTCATTCTTGGCTAGAATACTATACAAGCGATATTGTGCTCCTGTCAGGGTATCTCCCTCCTCACTCACACAAAGCCCTTCTGCCTCTCAGTACTAATTTTAATTTTCATCATCTAGTTAAGATGATGTCTGATTTCTGTACTGTGTACTACTTCTCTTCCAACTAACAAGCGATCTGTGAGGAGATACTTTAAGACCAAGCAAACATCTTGCTCCCGGTCAAAACTTCTCCCCAATGTTAGCACCCCATCCAATGATGAGTATTGCCAGACCCAATCTTCTTATCATGTTTGCAAAATGATGATTTCCTAACTCCATTACCAGCTCCACATTTGCAAATAGCACTAGGTATTCTGATGCAAGAAGAGCCCACCCTTTTCCCCCATTTATTGATTTGTCTATTTGTTAGTGACACGGACTAATGGTATCTGATTTTTTTCTCAAGGTTTAAATGCCATTACAATAGCTCATTATTTTGGTACTCAAATTTTTCTAGACTTGAGCAATAGGAATCCCTTCAAGCTGGTTCTTGTATCTTTGTGACATGTGCCTAGCAATTTGTAAGAATACTCCTTGCTTTCTCACATAGCAAGATGCTCCAGGCTCACCTTGCACACACCTCTTTCAACCTCAGAAACAGGCATCTCTTTGAGAAACTCTCGTCCTATTAAAGAGCAATGGTATTCGGGACCAAGATGTGGTGCTATATGTGCTCATTGCAAATGTTGTGTCTTTACCTTTAGGTCTTTTTATTGTATCAAGGTAAGAAACACATGTATGTATACACACACACATCAATATATGCAACTATATAAACATATCTATATATGTGTACATGTATGTGTGTTCATATATACATATATATACATGTGCACATGTAACTGCATAACAAATATACACATATTTTAGAAATATTGAGTATACAGTGATACCTCCAAACCCAGTCTATCGCTACAGGGATTTTTATTGCTTTCCTCCTTTGATATTTGTACGTCTTTCTTCCATAATGAGAATACTGACTCCCAAGAATATTAACACGTTTATTCTTTGGTTTAATTCCATAATAAATCTAAAATTATTTCAGAATTACTTATTCACCTCATTACAAAAATCATATCTATCTAGAAAGAGTTCTTGTGGTTTGCAATCCTTCCCACACCTTGCCCAAGACTGAGACTATATAGTCAATATACTGTGTTTCTAAGTTACATGGATTAGTGTATTTTTTCTTCCCTTCATTGTGGCCATGTTAATGCAACTGTTTGTTTCAGTTTCACGTTGTCCATCTCATCCATATTGACTTAGTTTCATTTTTGGATATACAGGACATTAACATGCTTCTTAAAGTCAAATCTATACAAAAGACATATCCAGAAAAGTGGCAAGACTTTTCTATCCTGTCCGTCCTGTTCCTTGTAGGTAACCCATTTCATTGGATCCTTGATTATCTTTACTGTGTTTTTATGTAAAGGCAAGTGTGTGCATGTTTGTGTATATGTCTATTTTCCCTTCTTTTTACATGAAATGTGCATACTCCATATATTCTTCATATATACTCCATATATTCATACATTTGTACTTTGATCAATGAACAATAGTCTTTGAAAATTTCTCTATACAAATTCATAGAGATTGTTCTCATTCTTTTTAACTTGCATACTACTCCATGTGTATTTACACACTATCATTTATTCACAAAATCTCCAATGCTTACTTATATGGTTATTGATATCTTACAGTTAGAATATTGCAGCAATGAATAACTTTGTTCATATGTATTTTCAAATAATTGAAGATGTATCTTTAGAATTAGGATGGGAGGATTGTTGAGTTGGAAATTAAAGACATATGTAGTTTTGTTACGTATTGCCAATTCCTCTCTATAGGTCTTGTACCATTTTGTATTCCAACCAGCAGTATATTAGAATGTCTGTTTCTCCCCATCCTCAACAGAAGAAAGCATTGTTAAGCTTTTAAATTGTTGCTAATCTGATGGGTGATGAGTGGTATCCTGGTATTGCTTTATTTATCTTAGGTATTCATGAAATTCAACATCTTTTAATATGATTATGGGCACTATATATCTTTTTATGAATTGTCTATTCATGTGTTTGCCATTTTACCATAAGATTTGTGGTCCTCTCTGCACCCCATAATTTTTAAAAGATCTCTATAAATAAGGGATATTATACTTTTGTCTGTTGATAGTTTAGATATTTGTCCTTGCCTAAACTTCATGTTGATTGTAATCCCCAATGCTGGAGGTGGGGCCCAGTGGTAGGTGTTTGGATCATGAGAACATATCCCTCCTGGCTCGGTGCTAACTTAAGAGGGTGTAGCACCTCCCCTCCAACTCTCTCTTGCTCCCACTCTGGCCATGTGATGTGCCTGCTCCCCCTTCACCTTCTGCTATGATGGCAAGATTTCTGAGGCCTCCTTAGAAACCAAGCAGATGCCAGCACCATGCTTCCTGTAAAACCTGCAGAACCATGAGCCAATTAAATCTCTTTACTAATTGCCCAGTTTCAGGTATTTCTTTATAGTAATGCAAGAATGGTCTAACAGAGAAAATTGGTACTGAAGAGTGGGACATTGCTATAAAGATACATGAAAATGTGAAAGCAGGTTTGGATTGGGTAGCAGGCAGAGGTTGAGAGAGTTTGGAGCGCTCAGAAGAAAACAGGAATATGAGGGAAACTTTGGAACTTCTTAGACACTGATTAAATGATTGTGACCAACATGCTGATAGTGACATCGACAGTGAAGTCAAGGCTGACAAGGTCTCAGATGAAAATGAGAAACTTATAGGGCACTGGAGCAAAGGTCACACATGTTATGCCTTATTGAAGAACTTGGCTGCATTTTGTCCATGTCCTAGGCCTCTGTGGAAGTTTGAACTTCAAAGTGATGATTTAGGGTATCTGGCAGAAGAAATTTCTAAGCTGCTAAGTATTTGCATGGGTGCTTCTAACAGCCAATGCTCAGATGTGGGAAGAAATAAATAACTTTAAATTTGAAATAATATTTAAACAGGAAGCATAGCATAAAAGTTTGGGGAATTTACAGCCTGACCATGTGGCAAGAGGAAAAAAAAAGTTTTCTGGAGAGGAATTCCAGAATTCAAGCAGGACGTGGAGCAATCTCTTGCTAGAGAAATATGCATAACGGAAAAAGAGCAAAGTACTAATATCCAAGACAATGGAGAACAGGCCTTGAAGGCCTTTCAGAGACCTTTGTGGTAGCCTCTCCCATCACAGGCCCAGAGGCCTAGAAGGAAAGAATGGTTTCAGGGGACAAGTCCAGGGCCCCACTATCCTATGCAGCCTTGGGACACTGTTCTTCACATCCCAACTGCTCATGCTCCAACCATGGCTCAAAAGGCACCAGATACAGCTTGGGCTGCTGCTTCAGAGGGTGCAAGCCATAAGCCCTGTCAGCTTCCATGGTGTGCTAAGCCAGTAGATACACAGAATGCAAGAGTGAAGAACACTTGGCAGCCCCTGCCTAGATTTCAGAGGATGTATGAGAAAGCCTGGGTGCCCAGGAGGAAGTCTGCTGCAAGAGTGGAGGCCTCACAAGAACCTCTGCTAGATGCAATGCCAAGCAGAAAAAGAGTTTGGAGCTCCCACACAGAGTCCCCACCAGGGCACTGCCTAGTGGAACTGTGAGAAGTGGGTCACTGATCTCCAGACCCCAGAATAGTGGATCCACTGGTAGCTTGCACTCTGTGCCTCAAAAATATGCAGGCACTTAAATCCTGTGAGAGCAGCCACAGGAGTTAAACCCTGCAAAGTCACAAGGGTAGAGATGCTGAAGGCCTTGAGGGCCCATCCCTTCCATCAGTGTGGCCTGGATAGTGGGACACAGAGTAAAGATTATTTTGGAGCTTTAATATTTAATGACTGCCCTGCTGTATTTTGAACTTGCATGGGGCCTATAATATCCTTTATGTCAGTCAATTTCTTCCTTTTGGAATGGGAATATTTACCTACTGTCTGTGTCTCCATTGTATCTTGGAAGGAATTAACTTGTTTTTGATTTTTCAGGCTCACAAGTAGAAGGGGTTTGGCTTGTCTAAGATGAGACTTTGGACTTTTGAGTTAATGCTGGAAAGAGTTAAGACTTTGGGTGACTGTTGGGAAGGCATGATTATATTTTGCAACATGAGAAGGACATGAGATTTGGGAGAGTCCAGGAGTGGAGTGATATAGTTAGGATATTTGTCCCTGCTTAAATCTCATGTTGAATTATAATCCCCAATAATGAAGGTAGGGCCTGATGGGAGGCATTTGGGTCTTGGGGGTGGATCTCTCATGGCTTGGTGCTATCTTAAAAGTGTGTAAGTGTGTGGCACCTCCCCTTTAACTCTCTCTCTCTCCCTCTCTTGCTCCTGCTCTGGCCATGTGAGGTGCCTGCTCCCTCTTTGCCTCCCACTATGATAGGAAGATTCCTGAGGACTGCCCAGTAATAGATGCCACTATACTTCTTCTATAGTGTGCAGAAACATAAGCCAATTAAACATATATACATATACTTTTTTTTTTTTTGAGAAGGAGTTTTGCTCTTGTCTTCCAGGTTGGAGTGCAGTGATGTGATCTCGGCTCACTGCAACCTCCACCTCCTGGGTTCAAGCAATTCTCCTGTCTCAGCCTCCCGAATTGCTGGGATTACAGCCGTGCACCACCACACTAGCTAATTTTTGTATTTTTAGTAAAGATGGAGTTTCACCATTTTGGCCAGGCTGGTCTCAAACTCCTGACCTCGTGATCCACCTGCCTCTGCCTCCCAAAGTGCTGGTATTACAGGCATGAGCCACTGCACCCGGCCTTACATTTTTTAATATATATACATTATTCAGTCTTAGTTATTTCTTTATAGCAATGTAAGAGAGGGCTAAGACACAAGTGACAGATGTTACAAATATTTTCTTCTAGTTTGCCATTTGTCTTTTGGCTTTGCTTATGGCATTTTACTATGCAACTTTAAAAAAAGAGAAATTATATGTTGTCAATGTTATCAGTGTTTATTTTTATTACATCTCATCTGGGATTTTATCACAGTTAGAAGCCTTTACCTACACCCAGAGGAATTCACCCATGCCTTCTTCTAGCATGTGTCCAGTTTCATTTTATTATATTTAGACATTGGATCAATTTACCATTTTTTCTTTGGGTGGCACAAGAATTGATAAAATCTAATTTTATCAAATTAGATAAAATCAGATAAATTAGATAAAATTAGATAAAATCAATTTTATCTAAAAGATAAAATCTAACTTTATCTTTTTTTCAAAATGGCTGTCCAGTTGTTCCAACATCATTTATTCAAAAGATCATCTTTGCTGCAATGATTTTTAGGTCTACTTCTGTCATACAATGAATTTCTATATCTAGATTTATCTGTTCGGTCCTTTCCATTCTGTTCCATAAATCTGTTCATTTGTGTGCCAGTAACACACTGTTTTAATCAGAGGGGCTTTACGTATGTCTTAATATCTTGTAAGATTAGATCTCTCATAGCTCTCCCTTCTTTGTATTTTCTTAACTATTTGTGTGTGTGTGTGTGTTTTGTTTTGTTTTGTTTTGTTTTATTATTATTTTTTTTTGAGACGGAGTCTCGCTCTGTCGCCCAGGCTGGAGTACAGTGGTGCGATCTCGGCTCACTGCAAGCTCTGCCTCCAGGTTCACGCCATTCTCCTGTCTCAGCCTCCCGAGTAGCTGGGACTACAGGGGCCCACCACCACGCCCGGCTAATTTTTTTGTATTTTTTAGTAGAGACGGGGTTTCACCACATAAGCCAGGATGGTCTTGATCTCCTGACCTCGTGATCCACCTGCCTCGGCCTCCCAAAGTGCTGGGATTACAGACGTGAGCCACCGCGCCTGGCCTATGTGTGTTTATTTTTACACATGAACTTTAGGATGTTCCTCTTTAGCACTATTAAAATGTCCATTGACGTTTTATTAGGGTATACTGAATCTATTCATTAATTTTGAGAGAATTAACATTTTGATAATCCTCAACAAGAATGAAGAATACCTTTTCATTTGTTCAAATCTACTTTTACATCTTTGAGGAGTGTTTCACAGCCAACTTCATGTAAGTTTTGAACGTTTCTTGTTAAGGTCCTTAATTTACTTTTTTGGCTACTATAAATCAAGTTTACCTTTACCTTTAAAAATTCTTCTGTAGCTATACAAATGTTCCTGATTTTTACATGTAAATTTTATATCCTACTATGTTGCTGAATTCTATTATTATTGGAATTGGCTTAATCATTGGTCCTAACATTTTTCAAGTATCTCACCCTGTTACCTGGAAATAGAGGGAGTTTTATTTCTTGTTTGCCAATTATCATGTTTTCTGTTTAGAACAATGGTTTAAGCAGAGATTCAGAGAAGAGGAGGAGAATGAAAAGCAGAGATTCTAGCCTTCTTTGTTCTTGACTTTAGTGGGAGTGTCTCATTGTGTAATATTCTGGGTTTAGAGTTGTGACATTTTTATACACCCCCCCACACACATATCATACATCTCTTCTTATCTTCCCAAAAGCTTATTGGCAAGCAGCATTTTTACTAACATAACTTCTAGATTGAAGTAAAAATGATCATTAAAAGTGTGTGTGTGTGTGTGTGTGTGCACGCACACACATTTGTTTTTGTTTCAGGAATAGGCTTAGAAATATGCTTTCTTTTTGTCTCGTCCACATATTCCAATGTTCCAAGATGCTGCTTATGCTCACATGGATTCTTCCCATGGCAAAAAGCAGGAAATCAGATGTGCCTCCAGTAAAACTACACAGGCAGGCTTACTTTGTGCATTTCCAAAAGTTTCTAACATTTCAATTCTTACAAAAAGTTGTCACAGGCAGCAATTATTGCAAGAGCGAAAATGAACCTTGATTACTGTGGTCAGCTATAAAAAACCTCACTTCATACATTTATTTAGATTGGTGCAAAAGTAATTGCAGTTTTAACCATTACTTTCAATGGCAAAACCGCAATAACTTTGCACCAAGCAAATACTTCCTAATCCCTGACACCTATGAATATTACTTAACATGGCAAAGGAGTGAATATTAACTTTCATGGCATAAATTGTGATTGAAAATCTTGACAGGAGAAGCTTATTCTGCATTATTCAGGTGGGGCCTCAATGCAAGCTCATGTTTCCTTATGAGATACAGGGAGGGGGTTCAGAGAGACACACGGAAGAAAAGAAGGTAATGTGAAGACGGAGGCAGAGATTAGAGTGCTGTGGCCTCAAGCCAAGGAAGGCCCGCAACCACCAGAGTCAGGAACAAGCAAGGAGCAGAATTTCCCCTACCAATCTCCGGGAAGAGGCCACCCTTGCTGACGCCTTGACTTCAGGTGTCTGGCCTCTCCAACTATGAGAGAATACATTTCTGCTGTTTTAAGCCAACAGTTTGTGGCTATATGTTATGGCAGTCACAGTGAACTAATATAGTTGACTAATTAATTATTACATCTTTTTGTTCTGTATGTAAAGATTGCTTGAAACAAATTCTGACATTGTCTAATGCACTTGTATGCTACAAGTCATTTATTAGAACACAGTGGTTTGACACACAAGTTGCTAGAGTATGCAATATTTCTTTAGAGCTGGAAAATGGCAATTTTAAAAAGTAAGAAATGCCTGCTTCTTCCTAAGCACTGAAAACCAAACATTCCTGAGTAAAAATGAGTAGCTTTTCTAGTCTAGTGTATAGATATATTGAAGTTGATGTTTCCAGTTGCTTCTCTACCAGACTTCAGAACAGAGTATCTGCAATTTTGCAGGCTATATTGAAGCTACTTTAGAATGTTTAGGGTTGTGGTAAAGGAAAGTCATGTTTCATTATTTTTTATTGCAGTAAATAACACAGAATATGGGATTTACTCTCTTAACATATTTTTAAGTGTACAATACAGCATTGTCAAGTATAAGCACAACGTGGTATAGCAGATCATTCAAACGTTTTCATCTTACAAGACTGAAACTCCACACTCATTGAACAGCCACTCCCCATATTCCCCAGGCCACAGCCCTGACAACCACCATTCTATCTTCTGCTTCTATAATTTTGACCATTTTAGATAGTTCATATAAATAAAATTGTGCAGCACTATCCTTCTGTGACTGGCTTATTTTACTTAGTGTAATGTCCTTGAACTTCTTCCATCTAGTATCACAATGACAGGATTTCCTCCTTTTTTGTGGCCAAATAAGATTACACTGTATGTATATACTGTATTTTCTTTATGCATTCATCTATCCATGTACATTTTGTCTGTTTCCACATCTTGAATACTGTGAATTATGCTGCAGTAAACTTGAGAGTATATGTATCTCTTCAAGATCCTGATATGAACTCTTTTGTATTAATACCCGGAAATGGGATTGCTGGATCACATAGCATTGCTAATTTTAATTTTCCAAGGAACTGCCAAACTGTTTTCCATAGTGGCTGCCCAATTTTACATTCTTAGCATCAGTGAACACTAGGGTTCAAATTTATTCCCATACTCACCCACACTTGTTATTTTCTGTCTTATTTTGTTGTTTGTAATGGGCATCCTTATAAGTGCGAGGTGACAGCTCATTATGGTTTTGATTTGCACTTCCCAGATGGTTAGTGATTTGGAACATCTTTTCATATACCTGTTGGCCAATTGTAAGTCTTCTTTGGAGAAATACCTATTCAAGTCCTCATTTGCCTATTTTTTAATTGGGTATTTTTGTTTTTGTTTTTTTGCTATTGAGTTGTAGGAGTTACTTATATTTTTTGGATATTAATTCCTTACCAGATAAACAGTTTGTAAATATTTTATCTCATTCTGTAGGCTGCCCTTTCACTCTGTTGACTGTTTCCTTTTCTGCACAGAAGCTTTTCAGCTCCATCTAGTCACACTTGTCTATTATTTTTGCTTTTGTGACCTATGACTTTTGTGTCATATCCAAGAAATCATCACCAAGATCAAAGGTATGAACTTTTCTCCTATGTTTTCTTCTAGCAGTTTTATAATTTTAGGTCTTACATTTAAAGTTTAATTCATTTTGAGTTTATTTTTGTGTGTGGTGTAATATAAGCATTCAATTTCATCATATTGCATGTGGAGATCCGGTTTTTCCAGCATCCTTTATTGAAGAGACTACCTATTTGTCATTGTGTCTTCTTGGTGAAAATTCGGTGATAGTATATGCTTGAGTTTATTTCTGGGTTGTCTACTGTGCTATGGTGGTTTATGTGTCTGTCTTTATGTCAATACCAGACTCTAGGGTTCAACAGCACAGTAGAGTGACTATAGTTAAAAATAATTTATTTCAAGATAGCTAGAAAAGAATATTTGAAACATCTCCAGAACAAAGAAATGATAAAAATTTGAGGCAATGGGTATCCTAATTACCCTGATTAGATCATTACACATTGTAAGCCTATATCAAAATACCACATGTGCCCCACAAATACGTGTAATTATGTACCAATAAATACATACATACATATATACATACATATCAAACTGTTGGTTTTTGTTATTTTCTGTTTTTTGTTTGTTGGTTTGTTTTTTAGAGACAGGGTGTCACTCTGTCACCTAGGCTGAAGTGTAGCGGTGCAATCATAGCTCACCACAGCCTCAAACCTCTGGGCTCAAGAGATCCTCCAGTCTCAGCCTCCTGAGCAGCTTGGACTACAGGCAGGCACCACCATGCCTGGCTAATTATTCTACTTTTTTTGTAGAGATAGGGATTACGAACGCACTGGGATTACAGTCATGAGCCACAATGCCTGGCCAAGATTGTTTTGATTACTGTCAATTTATAATGTTTTGCAGTGAAGAAGTGTGAAGTTTCACTTTTATTCTTCTTTCTCAAGATTGTTTTGACTATTTGGAGCCCTTTGTGATTCCATAAGAATTTTAGGATTTACTCTATTTCTGCAAAATATACCATTGTGATTTTGATAAATATAGCTTTAATCCACAAATTGCCTTGGTTCATAAGAACATTTTAACAATATTAAGTTTTTCAGTGCATTATATGGGAAGTCTTTCCATCTATTTGTGTCTTCTTTAATTTCTTTCAAGAATGTTTTACAATTTCCAGTGTACAAGCCTTTTCCCTCCTTGGTTAAGTTTATTTATAGCGTTTTTTTTTTTCTTTTTGAAGCTATTGTAAATGGAGTTGTAGAAATATAAGTTCAACCCTCTTAAATTTTTTAAGCCTTGTTTTATGAGCTGATGTGATATTTCCTGGTGAATGTTCCAGCTGCACTTGGAAAGAATATGTACTCTACTCCACTGGGTGGCATGTTCTGTACATGCTGTTATGCCATTGTTCTATGGTGTAATTCAAGTCTCTGTTACCTGTCTGGATATTCTATCCATTCTTGAAAGTGAGGTATTGAAATCTCCTACTATGATTGTGTCACTGTTAATTTCTCCCTTCGGGTCTGTCAGTGTTTGCAGAACAATGTTTGTGAGGCTTCTCCCAATTTCACTGAGATGTTCTCAGAAGCCGCCAGGTATCTACACTAGGCTAGTTCTGTCACTGCTTAGAATGAGGTGAGACAGAAACCAGTCCCTCAACCAACCCTCCAAAAAGCCAGAGCACTGGGTGTGTGTTCTACCCTTCTGGTCTCTTTTTCTCCCAGTGCTGAGGTGAGCTAGCTTGGAAGAGGGGCTGATGTGGGATAAATAAGATTGCTCTTGTCCCCTGTTTCAACATGGCTGTTACGGGCTTTGTGCTCACCTGGAGTACTGCAAACTCTTAAGGGGATTCTGGAAATCTCATAAAGGTATTGGTCTGTAAATTACTGTTGAATTGATGTTTTATGGGGGACAAGGGCTGGGACATACCAGTCCACCAACTTGCTGACATCACTTATCTCAAATTCATATTTCGTTCAATTGAAACATATGAGACTGCAAGGTGTGGCATCTATGCTAGAAGTATAATTGTAAATTATTGGTGGCAATTATAGCAAATATAAACCTTTTGATTTTATCTTTTCAAACTTTAACTCAAACACTCTGTAAAAATACCTGGCAGGAAATGCTGCAATAAATTAGCCTAAGTTATGTGTTAATTTCCTATGACTGTTTTATCAAATTACCACAAACTTGGTGGCTTTTTAAAAAAGACGCATTCTTATGTTCTGGAGGTCAGAAGTTTGAAATCAGTTTCACTGGGCTGACATCAAGGTATTGGCAGAGCCCTACTCCCTCTAAAGACTTGGAGAAACTTCCCTTGCACTTTCCGACTTTCAGAGTACTCCATTCTGGGCTTTCCTTGGCTAGTGGCCTCTTCTCCTTCTTCAAAGCCAGCAGGTAGCATCTTGTTTTAGAAGTAACACTGCCTTCTTCTCTGGTCAAGTGGCTCTCTGTTCCCCTCTCATAAGGACACTTGTGTGGGGATTTGGGGCTCATCCAGATAATCCAGGAGGATCTGCTCACCTCAGGATTCTGAATGTAATCACAACTTCAAAGTCTGTTTTGCCATAAAAGGTAACATATGATGTTACAAGGATTATAATATTGAGGGCCATTATCAGCCTGTCACAAGCTATAGACTTCATTGAAGTTGAATGCTAATTCCTTGACCTTCAAATATTCTTAGGTAAAGTTTTTCTTCAAACAATGTGGTGATGGACATGTGCTAATGTTACATTCCAAAATCCATTTCAAAATTTTAAATCATCAAACATTTAAATTATAATAAACCTGAGGTATCTTACTGACTTAATTCTCTTCTTTGTCACAAAAGTGTCCTTTTATCAACATGCAATATATAAAGTTAATAGAATACATAACTTCAAATATTAAATTAGGAAAATTAAACTCTTACTTATCTACGTGAGGATGAATTTTTGTCAGTGATATATCACAAGATGCATAAATAATCCTCTGACGAAGAAGTCACTGATTATGAAGTCACAGAAGGATCAAATAGAGAAATAGCGAAGAAGTTTTACATTCACTACTTTTGCCTTCCAAAACAATCATCCATATTATCCTACTTCTTAAGGGATTAATTCACTTACTTTACCTCCTTCCTAAATGTAGACTTTCAGACTTTGTTACACAACTGTTTTACTAATTGTAAAAGCAATATATAAGCATTGTAAATTTTTTTAAAAAGCATATAAGAAAAATGCAGATTATTCACTGTTTATACTACCAGTTTTTAATTTATTTTAATTAATTCCACAAAGCTATGCTTACTATATACCACTTTGAAAACTTCCTTTTAAATCAATATATTATGAATATTTTAAACTATTATATACCTTTTTAAACAATGTTTAGGATATGACACATTCTGTCACTTGAAGATATCATGATCGATTTTACCAATTGTCTACTTTTGTTCAGTGGTAGGAAGACTGAAGGGCCCCAGTGATGCTCACATCATTATCTCCATAACCTGTAAATATGTCATCTCATATGCCAAAAAGGATTTGGAGATGTGATTAAATTAATGATATTGAGGTGAGGAGATTACCCTGGATTATCTGGGTAGCCCCATTGTAATCACAAGAATCCTTAAAAGTAAAAGAGAGAGGCGAGAGAGACAGGGTCAAGTTCAGAGTGAGATTTGAAGATGCCACACTGCTGGCTTTGAAGATGGACAGGGACCATGAGCCAAGGGATGCAGGTGGCCTCTGGAAGCCAGGACAAGCAAGAGTACGGCTTCTTCCTGAGAGCCTCCAGATGGAGCACAATTCTGCCAACACCTTGATTTTAGCTCATTTCAGTTAGCCCAGTAAGACCCATTTCATACTTGTGACCTCCAGGACTCTAAGATAATACATTTTGTTTTAAGTAACCATATTTGTGGTAATTCTTTTTTGCAGCAGCAATGGTAAGCTAGAACTTGTTATTAAAAACAGCATGGCAATAATGATAATATTATGTAATATTTGTTCTCAGTCTAGATTTCTTCCCTGGGATAAATTCCTAGAAAAAAATTAATGTACATATGGTCAAAATGGTGTCCAGAAAGTTTGTGCCAAAATGAAGATGCATTAATAAAAAGCAAAGGTCTTACTCTCTCTTTGTTCCCTAATGCTAGGTATTATAATTTATTTTTTTCTGATAAATTGATAGGTTATAAATAATGGTATCATTTAAAATTACTTTTCTGAGTTTACTAGTGAGGATGAACATATGCTTACAAGCTATTAAGCTTTTGTAGTTTTTAGTATACCTGTTTTTATATTTTCCCTGTTTTTAGTGACACATTTTGCTGTAGATGTAGCAATTTTTCTTTTATAAAATTAGGAGCTCTTTTCATGTAAGCTGCAAATATTTTTCTCAGTTTTTTTAAATACATTTTAATGTTTTTATAACACTTCAATGAATACAATTTTAATTTATAGTATGTCAAATACATAAATATTTTCTTTTGTGATTTACTATATTGCTTGTATCCTTCTTACCCCATGATAAAGAAAACCCTAATTTATGTATTTGTCTAGCTTTTACAAATTAGCTTACCTTTAAATTCTAATTTTTAATGCACCTGAAAAATTTTGGTAAAATATAAAGTAGGAACATAGTTTCATGTGTATTTATGAGTACTTACATGGACTTGGGTCTCTTTTTACCTTTATATTCTGCTCCATTTTATATATTTTTCTATGTCTCTGCAAAATACCATATAGTATAATATTAATTACCGCAGCTTCTCAATTCCCTGTATTTGTTTAGCTTGATGAAACCTATAACTCTGTTAAAGTACTAGCTCTACCATTCTTTATTTGTATCTGATTAGCTGATGTGGATGGCACTTTTCTCACATACCTTTCATATTTCAGTGCTCGAAGACAAGGAATTTGTCTTGCTCTGCTATGCATTTCTAAAGATGAGCACAGTGAGTGGCACGTAGTATCACCTAAGTTTTTTTCTGAATGAGTACATTCATTAAAAGATTAATCAGACATAAGATTAGCCTAAATATATATATATACACATATGCATACATATATACATATATATATAAAATATACATATATAAGTATATATATATTTGGAAACAGGAGTATTATAGAAGTATAATAAATACAAATATTTTAAAATATATTTTCATACTTGAAATTCATGATTGCTCAATTTGTGAAACATGAACTATTACTAAGATAGCTATTCTTGAGTTAACAAGACTAAGTGAATTACAGACTGTAAGCATTTCAGAACTACAAGTTCATTACCATCCTTCCCTAAACACTTTAATTGATAAGCAAATCACCTCATTTCAAGGTAGTCTATGTATTCTTTTTTGAAAAGATTTTTGGAAAGTTCTTTATATGATGCCAAGAAAGTATTTCTCTATAAATTGAAATACTTCGGCTTAAGTCTCTTTCTCTCTGAACCATAAAGAACAAAGCAAGTTTTCTTCTATCTGATAACTGTTCAAATATTATTGGAATGAAACTATCGTGTTCTTATTTATAGATATGTTTCCCTAAAGTTGCTATGATATGGTTTATATCTGTGTCCCCACCCAAATCTAATGTTTAATTGTAATCCCGAATGTCAGAGGTGGAGCCTGGTGGGAGGTGGTTGGATCATAGGGGCAGTTTCTCATGAATGGTTTAGCACTATCCCCTCAGTGCTATTCTTGTGAAAGTGAGTGAGTGAGTTACGGTGAGATGTGGTTGTTGAAAGTGTGCAGCACCTCCCCCTACTCTCTCTTGCTCCTGCTCTGGCCGTGTAAGATAGGCCTGTTTCCCTTTTGCCTTCCACCATAATTGTGAGTTTCCTGAGGCCTCCCTAGAAGCCAAGCAGATGCCAGCATCATGCTTTATGTACAGCCTGCAGAACTGTGAGTCAATTAACCTCTTCTTTCTAAATTACCCAGTTTCAACTATTTCTTTATAGCAGTGTGAGAATGGACTAATACAGAAAACTGGTACCAAAGAGTGGGGCATTGCTATAAAGATACCTGAAAATGTGGAAACCTCTTTGGAACTGGGTAGTAGGCAGAGCCTGTAACAGTTTGGAGGGCTCAGAAGAAGGCAGGAAGATGAGGGAAAGTTTGGAACTTTCTAGACACCTGTTAAATTGTTGTGACCAAAATGCTGATAGTGATTATGTACAGTGAAGTCTAGGCTGAGGAGTTCTTAGATGGAAAGAAGGAACTTACTGGGAACTGGAGCAAAGGTCACTTTTGTTATGCATTAGCAAAGAGGTTGGCCACATTATGTCTCTGCTCTAGAGATCTAGATGATTTAAGGTATCTAGTGGAAGAAATTTCTAAGCATCAAAGCATTCAAGATGTGACCTGGCTGTTTCTAACAAGCTTGTGTTCATATTCACAACCAAAGAAAGGACATAAAAATGGAACTTATATTTAAAGGGGAAGCAGAGCATACAAGTGAAACATTCTCAGCCTAGCCATGTGGTAGAAAAGAAAAGCCCATTTTCAGTGGTGGAATTCAAGCAGGCTGCAGAAATTTACATAAGTAAAAAGAAGCCAAGTGCTAATATCCAAGACAATGGGGAATAGGCCTCAAAGGCATTTCAGAGACCTTTGTGGCAGCCCCTCCCATCACAGGCCCAGAGGTGTAGGAGGAAAGAATGGTTTCAAGGGCCTGGCCTGAGGTCCATGCTACTCTGCACAGCCTCAGGACACTGCTTCCTGCATCCCAGCTACTCCCACTCCAGCCATGGCTAAAAGACCCCCAAGTATACAACTCGGGCCACTGCTTCAGAGGGTGCAAACCATAAGCCTTGGCAGCTTTCCTTGTAGTGTTAAGCCTGCAGGGGAGCAGAGGGCAAGAGTTGAGGTTTGGAAGCCTCTGCCTAGATTTCAGAAGATATGCAGAAAAGCCTAGATGTCCAGGCATAAGCCTGCTTCAGAGTTGGAGCTCTCACAGAGAACCTCTACTAGAGCACTATGGAGGGGAAATGTGAGGTTGGAGCTCCCACACAGAGTCCCCATTGGGGTACTAGCTAGTAGAGCTGTGAAAGAGGGCTACCATCCTCTAGACCCCAGAATGGTAGATCCACCACCAGCTTGTCTTTTGTGCCTGGAAAAGCCATAGGCATTCAACAGCAGCCCATGAGAACAGCCACAAGGACTGAACCCTGAAAAGTCACAGGGGTAAAGCTTCCCAAAGCCTGGGGGGGCCCAACCTTTGCAGTGTGCCCAAGATGTGAGACACGAAGTCAAAGGAAATTATTATGGAGCTTTAATATTTAATGACTACCCTGCTAGATTTTGGACTTGCATGGGGGCTTATAGCCCCTTTCTTTCAGCTTTTCTCCCTTTTGAAATTGGAGTATTTACCCAATGCCTGTAACTCAATTGTATCTTGGGAGTAACTGACTTGTTTTTTATTTTATAGGCTCATAGGTGAAAGGAACTGGCCTCATCTCAGATGAGACTTTGGACTTTGGATTTTTGAATTAATACTGGAATGAATTAAGAATTTGGGGGAACTTAGGGGAAACATAATTGTATTTGGCAACTTGAGAAGGACATGAGATTTGGGAGAGGCCTAGGGCAGAATGATATGATTTGGATCTGGTCCCCACTCAAATCTCATGTTCAATTATAATCCCCATTGTGGGGACTGGTGGGAAGTGATTGGATCATAGGGGTGGTTTCTCATGAATGGTTTAGCACCATCTCCTCAGTGCTGCTCTGGAGATAGTGAGTGAGTGAGTTGTTGTGAGATAATTCACAATAACTGGTTGTTTAGGGTATGTTCAGGGACAAACAGACTTAAGGCAGCATGAAAGTAGGTATTAAAACTGTGAGTCAGTTTCAGAGTAGATGTCATTATTATCATAACCACTATCACCCCCACTATCACATCATAATAATAAACACTTGTATAGTGCTTACTCTGTGCCAGCCATGTTATTATTGTTTTGAAATATCAACTAATTATCAACTAATTTTATTGTCATACAACTCTAGAATGTAAGCAGCATTAATACATCCCTTTTACTGATTAGTTACTAAGGCAAAGAGGTTAAGTAACTTTTCCAAGGTAAGAAAGCTGGAAAGAAGCAGAGACAATATGGAACAAGCTCAGGGGAGTTTGACTCCAAAATCTTATTCACCACACTATCTTGTCTATCTAAATTCCTCATGGTTCAAGTATTTGGTTTTGTTCTTGTTGTTATTTCATATTGGTGTTTTGAGGTTTTTAAAAACACCCATTTGAGGAGTACTAACCTGGCTGAAATATTGCCTAATGAAATGCACACTATTTATTATTTCAAAAGTTAGGAATTCAGTATGGTTTTCTAACATGAGTTCTAGTTATGACTTACATTATGTTTGACTCCCCAAGAATAATCAATAATCATACATCAATACAAATTTGGCAGATCTTCAACCATTGTTGGAGTAGAATTCTTCAGCAATTAGGTTTAATTGTCAACAACCTAGTTCAGTACAGGCAGTTTACACAGTACTGTGATTCATGTTAGCCTATGAAACTTTGTTTTTTCTTGCTATTAATTCACAGTTTTCCCTTCTTACACTCATCCATTAAGCTGCTAACAACTGTTTCCTACTTCATTAACTTCCAAGGAGTAAACGTAAACTACAAGCAAACTTAGAGATATAAACCCACCCGAAGTTAGTTGAGAACAAAATCTATATATCTATTTTGTCTGAGCTTACTGATTTATTTTGTTTTAGGTAAATAGGAACTATTTTATATGTGCATGCAATATTAAAGAATTCACTAGGTAGTGAACTCAGTTTTTGATGTGTTAACTTGAAATTACAGTCATTAAAAAATTAATAAAATTTTGAAAATAAAATATTCACTCTAGAAGACCACCCAAATACAGTCTTTATCTTATAAGCTACAGGAGGGCATGCTTATGAGTAAGACTGTTCCTTGCCCAGTCCTTTGGAGAGCTATTCAAAAAGCCAAGTCACTTAGCAAAATTAGTGGTTTGGATTTCTGTATGATATCTAATTTTCTAACAGTCTCCATATTTTATTGTCCCAAATGAATCTGCTTCACAGAAGCAAAATACCTACCCTACTTCTTACTTAGTTTGTCAAATGACTTATGAAGCACAGTAATAACACCTTTCCAAATGTCTCTCAAGAGAAAGTCTGAATCACAATTTTTCTGATGAAAAAAATGTCCTCCTCATCACATAGCAGAAAGCGGCAGAGCTGTTTTGAGTGCTGAGTGGGCCTAAATGGCAATGCTAAACCAACAGAAGTTGTGATTAGAGTGTAGAAATAACTCCTAATGGATAAGAAGTTGCACACTTCTTATCAAAACAGTTTGGAACTAACAAATGACCTGGCTTTGAGAAACTAAGCTGAAAATTAAGGGATTAAAAGCTTCTGGGGAAGAAAATAGACAAGAGACAGAGAAGTACTAAAAGTTATACAAATGACTATAAATGAGTTATATAAATGAGTAACAAAATCTTTGAGAAATTCTTTGAGAAATACATTCTTCTCTCTCTCTGGAGGTTGCCACACCTCAAATGTAATGGGACAAAACAGTATAATGGGTGATATCAGCTAAGAGTTTAGGAGCTCAACTTCAGGCCAGCTCCCACTGGCAGGGGCTGATAGTATTTAGAATTATATGTCTAAAATACAGATTACATAAGAATGAGGATTATTTGCAAGCTCATTTATGGTCAGTATGGTTTGCATTCTGGACAAGTGATTAGTGAAACCGAATAGTCACACGTCATTGCGTTTGCTGTTGCCTTTCATGTCTCCCTCTGGACTTGGAAATATTGATCATGTTGAGATAAGTGTATGTATTTAAGAGAAGGGAGATAGTGGAGAGAGGAAAAGAGAGGGAGAGAGAAATTTTGTGGTCCCTGAGATAAAGAAGTAGGTAACTCCTCAAATCCTGAGCACCACAGATGGAAGATTCAGGGCTTGGGCAACTGGAACTGGTTTTATCTTTTAGTTCACACATCCAGTAAACAAGCTTCTTTTCCAAGTATATAATGTAGGAGTGATGAATTTGGTTGAACTAAGTATGAGAACTATGGAGAAAAGAAATAGACTCTGTAAATTACTAAAATTAGGTAAGTCTTTTCTCCACAATTATGCTCTTATACATTCTTTTCCAAACCTACCTTAGTTGATTTCCAAGGAGATGTATGGCCTGCAAACGAATCATTCAGCCTCCTCTGCCTTCTGTTTGCTTATTTTACATCTTCTGTTTCCTCAGCACTTTTTCCATTCCTCTGATACCCCGTAAGGCAGCCCTGCATAGCGTAATATCTACCTCCTCGAAACCTTTATGTAATCTTTAAATTTATCACTTGGCACTAATCGTATTAAGAGGTTTACAGTACATATTTTCCCTCTGTGTTTTCATGAACTATTTGTTGGTAGGGAGAGAGTCTCAAATACTTTGTTAGCTCTGCAGGGCCTGTATAAGGAATTTTAGTAATGTGAAATATGAAAACAGAGATAATTTTGACATTTACTTTTATTCCAATCAAAATGGTATTCTTCCCATTCCAAACATGCATTATTGGTTTCACATTTAATACATAATATAACAGAGCAAAGGTAAAACTACCAAATTAAGCATATAATCTCCAATCTTTCTTCTAAACTCCCCTCACCCCTACATACACTGCCTTTAGAGCTTTAGTAGATCTCTACAATATATGAAAGTTTGTTGTTTAAATATCAAATATCTTAACAAATAATTGCTGATAGATGTACATAAGCATCTATTGCCATTCATTAGGCTTATGATTTCTTACAAACTTGTAATTCTATAAGTAAATTTAGCAATTTGGATGTAGTTTACATAGAGAGAATCTGTAGATGTTAAGGACATCTGTGATGGTTTAAAATAATGCACAGTGAGAACATATTTTGTCCAGGGTAGGCTGAGATAAATCTAGAAAATGTCAGTTTTATCACATTAAAATATATCCATGCAATCATTTTCTTAAGACTCTCTAAAAGCTAACCTGCAATAATCTAGAGCATTTTAATTATATTCCAAATGATGAATATGACTTATAATCTTTAAAGGGTTGATTCATGCTATTTGAATCTAAGGCATTGATAGCTATTGAATTTTGGTTTTATACATAGGTTTGTATTTAGTTTGATGAAAACTGATAAACTGTCTACTAATGCTTAAAGGATTCAATTTAATGGATAACGTCAATTTTTCAGAACTAATTAGTAAAATAAATTTACATTGGGAAATATAATATGCAACTTTCAATTTGCTGTTAATTCTTCATTCCCATTTGTCATGACCTTAGCGAAGCTCTCACTTGATACTACAGAGTTATGGACTATATTTTTATAATAATTTCACTTCTTAATTTAGTAGCTAATCAGTTCCATTCTTCTAATCCCCATGTATGTGTGGGGGGTGGAGGGGACTGGGTTTTCTCAATCTCATTTTCCTCATTTTATTTCTTATTTTCTTATCAGTCTTTCTCTAGGTTTTAAGTATCAACAGGTTTTAAATAAACAAATATTTCAGCTTTGCTTTTACTAAAAATTTTGCTATGTACTCTGTCCAGGGGTATATGTTGTCCACCCACCCCCCAAAACAGAGCATTCTTGCTCTGTTACCTGATAGAAATGTATAACTCTATTCTCATTTTTTTAAATTTTTATTTTTTGAGAGAGAGTTTCACTCTGTTGCGAAGGCTGGAGCTGCCTTCTGGGCTCAAGCGATTCTCATACCTCAGTCTCCCTAGTAGCTGGGATTACAGGCTTGTGCCACCATGCCCAGGTAATTTTTGCATTTTTAGTAGAGACGGGATTTCACCATGTTGCTTAGGCTGGTCTCGAACTCCTGGCCTCAAGTGATCTGCCTACCTCAGCCTCCCAAAGTGCTGGGATTACAGGCATGAGCCACCACACCCGGCCCACAACTCTATTCTCTTTTCATTTTCAGGGGAAATTAGTAACTTTAATAAATAAAAAAAAATTATGATATTTATAAAAAATACTTTGAAATATACTTTTATGAAAAACAATTTATGAAAATTACTTTGAAAAATACCTTGTTCAAGATAATCTGCCTAAACCTGATGGAGTATAAGAAATTTAGCAATATGATATATTCCTGATATTGTAGTTGGAGAAAAGTTGTCTTCTACCTAAAAAGTTGTCTGGGTTGACCAAGTGTTTTTTCAGAGTAGGATCTTAGGTTAAAATTATACCAGTTCAACAGGAATTGCCCTGCATAAATGAGAATTGTGATCAACCTCTCTTAGATGGAATGATAAGATTAAAAAGCAAAGCTACACTAACCATCCAGATACTCACTCAGATTTGTAAATCTAAAAGCATCATATTAGTTAAAAATGTATATACATTAAGAATGTTTGAGTTTATTTAGAATGACAAAATAAAGGAACATGAAGAAGATTACAAACACAGGTATCAAACAGCATGAAATAAACACAAGAAGTTATAAATATAACAAAAGCTATAAGGGCTCAGGAGACAAGTTTATTATCAGCTGGGATTACAAACAAACTAATAAATTATTTTCTTTTCATGGGCATAAAAATCACTGAATAAATTATCTGAATTAGTAACTTATTTAGCAATAAACGTTTCTAGAATTCAATCCCAAACCTTTGTTCTCTATATTATGCAATAAGGAGCTGAAATTTCAACAGCAAACTTTAATTTTCAGACTGTTTAAGTTACTTTTCTAAAAAAGTTATTTTAACATAATCATAGTGATCTTAGGAGTTTTACATTTTATGAGAGAAAAGTATAATTGGTGTTTGAAAAAAAAGGTTGCTTGATTTCTTATGATTTACTCTTTTACAGAAGACAATAAGAACTTTGCACAATATTTACATCATTTCTGTAAATGTAACAGCAACAGTAAGATACCATACCCAGGGCTGAGTTTATTTCTTTTAAAGGTGGGAGCACCCATGGAGCTTTGCTGATTTTCCTAAAATTAGTAGCAAGGGCCAGATTTGTACCTGGCACTATTCTAATAGAACAGCCTCTGTTCAAATGAGAAGAGCAAGGGAAGTCCCAGAATTCCACTTAATGGTAACCAAATTTCGAATACAACTTTACATTTAAAGCATTGGTTAAGTCCTGATTAAGTCGGCCTCTGATCCTGTGCTACGTGCCTTCTATTGACTGTGAAGGCAATCATGAATCATGATTACCCTTTTGAATCAGGTATACCCTAAAAGTGCTGTTTCATATATATTATCACCTCATCTAACTGTAGGCCCCTAATCATTTAACACATAGAAGTGTAAATATATACATGGAAAATAACAAGAAATACTAGAGTGACTTACATGGTAAAAACATCCAGTGTGTCTCCAGCAGTTCTTGCCATCTCAAAGTAGGTTTGCAGAATGTTGACAGTTCCAGAAAGCGCTTCATGACCGCAGCCACAGAACAGGGCAACACCCGCATAGAGCAGGATGGTGGCAATCAGAGAGGCATAGGGAATGCCCCCCAGGCATTTGATACAGCATTCAAAACACCCTGTAGAAGATCACAAAGGGAGAAATTCATATTTTTGTTAACCTAATTTAATTTTTTTTTTCAAACTTCAGCACTATGGGAAAGTATATTTGCACTGACAATACCAGGTCAACCATACAAATGAAGTCCTAGAGTGCATTGAAGGATACTAAGATCAAATTCCTTAATTATAAACCCATCCTCCACAAATAAGAGAATGTTTGCCATGACTGATGTCTTCCTCATCTACCGCAAAACCTAGAGAAGCCCTTCCTTCCCAACCCAGACTTTCTATAATAATTAATCTTCACCATACATGCATGCATATCATTCCATCTTGAATTTATTGCTCCCAAATGTCACATGCTTATGGTTTTATTTCAATGGTATTTATTCTTTTGCACTCTGTGTATCTGCATTTTTCTTTTTTTGTAACAGATATTTTTATTGATGTGTCATAGTTATACAAGTTTTGGGGATCCAGGAGATATTTGGATACATGTTTATAATGTATGAGGATAAAATCGGGGTAATTGGGATATCCACCGCCTAAAATATTTATGTTTTCTTTGTGTCGGAACATTAAGATTCTTCTCTTCTAGCTATTTTGAAATATACAATAGACTATTTTTAACTATAATTTCCCTACTATGCTATCGAATACTAGAACTTATTCTTTTTACGTAAGTGTGTTTTTGTACCCATTAACCAATTTTTCAGACAGTAAGTTGAAGCCTGTTAGTATGTTGTGAAGTTAACCTAGTGAACTGTTTTCTTTCCTTTATTGAGACAGAGTCTGGCTCTGTTGCCCAGGTTGGAGTGCAGCGGAACAATCTCGGCTCACTGCAATCTCTGCCTCCCGAGTTCAAGAGATTCTCCTGCCTTAGCCTCCCAAGTAGCTAGAGCTACAGGCACACACCTCCGTGCCCCATTAATTTTTTTGTATTTTTAGTAGAGACAGGGTTTCACCATATTGGTCAGGCTGGTCTCGAACTCTTGACCTCAAAACTCAGTGAACTTTGACCAGCAAATATTAAAAGTGACAGAGACTGGAAGAGACAATATCTGAATTCATGTTATGTAGTAAGGGAAATTATTTTTGACTCTTTTGACTTCAGTACTCCTATATGATATTTGAGTGGTGACTCATAATGAAAATCTACTTCTTGCTATCATTCATGGTTTGAAAAAATGAGAAAGACACTGGCACAGCAAATGAGAGCACATTGGACACACCAATCCCTGTGTGGTTTTTGCCAAATTTATTCTTTTGAGCTTATTGTCTTTAAAAATGTGACAATAAGATAATCTCTCATATGGTTCTCATGAGCATTAAATGAGTTAATATAAAAAAATAGTGCTTGACATAGAGTAACTACTCACTACATGTTATCTGTCATTATTAGATGTAACCTAACTATTATTACTTTTGGGGGTGGGTGGAAGATGGAGTCTCACTCTGTCACCCAGGCTGGACTACAGTAGTGCGATCTCGGCTCACTGCAACCTCTGCCTCCTGGGTTTAAGTGATTCTCCTGCCTCAGCCTCCCGAGTAGCTGGGACTACTGGCGCACGTCACCACACCTGGCTATTTTTTGTATTTTTAGTAGAGACGGGGTTTTGCCATGTTGGCCAGGCTGATCTCAAACCTTGACCTCAAGTGATCCATCCACCCTAGCCTCCCAAAGTGCTGGGATTATAAGCATGAGCCACCACGCCCAGCCTAATTTAACTATTATTCATATGAACTATTACTGTGCTGTCATGTGGTTGTCAAAAATTCTTTGGCCATCATGGTCACTTTTGGTTTTTGAAGTCTCATCACTTTTACTTATTAAAACACAGCTTTAAGCATTTAAACTGAGACATCAGAAAATGATGGTAAATATTCAAAATAAAGGTCACAATTTCCTAGGCTATTGCTAGATATCTTCTAAGAAATTAACTAGAAATGCTTAAGTATATATGTTTTGCAAGAGCAAATACTGGTGAGGCACTATGTGCCAGCCACAGCTGATAAAGGAGAATTTAGATGAGAGAGCTGACAGGCTAAGGGTACTTGCAAGGATGACCTAGGTTCCATATGTACCCACCTCTAGCCACCCCACCCCTCAGATACACACACATATCCTCATTCCAAAGATTTCCTCCTTATGAAAATCCTTGATCAAATCTGTCTTTGTAATGCTGAAGCCCCTCAGATAATGACTTTTCCTTTTTCTTCAGAAACAAATGACAAACAAGATTTTAAAATGGATTATTATTGTGCTTAAGTCATAGGAAGATCTGTGTGCACTTTATCTAGAAGGCATAGATGCATATAGCAACATATGAAGCATGTGATAATTGCAAAGTTCCTGTGAGAACTAAGTTTATATTGAGAGATTGAGCTAGTCTGCTATTTTTAATGCTGCTCACTGAACTGGCCTTCTTGACAATTCTAGTCCATCCCATCTGCCCCAGAGGAGGTTAAAAAAAGGAGTCTGAACACCTTCCCACTTCAGTAGCTGTTGTTTGTGCAGGCAAAATTGTTTCTTGAACATTCCTCCCCCAACACACATCTCTCTCTTTCTCTCACACACACACACACACGTGCACGTGTGCACGCCCCCCCACCCCACACACACACAATGTGGGGAAGTAGAAAAGGTTAGAACAGCTTGAAATTTCATGTAATAGGAAGAGATTT
Organism: Homo sapiens; assembly: GCF_000001405.40. NCBI lineage: Eukaryota > Metazoa > Chordata > Mammalia > Primates > Hominidae > Homo > Homo sapiens. The sequence goes on from NC_000004.12 coordinate 175,704,436, forward strand.
CACCAGCAGATGGCTAAAAACAATGTGTGTAGTGTCTGAATGTCACTGAACACAGTTTTGGGTGGAGATTAACAGGGCAGCAGAAAAATCTTTCAACTATTCTGTCTCTTGATGTTCTACAATTTCCACCTCACTGATTATTTAAAAATAATAATCATAAAAAAATTAGTGCCAGCCCAATGTAGAGCTATCCCTATTTTTGGCAAGTATACCACATAGCCTCATGATTTTAAATCCTATTCATCTGTGATTTCTGTCTTTCACTGTTCTCGAAGGATTTGATGTGGTTGTGGGAGATTTCTACTGCAGACAATCAGAAGTATGAAAACCAGATAGATGAACATGTTTCACAAAACTGTTCAAGGTAGAATAAGTTCATATATGAAGAGTTCAAACACTGAATGCATAGGTGGGAATTGCCTTTGCTGGATCCTAGAGCCTAAAGTTAATAACTGAGCAAAGACAAAATCAGAATCAGGATAGCTCAGGAGCAGATAAAGTGGTAAGCTCATGACTGATCACCAAAACCACTTCTGGGGACTTCTGATTAATTTAAGTATTAATTCAGGGTCGGTTTCACTTATTTCTCATTTTCTCCACTCTACTTTAAATGGACCAGTTCTAGCCTCCACACTATGCTCTACAGCTGCAAGGGGGATACTGGAGTTCTGCATCAGAGCATCAAGTATAAATTCAACTGAGTAGTGGCTTTCAAATTTAGAAAGAAAAGCCCGAGATAAATTCCAAAATTGGGTCAACCCAAATTGACAACTCTGAGATAACGTGCATTTCCAAATGAGTGTAAGGTCTTTTTACTCTATGTAAACAGTATTATTTAAATCTCTCAGAATCATATTACCTTTATGGCAAATACAAATTCCTCTAAACTTGCACTACTGTGAAGTTAAGCTAAAATCTTTTGACTTAAGACCTGATCATCCGTCAAACTTCTATTCAAAGGAAGAAACCTTAAGTATTTCATCACACACATTTCGCACTTGTAACGGGCTAGATCCTAACTATCCCCACTCTTCCACAGAGCCCGAGTTGCCTATTCGTTTTAAAAGAAGACTCTCAGAACTCCCATCTGGGGAAGCAGCGCATTATTTCAGTATTCTCTCCAGCTGCCAGGATCCCACGTAGTTGCTGGCAGGGGAGCTTCTTTCCACCCACAGAGAGGAACAGCCTTGGCAGAGCAGCAGAGTTGTCATAGCAACCCTGCCCCTGGGCCCCGGATAGGTTCCCAACAATCACCCTTTAAGGCTGCGGATCTTGCTGCCCCCAGTACCACGTTTTCACTGAACTGCAAATGAAAAGCCACTGTATTAAATGAATATTAGTGAAGGCATAGGAAGTGGAGTGCTGGTGCTGGAGAAGATATTTTTTTCTTGAGAAACTCTCCAGTAAAATGATAAAGATTACTTTGAACAGGAAACATTTTCAATACTAGATATTATAATAAAAATAGGCCCATTAATTCTCAAATAGAACAGATGGCTCAAATAGGGAATACTGAATTTACATGTTCTAGTCACTACCTATATACACAAAGAGGTATTTCTCACATCCATTTTCTGGTTATACTTTCCAAAATGAAATAATACTGTGCCTTCAGCTTTAACATGAAAACAAATATTAAAAGAATTATGAGATGTTCAACACACCCTCTGAAACATTAGCATTTGCCCAAAGATTAGTGAAGTTATAGATTGACTTGTACTAATACAAGAAATAACTTCAAAATTTCAAAGAAAATAGAAGAAATAGAAAAAGAAAATAGAAGAAATAGAAAAAGAAAATAGAAGCTGTGAAGATATGTTATCTTTAAAAAAAGATACTGACATTTTTAAAAAGACATTGATTAATTTATTTCCATTTAAACATTGTGAAGTCAAATACATGCCTTTGCTTTTGCTCACTCCACAAACTGCATCAAAACAAATAAAGGGAAAAGAACCTAAACCAATAAGAAAAAGACCAGGAGAGACAGACAACAAAGAAGAGAGGCCAACAAAATTGTGGATTCTGGAAAAGTGATTGACAGGAGAGGTTGAGAAGTGAGATTTACAATAGACTGACAATTGACTCATTGATAAATTTTTCCTAATATTATTTACCAGGCGGCTGATTGCTCTTCTCCTGACCTACGTCATTTTTGTCATTATCAAGTGTCCAGAGAGGTATAGGTCTGTTTGAGGGCTGTCTATTCTGTCCCATTAGTCTGTCTATCACTGTGTCAGAGGTGTTTAAACCAAAGCAACTCCATCTTGAATAGGGGCTGGGTGAAATAAGGCTGAGACCTGCTGGGCTGCATATGCAGTGGGTTAGGTATTCTAAGTCACAGGATGAGAGAGTAGGTCAGCATAAGATACAGGTCATGAAGACCTTGCTGATAAAACAGGGTGTAGTAAAGAAGCCAGCTAAAACCCAAAAACCAAGATTGCAACTAGAGTGACCTCTGGTCATCCTCATGGGTCATTATATGCTAATTATAATGCATTAGCATGCTATAAGGCACTCCCACCAGTGCTATGACAGTTTACAAATGCCATGGCAAAGTCATGAGGTTACCCTACATGGTCTAAAAAGGGGAGGAACCATCAGTTCCAAAAATTGCTCCCCCCTTTCCCCAAAAACTCATGAATTATCCACTCCTTGTTTAGCATATAATCAAGAAGTAACAGTAAGAATCCTTGGTAAAGCAGCTCAAGCTGCTGCTCTGTCTATGGAATAGCCATTCTTTATCCCTTTACTTTCTTAATAAACTTCCTTTCACCTTGCTCTATGGGCTTGCCCTGAACTTCTTCTTGCTCAAGTTCCAAGAACCCTCTCTTGGGGTCTGGATGGGGACCCCTTTCCAGTAACAGTTGGGCCAATACCACACTGCCTTATAGTATGTTTTGATTTGTGGAGGAAATTGCCTCAGCCAATGCATTTTCTTCATGAATGTCATGGCTATTCATTGCCCTTCTACTTTACCAATCAATTTTAAAAACAGTTTGTCTGATTACACAAATTAACTCATTGGGATTCTGATTGGTCTTTTTGCATTTGTATAAATTATTTATGTAATTTAGATATTAATTTTTTATCCACAAACTTTAAAATTCTTTCATTGATTCTGTGAATTATTTTGAGTTTGTGGATTATTTTAAATTTAAGTTGATAATCATACCACCTGTGAAAATTTTGGGCTTTATTTCTTTTTTTTTCAATATATGTGCCTTTTACTTTATCTTCTTATTGTCTTACGCTATTGGATAAAATACAGAGAGGAAATTAAAAGTAATGCGAAAAGGTATCTTTTGTGATCCTGATATTATCGATACTTATGCTTTTACCTGATACTTATGCTTTTACCATTAAGTTTGATGCTTGCGGTTGTTTTATTGGTTAAAGATGGTCTCTTGTTTTAAATTCTATCATATGCTTCCCATCTGGTAAAATAATTTTTTTTCTTCTTTTTATCTACCATTTCAATAAATTTTTCTAATGTAAGTGAAACTTGCATTCATGAGAAAAAAAATGGTGTCACTGGGTTTTTAAAAATACATCACTAAATTTGTCATGCTAACTTTGTTCAATACTTTTGCATTTATCAATGTATCCAACAGTTATTGAGCCCTTGCCAGGTGTCAGACACTATGCTAATTGCTGAGACCTTAGAAGTAAACAAAATCAATGAAAATCTCTGCTTTCATTGTAGAGGTGCAAGCAAGATTATAAACAAGATACTGAAGAAATATAGGTGAGATTGTGAAAAGTTCAAGGAAGGAAATCTAAACAAAGAGGTGGGGTAAGGAGTACTGGAATATCAGTTTCAATTTCTGATAAAGAGACCAGGGAAGGAATAACTGTGATGACATTTGTGAAATGGTCTGGAGGAGGTAAAGGGATCATCCAAGAGGCTATCTGGGAGAAGGTTTATTTTATTTATTTATTTATTTATTTATTTATTTATTTATTTGAGATGGAGTTTCGCTCTTGTTGCCCAGGCTGGAGTGCAATGACGCAATCTTGGCTCACTGCAACCTCCGCCTCCTGGGTTCAAGCGATTCTCCTGCCTCAGCCTCCCTAGTAGCTGGTATTACAGCTGCCCGCCACCACACCCAGCTAAATTTTTGTACTTTTAGTAGAGATGGGGTTTCACTATGCTGTCCTGGCTGGTCTCGAACTCCTGGGAGAAGGTTTCAAACAGAGGGAAACTAAATGTCAATGCCTTGAGGCAGGTATGTGTCTAGAGTATCTAAGGAAAATTTAAGAGACCAGTGGTGCCAAAATAGATTGAGATAGAGACAAAGGAACACAGGAGAGGTTAAAATATAATAGGTGAAGGTATAGGGACATCAATATGTTAATGAATGTCTTTGACAACAAATTTTTGCTTTCTTGTTTTCTAGTGAAGTTTATACCAGCCTTGTAAAGTGATCCCCTTTTTCAATGCCCTGGGAGAGTCTGCATAAAGTTGTAATTACCTGCACAGTAAATATTTGGTAGAACAACCAGTAAAACTATCCAGTCCACTTGTGTACTTTATGGGAAGAATTTAAACTACTGATCTAATACGCTGATGTTTATAGAGTGATTCAAGTATTCTATTTCTTCTTAAATCTGTTTGCTAAATTCAATTTCTGTAAGCATACGTAAACTTAATAAAATATATTCATTTTCTCATTAAGTTGTATATAACATTTTAAATAATATTTTTAATGCGTTCGTCATCTGAACGTATTTCCTTTGGTCTTCTCCAGTGATTTTAATTCTTCCTTTTTTATTTCATTCCTTCTTTCCTTCCTCCCTCTTCTCCTCCTCTCTCCTCCTTTTTTCTTTCCCTTTTCCTCCCTCTGCCCCCTTTCTCTCTCTGTCTCTCTCTCTCTCTCTACGTGGGCCTCTCTCTCTCTCTTTCCCTCTCTCTCTCTGTCTGTCTTTCTTTTCTTCCTTTCTCTCTTCTTAAAGAGCATTGGCCAGGACAACCTATGTTTTACACTCTTTGTTTGCTATTAAAATAAACAGGCTGGTCACGGTGGCTCAAGCCTGTAATCCCAGAACTTTAGGAGGCCGACGTGAGTGGATCATGAGGTCAGGCGTTCCAGACCAGCCTGGCCAACATGGTGAAACCCCATCTCTGCTAAAAATACAAAAATTAGCCGAGCGTGGTGGCGCTCACTTGTAATCCCAGCTACTCAGGAGGCTGAGGCAGGAGAATCGCTTGAACCCGGGAGGTGGAAGTTTCAGTGAGCCGAGATCATGCCATTGCACTCCAGCCTGGGTGACAGAGCAAGACTCCATCTCAAAAAAAAAAAAAAAAAAAAATTCAATGACTTAAAACATCACATTTTATTTTTCAATAAGTCTAGAATATTTCCTTCCCAGCTTCATAGTGGGGATCTCTTCCCATTATAGCCATTCAGAAGCTCAGGTTGATAAAGGAAAACCATCTTGAACACTGCTAGTCATGATATCAGAATAAAAAACACCAGGGAAATCTCACTTTGGCAATCTAGTATTCTAGACTCTAGGTAGTACATGCCATTTCTACACCAGCCTAATGGGTAGAAAGAGTCACTTGCCTCCCCTTCAAACACAAAGACCAAAAAGTGCAACTCTGCTATGTTTCCAGAAGACAGGGAGCCACAAAACTTAGCAAACAGCACTAATGACTATCATAATAAGTAAAGCTGAAGGTTTTCCAACATTATTATTCTTTTCAAATAAGCTTTTTTTGGTATGATTATTTTGTTTCATTAATTTCTATTTTTAGATTAATTTTTTTCTTTATTTTTATTTTCTTTGGGTAAATTTTCCTATATATGTTCTAATGTTTTAATGTGGAAAGATGGATGCTGAGCTCATTGCTCTTTGGACTTTTCTCTAATAAAAGTATTTAACCCTATAAAGTTACCTTCTAATTCTGATTTGAGTGAATTCCACAAGTTCTGATATGCAAACTTTTCATTCTTGTTCAGTTTTAAGTATTCTCTAAAGTTTATTGAGATCTCTTTTTGACATATAAGTCGTTTTTTTCTTGGATTATTTATTTTCGTTTTCAAATATGAAAGCTTTTTAAATCTTCTGTATGTTATCTGTTTGTATATTTATTGCATTATTGTTAGGGAATATGGTCTATAGGATGCCAATCCTCTGAAATTTATAGTGACTTCCTTTAAATTAAATCCAAGACTTGAGTTTTTCGGTTTCTGAAAGTAGCAGAAATTTTCATCACCAACTCACAGGAGAGCTGGCTTGTGGTACCAAATTCTCAGGAGACATATTTTCCCCCTCAACTCACTCAAGGTATAAAAGATGTAAATTTTCCTTTCTGCCTTACACACAACTTTTGTTACTATTATTGTTCTGTAATTTTTTGCTTTGTTTAATTTTGTTTTCCTGTCTCAGCCTTTCACAGAGTCCTTTAGAGTCCTGACCCTTATGCTGTGTGTTCCAACTTGACCTCCAGTCTCAGGCTGAACTCAGCTCTGTTTCCTAACCTGTATTACCAGGACACCCAATGTGAAGCCCAAGGAGACCAGGAATATGAAAACGACCCAGGCCCTGCTGCTGTCTGCAGTGCTTTCTTGCTTAGCTCCCTGAACTTCTCCTTTAACTTTATTGTTGGCTTCTGAGGGTTCTGCATACTCTCTTGACAGTACATCAATGTGTACATACATGTGTACATATATAAGTAATTATATTTTAATTGTACCTATATTTTAAATGAGCATATTTTAAATACACAAGCATATTTGTTTCAAAACTTCAATTGTTTGGGAACAAAAAAGGTTTTCTTGCTATTTAATCTACCATACTACTGGTAATTCACTCTTAATTAGAAAGAGACAACCACTAGGTATTTGAGGAATGCCTCCAACTTGGAAGACAGAAACAGAAATAAATAAGCAAAAAAGAAATTCCAAGAAATAAAAGATAAAGCAGGCAGCTGAAGAGAGTTTAAAAAGGGCACACTGGCACACCAAATATATATATATATATATATATATATATATATATATATATATATATATACACACACATACATACATGTATATATAAATATAATATATTTATATACTTGTATATATAAATACATATATGTATGTATATATTTATATATTTATTTAGAATATTACAAAATATATTGCATTCTAAACAAAATGGATGTATTTCTTTTTACCTAAAATAGGAATTTGAGACAGCCAAGTTAAAAGGGCTCCCCAGAGAATCCCCAGCTGTCTTGTGCATTCGGAGGATGGAGTTGGGCCTGGAGAAGTTCTCGCTAGTTTGGGTGGGGGGTGGGGAGGCTGGCCTCTTCTGTCCCTGTGTAGTAATCTGGGATTCAGTTGGTGAAGTAGAGAGCCTGTTAGCAGGACTCCATCTCACTTTGCTGAGTTGTATTTCCTTTTTCCTTTTCGCTCAATGAATTCCACTCATCACCCTTATATGTGTCTGCAAGCCTAATCTTTCCTGGTCATGTGACAAGAACAGTTTTTTCCTACAATAAATAGATGCTCTAAATAGGCAACTGCAATAAAATTAAAAGCTATTATTAAATGGAAATATAGCAGAAGTTTACATTTTCACAGTTTAAAGACACACACACACACAAAGAAATCTATGACAAAGTAGAACAAAAAGATGGAAATTGGAGAGAAAAGATAAACAACTTAGAAGATCAGACAAGGAAGAACAACCACCACAATTGAATATAATGAGATTCATCAATAAAGCAGTGAAAATGAAGATTAGCAAATTACCAAATAATTAATATAAAACGGTTTCCTAGAGTTAAGGGCATGAGTCTGTAGATTGGTAGCACTCACTGAGTTTGCTTCTGGGGCTGAATTCCTCCCTTCCTGTAGCTCTTACAGCCCCCACTACCTCCTGCTGCCCTGCGGCCACACTATGGCAGAGCCAGGAGGCCTGATGCTGGCTCGTGGTGCCCCCAGAGTGCTCCAAATTAATAAAGAAGAGCTAGAGCAATTGGGGTCATGGACAATAAGTGTCTTAGAAAAAGTCATCATCAGAGAAGGGGAACAAGAAGTGCTTTCAACTAAATTTAAAGCAAATGCTTTTATTTAGAGGACTATTTCTGAAAACTTGTAACAATTCGAAGTTAGCTTTAAGACCTTTTTGTGTCTATGGAAATATTAGTGGAGTGAGGCCAACCTGACTTTCTCTTATCCTAACACTGAGGGAAACATGTCCCTTGGGTAGAAATAAGAGAACAATTAAATCAAGACCTGACTGTAATAAGTTTATTTCACATGCTCACTCCTTTTTTCTATGCCTATGCTAGCAGCATGGGCACGGAATCACTACGTTAATATTCAGAGAATGTTTCTTGAGCACCTGTTTCTTCTACACACTGTGTATACAGAAGTGATCAAAAAATATGGTCTCTACTCTGTTTGAGCCTATATACCAGTGAGAAATAAAATTAGAAAGTTCTGGCACCTTTTAGAAAAATTCCCAAAAACATCGTAAGAAAACATCCAATATTGTGATATCTTTAGTGTCCAGTTGGTGTAGCCAGGATTGCAGTGCTCATCAGCACATCAGAATTAGTGACCGTGGGCTTGGAGTTCAAAATTATCCAAAGAATAGTAGACTAAAAAGCTCCCTGGCATAAAGTCTAACATGCCATAAAGATGAGTAAGGATATTTCAAAATTGGGCTTCTGAGGAAGGCTTTATACTGTAAAATGTTTAGCAAACACACTCTTTAATAGTTAACCCTTTAATGAATGACATGATAATCTCTATTTTTATTTTTATTTTTATTTTTATTTAAGAGGGAGTCTCACTCTGTCGCCCAGGCCGGAATGCGATGGCAGGATCTTGGCTCACTGCAACCTCTGCCTCCCGATTTCAAGCCATTCTCCTGCCTCAGCCTCCAGATTAGCTGGGACTACAGGTGCACATCACAACACCTGGCTAATTTAGTAGAGACGGGGTTTCATCATATTGGTCAGGCTGGTCTTGAACTCCTGACCTTGTGATCCGCCTGTCTCAGCCTCCCAAAGTGCTGGGATTACAGGTGTGAGCCACGGAGCCCTGCCTGATAGTCCCTATTTTTAAAGCCTTTTAGAATATAGCTCAAATAATCCTTAAATATTGTTAAATTTTTATTAACATCTTATTTAAATATGTCCTGGCCTAAAAAGAGCACAAAGTCAAAGTAAATATTTGAATCATTAAGAACACAGAGGCATTACCAAAAACAAACTCAAATGACAGGTGTTTATCTTAAACATTGTAGTCATGGCTATAATACTCTGCTTAAACAAATCAGTTACTAATTTTAAAAGAAACATCTTTAAACAGGAAAAAATTCGCAGCGTTCAAAGGCATTTTTGTATCCTCTAGTACAAAATGGAGGAGCATTTTCACTGCATTTTTTGCTGAATCTCATTATTTTTGATAGCGGTTGTTGGTTTTCCTTGTCTGATCTTCTAAGTTGCTTATCTTTTCTCTCCAATTTCCATCTTTTGTCTGTTTGTTCTACTTTGTCATAGATTTTTTTTTGTCTTTTAGTCCTTCTGTGAAAATTTAAACTTCTGCTATCATATTTGTATTTAATAATATCTTTTAATTTTTTTGGTAGTTACCTATTTGTGGATGGGTATCAAAATCACCAGGGGTGCTGTCAAAAATAGATTTTTAGATGTCCTCTGTTGAGAATCTTGTGGGTTTTTATCAAGTTCTTCAGTTCATTCTGATACTACAAGATATGCAAGCCACGCAGTATTCTATAAAATCACATTAGATGCCCTGAATCCTTTAAAAGTATTTGATAAACCAGGATATGCATGTTAATACAAAGATAAGGAATTACTCTAAGAAATTTGAACGAATGATTAAACAACATATACAGTTTATAACTATATCAACAAGAATTTTTTTAACAGTTCCAAGGCATCAGAAACAATATCAAGACTTTTTTATTTTTTTGTTTTTATTTTTATATTTTAGAGGCAGGGTTTCAGTCTGTGCCCAGGCTGGAGTGCAGTGGTGTGATCGTAGCTCACTGCAGCCTTGACCTCCAGGACTCAAGGGATACTCCTGCCTCAGCCTCCCAAAGTGTTGGGATTATAGGGGAGAGCCACCATACCTGGTCACCAAGACTTTCAATGCATTGCCTGGTGTGGTCTCCACAGCTATCATATGAAAGAGCTATAATTATAGTCAGGCAATTTCTCAAGTGGTTATTGACAGTAGATACTGCCAGAGTACATGAAAGCCTATTTATTATGAATTTTTCAGAAGAATGGTGACATTTTTATGTTTAAAATGCTATCATGAAAATGTTTATTAAGATTAATATTTAACATTCAGACCGTTTTTTTTTAAGAAATATATTACTAATTACAGAACATTCTGTACTGGTCAACATGACTTAGCAAAACTGTTTTGATTAATTAAACTTGTTCCCTAAGGCAGAGAAGTTAATTGCTTCTATTATGAGTAGAACCATACTCTTCTGACTGTGATACATAAGCCCCTAGGGTAAGGGAACAGTCAGGTGGAGACACGTTTCTGATGTAGAAAAACAATCCCTGGAAGAAAAAAAAAAAAAAAAAACTAGCTTGAATTCCATACACCTGTGGGGTTTTGATATCCCATACCCTGCTTGTTCAGATAATGTCTGGAAATCCAGTTAAAACCCTCATTTTCTCTGTAATAAATGGACTAATTAACATAAATGTTCCTCCCCTAAATGTCCACATGATTTGCTCTCTCACAATCTTCAAAACTTTGCTCAAAATACTCATTCATTCATTTCTTTCATGTGTGTGTTTGCCATTTATTGCTGCCTCACAAGCCATTCCCAAGATGTACTAGCTTAAAGCAGCAATTTATTATAATTTCCCACATCTTCATGGGTTTATTGGTCTCAGCTGGGCAGCTTTCACTCGGGATTGTTCACGCAGATGCAGCCAGAAAGTGAATAGGTCTGCGGTCATCTGAATGCTTGACTGGGTTGGATGTCCAGGATGGTTTCTTCCTTGCACGTACGGCACCTCAGCTAGCATGCCTCGAACTGCTGAGAACTTGCATAATTTTGCCACATTTTATTATCAAAGTAATCACAGGCAGCTCAGATTCAGCTGGGAGAGGGGATGGGAGGAAGAGTTGAAGACTAAATGGGAGTGGGGTAGAATCTGCAGCCATGTTTAGTCTGACACAAGCTGATCTATTTTAAAATTGAAATTTCCACCCAAATGACTGCTTTCTTTTTTTCCATAACACTTATCACCATGCAATGTACTGTTTATCTTACTATTGACTTTTTTTTTTTTTGAATCTCTTCACTAAACTATGAAAGCTACGAGGTCAAGAATTTGTATTTTCTGTCCGGGCATGGTGGCTCATACTGTAATCCCAGCACTTTGGGAGGCCAAGGCGGGCAGATAACCTGAGGTCAGGAGTTTGAGACCAGCCTGACCAACATGGAGAAACCCCATCTCTACTAAATATACAAAATTAGCTGGGTGTGGTGGCACATGCCTGTAATCACAGCTACGTGGGAGGCTGAGGCAGGAGAATAGCTTGAACCTGGGAGGAGGAGGTTGCAGTGAGCTGAGATCACACCACTGCACTCCAGACTGGGCAATAAGAGCAAAACTCCATTAAAACAAAAAAGAATTTGTATTTTGTTCATTTCTGTATGCCCATGCCCTAGCACAATATCTGACACGTAGTAGGTGCTCAGTTAATATTTGTTGAATAAATAATCCAGTTGAAAAATATGTCTCAACAACCAACTAAGACAGATCCAAAAGTGGTCATTAGCTTCAAACCCTCCACCATGTCCAGCTTGCAGAGAAATATCAGAATCATGATAATTTTCTACTTTGGGATTAAGAATGAGAAATATGGGCAATGAATGGTTAGCTACCACACAATTTTGTGTTTTCCTCCTATAACTCTTTTAAAAAGTGAGCCTATTTTTCTTTCTGAGTAACTGGTAAAGAGTGTTTATGTAGGTTTGCTGGAGAGGTAATTCAAAAGTCTTCCTGTATTATACTATAATCTTAAATTTGTAGAAGAAGAAACTTGTTGTGCACATCATACAATAGAATGCAACAAAGTAACTGGCAAACTTGGACTTGTATTGAATGTATTCATCTCTAAACTTCTGTTTTGTTAATGACACAATGTTGAAGATTATCAGTATGACTCTCCACCAAACTCAAAATAAAAACACAAACACACAAAACAACAACAGAGAAAGAGTTACAGAAGACCCTGAGACCTTCAGAACTATTAAATTCCAAACAGGGCAAGCTGAAGACATTGCCAATAAATGTAAAAATAATCAGCCTGTTAAGCAAACTAATTCAGGAAAAGAAGATAGTGTTTTTCTTAAAGGAATTTATGATCACAAGTTATTTACTAGTATTTAATAAAATTTTCCATGATTTTGAAAATAATTTGTTAAGTATTGCTCCAAAATAATGCAATTCCTGGGATATGTGTCTCATGGAAACAGATTTGTCTATATTTTATCTTATCTCACACAACATCAATTCAGCAACTGAAGGAATTATTTCAAAGTATGACCTGGAGTATGTCAGCCTCCTGCTTAAGATCTTTCCTCAACTTTCCTTTACATTAACTTACCATTATACTTTCCACACACTCCTTCTACTCTAGGATGCTGTGTGTGATCTCGCCAGCATCATTTCCCACTGCGGCCCACTTGGCTCACTGCACACCAGCTACATTGGCCACCTTTCAATTCGTTGCAAACCAGCCTTTACGCTCTTCCTGTTTCCTCTGCCTTGATGATCTGATGCTCTTCCCATGCTAGGCTCCTTCCTGCTTACAGCTTAAATATCTCTTCCTTAGAGAGAATCCCTTTACTGTCCATGAAAGAGAACACTACTTATTTTCAATATTTAACAATGACTAGTGAAAATCTGGTATTCATTGGTGGTCATGTAGAATTCTCTTGATCATAATATCCATTCAATTCCATAATTTAATCATAGAAGCTTATTTTTTAATTATGCATTTTTCTGCCTAATCTCATCACTCACAGTGACGAGACTTCACAGATTGCCAAAATTTTTGCTGCAGTTGGAATTTTATAACATTGTATGGTAGCACTGGTATAAAATGCTATTTCCACATATAGACATAGACATGAGTAATAAAAGATAAACAGTCATTACTTAAGATTGATTCTTCTTAGATAGACAACTTTTTAAAGACAATTAAAGAAGAGAGGACCAGTTGATAAGATTGGTCCTCTAGGAAAAAGTTGGAATATGCTGCATTAGACAAAAATATCTCAAACTTATGAGAATTACACAATTTAGTCTTCATGTTTTGTTCTTGGTTAATATGATAAAGAATGTATTATAATTTTTCTAATGTCTTGTGGATATCATGGAAAAGCTGTTATAATTGCCAAGAGTTTTCAGCATAAATAAGGCATTTTCTGTTGCTAAATAAGTATTATGTGTTATTTAGTGAAGCAACATGGCATATGAAGTCACTTTTTAACTTTAAACAGTATATAAAATTTTGTAAAATTGCACCAATTCAGTATAGCATAAATGTGCCCTCACGACCACAGCAATTTTAAGATGCTTTCATTATTATGGTTATTGAGAAATTTTCTTAAAACAAAAATAACAGCTGCAAAAATGGCAATAGCTTATGTTACGCCAGATATTCTGTAGATTTGTTTTTATAAAATTAGTGTTTATATGTATCTTTGCTTTTTATAATGAAATGAATTGATCTGGCTTTTAATGAGAACAGAATCCCCTACACAAGAATTAACTAATCAAAAATATTTTCATTTATATTTTACTATATTGTTACTTTAAAAACAATAAAAGAACAAGTAAAACTTTGTAAACTAATCTAGAAAAAGAAATATTTACATTAGACTGGGTGTGGTGGCTCACACCTGTAATCCCAGCACTTTGGGAGGCTGAGGTGGGAGGATCAGTTGAGGTCAGGAGTTGGAAACAAGCCTGGCCAACATGGTGAAACCCCATCTCTACTAAAAATACAAAAAATAGCTGGGTGTAATGGTGGGCACCTGTAGTCTCAGCTACTTGGGAGGCTGAGGTAGGAGAATCGCTTGAGCCCGGGAGACGGCGGTTGCAGTGAGCCGAGATTGCGCCACTGCACTCCAGCTTGGGTGACAGACTAAGACTCTGTCGAAAAAAAAATATAATGAAATATTTACATTACTACAATTAAATTGGTGAATGCTTAAACCATATGACACACACACATAAACCAGGAATGTATGAAACAGGTTTGTTCAAAGCACCAGTGTAAAAAGGCAAAGATGGGATCATCTACCAGCACACTCCACTACACGATTAAATACAAATCATTTTAACAGAATTGGAGCATACTTAAAATACAGTTGAGACATTTGAAGCCATTCTTAAAAATAAAAATATAACTTTAAAACCAAGTGACTAAAGTAACTATAAAATAAATACTGATTATGAATTCAAGTTGTGAAAGAAAAATTAGAAATTAAAAAATTCAAATTCTCTTTAAAAAGAGAACATGAATTACTTATAGACAGTTTCTTTAATTTAGTTCATAGAAACTCACTAAGACATTTGCAGATACAACCATCTTACTAAAAACATAATGATAGATTTTTAATGCAATCTGGCTTTTTAGAATTTATATATTTATTCCAAATTTAAAAAAACATTTTTTAAGAAGCACATATTTTTAAAATTCTATCTCATAGTTACTACAACATACCGAAATTGGGTATAACACAACTTTTTTTTTTTTTTTAGAAGGAGTCTCGCTCTGTCACCAGGCTGGAGTGCAGTGGCGCAATCTCAGTTCACTGCAACCTCTGCCTCCTGGGTTCAAGTGATTCTCCTGCCTCAGCCTCCCGAGTAGCTGGGACTACAGGTGTCTGCCACCATGCCTGGCTAATTTTTTGTATTTTTAGTAGAGACGGGGTTTCACCATGTTGGCCAGGATGGTCTTGATCCCTTGACCTCATATAACACAAAATTTTAAGCCATATTCTCAAATATTTCCTACATCAAAATGTTATTTCAAAATATGTATGGACTAGAGAACAAAACAAATTCTCTCCTGATAATCACAGTATGCCGTTTTGTATCATAAACATTAGCAGAATGTTCAAAATGGGTATGTAACAATTAATTTGTTACAATGTCAGAAACAAATTGCCACCATTTGTTAAAAGGAAAACTCTTCTGGAGTCCTGAAGTGCTGTCTAGAGAGCTTGAATTGTCTAAGGTACATTTGGAAATAGAGAGACAAATGGCCGTACTTCAAAGTAGATATGTCACTTCTGCAAGCAGTATCTTTTCTCAGGCATCAGAGACTTTAAAAAGCTAAAACGTATTTTTTAAATCAAAAGAATAATATTTTCCTTCTCTCTCCCTCCCTCTCTTTCATTAAAGCAGCTACTGGCATATGCTTTGCTCCCTAAGGCCAGGGAAATATTAGTTCAAAGTCCCTCATAAATCTTTTCAAATGTTATAGAAGAAACGTCGATTTTATTTGAACCAAGCATAAGCCTGTCATTTTGTTGCTTCTATTACAATCTGCCTGAGCACCCTGATAACAAAATACGGATGCACTGTTTTTTCTTACAGCAAATTCAGTCTTGACCAATTTATCCCATTGCCTAAATACTTAATGTCCTTTGCTTCTTTTGATCATATCTCATATGACTTTTAGACGGTAGAGGCTGAAAATAAAGGTTTCCAGAGAGGTTAAAAGGACTATGAACATATGATAACAGAATATGCCTTTTAGCTGTTTTTGTATTCTGCTCACCACAGGACACATCCTTAAGAGGGCTCAGCCTACATATGAAAACCTGCACTTCACATAAATCTTTTTATTTCATGTTACTAATCCCCAGAATTTTATGAATACACACAAAGCTCATTTTCAATTCCTATCAGTCACCTCTGGTGACTGTGAAGTGAAAATAAGAATACTGCAAAATAGAAGAATGTCCATGGAATATCTGAAAAGGCAGAAATGCTAAATAAAACATTAGATCTTTATTATTTCTAGAATATGCTTTACACTGAAGTACAGCACTCCTGTACTGTGGGCCACATGAGATTAATAACTAGTTCTCAAGACTAAGGAATATGTTTCATGTAGCTTTATACGTCCTGCATTTCATACAGAGTTTGGCTCATGGACACAGCACTGAAGAACCCCAATGACTGATCTTCTACTTCTATTTTCTGATGTGTTTTTATTCCTTTGGTTATCTTTTGTACAAGAAGGATAAGTCAAGTTCACCCACTAAAATGTCTACCCTTCAGTTTCAACATGATGTCCAGTCAAATTATATTGGAAAAATATATACTGAATTCACAGCAAGAGAACCAAAAGATGGATCTTGAACTGAAGAAACCTTAGAAATGTATTTCACAATGTAAAGAAAGATAGTCATTTCTGCATTTGGCTGTAACTGGTCGCTGCTGAGGTGTGATGAAAAGACTATAGAGAAAGTAATATCAGAACTGTGCTGTTTCTGTTTCATGGGTATTTTTCCAACAACTAGTAGTTACTTTAGCTTTTCTAGTATATATATATACTAGTACATATATATTATATATATATATGTACTAGTATATATATATTACTTTAGCTTTTCTAGTATATATTTCTAGTATATATATATATTTTCTATTTTTAAAAAGAATATATATATATTCTAATATATATATATATATATTTTCTATTTTTAAAAAGGCAAGATCTAGGCCAGGCACAGTGGCTCATGCCTGTAATCCCAGCACTCTGGGAGGCCAAAGTGGGCGGATCATCTGAGGTCAGGAGATCGAGACCAGCCTGGTCAACATAGTGAAACCCCGTCTTTACTAAAAATACAAAAATTAGCCGAGTGTGGTGGTGCATGCCTGTAGTCCCAGCTATTCGGGAGGCTGAGGCAGGAGAATCGCTTGAACCCAGGAGGCAGAGGTTGCAGTGAGTCGAGATCACACCACTGCACTCCAGTCTGGGTGACAGAGCGAGACTCCGTCTCAAGAAAAAAAAAAAAGCAAGATCTAATTTAACAACTTCATTAAGAGGTGGTAAGGGGCGAAGGACTGGTTTTATTATCTGTACAGCTGCTGTACAAACTTAATAGTTTAATGTTTTCCTCAAACCACTGGAAAGCCATGGGAGCTAATTCTTAAAGACACTTCTTACTACATAAATAACATTATTTGGAATTAAAATATAGAAGACAATAAATATTCTGTATTCTCGATGAAAAACTGTTGACACTTCATGTGGCTTCAATAGGTAGATAATAGGTATTCACAAGGTATATACATTTGATGGTGAGCAAATTTAGATAATTGAAAAGATTATTTTTACCCAACATCTGATAATATTCATATTAAGACTGAACTTGGAATTGAAAGTAATTGGAGTGAAAGACATTCACAGTGGTTTTAACTAATGACAGAGAAAAATGTATTCCAGTGATCTGTAGTAACTTTCACTATTTTCCTTTTGTTCTCAAGTGTGGCCAAGTTACATGCAATAATTTATAAAATTATATTATGCGCCAGGTGCAATGTCCCATGCCCATAATTCTAGAACTTTGAGAGGCTGAGGCAGGAGAATTGCTTGAGTCCAGGAGTTTGAGACCAGCCCGGGCAACAAAATAAGACCCCAATTTTACAAAAAGTACAAAAATTAGCCTGGTGCGGGGGTGTGCACTTGTAGTCCCAGCTACTTAGGAAGTTGAGGCAGGAGGATCCCTTGAGCCCAGGTATATTTTAAAGACTGCATGAGCTGTGATCTCACCACTGCACTCCAGCTGGGTGATGAGAGAGTGGAAGTCGTCCAGTGACCCTCAAACAGACCACCGAAGAGAAAAACTCCTTATCTGAGGAATTTAGAAGGGAATAAAGACCCCCTGGTCACATCTGGTTCCAGCCTCTTTCAACTTTTATAAGTAATTAAAGTTTTTATGCATCTCTGGAATGCCATGCTGAAACTCATTTTGCAATCTTAAGCTCCCGCAGTAAGATCCATAAATACCCCTAAGGAAAATCCACCACGGATCGCGGCTGCACCCTTTTGCAGCTTTCTTCCTTTCTAATAAACTTTCCTTTTTCACACCTATACTGGTGTCCATAATTTACTTTTACCAACCTGTGAGTGGACCTTTTTCCGGTGTGGGGTCTCTGACACCTCACCCGGCAGGTAACAGAGTGAGACCCTGCCTCAAAAAACATTATGTTGTGCATGATGTACAATATGTATAATTTTCTTTTTACTATTAAAACCAGCAATATGTTTAAAAATTCTTTCTTTGACCAGCCGTCGTGGCTCATACCTGTAATCCCAGCCCTTTGGGAGGCTAAGGCGGGCGAATCGCTTGAGCCCAGGAGTTCGAGGCCTGTCTGGCCAACATGGCAAAACTGTCTTTACAAAGAAATTAAAAAAAAAAAATGAGCTGGGCATGGTGGTACACACCTGTAATCCCAGCAGCTCAGAAAGCTCAAGTGGGAAGATTACTTGAGCCTGGGAGGTGGAGGCTGCAGTGAGCCATGATTGTGTCACTGCACTCCAGCCTGGGTGACAGAGACCCCGTCTAAAGTATTGAGACAAAAGGTTTGTGGTAGCTCCAATGGTTTGCTCTCATAATGAGATTCTAAATATGGCCTACACTTACTAATTTTTAGTTACAAAAGCTATATATTTTTCTAATTTTATTTTTCTTTCACTTGACAAGTCACAAGACCTGGAGTAATTTGTAATTATGACTGAATGAGCAAAATCCAGAACACAAATGTGACAGAAACAAGCTTGACCATCTCAGGACTAGGAAGCAAATGTCCCTGAGGGACTTGGATTCCATTTATCTTTGGTCCCAGAAAAAAGTTAAATAAAAGTGAACACCATTGTGTGTTAGGGTTTTCTCCCTATTTTCTCAGCATTATCCTGACTCCCATTTCAACCATTTATTTTATTTTTATTTTTATTTTTTTATTTGATTTTTAAACTCCTTAGATGTAGTTGACTAATCAAGAGGATGCCAGTTTGAAAATTCAACAGATGCTATAATACTAAAAGGCAGGCAAAAGGGTATTTCTGGGGGAGTTTGGCTAGAATGCTATATTTTCACCAAAAAGTTCCAGAAATTGAACTCATAAACTTACTGTGTTTCAATTCTTTATTACCTAAATTAAGAAACAATATGGAATGGAATGTTCATCTTACAGCCTTGTTGCATTTGAAAATTAAGAGTAATAAGGGAAGGAGCTGGTCTTATCATTTATAAAGACATATTAAGTTATACTAAATATTGAATCTTTTACCAGACAAATAAAAGATAAACTAATGGAACATTATCATCAGTTGATACATTAACCCCATAACTGTTAGGACTCTCATATTTTAAAAATTTTATTAAAAATGTATAATATATTATACTTGTCATTTGTTAATGTTATTTGTTGTTTATTACAATTAAAAATAGACCTACCATATGATCCAGCAATCTCACTACTGGGTATATACTCAAAGGAAAGGAAATCAGTATACCTATGAGATTCCTTCAGTTCCATGTTCATTATAGCATTATTCACAGCAACCAAGATATGGGATTAATCATCAAAGGATGAACAGATAAAAAGGATATGGTGTACATACACAATGGAATAGCATTCAGCCTTAAAAAAGAAGGAAATTCTGTCATTTGCAACGACATGGATGAACCTCAAGGCCACTATGTTAAGGGAAATAAGCCAGGTGCAGAAAGACAAATATCATGTGATCTTACTCATATGTGGAATGTAAAAAAGTTGAACTCGGCCAGGTGTGGTGGCTCACGCCTATAATCCCAGCACTTTGGGAGGCCAAGGCGGGCAGATCACCTGACGTCAGGAGTTCAAGACCAGCCTGGCCAACATGGTGAAACCCCGTCTCGACAAAAACACAAAAATTAGCCGGGCATGATGGTGGATGCCTGTAATCCCAGCTACTCGGGAGGCTAAGGTGGGGGGAATCGCTTGAACCCAGAAGGCGGAGGTTGCAGTAAGCCGAGACTGTGCCATTGCACTCCAGCCTGGAGGACAGAGTGAGATTCCATCTCAAAAAAAAAATTTTTTTTAACTTATAGAATCAGAGAGTAGAATGGCACTTACAGACGCTGGGGGTGGGCAGAATAGGGAGAAGCTGGTAGAAAAAATGAACTGTGCATTATATATGTTATTTGTTAATGAATAATAAATATGCATGGCAATAAAACTGAGATAGCTTGAGAGTCAGATGAGAATAGAATCAGGCCTTGAGAGAAGAGTGCTTTTCTCTAAAACCCGCAGTAGCTTCTCATTTCCTTTGGAGTAAAGACAGAATCCCTACAACAGATTGCCAAGACCGTGCATGATGTTGTCCCTCATAACTGCTCCGACCTCACCTTCTACTTCACTCTCTCTCCCTCACTCTGCCATACTCTCCTCCTTGCTGTGTCACTAACACCCACTACACACTGGCCCTTGGGCATTCTCCCTGGCGAGGCCCTCTACTGCAAACATTCTTCCCTTACATATCTCCTGAACTAACCTCTTCATTTGCCTTCAAGATTTTGCTCAAATTGTATCCTGATTACTCTACAAATTGCATCTTGCTCTACTCAGGTCCATAATGTAAACTCCGGATTCTCATTTACCTGCTCATACATAGTTGTTGCTCAATTAATATTTTATTTTAGTGATAAAATACATGTATAGTAATTAGAAGAGGATCTTGCACATAATAAGAGCTAAACAAATATAAGCTCTTATTATTAGGCCCAAAAGAATAGAGCTATATTGTCTTTTAATGCATTATGTTTTGGGTTTTTGTTTTTTTTTTTTTTGCAACAGAGTCTTGCTCTGTCACCCAGGCTGGAGTGCAGTGGCGCCATCATGGCTCACTGCAGCCTCCACCTCTTGGGCTCAAGTGATCTTACCACTTCAGCCTCCCAAGTAGCTGGGAGTAGCAGGCATGCACCACCACACCTGGCTAAATTTTTAATTTTTTGTAGAGATGAGGTCTCACAATATTGCCCAGCCTGGTCTAGAACTCCTGCCTCAAGAGATCCTCCCATCTCAGCCACCCAAAGTGCTGAGATTACAGATGTGAGCCACCACACCTAATCCCATTTTCTTATGCCAAATGAGGAGTGTTATATTAGTGTATATTTTTGTTTCCCATCACATTTTCATTCAAACGTAAATGATCAGCCTGTATTTCCAAAACAATAAAAACGGTATCAATGAGTACAGTATAAATAAAAGGTAAATCTGTCTTCTGTCTATCATATAGGATAGTCCAATGTCTTGAATCAATATAGAAAAAATTTGTATGCTATTTTGCATTTTAATAATTTACATGAAATGAATGCTTTGCAGTTCATTGGAGTAGATGCAAACCATAAATCATAATTCAATTTGACAACATGAAAGATAAAAATAATTAACTTCTATAGCAAGATACTTCACAGACATATCAAATTTATTTTCATGTATCATACAATGTTTTCCAAATACCCTGTTTCTTCTTTTTTTTTTTTTTTTTTTAAGACGGAGTCTCACTGTTGTCCAGGCTGGAGTGCAGTGGCGCGATCTCGGCTCACTGCAAGCTTCGCCTCCCAGGTTCATGCCATTCTCCTGCCTCAGCCTCCCAAGTAGCTGGGACTACAGGTGCCCACCACCACGACCAGCTAATTTTTTTTTTTTTGTATTTTTAGTAGAGACGGGGTTTCACCGTGTTGGCCAGAATGGTCTCGATCTCCTGACCTCGTGATCTGCCCTCCTCGGCCTCCCAAAGTGCTGGGATTACAGGCGTGAGCCACTGCGCCCAGCCTACCTTGTTTCTTTACTAATGCAACTAGAGTTCATTTGAATCATTTATTTATCTGAATCTATAAAAAATTCTTCTGAAAGTCTCTTAGAAAAACTCCTAAGAATTGTGTTTCCTTTACCAAAAACTGTTGTCTCCATATTGTAGAAAATACATTCTGAATAAATTCTAATGAATATTTTTGTGTTTATGTTTTTGACATTATTTCAAAAGCACATTATACATCTAAATAGCTAATCTTTCCTTAATGGAAACTATGCTGAAGCTTTACATTTTATAATCTTCACTCTATGTTGGTTATCTATATTCCAGGATTGATTAGAATTTTGTTCCCATTATGAAATTCCAAAGCATTATTATAATTATAATGCAGAGAAGCTAAAAGACACAAAAACTAAAATGCAAAAATGTTACTTTAACTTTTTATAAAAGGTTCATATCTTTAATCCCAGCATGTGGGGAGGCCGAGGCAGGAGGATCACTAGTGGTCAGGAGTTTGAGACGAGCCCAGCCAACATGGTGAAACCCCGTCTCTACTAAAAATACAAAAATTAGCCGGGTGTGTTGATGTGCACCTGTAATTCCAGCTATTCAGGAGGCTGAGGCAGTGGAATCACTTGAACCCAGGAGATGGAGATTACGGTAAGCCAAGATCATGCCACTGCACTCCAGCCTGGGTGACAGAGTGAGACTCTGTCTCAATACATAAATAAATAAAACTTAAAATTTTCTAGAAGAGAAAGATCTCCCATGACCTTCTAAATTTTAATACCCCAAAAGAAAAAAATAGTCAAATTGAAAATGGTCAAATTGCAGAAATTCTATACTACATTTCACTGAAGGAAAGGAAAATAGCACTAATTGACATTATGTCATCGGTATTACCAAAAGATAACATGTTTGAAATCTTTGAAACACACTTTCAAATAATTATTTATTTACAAAAGTAGAAGCAGTACTAGGCTTCACAAAAGCAACCTAGTAGACTTGAAAACAAAGTTCTACTACGGCGGTTAGTTCACTCATATCAGAACGTGTACAGTGTAAAAGTTGAAGAATAGCAAATACTCATCTAAAGTTGCAAATGGAAAAAAATACTAAATTTAATGGAGAATGCAACATAGGGAAAAACAAATTCATCTTGTCTGTATTCATTCAATATCCTTAACTTTTAGTCACAAATCTGTTAGTGAGATAAGAAATTGGACAATTTCTGGTCTTTTTAATTAAATACTTAATTTTCCAGAGTATTGAGTAGATCCATGGGGAAAATGCTATACTAATGTGGTCTGATTTGCCATGGATTTGTGTCTCATAGTTAACTGATTAGAAAACTCATCACCTAAATACACTGCCTGAATGTTACCAATTATCCATTCATTTATTCCACTAATGTAATTATACAATTATAAAAACTTACGGCGTGGGCTGGGCATGGTGGCTCACACCTGTAATCCCAGCACTTTGGGAGGCCTAGGTGGGTGGATCACCTGAGGTCAGGAGTTTGCGACCAGCCTGACCAACATGGTGAAACCCCATCTCTACTAAAAATACAAAAATCAGTTGGGCATGGTGGCGCATGCCTGTAGTCCCAGATGCTTGGGAGGCTGAGGCAGGAGAATTGCTGGAACCTGGGAGACCAGTGTTACCGTGAGCCAAGATTGTGCCACTGCACTTCAGCCTGGGTGACAGAGCGAGACTCCGTTTCAAAAAAAAAAAAAAAAAAAAACTTACCGGTTTTTCTAGAAAATATCCTTAACAATTTCAGATCATCTCACTTCTTACATACTTCTGGTAACAATGGAGCAACTGTACACTCATTTGATTAGTATTCATCATCATAAGGTTATAATATTAAATTATAAGGAGGAACTTAGAAATATTAGAGAGAATGAAACATAAATATTTTGAACACATGCAAATGGTTTGTAGCCATTTTCCTGAAAGAATCAAAGAGAAACAATGAAGTCTTTTCCCTTAAAAACACAAACTAAAAATGATCCATCACCAAATAAAATTTAAAAATTAAAAAAACTAAATTCAAAACAAAACAAAAAGACTTCATCGAACATATCTTTGTCAGATGTTATTTTGAAAAGAACATAGAGCTTCTGAAGCCGGAGTACATGATTTTGTTTTCCAACCTTTGTGTTTATTGTTTTTTTGACCTTGTATATTTACTTTCCCATCATGCCAGTTCCTTTTCTGTAGATAAAGATACAAATAATTATTTCAAGGACTATTAGAATATTCCTAGCTGTGGTGCAGAGGTCTCAGTACTGCTAAGTAATCATGTTTTCTCATATAATTGTTTCTATTTTTTCCATGCTCATAAAATTTCCTTTCAACTTCCCACCTATCCCTTGACTCTCAGATCACCTTCAGTTGCACTGTAACTTACTCTGAAACTTAGGCTGAAAGCTGTTGGTGCCCTCTCCCTGTTGCATTTCCCCTAGCCCTTCCCTAGTTATCTGACAGTTTCCTTTCAATCTGTAGCCTTTGCATTTCTTTGTCTGAAGGTGTATTCAGCCTCACAAATACTTTTTCTGCTACTGAGGCAAGTGCAGGGAAATTAATGCCCATCTAAGAGCACCCCTCATCCAGTGACTCACAGGAGCTGAGTATAAATATCTGAGCTTCTCTCTTGGGGTGACAGAACTCTTAAGGTGTATGATCTACACTGGCTCTAAGTGGTTCCCCAGGTGGATGTGGTTCCAACTGCTCAAAGTGATACATGGCTTGTAATGTGTGCTTTACTGGTTTCCTTATTTCCCCAAATTGTATTAGCCATATTAATTTCCTACTCCCCTACTGATGTTTTCCTCATCTATCAGATCTAATACCAAAACTCAAATCTCTGTACCAGAACAGTTTCTGGGGGAATTCAACTTAAGATAGTGACCACAAGTTCCAGTTTGCTAAAACAATCCTAGCTTCATTATTAATAGTGCCTATTTTCATTCTCCAAAGTGTTCCCGTTTCAGTGACAAATTACATGGTCATCCTACTCTAGGGATTATAGAAACCATCAGATTAGAATGCCCCTCTCTCCCCGGTGGCAAGTACACAGATCTGCCAGGAAATGCACCTTGACCCATTCAGAGTCTCCTCTATGTTCCAAGTGAAAATCCCTTCACTATTGACAAGTGGGAAGATCTCCCTGTCTATTTAAAGTCAGTTTCTCATGGATACAAAAAAATAGTTGGAAAAAATAAATAAGAACTAGTATTTGCTAGCACAAAAGGATGACTACAGTAAAAAATAATTTCATTGTTCATTTAAAAATAACTAAAAGAGTATAAGTGGATTGTTTGGAACAAAAAGTATAAATACTTGAGGTGATGGATACCCTACTTACTTGATGTGATGGTTATCCATTGCATGCCTGCATCAAAATAGCTCATGTAAATAAATGTATACACTCACTATGTATCCAAACAAAATTAAAAATTAATATATAGTATATATTATCTATTATATTATTTATAATATATTATCTATTATATTATATTATATATTAATATATGTATTTAATAATTATTTATGTATTTAATGTATATATGTATTTAATGTATTTAATAATTATATTATATATTAATATATGTATTCAAATAATATATATATTATTTAATATAAATTTAAATAATAAATTTATGTATATATATATAAAGTCAACTTCTCTCCTGATATCTAAAGATCCTTGTACAGTCAGTCATGCTGCCTTTCATGCATACCCAACTTTCTCAACTGGATTTTCACATTGGCTTCCAACTATTATTGAATCTTTTTAAAAAATTTTACAAATAAATATAAAACTCTCCTTTACTCTGCATGCCCTTCTGGCAGCTTAAGTATAAGCTGCTGTCCTGGTTTATTTCTCTTCGTAGCCAAACTGCTTCTAATTGCTGCTTGCATTTTTACATCTTTTTGTCATTTTCTTTTATTTATGTATTTATTTATTTTTTGAGACAAAGTCCTGCTCTCTCGCCCAGGCTGGAGTGCAGTGGCGAGATCTCAGCTCCCTGCCACCTCTGCCTCCCGGGTTCAAGCAATTCGCCTGCCTCAGCCTCCCGAGTAGCTGGGACTACAGGCATGTGTCACCACGCCCAGCTAATTTTTGTATTTTTAGTATAGACGGGGTTTCACGATGTTGGCCAGGATGGTCTCGATCTCTTCTTTTTTTTTTTCTTTTTGAGAGGGAGTCTCGCTCTGTCGCCCAGGCTGGAGTGCAGTGGCGCGATCTCGGCTCACTGCAAGCTCCGCCTCCCGGGTTCACGCCATTCTCCTGCCTCAGCCTCCTGAGTAGGTGGGACTACAGGCGCCCGCCACCACGCGCGGCTAATTTTTTTTATATTTTTAGTAGAGACGGGGTTTCACCGTGTTAGCCAGGATGGTCTCGATCTCCTGACCTCAAGTGATTCACCCGCCTCGGCCTCCCAAAGTGCTGAGATTCCAGGTGTGAGCCACCGCTGCTGGCCGTTCTCGATCTCTTACCACACACAAACCATTCTCATGGTTTCCCATGTTCACCAAAGTACATGATTCAGTTCTCATCTAAACTGCCCACTAATGACCCCTCCATTTTTCTTGACACTGCTTTAACTTGGGTCAAAAGATCCATCAGTTTTCTGGTCTCTTGGCATCTCTTCCTCTACTCCTTTGCCTCCATCTTTTTCCACCAACCTCCTGGCAGTCTGTCGGACCATCCTTTTCTTGTCGACCATTCAAAGGGAACTTAGTGGGTCTGATTGCATCTCCATTGGCCCATTTCTATCAGAAGACGTTGAATATCAATTTGTTATTTCTCCAATTTATGCTTACTTGCTAATTATAAAAAGATACCACGGCACATCTTAGATTAGTTAGAATAAAGACAAACTCTCAGCTTGGATTTCAAAACTCTTTGTTCTGTGGCCCCTGCTTAGCTGGAGTTTCATCTCTCACTGCAGCCGATAGACTGGAATCCTTGAGGTCCTCCCTGATGCACAGCCGGTCCGTGTACTGCAGCACCCCAGTGCCTGCAATGCGCTCCCAAACCACACCTCCGCCACACCTTCATTTTCACTTACTGAACTTCTACACTTCTGCAACAATTACTTCCTGAGACAACTTCCCCTGATCTTCCTGACAATGTCATTCCACCGAGAATCTGACCTCAATCATGTCTTTGATTCTTTAAGGAATGTCGCTCTCCACAAGGGTAAGGCGCAGCAGGTTTTTGCTCAGTGTCCTCTACACAGTGCCCAGCACAATATCTGGCACAGGCCAGGCTCTATAAATATTTGTGGCATGAACAGTTAAAGCATCTGAAAAGCACTCTGTAGAAAATAAATTGTTCATTATTACAACTTAGTTTTATTCTCTAGGAAGCAGCCTGAATAACTTTTTTAAAAAGTTAGATGACGTCACTCCCTTTCTTAAAACACTTTGATAGCCCCTAAGTATACTCAGGGCGATAGCCTAGTCCTAGCAATATAAAGGCTTCACAGTTTCAACACTTGCTACCTCTCTGACCTTATCTTTGCTGAGCTCCAGCCCCGCTAGCCTTGCCGCTCCTCATGCATGACAGGGATGCTCTTGCCTCAAGATTTTTGCACTGGCTGTTCCTTGTACCTGTAATGTTCTTCCCTCAGGTAGGGAACACGACTTCCTCTTTCACTTCCTCACTTCATTTTTTTTTTTTTTTTTCGTGACAGAGTGTTGCTCTGTCGCCCAGGCTGGAGTGCAGTGGCTCAATCTCAGCTTACTGCAAACTCTGCCTCCTGGGTTCAAGCGATTCGCCTGCCTCAGCCTCCCTAATAGCTGGGACTACAAGTGTGTGCCACCATGCCCAGCTAATTTTTGTATTTTTAGTAGAGACAGGATTTCACCATGTTGGCCAGGATGGTCTCGATCTCCTGACCTCGTGATCCGCCCGCCTCGGCCTCCCACAGTGCTGAGATTACAGGTGTGAGCCATTGCACCCAGCCCACTTCCTCACTTCTTTGTTCAAGCGTTATTGCTACAGTAGCACACATTTTTCTGACCTTATCCAAAACCCTCTGGTGTTCCCTATTCCTTGGTCTCTTTTTCTTCTATATTAATTATTGCCTTCTAGTATGCTAGTTAAATTCCAGAGCTGTATAACTTTTAAAAGATGAAAGACTTTTTTCTATGAGTATGTGTGTATATGGATGTATATATACATCATGTTTGTCATTAAATTTATCTATATAATCTGAAAAAGCATGGGATTTTGGAAGACTAATATTTGTTTCTGTAAGTGGTACAATTATATTAAACCAGGTAACAAAGATTTCATCTTATGTCTTTAAAAACGTACAAATAATGAGAATTCTTTGAGATGAAAATATCACCTTTCTATAACTAACTCAAATACTTAATACCATAACTTAAGGCTACCTTGTAGTATGTGATACTAGAAAAGCTTATTGTAGCTTCTTATGATACTTCTTCATACATTGAAGGTTATCATCAAATTTTCATTTACCTCAGAGAAATATTATGATATAATGCTAAGATTTACATTTATATGGGGTTTAAATTTTGAGGAGATTTAACACCTATTAAGCCAATTATTAGGCAAGAATTTCTGTGTTATTAACTGTATTTCATAATCTGAGGAAACTGAGACATAGAATATTAATTTATTTGCCTAAGTCCACACAAATTGCAGCAGCAGAGTTAAGCTATAAGCCACAACCACCGAGTGTGGGACCCAAGTTAGGGACAGACAATATAATAACGAGTGAAATGGACATGTTACTTTCCTCATGAAGTTTTTAGCCCAGTAGTGAAATGTCTTTTTACTGTACAAAATCACTGTTTTTTTTAAAGACAGTCCTTGTGAAGATGCAAGACAAATAAATAAATAAACTCTGAGAAATAAGCCTAAGCAGTTCAAACTATGGTTAAAAAATAAACTTGGCAGTGTGCAGTGGCTCACGCCTGTAATCCCAGCACTTCGGGAGGCTGAGGCAGGCGGATCATGAGGTCAAGAGATGGAGACCATCCTGGCTAACACAGTGAAATCCTGTCACTACTAAAAATACAAAAAGATTATCCAGGCATGGTGGCACCGCCTATAGTCCAAGCTACTCGGGAGGCTGAGGCAGGAGAATCACTTGAACCTGGGAGACGGAAGTTGCAGTGAGCCAAGATTGCGCCACTGCACTACAGCCTAGGTGACAGAGCAAGACGCTGTCTCAAAATAAATAAATGAATAAACAAGCAAACTAAACTCAATTGCCCTTTGTTGTTGCTGTTATTTTACCTATGTGAGGAGAAATGTCTCCTTATTGGAGGTTTGACTAACTTCATAACATTCTTCCACTTAAAAAAAAAAGTGTTTTTTTCCAAGTCAACATGTGCTCTTTATTTTATGTACCTGAGATCTAACTCATTCATTCTATCTCTGAGAGACTATGAAAAGAATAAAACACAAAGATAGAGGAAAACAATCCTGTTTTCAAGCTTGATTGTGTGCCTGCGAGTAGTGGGCCCACAGCATAGGCGCTTAGCCATGCTTTAAAAGCTAGCATTAATCATCTCTAAAATGGTCTTTTAACGATAATTTAACAATTAGTTTATTTAGAAAATTAAAATGCCATTATGAATTATCATCATATTTCTGGCATTCCTATTTAAACTTTTGTCCCAAACATGGTAACTCCTACAGAGCATGCCCAATTTAATGCTTTGTTCTACTCAAAACTGAACTTTCATCTCTTTCAATTTGACTTCCACGATCAAAGCTTGAAAAATAAAAGTGCATTTTAATTAAATCTATCTCTCTTACTGCCTATATTCAATCTGAAACCAGGTTGTTTTAATTTTTGCCATATATATATATATATATATATATATTTTTTAATTTCAACATCTGATTGCCAGTGCTGCTCTTCTTACTTGCAACTCTTCAATTTGTACTTTTATTAAAGGTTCAGAACCAGGTTCTGTTCCCTTGTCTTTAGCTGTTCTCTTTTCTAATTTGCACCCAAAAGACCCTCAATTAAATTGGCTCACTACTGTCACTTGATCATTTCCCTGTAAAAAACACTCAGTGGATCTCTGTGCAATAATTATTAAGACATACTGACATTTTCTGAAGAGTTCTGCGTGATTGGCCACAATGAGTAGTGAACAAAGTAGCTTTATTTTGATGTTGGGTGGCTGACATGGTTTGAACGTTTGGTCTCAGTCTTCTTTGCTAGTTTCAAGGTTTCTCAGTTTATGTTAATTTATTTCAAATGTAATCAGTCCTTTACTTTTTAAAAAAAAAAAATGCTATATAATAGGCTGGGTGTGGTGGCTCATGCCTGTAATCACAGCACTTTGGGAGGCTGAGGTGGGCAGATCATGAGGTCAGGAGATTAAGACCATCCTGGCTAACACTGTGAAACCCTGTCTCTACTAAAAATACAAAAAGTTAGCTGGGTGTGGTGGCAGATGCCTGTAATCCCAGCTACTCGGGAGGCTGAGGCAAGAGAATCGCTTGAACCTGGGAAGTGAAGGTTGCAGTGAGCCGAGATTGAGCCATTGCACTCCAGCCTGGGCGACAAGAAAAAAAAATGCTATAATATTTACTTTACCAACCTTATTCCTTATTTGAGCCCTTTTATACCCTTGAGAATGACTTATTTATAAGAACCCTCCACACTACAAGTGTTTTCCAATAAGACAATGAACAATTATTGAATGCTTACTTTATAAATGTCATGAAACCATATTTGTCTTTGTTCAGAACAGTGCTTTATATTGTATATTTTATATGTGGCATTTGGTGCAACTTATAATAGTTTTCAAAGTACATCCTTCTTGAGTTTTCCTTACTTAGGCCTAAATTAGATCTGTGAAATACAGAGTTAATACTTTTTTCTTCCGGCAAAAAATCTCTCTCAAGCTCTAACAGGCTGAAGAATTAGTGTGGAAATTTTATAGGAAAGCTAGAAACAAATGGCCCTAGATTTTAGGAGTTTAAAATCCTGGCGTCATATAAAGAGAAAACTGATTATAGTTATATTAAGATTTGATCCTAAATTCTGCCTAATTTGGGAAGCAAGAAGGAATTGCTATTCCTAATTATTGTTATTAAGTGGTCCATTCTTAGTCTCTGAGAAGGACAAATACACTAATCAGGCTGTGAAATGTAATGAATGCATAGATGATATCACTGTAAAATTTTTTTCACAAACAAAATCATTAATCAAAAGTAGAATACAAATTATGAGCCTCTATTGCAAACAACCATTAGAACTATTTATGAATCTTTTTTTTTTTTTTGAGGCAGAGTCTTGCTCTGTCACCCAGGCTGGAGTGCAGTGGTGTGATCTCAGCTCATTGCAACCTCCGACTCCAGGGTTCAAGTGATTCTCCGGCCTCAGCCTCCTGAGTAGCTGGGATTACAGGCGTGTGCCACCACGCCCAGCTAATTTTTTTGTATTTTTAGTGGAGACTGGGTTTCACCACGTTGGTCAGGCTGGTCTCAAACTCCTGACCTCATGATCTGCCCTCCTTGGCCTCCCAAAGTGCTGGGATTACAGGTGTGAACCACTGCCCCCTGTCTATTTATGAATCTTAAAACACAAATAGATTTGGAAGATAAATGTCATATGTCTAGAGTTATTTAGAAATAGACCTACATAAAAATATAAAGGCAGTCACAAACCTTTCTAAATTCGGTTTCATCCACAAGGTCTGTGAGACTAAAACAATGTTTTCTTTTATTTTTATTTATTTACATTTTTTAGAAACAGGATCTCACTCTATTGCCCAGGCTGGAATGCAGTGGTGCAATCATAGCTTACTGCAGTCTTGAACTTCTGGGCTCAAGGGATCCTCCAACCTCAGCCTTCCAATTAGTCACAGGCATGCACCACCATGCCTAATTTTTTCTTTATGTGTAGAGATGGCATCTTGCTATGTTGCTCAGGCTGGTCTGCAACTCCTGGCCTCGAGCAATTCTCCTACCTCATCCTTCCAAAGCACTGGGATTATAGCGCGACCCACAGCACATGGCATAAAAAAAAGTTTTCTTGTAGAAAGGATTCTTAGAAGGAGGCATGTATAAAAATGTGAATAAACTAACATAGAGTCTTCACCTCCGAGGATCTATGCCACCTGTTTTAAAGAATGACCACCTCATTACCAAGTTATTTTATCTTTGTGCACAAAATATTAACGATATCAAGGTTTTCTTTAAAAAAATTTGAAAATAATTGCAATTCTCTATAAAGAAGATAATCATTTTTGTTCTCAATAATATTGGCTTTACGTTGCTGAAACAGAAATAAATAATATCTCAAAATAGCTAAATTTACTGAGTAAAAACTTCTAGTGAAATATAGCCTTCAGATTTATTTTAACAAGGATGCTTACTGGCATATTTGTATAAAATCTCTCTTTAAAAGATAGTTATTAATTAGTAGTAATAAAATAAAAACAAATCTTAATATAAATGCAAATTATATTGCATTGATGCAGAGCGTCACCATGTTTTGGTCACCAAGAGACAGCATATATGACTGTGGATCGGTAAGATTATAATGTAGCTGAAAAATTTCTATCACGTAATGACATCATAGGCATTATAATGTCATAGCACAATGCATTAGTCACATATCTTTGGTGATGCTGGTGTAAACAAGCCTATTGGACCACTAGTAGTGTAAAAGTATATTACAAACAATTATGTACAGTGCATAACACTTGGCAATGATAATAAATGACTATGTTACTGGTTTATGTATTGACTATATTCCTGACTTTTAAAGAACTCTAGATTAGTCATGTCAATAGTAGAATTCACTTGGGCACCCACCATTTACAGAACACGGTGTGAAGTAAAAGATGATCTCTGCTTTTGAACACTCAAAACCCAAAGCACTTCTTGGTCACTGTATTAGTCCATTTAGCATTGCTATAAAGGAATTCCTGAGACTGGGCAATCTATAAAGAAAAGAGGTTTATGTGGCTCATGATTCTGCAGGTCGTACAATCCTGTACGCCTGTAATCCTGCACGCCTATAATCCTGCACGCCCGTAATCCTGCACGCCTGTAATCCTGTACGCCTGTAATCCTGCATGCCTGTAATCCCAGCTACTCAGGAGGCTGAGGCAGGAGAATCGCTTGAACCTGGGAAGTGAAGGTTCCAGTGAGCCGAGATTGTGCCATTGCACTCCAGTCTGGGTGACAAGAAAAAAAAATGCTGTAATATTTACTTTAGATAATTTATTCCTTATTCTGAGCTCTTTTATGCCTTTGAGAATTACTTATTTATAAGAACTTTCCACATTACATGTGTTTTCCAATAAGACAATGAACAATAATTGAATACTTACTTTGTAAATGTCATGAAAACATGTTCATCTTTGTTCAGAACAAAGCATGGTACAAGCATGGTACCAGAATCTTCTTCAAGTGAGGCCTTAGGAATATCTGAGTCATGATGAAGGGCGAAGGGGAGCAGATGTATCATAAGGTAAGAGAAGGAACAAGAGAGGTACCAGGTTCTTTTTAAACAACCAACTCTTGTATGAACTAATAGAGCAAGAATTCACCAATTACTTGGAGAGGGCACCAAGCCATTCATGGGGATGCACTTCCATGAGATGAGGGCATCTAAACATCTCCCACTAGGTCCCTTTTTTTTTTTTTTTTGAAGTGGAGTTTCGTTCTTGTTGCCCAGGCTGGAGTGCAATGGTGCAATCTCAGCTCACTGCAACCTCCACCTCCTGGATTCAAGCGATTCTCCTGCCTCAGCCTCCCGAATAGCTGGGACCACAGGCATGTGCCAACACGCCTGGCTAAATTTTGTATTTTTAGTAGAGGTGGGGTTTCACCCTGTTGGCCAGGCTGGTCTCGAACTCCTGCCCTCAGGTGATTTGCCTGCCTCGGCCTCCCAATGTGCTGGGATTACAGACATGAGTTACCGCGTCTGGCTGGTCCCACTTCTAACACTGGGGATTACTTTTCAACATGAAATTTGGAGGGACCAAACGTTCAAACCATGTCAGCCACCCAACATCAAAATAAAGCTACTTTGTTCACTGCTCATTGTGGCCAATCACGCAGAACTCTTCAGAAAATGTCAGTATGCCTTATGGTCAGTACTACCATTTTGCTTCTCTTGGTGGCACTAATTTGAGAAAATATTCTTAATATGTTTTCTTAAAACCATCCCAAGCAAGCTAAATACAAACACTAAATTGGCAAGCAAAGGACTCAACTCATCCATATACTTCATAGTATCTCTGGGTGAGTTAGGTAGGGAGACCGAGAAGAGGGCAGAATGGGGTCAAAATGAATGGGAAAAATAGAGGGCTCAGAAGTGAAATGTTCAGTGATTTAAGGATGAAAAAAAATTTTTATAGAAATTTGAAAAATCTCTAAGCTTTGATAAACAAAAGGCAAAGATAATTTTTAAAAATATAATTCTCAATTTCTAAAGGAACAATGTGTTCATACTGTAAACAATTTAATGTGCAGATAATTTGATTAAGTCCAACAAATTCCATGAGTTTTCATTTTAGCTGCATGCTGAGCTCCACCCTCCCTACACACCATCTGCTATTTGCTTGAGATATACAAAGTTATAGGTGGCGTGGATATCAGGCAGAATTTTAAAACCTCAGTTTTTAAAACTCACAGCTTAGTTTTGAAGGCTAGTAGTCTTTGCTTTCATGAAAAAAACATTTAAGTACAAAACTGACATAATTTGTGGAGGTGGTCATATCATGTTCTAAGAAACTAGCAAGCATTTGGTATAAGTCTAAAGCAAGCATTAAAGAAAACTACAGCTGTGCCTGACAAGGTGTTGAATAGAAGATACTTTATTTTAGTTTTCATCTGACAGAGTAAGTTCCTAATTGTTCTCATTAAGTTCTTTGCCTGAATTTTAAAAATTGGTATGTTTGTTATTCTATTTACCCCATTCTTCTCCCAAAATCTCATGTTAGGTCATTTAGTCATCTGGCATGTGTATTTTTGCCGAAGAAATATAAATTCAATCGTCAATAATAATAAATTTGATGCATTTTGTCAAATACCTATAGATGGAAGTTGTTTCTAACAGGTTTCAGACATGAGATCTGCCATATTTTCCACCAAAAACAGAAGTCTCTATTGCTAGAAACAAATGTTCTTTCTAAGCCTACAGATGACTAATGCCTGTAGCTTAATACTGGTAATTCCCAATTTGAGAGCTAATAATGATCAAAAATTAAGTGTTGTTGAAAGTTACTAACTATATGCATTAGGGAAATTACCTACATATAAAATGCAAAGATTGGTAGAATGGCTAAGCTGTTTTGTAAACATAGAGACTTTTTTAATTCCATTCATGAGTCACATTTTTATAACTAAATTATTCTATAATAGCAAACCTCAAATTCTTAAGGTTCAGGGGCAAAAGTGACGTTTTGAAAATATTTT
This sequence comes from Homo sapiens, assembly GCF_000001405.40. Lineage (NCBI taxonomy): Eukaryota > Metazoa > Chordata > Mammalia > Primates > Hominidae > Homo > Homo sapiens. Next base: position 175,739,728 of record NC_000004.12, read on the forward strand.
GGTGAACCATTAGAATCCTGAGTCACTTGGCTTCTCTTAATGTGCTGAGCCACCATAATCTCTTAAGATTTTCTTCTGAAAAATGCTAATTCAGCTTTATCTATTAAGAAGTTAACGTTTAGAAATTACTAAATTATTTATGCCTTACTTTCACAAAAAATAAGAGTTTTGTCAATGATCATTTTATTCCACAAAAGTGAAAATTACATAAAAATATTCTGGAAAATAGAAAATACAAAAAACCTTCAAAAATGACTTTAAAAAAGTAAATAGTATTTGACCAATACTTTGCTAAGACAAGCGTGTAGAAAATATTGTCTCTAAGACTATTTTTTAAAGCTAGCTTAGTTAAATGTTAAGGAATTATGAAGAAACATATACTAAATTTAGGCTAGCATATTAAATATATTTGTCTCACTTGATTTAATTACGTACTCAAAAATCACAAGCACTGAAATCATATTCTATCTGAAAATATATGTAGTCCAATATAGAAATTGTATTAAAATTACTAGCTATATGATAAAAATGAAAATACATAGAAAGTTGACTCAAAATGTTTTCTGCCACGATATAGCAGATAACTGGATGATATTTTGGATGATAACTTGTATTTATTTAAATTTAGGAAGAATCAGCATTACATGCAAATTATGAATAAAATTTAAATAACCTAACATTATTATTTAAGACCATTAAAAGTAATTCATTTGTGGAACCTAATGTTAAAGACCAGCAAATGTCATTGTGGACTTTCTCAGTGGAGAAAAATCTCTCATTTTCTGTTTTCTTACAGTATCTTCCCACGAGTGCCTCCCAACAGAAAGAAAAATTAATTGAATATATCTTAATAGTGATACATTTTGAGCTCTGAAAATAGATTGGAGGTAGGTAAAATTTGCTTCATGTATATACATTCATCAACTAGCGAGATGAATAGTTATTAGATTAGAAAATATTTTTGTTTCATTTTATTATAATTGAGTTTACCTCTTTTAGTTTTTAGAAGAGATTATTTCATGCTTGTGCTTCTCACAAAAAGTTGCAAAATGTAAAGAGCATCTAAGATAAACTAAAAGGGTAGCATTTTAAGTAACACTAAAGAAAATGGATGAAAGGCATTTTTAAGGCAGGGCTCTGAATGTCACCAGTAAATATATTCCATGAAGGTTTGGGTAGATCAGTGCATAAAGATCCGGCTGCTAACTTTATCCTAGTTCTGGTGTTCAGAAATGCATGTTGCATCCCTTTTCTCTGTAATCATACCCATTATCATGATTTTGAAAATTACAGGCTTATATTTTTCAAGTTCCTCTGTAGTATAGATTGTCTCCTAAGAATCAGAACTGTCTAATTGGTTCTCCAACGTATTCACAGGCACCTCAAATTCAGCATAATAAAAAATGACTTATTTTTGCATTACCTTGTAAAAGCTGATAGGGCTCAACAACCACTCAATTTAGAAACACAATACCACACATAAGAAATATGAAATGTTTCCCTTTTCTCTCTGTATCTTTCCCATCCCTAGTTACTAGGCTCTGTTTATTTGAATTTCATGAATTACTTTTAAAACCACTGTCTATTCTGCCTCTTCATCCCTACCATCTTAATTCAGAGCATTAAGAATCTTCTGCATTTATTATAGCCACAAAACTGATTGATCTCTTCCAGTCTATTTTTTCACATTGCCACCATTCTTAGTTTTAACGTATGTATCTGAGGATATAATTGCTAATGGAAGACATCCCAAAATATCTTCATATGGAATGCACGACCCTTCATTATCAGACTGTATCTAACACCTCATCTTCCATCAGGATCTTCTGGAATATCAAAACATAACAAGCTCCTTAAAATTTACCAAATAAATAGGTTCTACACACTACTTTATATTTCTATCAACAAACATCACACTCACACTTGTGGGTTTGCATTGTTAATGACTAACCTAGATTCTAGAATCTTGCAACCCAGGATATATGTCTCATTTATCTACTTGTCTTCACTGCTTAGCATGGTAATTAGCATTTAGTTGGCGCTATTATATTCCATAATTTCTCAATTTCATAATGTGTTTTTTCACAACTTAATGTTTCTGGGATGTCTTATAATTATTGTATAATTTAGAGCAAAATGTCTTCTTTTTTCCTTGAAAATGTTTTGGTAAATTAATGACAGATCTTGCAATCAAGGGTAACTTAGAGTCAAAGCTACGCATTTATGGAAGGAAGAGAAAAAATGAGAGTTAAAGGTAAGAATTAAATTATTCTAACTAAAATTAAATGTGTTTATGGAACCAACTGATAAAAATATTTTATATCCATTATTTTACATAAAATAATTTAGAAAGTTTTTGAAAATAAAATATTTGGGAAAAAAATATTAAACTTTTCCTCTTAAGTGGATGAAATTGAAAGGGTAATTATTTCCCTAAGTTAATACCCAAATACTCATATTGCAATGTGGGACAGGAAGTCTATTCTGATTCCTAAGCTATATCATCCAAAATGTAAAATAATTCCTTCTCCTTTATGGTGGGTTGTTCTAGAGAATTCTAGAGTAGCTGTGAATTCTCTATTACATCATGGATCAGATCAGTTTGCAAAATGGCTCGCCTGCTTAAAATATAAACTAATTACCCAGCAACATTTATAAGACTGAGATGCCACATACAGAATAGAGCAATAATACATGGGCTTATCAGTGACTTTTCAAAATGTGCATTACCAAAAACTGAATTATACTGTTTACTTTTTATTACTTTATTTCATCCTCTTTCTATTGAATTTCACTGTATTAACAAACTCTATTATTCAGAAAAGAATACAGAAGTACACATCAGAAAATGGACATTTAGAGTCATGTACATTTAAGGCTCGGTTACTGGGTTTTTCACATTCAGTACAAAAACTGTTTCTTAGAATAAATTTCCTGCAGAAAACTATTTCAGGAATTTCAAAGCTAGCTATATACTAGAACATACACAAGAGCAGAAGTGATTTCGAAGAGGAATCAACGCACACTTGACATGAGGGGCCAAGCTTCTGAGAAGAGAATCAAGGAGAGCCCTAAATATGTTGAGAATACGAACGATGAAAGTCAAAGACATGATCTCCTTAAATAATTAATTATTTAGCCAGGCATGGTGGCTCATGCCTGTAATCCCAGCACTTAGGTAGGCAGATGTGGGAGGATAACTTGAGACCAGGGATTTGAGACTTGCCTGGGCAACATTGTAAGACCCCATTCGCCACAAAAAGAAAAAATAAATTAATAATAATTATTTCAAGTGTTAAAATATTTTGCAAGAACAAGAGCAGAAATAAAGACAACAAAATATTCTTTTTTTCTTTAGAAAGAAAAACATAAATGGAAAATAATGCCAGAAAGAAGGACAAGGAAGGGAAAATGAAAATCCTCAGAAGGGCTAAATCTGTGAGCAGATCTAGATTAACACTGATTAAAAAAAAAAGTATGTGGTTCAAAATATAAGTACAATTAACACAAATGTCCATAATAGTTCATGATGAGGTAGGCAGACAGAGTTAAAGTAGTGTAGATTCCAGTATAAAGTCTGGAAATTAGTACGTTTTATTTAAAGTCAACATAAATAACTTAAAAATTCATTTTGTGATCTCTTGGGGAACCACTAAGAACATTTTATAAAGGAATTAATACTAACAAACTAATAAAGAGGAAATACAAAAGATACAATTAATCCAAAATAAGCTACAAGAAGAAAAAAATGAATGAAAACCATACAAGAAAAATACAAGTACAAACTAAAAAGGTAGGCATGGACCTCGATTATTATTAATTAAACTAAATATAAATGCACTAAATACTTCAATTAAAAGACAAATGTGTCTGAAATAAAAACAATTTAAAAATAACTTTTACAATTTAAAAAATGCATTAAATATAAGGACACAAAAAGTTGAAAAAATAAAGCAGAAAAATGGCTTAGCATGCAAATACTAAACACTAGAAAATTCTGTGAGTATTCTGATATCAAAGTAAACATTAAGACAAAAATAATTGCTAAAAATAAAGAAGGACATTTCATCGACAGGCTTAATTCAAGAGAAAGAACACTTTTAAATATGTAGGCACCTAATTAAACAACATCAAGTATATAATGTAATAACTATCAGAATTGAAAGGAAAATGAACAAATGTAAAGTCATAGTTGAAGAGTTTAGCAGTTGTACATCAATATCTAATAGGACAAAAAAAAAAAAACAAAAGGTCAAGAAGGCTATAGAAGAGATGAACAAAAAGGTTAACAAACTGACCAAATTGACATTCATTTAAAACTGCAACCACAAGTTGCAGAATATACATTCTTATCAAATGCACACAGAATATTTACCAAAATAGGCCGTAGAGTAAGTAATAAACAAATGTGAAAATGTTTGAAATATACAATGTTTCCTCACCAAAGTGGAATTAAGTTACAAATAAAATTTTTAAAAGGAGGGGGAATATCCAAATATGTTCAATTTAAGCAATGTATTTCCAAATCACTTATGGGTCAAAAAGAAATCAAAAAGAAAATTAGAATGTACTTTGAATTAAATAATAATAAAAAGAGGGTATAGCTCCAAACTTCTGATATGTACTAAATCTGTGTTCCAGGGAAATTCATAGTCATAAATGCATAAATTTTAAAATAAGAAAGACTACAAGTCGATGATCTAAGCATCCACTTTAAGAAATTAGAAGAAAGAGAATAATAAAAATAAGATGGACAATCAATATAATATAAAAATTTAAAACTCAAAATTTAAAAATATCTAATGCTATTTTTAAAACAATTAATATTGGATTAGCTCCTTTAGATTTTTCTTTTTTAAAAAATAGCCCAATATCAATTAACTTTCTGGAGTTTGGGAAGAAAAAATAATAACACATGTAAAAGCCTTCAACAGTCCCTGGCACATACCGTGTACTCAAAAGATTTTAGTTTGTCTCCCATTCACTTTTCCCTAGCAGATAAACATTGAAACCTTCAACGTTAGCTGTCCATCAATACAAAACACTCTAGTAGAAAGAAACCTTCTTTTTCTCTGAAATTAAAATACATCTCCCACTTCTGGGTCCAATGTTCTGATATTACTTTTTAATTTGTACTGGAAGTATCAGGGAGGCTGAGAAGGAATGGATAGGAATTATGTGTATTTATTGCAGGAAATATAAATTGTTAAACATAATAAAAAGAAAAAGGACAGGAAAGTAAGCAATTTGCCAGGTGCTCAATTCATCTTTTCATTATCCCTTTTCTCTGAAAGGAAAGTGCAAATCGTTTTCCTTTTTGTGACACTGTCTTATCTACTGCAGGAGCCATAAAGATGAAGATAAGAAAGAAATACTCTGAGAGTATCATGATAAAAAATCAGAAAAAAAACATGAAATACCAGATTTTTTTACAGCATACACAAAATATTCATGCGCTAAATGTAAATCTGTTATCCTGACATACATTAAGTGTCTGCTTTTTAAACATCGCCTAAGACTACAGGTATTGGGTTCATTTTGGAGACCTGAGAATATTATTCAGCAGTAGCTTAACAAATTTCAGTGAAAAATTAAGCAGATGAAAGTGTTTTCTTGGGCCACTTCCTCCATATGTGAGTTGGCTGCAGCTGCCATTGTACTTACTTTGCATGTTTAATTTGCAAATTAGCAATTGAGAAAGATAAAAAACATGAGCTTTGTTCTGTTCAGTTAAACAAACATTTGTTGCCCACCATGTGCCAAGCATTGGGCTGGATGCTAGAAGAACCCAGATGAATGAGAGCAAGTCCCTGCCTCAAAAGACCTAGTGTACTTGGCAGGGAGGCTGCCAAGTCTTCCAACCAGGATGACACAAATGTGTGGTTCACAGAAATCCTCATAACGAGAACATTATAATTATTCCTAGGATGCATAAGAATCACTCAACTATGGAAAGATAAGATTGGCAGAAAGTGCAAAATAACCAAATACACAAAATATTCAACATGCTGTGGGGAGAGAAATAACATCACCACTGATATTACCAAGGTGTACGTTGCGAAGTAAGAAAAAATGTTATCTGAGGCTGGAGAAGGAGATGGGGGTCAAGTTGGGAAGACTTCTTCATGTGAACAAGTTTGAGTCTTATTTATTCAGAGTGGCATAGTCAGATTTATATTTTAGAGAGATCACGCTGTTTATAGTGTGAATGTGGATTTAAGCTGGGACAAGGCTTGAGGCAAAGAAATAAGGTGTCACCTTTAATAGCCCAAACCAGAGATGACCAGGGTTCTCATTAGGACCTTAGAATGAGTGGCAAGAGTAAATAAAAGAAAATCAATTCATCACCTGCTAAACTGAAAGTGGACATTTTGAGCACTTCCAGACAAAAAGGCTAAAATTTCTATGTAATTCATATGAACAACAGCTTTCCCCAAAAACCATACATTCCGATTCAGAAAGTATGCATTCTAGATTGCTAAAAGGGAGAGAATTAGTATGTGATGGGGGAAACATTATGAAAAACAAGAAACATGATCTAAACAGGGGCATTGTAGAATCACTTTCTGCAGCTCCTCTTGACTAGGAGTTTTGTTAATTCTGTAGTAAAAAAGTATTAACAGTTATGATGTTAACTTCATTTTGCACATCTTGGGTTGCCAATACATTAACCTGTATATAAATGTACAAAATTATGTTCAATTATTCTGCACCAATGCTTTGTGTGTTCTCTTAAAAGACCAGATTTAAAATCTAATTTTTTTTAAATTTAAAGATCAAAATCTGCAGCAAAAAATGGCATTTGGAATTCTTATAGGTAAGTTTCTGAAGTGTGTAACCCATCATAATTAGAATCAAGCTCCTCATACCCAAAATGAGTAGATCCAAATATCTCTACCCTTTAGAGAATGGATCATTTTTGTCCAAGGACTTTGATTTTGTATTTCTAAACCTATGCCAAATCTGATTTGGTCTTAAAAAAACAAAGAGTTTCTTAGATCAACTAGATGATAAGGCTATCTTCTGAAAACCTTAAATGCTAGACATAAGGAGAGTTCGGGCTTCACAAACTGATGTGTGTTTATCTCTGTGGATTATCAATATAATAACTGAACTGAAAATCGGGAAGTGAACCTTGTTGCTTTGTGTGATGATTAGCAAGTACTATAATTTGGAAAATTGTAACCCATTAAGAAGATAGTCTAAATCTCTTGTCATGCACACACTGCAATACTCAAATACATTTTTAAAGAAAGAAACCTAGGCTGGCATGGTGGCTCACGCCTGTAATCCCAGCACTTTAGGAGGCTGAGGTGGGTGGATCACAAGGTCAGGAGGTCGAGACCATCCTGGCCAACATGGTGTAACCCTGTCTCTACTAAAAATGCAAAAATTAGCTGGGCGTGGTGACACGTGCCTGTAATCCCAGCTACTTGGGAGGCTGAGGCAGGAGAATCGCTTGAACCGAGGTGGCAGAAGTTGCAGTTAGCCGAGATTGTGTCACTACACTCCAGCTTGGTGACAGAGCAAGACTCCATCTCCAAAAAAAAAAAAAAAAAAAAAAGAAGGAACCCTAAGACATAGTATTTTTCATTGCTGTCATAATAAGACTGAATTAAATATTACATCATTATGAGGGAGTATGAAATACAGGAATACTGCTATACATACAGTAGTATGCACTATGCTTTAAATAGCTCTAAATATCTTTCAAACATATTCCAAGATATTGTGGGTTCCATTCCAGCCCATTACAATAATGTGAATATTGTAATAAAGTGAGTCACACACATATTTTTTGAGTTCTCAGTGAATATGTTATGTTTACACTATCCTGTAGTCTATAAAATATGCAATAGCATTATGTCTAAAAAACAATGTATATACTTTAATTTAAAAATCCTTCCTAAAAACTGCTAGCGATCATCTGAGCCTTCAGCAAGTCTTAATCTTTTTGCTGGTGGAGGGGCTTGCTTAGACGTTCATGGCTGCTAACAGATCAGGGTGGTGGTTGCTGAAGGTTAGGGTGGCTGTGTCAATTTCTTAAAATAAGACAACAGTGAAGTTTGCCACATTGATTAACTATTCCTTTCACAAAAGATTTCTCTGTAGCACATGATACTGTTTGATAGCATTTTACCCATCAAACTTCTTTCAAAATTGGAGTCAATCCTCTCAAACCCTGCTGCTACTTTATCAACTAAATTTAAATAATATTCTAAATTTTTACAATATCTTTGCCAAGAATAGATTCTATCTCAAGAAAACTTTTTTCATTCATAAGAAGCAACTCTTCATCCACTCAAATTTTATCGTGAGATTGTAGCAATTCAGTCACATCTTCAGGCTCCATTTCTGATTCTAGTTCTCTTGTTCTTTCCTCTATATCTGCAGTTACTTCTGCACTGAAGTCTTGAACCCCTCAAAGTCACCCACGAGGGTTGGAATCAACTTCTTTCAAAGTCCTGTTAATGTCGATGTTTTGACCTCCTACCGTGAATAATGAAAATGTTCTTAATGGCACCTAGATTGGCGAATACTCTCCTGAAAGTTTTTAATTGATGTTGCCCAGATATATGAGAGAAATCTCTACCTACGGCAACTAGTCTTACAAAATGTATTTCTTAAATAATAAGGTTTGAAAGTTGAAATTACTCCTTGATCCACGGGTTTCAAAGCAGATGTTGTATTAGCAGGCATGAAAACATTAATTGCCTTGTACTTCTCCCTCAGAGCACTCGGGTGACAAAGTACATTGTCAGTGAGTAGTGATATTTTAAAATACATCATTTTTTTCTGAGCAGTAGGTGTCAACAGTGGGCTTAAAATATCCAGTAAACCATGCCATAAACAGATGTGCTGTCACCTTTGTTATTCTGTTTATAGAGCACAGACAGAGTAGATTCAGCATAATTCTTCAGGGCCCCGAGATTTTTGGAGTGATAAATAAACATTAAAGTTACCAGCTGCATTAGTCCCTAACAAGAGAGTCAGCCTGTCCTTTGAAACTTTGAAGCCAGGCATTGACTTCTCCTCTACAGCTATGAAAGTCCTACAGGACATCTTCCAATATAAGGCAATATAAGGATGTTTTGTCTATTGAAAATCTCTTGTTTAGTGTAGCCACCTCCATCAATGTTCTTAGCTAGATCTTCTGGATAACCCACTGCAGCTTCTACATTAGTACTTGTTGCTTCACCTTACAATTTTTATGGAAATAGCTTCTTTTCTTAAACCTCATAAATGAAGATCTGCTAATTTCCATCTTCTCTTCTTTAACTTCCCCCCACCTCAATCAGCCTTCACAGAATTAAAGAAAGTTAGAACCTCTCTTCTGGGAGTTGGATAGGAAAATGGCTGAAGCAGTGAGAACACATACAACTTTTATTAACTATGCTGTCTTATATGAGTATAGTTTATGGCACCTTAAAATAATATAGTATTAGATTGGTGCAAAAGTAATTGCAGTTTTTGCCAAAAAAAAGGTAATGGCAAAAACTGCAATAACTTTTGCATTAACCTAATAACTTTGATAATCACTGATCGCAGATCACCATAACAAATATAATAATAATGAAAAAGTTTGAAATATTGTGAGAAATATCAAATGTAATACCAAGAAATGAAGTGAGCACATGTCAACAGTGAGCTGTTGGAAAAATGGTGTTAACAGACTTGCTGGACACGGTTGCCACAAACCTTCAATTTATAAAAAATGCACTGTCTGCAAAGGCTATTAAGTTAAGCATAATAAAATAAGATGAAGTCTGCATGTGTAAATAAATGTAATATTTAACTTTAAAGCATACAGAAGATAGCTTTAAAATGTATAGTAATGTGTTCTTTGGTATCGTTTATATAACTTACATTTTGATATGTTTCATTTCTCTGCTCAAATATCGAAGCAGGGTATAACTTTATATCTTGACCCCCATAACCACATATTTCTGTAGGACACCACTTACGAAGAATGCATATGTAAAAAGCGATGGATGTCATCAAATCACCCTTACTTTTTTATATTTACATAAAATGTCATGATAATCAGGGTGTGAGTTCCTCTTTAGACATCCTTCTGAGAACTATTTTATGACAACTTCCCCACAACTGATAGGCCAGCATGAGTTGTCAAGAGAATGGAAAAGCTGCCCCCACATCATCTATGCCTTCTGTGTCCTTTGTGGTCTAACTACATCCTCCAGGTCCTGCCATTTCACACTTGGCCTATGTGCAATGTTCCCAAAGCTTTAGCCATTTCATTTTGTACATAAAGATCAGATTCCACAACTGCATTCTGTTAAAAATGTCCTCTAATCTTTATTCGAAGTGAACCTATTGCTTTTTTTTTTGAGATGGAGTCTCACTTTGTTGCCTAGGCTGGAGGGCAGTGTAGCAATCTCGGCTCACTGCAACCTCTGCCTCCCAGGTTCAACCGATTCTCCTGCCTCAGTACCCCCAGTAGCTGGGATTACAGGCGCATGCCACCACACCCTGCTAATTTTGTATTTTTATTAGAGATGGGGTTTCACCATGCTGGCCAGGCTAGTCTGGAACTCTTGACCTCAGGTGATCCACCCGCCTTGGCCTCTTAAAGAGTTGGGATTACAGGTGTGAGCCACCACACCTGGCCCTAAGTGAGCCTATTTCTAAACCAAAGCATGGACCTTGAGACTAATGAGGGTAATGATGTCTAGGGGCCCAGACTTTAATGTGTACCGGAGCACTCTTAGATTGAAAAGTAGAGGATTTCCTGAGAGATTCTAGAGACAAAGTTAACATGGTAACATGGAGGAGGTTATAAAAGAAAGTGTATGTATATTAAGAGTTAAGAGTTGGGTTTTTCTATTTTAGCTTCCTTTTTTTTGACAGGGGTCTGGCTCTGTCGCCAAGGCTAGAGTGTGGTGGACCAATCTTGGCTCACTGCAACCTCCACCTCCCGGGTTCAAGAGATTCTCCAGCCTCAGCCTCCTGAGTAGCTAGGATTATAGGCATGTGCTACCATGCCCAGCTAATTTCCTGTATTTTTAGTAAAGATATAGTTTCTCCATGTTGGCCGGGCTGGTCTCAACTCCTGACCTCAAATGATCTGCCCACCTCAGCCTCCCAAAGTGCTGGGATTACAGGCATGAGTCACCACGCTGAGGCTATTTTACTACAGCCTCCTAACTAAAGCTTTTAAAATAGTTCCAGATGAAATCCAAAGCAAAATATCATTATAATTATAATCTTCAGGGAAATTCGTTTATTCGCAGATAAAGTATATGTGTTGCCTTCTCAGTAATAAACATCATAGATTAAATTGTAATACATTGCAAATGTGAGACTTGAGATGATATGATCAGCAGAAGGGGGAAAAAAGATGTGCATAATCTTGTATACAATTTATATTCTAAATGTCTGAATACACTAACAAAAATTCAAATACAGCAAAATAAAATGCTTTAAAGAGTCATAAAAATGAATATGAGGATATGATAGCATTTAGTATCATAGAGAATGTAGAAGACATGAAATATCATAAAATATAAAATATAGACAGAAAACTGATTGCATAAAATAATTACATTTAGGACATATGAAATGAAAATCATGGAAATTACAGTCAATCAGTAAAATTATTTTCTTAAATTTCTCCTTAATACCTAGAATGGCAACTTATTTTCCCAAGGATACTGTAGGAAAAATATTCTTTTGTTTATTTTTTGTCACTAATCTTATGATAATTTAACTGTATAAACTAACCATATATTACTGTAATATTGAACATGTTTATATTCAGCAAATTTCTTAGACTCCACAGGGTTAAATGATGCTATCTATAATAAGAACACCTGTATTAACTTGGGGTTTCTGGAGAGAGAGAGGAGCTTTTTCCAGCCGACTTGCCAAAAAGCTGAATCTATTCTGTGCAAACTATATGACAGATCATTCTGGAAAACTGAGAGCTAATGTAGTATTACATGTGGTTATACCATGGACAGTTGATAGAGAATGACCCGGAGTCACACGATGCACCTGTTTTTTTTTTTGTTGTTGTTGTTTGTTTTTTGGTTTGTTTGTTTGTTTTACAATTCAAGGAAAATGAAATTGTATTTCATCATGGAGAGGAAAAAAAGGAAAATTTTTAAACATTGGAGAAAATATAATTGAGGGAGCAAGTTAAAGTAAATGTTATCCTTACAAATAATGGCTGACAGAATTTGCTCTATTTTTGAGAGCATTGTTAAAACAAAACAAACAAACAAAACAGGAGTCAATTGATGTTAGCTCCTTCTTCCCTGGCATTTTTTATCCTGGGTTCCAGTCTTGTCTAATGGTACCAGGAAGTACCTAATTGCTGAAAACTATGGAACCTTCCTGTTTTTCTCTTTTTTCAACATTTCCACATACTAATTCAGTCTGGTCTACCTAGTAATTTTATATAATTGTGGATCATTTCTTACTTAGGAAGATCATTCCTTCTATCATCATTTCTTGCATAGAGTGTTGCCTTCTAACTAGTCCAAGATGATGGTTTGAAAGTGAAATATTTTCAAATCCCTGTTCTTTGTGGAGCTCTTTAGTGTCCTTTTGGCCTTCCTGTGACCCTGATGTTATAATCTAAGCCTGCTGGTGGACAGCACACTAAACAGTTCCCTGATTTAGGAAGTGTATCTGCAAGGCCGAGCCTTTTTCCGTGCTGTCCTTTCTACTTGGAACTCTCCCATGTTTGCCTAATTATTGTCTCCTGGTCTTTCAAACCAGTCACACTTGGTCCCTTCATCTTCCTCAAGCAAAATGTGGTGATCCCTCCTCTATGCTCTAAAAAAGTCGGCTCCAAGAAGGAAGAATTATGCCAAAGAAAAAGCCTACAAGAAGACATATTTCCAGAGTTTGAAGGTTGGTTTCAAGTCCTTGACTGCTAAGAATATCCACTTTTGACACATAATAAAGCAAACCAGCCTTTATTTCTATCTTCTTCTATTTGCTTATATATCTCTTACATGAAATTAAAGGACAAAGACCTCTTCCTGCCTTTTAAACTGTGTTCTGGAGCATCTCCAAGTTGGTTATGCCATCTTCCTCTCTTAAAAGGGATTTGGGGCATAATCTGAATAGTGAGACAAGGCAACAGCTTACTTCATGAAGCTGTGTTAAGGCTCCATCTGCAGAGAGTGAGACGACTCTGTCCAATGGTTCGAAAGGAAAACGTCATGCTTGACAACGTGTGAACAACTAAAGACAGAATGTTCTCTAGTTTTAGGAAGAATCATTTAATCAATTCCATTAGTATTCCCATGCGCTGAAACATAGTGTCTACATTTCCCATATGGGACACAGAGTTAAAACCCACAGGGATGAATTCATTTCCAGAGATCTGCAACTTTATCGTTTTGTCTGTTACAATACATGAAACAATCCCAGCGATTTTCAACATCATTAATATTTGATGTTCCATGTTCGATATACTTCAGTTATTCTTAACCAGAAAAAGAGTTTAATTTTACCATGAAACATATATCTACATAAGCTAAAAATAATACTTAGTGATGTTTCATATTTATTATGAGAAAGCTGTTCAAAATGATGAGAAAGCTGTTCAAAATGATCAGAAAGAAATTATAAAGATACTAACACAGTCAGGTTAATAAAAGTCACATATGTATAGAGAAAGCATAGGCATATTATTAACTTAGATTGCAAATAAAAATATCAAAGCAAAATGGACTGCAGATAATGATGTTTTATGGATGAAAATAGGAATGCAATTTTAAAAGGAATCCAACAAGTAAACAGTTGTAGCTGAATTGATAAACTCTGAAACAATGTGTTTTTACCTTCATAAAGTTCCCTAGTTGAGGTCCCAGTTATCACCCTCCCTTCACTACATGGGAAATTGTATTCTTTGGCATTTATATTCTAATTCTTCTTTATATTCCAGCAAATTATTTGCCCCCTCATATTTTAAACTAACAGCCTCCTTAATGGTCTTCCAAATTCTGCTTTCTTTACTTTCCAACCCAGCATGCACACAATTTTGACATATTTTTCTAGAAATCCTATTTCCATTTTTAGTGTATGAATCAACTAAAATACAAGTTACTTTGTAAGGACCTATGTTAATGTCCAACAATTTGATCATGGTGTGCCTTCTCCATCAAGCATCAGCCTTTAGGTGCTCCATCATCTACTGTTCCCTTAGCAATGGTACCCCAACACATACCAACGCACCAGGTAGGTCCAATCTTCATAAAGGGAGAGAGCATTTTCTCCTCAGAGTTTTACTTATGTCAATTACTCCAACTAGAAAAATCTATGCTCCAATCTATCAATTCACTTGTTCCTAATTCACCTATTAAAAGTATTACCAAATCACTATTTTTCAACATATCTTAATAAGTAAATATTTCAATGACTTCTTAGTCCTAATCCCTTCCCATGCCCTGCTAATTCCCACTAAAACACTGAGTGAACTGTGGTTGAAAATAATGACTATTGGCTAGATGCATGGGTATGTGCCTGGCTGGCTGAATCAACAGTCTCCTTGATATGCTCAAGTTAGTTGGCTTAAGTGACAATAACAACAACAACAATAACAAGATCCTTGGTTTAAGGGAGAGGGATTAAGGTATTGAAAGGTGGATGTTTAACACATGAAAAGTAGATCCTTTTGATCCCAAAAGTAACTTCTCAGCAAAAAAAGATAAAAGAACATCTAAGGATAAAAATATCCCAAACTTCTAACTCTCTATATACAAATGGGTTCATGTTAAATTTGTATTTCTATTTACATAATTTAAACACATTGTGTTCAATTGCAAAGCTCTAACCTAAGTAGGAATAGTAATCCCAAAATGCTCAATGTTAAACTTTAGGACTACATTGTTTGTAGGTATTTTCTTTCAAAGTTCATGGTTATTTACTTCTAAGCACAATAACACTCAAAGTAAAGGAGGAATGATAGCCAAGGCCAGTATCTAGAAGTACATTCACATTTGTTTTACCTACAAATAGAATGCATAATCCAGGGACACAGACAAGGCTAGTGTAGAGCTGTAAATTATTTATCTAATTAAAATAGAGATAATTCTTCTGCCTTCATCTTCTCAGCTATTTATTCCAGATGTCAGTGCACAACCATTCTATTCCAACAACAAAGTGAAATATTCATTGATTTGATATTCCTGTTGCTCTAAAGCAAATACATCTCAATTTCTGTGTCCTTTCCTTCCTTCCTCTCTCCCTCTGTCTACTCCCCCCACAACACACACGCACACAATTACACATTTTGTAGGCACTTTTCAACTATGTCTCAAGAATTAAAGAAAAAAATCTTCAAAAAAATTTTTTTGTGTAATTTGAACATTATAATATCATAAGGGAAAAATAAAACATTTAACCTTTCTTAATTCAAACACTTTCACACTTGTATCATAACAACATACAGACCCAAGGAAATACAACTGGTTGTTGTTACAGAAGAAAAAAGAGAATAATAATAATGTAGAAACAATGTGGCATTTCTGGTTGACAATGTGATAACTGTACTAAAAGATGTCTTAAATGAAAAAAAATAAACAAATATGGTATCCTTAGCTATACCTAAAATAACTTCTATTTTCTTCTCTGTAATTACATGAATGCTACAGAATTAACATTTTAAGGTTTCAAATGCAGTCAGAAAGACTAAACATAAAATTTACCTTATAGCTTTCAAGAAGCAAAAGAGATTTTTCAATTCTAAAATGAATCTCTGTAATCATGCAATCAATAATAATATTTTCAAGAATTAAGGTTCAGGGTATCTGAAATGTTTATTTATGTTCTAACACATTAAATAGGAAATAAGAAAAACTAACTCATTTTCCTTAATGTAAAACTTCAATCTAGTGGTAAAGAAAGTATAAATTTGCTTCTATTTCAAAATTGCATAAAAAAGTTTCCTCCAATTACGTTGGTAGTACTTACTTCTCTGCAAGCCCAACAGACAATTGCCTGGGAATAGCATTCACACACAACCTGTGTTGTAGGTAATTATGTAGTGTTCCTGGATGAGTCAAATATTCATGTAATCCACCTACCTAGGTCAAATGAATGAATTTCTATTTCCATTCATCAGCATTTTACTTGATGGCTTCTGTGTGTCAGTGACTACAACGATCTCAGGAGATTTGGAAAGAGTAAGTCATAGTCATTGACATCACAAGACCTGCAGACTATGAGGAGAGAAAACTGAAGACAGAAAGGCAAACCAAAAAAGGCAAGCTTTGTATTGAGCCTTGAAAAATTAGTTGCTGTTCAGTAGGTAAGAAAGAAGAGGAGGAGAGAAGATTTCAAGGCTGATCATATCACTATAGGAGCTAAGGTCTGATGTGTTAGGAATTTCAAGTTATTTAGGTGATTAAGATCTAGCATGTTCTGGAAGGTGTTAGGTGTGGTGGTGGAGGGAGTGGTAAGACTTAAGGAAAGAAGAGAGAGTAGGGTTATGTTGCAAGGTAGTAAGGAGCCACTGAAGGATCCTAAGCATAGGAGGCATATGCTCACACTTGCATTTTGGGAAGAATGCTCTGGAAGCTCTCTGAAGGATGGGTTTCTGATGGAGTGATGGAAAGAATGGTGAAAACATAGAGATTAGCAACACAGTTCAGTAAAGGAATGACAAGAGTTGAGTTATGGCTGTAGCAATGGCGAGGCAGAATATATGGCAATCTTGAAAGGTTTTAAAAGTTAGACTCCATGAAACAGTCTGGCTGGTTTCATGTTGTGTGTGAGGGAAGAAAAGAACTCCAAATTACTGACAGTACTTTGTTTATGAGACTAAGGTATGGTGGAACCATTCATTGGGTTTGACAGGATAGGACATGGAGCCAGTAGAAGGAAAAGCACAGACAGACATAAATTTGAGCTGTCACTGGGACGTAAAAGCAGACATATCTAATGGGCAGAATGATGTGTAATCTAGAAGAAGATCTCAGAACTAGGTATATGAACTTATAAAACACCTGTACACGGTGGAATAAACACACTAAATAATATATGCAATCATTAATAGTCATGCACTTCGAATTAGTATTAAAAATACTCTAGGTGATAAGCAATAGAAGGACAAGTAAAATCAATTGCCCCTTTGATAAAATACTGACATCTCAAAGTAAATTGAGATCGTAAGCAGACAAGGCAACTCTGGGGATAAAGAGAATATTAGTTATCTTATGAAGAAAGAGGAGCTAGGTAATGAAGGCAAATATGGGGCAATGGGTGGGTTTAAGAAGGCGAACTGGAGGCTACCTCTGGGAATGTGTAGCAGCTAGTCTCCACGATGACTCCCAGGGATGCTTGGGGTATTCATGCCCTTAGATAGTCTCCTCCAGCATTGCATTAGGTGTTATCTGTGTGACCAATTGGATGTGACAGAGGTGACAGTGTGCCCCTCCTGAGGCCAGGTTATACAGGGGAGTGCTGCTTCAGTCACCCTAGGAGAAGTCAGAGCGAAGCTATGAGGAGGCACAGGCATTCCCGTCTAAACACACACATGGAGAGAAACTGAGGACTCCCCCTGAGAGCCAGCACCAGCCATGAGCAGGTGAATGAATCACCTTGGAAGTGGATGCTCCAACCCTGCCAGAACTGCCTATGACTACAGCCACCATTCACATTTTATTTCAGTCTCATTAAGGACCCCAATTCAGAACCGTCTAGCCAAGCCACTCCCAAATTCCCGGCCCACAGTAATCGTGGGATATAAAAATGTTCGTTGTTGCTTTATGTCACTAAAATGTATTACGCCTGGATAAGTAACTAACAAGCACAATCATGATCAGTTACTCAAATGGGGAATATACATAGTTCCACTAGTGCTTTTAGCAAAGACTAGGTTCAAAATGAATGTTCTCAACATAAAGTGTATTTCTTAGCAAGGAATGTAACAACCCATCATGTACACAATCAGAGATTGGGTAAATTGGTTTTTAAGACTTAATTTTAAAGTTCAAGGAAAAAGACATGTAATGAGAAGAGTATCTGAGAGAATCATATGCTCATTAGAAAGCATTACCACGAGACCAAAGAGAGGGAGCAGCCCTGTATCCAAGAAGGAAGAAGGGTAACACTTGGTTGACTGAACAAAGAACCATTCATAGAACCCGAATAAGTATAAAAATGTACAGATAATAACATGTTTGAACAGATTAGCCAAGAAATGGAATTAAAAGTAGGTTAAAAGCCTAATATCATGATAAAATAAAACTGCAGTGACATAATTGTAAATATGTTATGTAACCTAACATTTACAACCAAAGCAGAAGAATGGAGAAGTAAGTGCCATCACACAATGGAAGAAGTTCAGTTCCTGGAGTAGGAAAGGCCTCTGCCAGTTGTGGCCCTTCACTTCCCCAGGGAGTGATCCAAAGTAACCCATTGAACCTCTCCAAATCTCTGTTTCCTAAATTAACCAGAGTCATCTGTAAGAGTTACTGTAAGAATTAACATTTGTATTACTTATTTTAAAACATACAACACAGGGCTGGGACAAAAAAATGCTTAGTAAGCAATATATTCTCTTGTTTATTCCATTTCTTTTTTAAAAATTGGAAAAAATATAAAGTGCCATAAGAAAATCAAGGTATTTTGCTTTCTCAACAGTAGCATTTTTACGAAAATGGATAACAACTTTTAAGACATCAATAAGGAATAGCAAGTGATATGATGAAAGTCGTAAGTTTAGCCAGATTCAATTAAATCTGTTGGCTTCACCAATTCCAAGCATATGATTATGTATGTAAAATAGCTTTCTAACTGTAATGCACTGCCTAAATGTGGAGTGTTATTTAGGAGACACTGGCAGAGAGTGTCAATTGATCCACCAGTGAGTAAATAGCAAATTAAATCTAAAAATGACCGTTTTTTATAGATGCTAAAAGGAACATTGAGAAAATTTATTTAGATTTACAGAAACAAAGAATGTTTTTCCAAGATTGTTCCTGGGGTTGTAACAGTAGGAAAGTCCTAGTACATAAAAATAAATACAAGATGCTGACTACATCCTGCTGTCCTCTACTGAGGCACAGCAGGGGATACAAAATCACACACTGAACATGCAGTTTACCTCCAGTGCCCAGGAGGCGGTCAGCTTTCAATTTTGTTTTTAAAAGGGATTGCAACATCAAGTTTTATTTCCAAATTCATGCTAATTTATGCAAGGCAGACAGCCTCTTCCATTTTGTGGCAAAATGAAGTCACAAAAATTGCTAGAATCTACTCTCCTTGAGACCTCAGCTGTTTTCAGTGTCTAGCATGCAGCACACAGTTATACTATTCTAAAAAACAATATTGTGCAAAATTAAATCTTTAGTTCATGCAATCAGCCATTCAAAAACTATTAAGTGTCCATTGAGTGCCAGCAAGTCAGGTTACAGATGCTCTTGAAGGCATTTCTGAGACCGCAAATCTCACTGTTAGTGTCTGAATACAGTGTCCAGTTATTTGCTGTGTGTAGCTGTATGGGTTTTTCATAAGTGGTTATCTGCCTCATGATGATGGTTTTGTGATTTTGATAAAGGGAAACCAAACTAAACAGGGGTTTGAGGAATACGGGGGGGGCAAGAGAAAATAGTGATTTCAATTATACGTAGATAATTCTTCAAGACAACTTAGCATTAAAAATCAAATATCAAGACAATAAGAGGTTAAACTGTAAAAGGCATAAAATTTTCTTTACCCTTTTTCTCCCTTTTGTACATAGCTTGCTAAATAATTTTTGTTATGAATTTCAAGGGTCTTTTCCTTTTCCTTAAAAAAGACTTCCAAACCTATGCTGGCAATCAACCTATGCAACTCCAACAAGCAATTCAGTTTATTTAATGATAGATTATGAGTTTAAACTCATATCATGTATTTGAATTGAAAATGTAGAGGAAGATACAAATCTATGAATGGTGGTTATCCCAGAAATGAACACTGGGGTTTGTGAAGGGCTAAATTGGGACTGTTAATTTGTTTTTATACCATCCCATAGCTTTTGAAATTTTACCATGATTATGTATCACTTTATAGTAAAAATTTAATCTCTAAAATATGAGGAATTATGTATTAATGAGGGGATATAGCAATTTTCTCCTTCATAAGAAAGAGATTATCTTTTATAGACTATTACCAGAAAGAATACAAGAATGTTATGTTTTAATCTAAATCTGGCTGGGTGCAGTGGCTCACGCATGTAATCCTAGCACTTTGGGAAGCCGAGACAGGCAGATCACCTGAGGTCAGGATTTAGAGACCAGCCTGGCCAACATGGTGAAATCCAGTCTCTACTAAAAATACAAAAATTAGCCGGGTGTGATGGTGCATGCCTGTAATCACGGCTACTCTGGAGGCTGAGGCAAGAGAATCGCTACTGGGAGGTGGAGGTTGCAGTGAGCGGAGATCACTCCGCTATACTCCAGCCTGGGTAGCAGAGTGAGACTCCGTCTCAACAAAAATAATAATAAAATAATAAAATAAAATAAATCTAAATAAATACATCTAAAACGCTTTCTCCTCCAATCAAATTGATCCATGTGTGTACTTCTGAATTTTTGACAGTTCCCAAGTGATTCCCAAGAATAGGTAGGTGTTTATGGAAATAAATATTTGTGAAATTCAAAATGAAGAAGCAGGTGTATAAGATGTATAAGAAGCAGGTGTATAAGATGTATAAGAAGGCATCTGAGAAAAGATGAGGAGACAAGCAACACAACAACCTTGGGGGACTATTTTTATCTCTTATAGCTCTTCACATTATAAAACTCTAGGACATTTTATGAATATATGCTCAAAAGACTCTCATGTTGAGGAAATATGTTTTAGAGGTTTAAGATATATTCAAATGCAGATTATAAAGATTAAATCAAGATTCCAATGATGATTATAAATTACATGAAAATCATGGGAAAAGAATAAATACTCTTCATATAAACTGAAAACCATAGGGAATATTTATAAAACTAGAGCTCCCTGAGTAGTGAATTATTCAGTCATTAAATGGATGCAGGTAGAGAGAGAGAGAGAGAAATAGATACAGAGATATACACCGAGATCTTCCTGCTTAAGGATAAAACAACAGAAAATAGGACTCTTAGAATGAGAAATGTTTGTCTGGGTACATCTGAAATATAAACAGTAATAATAGACAATCAAAAAACATCTTGATGACCACAGAATGACTGTGACATTAGAATAACAGCTAACAATTATTGAAATTGTATTTTATACTAAGCCTGGTATTAAGGCCTTTTTATTTATTGTTTTATGTAATTCTCATAAAAACTTCTAAGGGAAGTGCTGTTCTTATCCCAGAGTTACTGAGGGAGAAAGTTATGTATCACTTTGAGAAGCAATGACACAGTCTCAGAGTCACTAGTCAAGATCTACACTGAGCTAGAAGTGAGTACTTGCTTTAGCGCAAAAATTTTTGTTTTCAAGATGGATCTTGCTCTGTCTCCCAGGCTGGAGTTCACTGCAACCTCTGCCTCCTGGGTTCAAGTGATTCTCCTACCTCACACCACCATGTCTGCCTGTTTTTGTATTTTTAGTAGAGACAGGGTTTCACCATGTTGGCCAGGCTGGTCTCAAACTCCTTACCTCATGATCTACCCGCCTCAGCCTCCCAAAGTGCTGGGATTACAGGCATGAGCCACCGGGCCCAGCCTAGTGCAAAAATTCTAATCGCTACACTGCTGCATACAATATGATCTCCATAAATATGTGTTGAATGATGTCACAATGTTACTATAACCTAATGCTATAAAATACAGCAGGTGTCCTTCTACCAATATTTCAAATAGACATTGACCCACAATTGTATTTAATCTATTTTGCCGCAATTAAATAGTTAAGTAACAGATTTAAAATGTAGGATATAATTATTTGGACATCTATAATTTAATAATTAATAATATACTAAAAGGTTTTTTAAAGTAATAAAACACCTGAGTAATGTCTCTCCATTGACAAAAAAATAAAAATAAAAATCATAAAATCTAAATTAATTGACCATTTCTAGTCTAGGAACATGATAAATAACATCAACAGTTTCTCACCAGCCAAATAATAAACTTTTTTTTTTTTTGAGATTGAGTTTCACTCTTGTTGCCCAGGCTGGAATGCAATGGCATGATCACGGCTCACTCCAACCTTTGCCTCCCAGGTTCAAGCAATTCTCCTGCCTCAGCCTTCCAAGTAGTTACGATTACAGGCATGCACCACCAAACCTGCCTAATTTTGTATTTTTAGTAGAAATGAGGTTTCACTATATGGGTCAGGCTGGTCTCGAACTCTTGACCTCAGGTAATCCAGCCACCTCGGCTTCCCAAAGTGCTGGGATTATAGGCGAGAGCCACTGCACTGGGCCATAATAAGCTTTCAATGTCTGAAAAAGATTAGGAGTTCTTCAGATGCAAGTGTCCTCGTCTAATGTGCTTTGAATTCCCTTGGTCATTCTACGCTTACTTGACACTTAGTATGCATTTTATGACAGTTTGCTAAGTTTTTAATATAGTGCAGGGATGCCACTTAATATTATCAACAAACACAAAAGAAATTCAGCCAAGAACATCTATAATTGGTATTAATAATATATTGCTCTATTGCTCATACAACATGTTTGCCACATTTTTATTCACTCATTTATTTATTCTTTCATTCATTCACCCAACAACATTTAGACTAGCACTAACATTCACAATACGTCAAATATTGAAGCCATAGGGGTAAATTCACTATATTTAGCATCAGCTTGCTAGTCTTTTATCGAGTATTGCTATGTTTAGTATGAAATGTATTTAAACTCTGACTGAAATCAATAAAAGACAGCAGACAAAGGATTTAAATGTCCGAATCTAAGTATTCACTTCTAGACAGATAAAATATTATTCATGAATGTTATAAAAAGGCATTCGATTAAAAAAAATTATGGGAAAGTGATTCCCAGTGGGTAAACAAAACAAAACAAGAACATATGCGCATCTGTGCAATTGGCCACACGTGAAAATGCATGTCTCAAGGGCCAGTGCAGATGATTGCTTTTTCTTTCCCCACAACCCCCAGGGTGAGTGTCTAATTCAGACACTAAGAAAAACAGAAATAAGAAACAAAATGGATTAAAGTAGATGCAGCCAATCTATAGAGACAGAAACTAGATTGACTCGTGGTTGCGCGGGACTGGGAGAGAGGGAAGGGAAATGAGGAATGACTGCTAATAGGTAGGAGGTTTTTCTCTGGAGTAATAAAAATGTTCTAAAATTAGATTGTGGTAATGGTTTCACAATGCTGCCTGTGTTCTAAAAACCACTGAATTGTACACATTAATTGGGTGAATGTTATATGTAAAATATATATCTATAAAGTTGTTAAAAAATAGATGCTGCTAGTTTTTTCATTAACAATAACTACTTTTCAATACATTTTCAATTATTTTTATTTTTGAAAAGTATTTCAGATTTTTATATTTTTAGTAAAGATGTAGTTTCACCATATTGGCCAGGCTGGTCTCGAACTCCTGACCTTGTGATTCACCTGCCTCGGCCTCCCAAAGTGCTGGGATTACAGGCATGAGCCACTGTGCCTGGCCCAGAAATGCATTTTTAAAAGCCAATCTTTCCCTTCTGGATGAACATCAATGAACTCATAAAATTAGTTTCCATCCTGTGATTACCATCAAGTATTTTGTCTTTTAATGGTAATATTATTTTTATGAATCAGATTCCTTTGACTAATTTACTAAAATTTTGAGGTTTTAAATAAGCATAAACCCACTTAAGGACCAATGAAAATTAATTTTATTTTCCCCTTATTGATAGGTCAAATTCTTTTATGTAATAGGTCCTCATTAAATGCAGTTTATCTAGGGAAAAATGCAATGATAAAGAATAACCCCAGATTATTTAATAGTAGGCTCTTTACTTAACAATATGGAATAGAACATTGTACGTGTCCCAGTAATAAACTAATAACAGTGATTTCTTATGGAATTAGATCTACTATCAGAAAACAGGCTTTTTTAAAAAAACAGTCTTCTATATATCCAAATAACATAATTTAATTTAAATTTGCTTTTATTCTCCAGTGAAAAATTTTCAATGTTTTAAATCCTAAACTACTGCTGATATTAATAGATCATAATAACATCTTTGTGAAGTTCTGCAGTTACTGTTATCAGACTTATTTTCTGAGTACTTTTTATGCAGTTATCAGAAACATGATTTTGGAAATGTTGTTTTAGTCAATAAGTAACAAGATCAAATAAAATATTTTTTGGTCCCTTTTGTACTGAGGTAAAATACACAGACACAAAGTTCACCATTTTGAAGTGTACAATTCAATATAATTGGTGCATTCATGATGTTATATAACCATCACCACTATCTAATTCCAGAACGTTTTCATCATCCCAAAAGAAAATTTTGTATCCATTAAGCAGTCCTGCCTCAGTTCCTGCCTCCCTAGAGCACCTACCAGTGACTCATCTGCTTTATCTCTAAGGATTTGCCTATCCCGAGTATTTTATATAAAGGGAATCATGCTACACACATGCTTTTATGCCTGACTTCTTTAATTTAGCAAAACGTTTTCAAGATTTATCCATGTTGTAGCATGTATCAGTACTTCATTCTTTCTTATGCTTGAATGTTATTCCATTGTATGGATATACCACATTTTGTTTATTCATTCATCAGGTGATGGACAT
This sequence comes from Homo sapiens, assembly GCF_000001405.40. NCBI lineage: Eukaryota > Metazoa > Chordata > Mammalia > Primates > Hominidae > Homo > Homo sapiens. Next base: position 175,764,428 of record NC_000004.12, read on the forward strand.
TTGGTTTGTTTCTACTTTGTGGCTATGATTTTAGCAGTACATTTGGCTTGCTTTTCTAGATAACGTATGTCATGTGATAGGCTTCTTTTCCAAATAAAAATTAAGAAAATAAGAATACAAGATTTGGGGAAAACTGTTTTCATTCTAAACAGGACCAATACCTTTCCAGTATAGAACTCATCCTTCATATCCAAAGATAAAATGTATATCCTCAATGAACTATGAAACTCACTGTTTCAAAAACATAATAAAAACATCAGAATTGATAGCCAACTACCTCCTTGACATATTGATTGGGATATCTGGTATACATCTCAAACTTAATATGCCCCAGACTGAATTATTTTATTTGCACATCCATATTAAATTTTTCTTTAACCTTCTCCTATAGCTCCATTCTAGTGACTCAACCCAAAGGCATTATTATTATTATTATTATTATTATTATTATTATTATTATTTTGATACAGAGTTTCACTCTTATTGCCCAGGCTGGAGTGCAATGGCGCCATCTCAGCTCACCGCAAACTCTGCCTCCCGGGTTCAAGTGATTCTCCTGCCTCAGCCTCCCGAATAGCTGGGATTACAGGTGCACACCACCATGCCCAGCTAATTTTTGTATTTTTAGCAGAGATGTGTTTTTTCTATGTTGGCCAGGCTGGTCTCGAACTCCTGACCTCAGGTGATCCACCCACCTCGGCCCCCACAAAGTGTTGGGATTACAGGCTTGAGCCACTGCACCTGGCTGCCTGGTAGCCATTCTTAGCACACTCCTTTCCTCCCTACCAATGTAAAGTCCATCTTCAAATCATATGCAAACAGCTTGACCTCTCCCACTTTTCTTTATTATCACTGGCATTGCACTAGACCAAACCACCATTTTACTTGGACTCTTCCTTCTTGCCTTGACCATCTTAAGTTTATTCTCCACCAAAAACAGTGGAGGGAATCTCTTAAGAATTTATTTTTATTGATATATTGTAGTTGTATGTATTTTGTGAGTACATGTGATATTTTGATATGTGGATATGACCTGTAAAGATCAAATCAAGATAATTAGGATATCCATCGCCTCAAACATTTCTCTTTTCTTTGTTTTGACAACATTACAAGTCTTCTCTTCTAAACATCGTAAATATGTAATAAATAATTGTTAACTATAATTTCCCTACTGTCCTATTAAATATTAGAATTTATTTCTTCAATCTAGCAGTATTTTTATACCCATATGTCACCTCTTTGTTTCAAATCTTTTAGAGACTTCCTGCTACTATTAAAATAAAAACCCAATCCTCGCTATGACCTATTAGTCTCTGTATGATCTGATCTCAGACTTGCTCCCCAAATTCACTTCCTGGCTCTCTTTTCATATTGCCCCAGTGAAATCAACCTTTTTCACATCTTATCGGCACCACACTGTTCTAGAACCTTCTCAAATGCTGTCTTAATGTGTGTGTGTCCTCCACACACACCTAACCATTCTCCGTTTAACAACGTCCTGCTCATTGTTCAGGCCTCTATTCATACATCATATTCTCCAAATCACCTTCCAATACAAATCAGGGTGCCCCAACATTAGGGTGTCCTTTGAAATGAACTGAAATAATTTGATTCTTTATGATTCATTATTCTGCATTGTTTGGGCCTGCTTATTAGTATAACTACTCGGTCCTACATGAGACTGTAAGCCCAGTGGGGATTTTCACAGTAAGAGATAAATATTCTTCGTTTAAGTAGAAAGTTCATATGGCACTTAAGTCAATGTTATTCTTTGATCTCTAGAATAGTTCATGTAATTAAAATTTTCATAAAATACTAAAATTAGGACTAGTAATTAAATCAACTTTATTTTATCCCTTAAGTTTTATAGATGAAGAACACAAAAGGGTTAGAAAGGTAAGTGATTCTGAAATGCAGCAGCTCTAATCATGTTAGGAAAACATTCGCTCAGTAAAATAAGCCTTTATCTGGAGGAAAAAACCTGAAGAAATGTCAATCCAGATTAAATGAGTGATTCCAATTAAAGCAATTTCAATTTACACTAGTCAGTTAAGTTTTGATCACTAGCTTCATTTTGCTTTTGTTGTTGTGCCTGATTGCCTTTGATATATTAACTTATAAATAAAATGGATTTAGATTGATCTAATATACCTATCATTGATGCAGTGCTCTCTGCAGAGCACATTGTCTAATGATGTGTTAGAAGATCAGTGCCTCCACTTACTCTTTTTTTTTTTTTTTTTTTGAGACAGAGTCTCACTCTGTCACCCAGGCTGGAGTGCAGTGGCGTGATCTCTGCTCACTGCAACCTCCACCTCCCAGGTTCAAGCAATTCTCCTGCCTCATCCTCCCGAGTAGCTGGAATTACAGGTGACTGCCACCATGCCCGGCTAATTTTTGCATTTTTAGTAGGAACAGGGTTTCACCATGTTGGCCAGGCTGGTCTTGAACTCCTGACCTCAGATGATCTGCCTGCCTCGGCCTCCTAAAGTGCTGGGTTTTCAGGTGTAAGCCAGCACGCCTGGCCTCCACTTACTCTTTACCTCTGAGTTTCCCCTCTAATCATAAACTTTTTCGGCAGTTAATGAGCCAATCCATTGTTTCAGCCATTGCCTTTCAGGACATGAAAGGGTATGCAGTAAAACGTAAGGACTACTGCTCTTTCACTTCTTCCATTTTATTATTAATGAGTCTAGCGCATTTTCCTGAAATAAAAGCTATCAGTCCTGTTTAAATATTCAGTGGGCACATCAGTTCTCCTGAAGATACATACTATTCTTTTCAAAGAAGTTAGAGAGTTTATAGAAAAGATCATGAGCCACAGATGGAATAGCTCTTGAAAGCCAAGATTCAAAATCTGCCCCATTTTTGGCAGAGTAGAGCTACATATGTTGTGAGAAGGTGACACTCCTGTGGGGGACAGGAAGATGATTTCTCTATACATGAAAACTGCTTGTAACCTGGCCAAAGAAAATGTGATTGCACTATGTACAGCAAATCTTTGCCAAATTCAGAAACCCCTGACTGGGCAGCTTTACCATGAAAACCTCGAGAAATCCTTGATGAATTCTTCGTCTAGTGTTTTAACCAGAAATCCAGCATGTTTTAGAAAACAGATTTTTTTAGAGGAAAGTTTTTTCACATTTCACTTTTTTTAGGAGACTTTTAATAAAAGTAACTACACACCAATTGTGCACCATCTAATAAAATATGTGGCTGTAGTTATGGCTTCAGCCATTGGGCAGTAATGCATTTTAGGAGTTTTATAAACATTTTTTCTCCTGTCTGCATTCCATTACTAGCTAGAAAGTTTGAATTTCCTTAAATATGTTCAGCAGACACAGGATTGTCACCCATGAATTCAGAGTTATAATGCGGATGTTGAGTGGGTGGTTTCACTCTAGAACATCCCAAGGCCTCCAGGTTTCTGGCACTGGGAGAAACTATAAATTCTTTATATAGAAGATGTCTTAGATGCCACATATTTCAGATACCTACACTGAAAAATCAGGTTGCCTGCTTGGGAGATTCAAGCAGATAACATATTTTTCAGAGATTTAGAGGCTGCTGCATTTAGTTTAGCATTTATCAAAACAGATAGTAGTTCACCCCTAAAACTGAGGAGAAAACACAACAAAATTGGAACTTCTATTAAGAACAATATGGTTCATGTTTATCTAGAAAGGGGAAGAATTTGTTTTAATTACCTCTGATTTTGAATTACTACTTAATTACAACATGATGATGCTCAATTTGACAACTAAAATTCTAAGAAAAAGCTTTCACCTGATTAAGATAGGGAAATTATATGAAATGTTCCAAGGGATTTTTTTAAAACTCTAGTTTTAGACTGTGAATATTGTATAAGAGAGTGCGAAGCATTCTAAGAAGGAAATATATCAGTTTTGTGTCACTGATTAGACAGATTATGCCATCTACATTTCTTTCACTGAAAGAATAAATTCTTTCCATAGAAGATGTCTTGGATGCCATTTATTGCAAATACGGGAAAATGACGTAGCTTGTTGGGGAGATTCAAGGTGTTTCTTGGGAGCTTAGGGATTGTTAGAGCAAACAGAAAAGAGAATAAAAACTAAAAAATTAATAATAATTCAGTATAGTGACTAACTCAAGCAAGATGAGGAGAAATAGTGAAGGTTAAGTTAAAAAAAGGAAAAAATGATGCATTGCCTAGAAAGTTCATTTGCTCCTTATAAGAGTAGTTTATGCATTTTTAGTTTTTATTATATAATAGGCTATACTTCACATGTATCACCAAAGTTGAATTGAACTATCTGGCACTATGTATCATTCTGAACATAAATATTTAAAGATAAATATAGACATTAATGTGTAGTGCAAGATTAGAAAATAAGGTACTATCCTGGCCGGGTACGGTGGCTCACATCTGTAATCTCAGCAGTTTGGGAGGCCGAGGTGGGTGGATCACTTGAGGTCAGGAGTTCAAGACCAGCCTGGCCAACAAGGTGAAACTCCATCTCTACAAAAATACCAAAATTAGCTGGGCGTGGTGGTGGGCGCCTGTAATCCCAGCTATTCAGGAGGCTGAGGCAGGAGAATGGCTTGAACCCGGGAGGTGGAGGTTGCAGAGAGCCGAGATTCTACCACTGCACTCCAGCCTGGGCAGCAGAGTGAGACTCTGTCTCTAAATAAATAAATAAATAGGTACTATCTGAAACTTAGTTTTTAGGAATATCTATTTTCACCCTCAATAATAAAATGTCAATTGAAAGGTAGTTTATTAACCATGGTTGCATATTAGTTCAAACAACCTTGGGTTTAAATCTTGACTTTTCAATGAAAGATTTCAAATGAGTAGCAATGTGAATATGGATAAACCACATAATCTTTCTAAGCCCCATTGAGAAAACAGGCCTAATTTACCTTACTCTATATTATTAAATGAAAAAAATGCCCAGAAACAATTCTAGGATGTATAATTGATTTAAACACAAAGGCCTATCTGGGTTTGAAGTTGGGAGAAAATGAGGAATCAGATTAGCAAATACTTTGTGCAAAATATCCAGGTGAGTTCAGGGAAACAAATCAATGGACCTTTTTGCCCAGGGCCCCCCTGTGACTCATATGTGCTCCATGGTCACTGATCCAAACACCCCCGAATGAGGTCTCTGCCAGGCTTAGGAACCCAGGGTTGTATGCCAGCCAACTTTTACACCATTAGATTGCGAGAGGAGCCAGAATGATACTCAAGAGTCTACTATCTACCAAATAAATGATATATTCCCACATCTTATTTCTTTCTGTCTATGTCTTACTACCCTCACAGTAAATGCTAAACTTGCCTGCTAACTGCTTTCATTCCATTATATATTTCTTAGCTTTTGTTCCATTGGAAAAGTTAATGTCCAGAAAATATTAAAACATGGAATAAAGTTAAGACTAATCATAGATAGTCTCAATTGATTAGCAGTCTCATCAAATGGCTAAATTCTATTCCTATGTGACATTCCACTAAAATATTCAGGAAGTAGAATAGCAAGGTGAATAATATCATTATTTTTGCACGTTTGACCTATTATAATGACTTTTAGTTACAGTATTGTATAAGAGATACCCAGTTTTTTGTTTTGTTTTGTTTTTTGAGATGGAGTTTTCCCTCTTGTTGCCCAGGCTGGAGTGCAATCTCAGCTCACTGCAACCTCTGCCTCCCAGGTTCAAGCAATTCTCCTGCCTCAGCCTCCCAAGTAGCTGATATTACAGGCATGTGCCACCACGCCCAGCTAGTTTTTTGTACTTAGTAGAGACAGGGTTTCACCATGTTGGCCAGGTTGGTCTCGAACTCCTGACCTCAGATGATCCACCCACCTTGGCCTCCCAAAGTGCTGGGGTTACAGGCGTGAGCCACTGCGCCTGGCCGATGCCTAGATTCTTTTAACAGCTCTGTGGCTGCCAGGCTGGCTCACCTTTAATCTCTTAGCTCTTAATTACATCTCTTGTCAGCCAGAATGACATTTCCAAAATGCTAACTTTACCATATAATTCGTGTTAGTAATACATTTTCAGAGAGGCTTTTTATGCCTCAGAATGAATTTCAGGCTTATAACTTCCATTTTGATCTGCCCGTTGCTTGACTGTCCAGCCTTCTCTCTCACACTTTCTTCTGTTTGTTCTACTTCAAGTTATCTTCCTTCAGCATTGCACATGTGCTATATTTGTGCAACTTTCCTTTTCAAAATTTTCCCATGTGGGTCCAGTCTCTGAAGACTGAATTCCAACATCCCTGCCAGCCCTGATCTTGCTGCCTCATGGATGACCTCACTGTGCAATTTCCTCAGCAGCATCTCTAACATCTTTCTACTGGTTAATCGGCCATAATATCCAGATATACTTCGATGGTACCTGTGTGGACTGTTTTTACTATCTCTACACAGGCTTCCCAGAAGAGATCACTCACAACAACCTAGCCGATTTCTGCCAACATGATTACTTCATCCTCGGTGCATCCCTTATTTACTGGTATTAATCTGAGAGCGGCTTCCTGCACCTTCTGAGAATAAAACAGATAACAAGAAAAGTACTTATTGAAAATATCAAGGTTTTTGAAGTTACCTGTCACAAATATGTAATGCCTCTTCGTTCCTCTGTATGTCTGTAGCGGGAAGAATGGGGTATTTTAGGAAATATTTTCTCTATCCTAACCTATCTCACCTTCATTATGGCCACAGTGTCCTAGCTCCTGCTTCCTTGTTTTTTTGCCCATTACCAACCCTGCAATATGAACATATAATCTCTGGCACATTCTAATTGGATTTTGTCACTCCCACTGCTTCAGCTGTTTTAGTGCGTTCCATGCTTTCACTTTCAGTTTTAAGAATTTTCATGGCCAGGCGCGGTGGCTGTTGCCTGTAATCCCAGGACTTTTGGGAGGCCGAGACAGGGGGATCATGAGGTCAAGAGATTGAGACCTTCCTGGCCAACATGGCGAAACCCTGTCTCTACTAAAAATACAAAAATTAGCCAGGCATGGTGGCACTCGCCTGTGTCCCAGCTACTGAGGAGGCTGAGGCGGGAGAATCACTTGAACCTGGGAGGCAGAGGCTGCATTGCACTCCAGCCTGGGCGACAGAGTGAGACTCTGTCTCAAAAAAAAAAAAAAAAAAAGAATTTTCATAAACATTATATTTGATGTTTAGAAGACGTAAAACAGAATAAAAGCATAAAAAATCCAGTTAAGATCCAAATAAAATTCAGATAAAACAAAAGTAAAATGCCAATGATTACCTCACAACTAGCCAGATAGATGGCTCATTTTATTTATTCATTAATTCAGAAATGTTTATTACTGCATCAGGCATGGAGCGAGCAAATGATGTGCAATGGGTGGTGAACAAAGCAGGCAGGATCCCTGCTTTTATTCTTCTCAATCAATGGGCTGCTTTGCCTTGCCATAGTCTGATCAAATCCACTGACTAAATCTCTGTGAAAACCATACCTTCCTTGCTTTAGTATAGAATTTTATTTTGCTTGTCAGTAATCTGAATTAATTTTTCTTGATACGAGAGGCCAACAGACTTATTTCTGACCCTTGGTCCTGTCATTTTCTCCTGTGCATTTCTAGGAATTGCCCCTTCCATCATTCTCCTGCTCAGTGCGCATTTGCTGATCCTCCCAGGTCAGTCACAAGGGGAAGGATAAGGGTATCTTAGGAATGTTTCCTACACACCTTCTTATTGTAAATAGATTTATTCTGTCCCACAAACACCTTAATATGAGGCCAGTCTATCTGTCAATCACAATTTATTATCAGTAATTTCAAATAGGATACTGCTCCTATTTTTATCCTCCAGTAAATAGCATTTTGAAATTGGAAAGAGAATGAATCCCGAGAACATGCCACTTTGAAAGAGGCTTTGGTTAGAGTAAAAGCCTCAGGAAAGGCTGAAGTCCTAGGGGGTTAGGAGGATGAAGAGCAATGTGAGAGAAGAATGTCGCATGCTTGCAAGAGTGTATCACTGACAAAGAGCTCTGTCGCATCCTATGTTACCAGTGTTTCATCCAGAAATGTCACAAATAGATCACAGAAGAAGGAGCTTGAGACTACCCCAATTTTCACATTATCCCTTTTTAGACTGGGAAACCTTCCTTCCTGTCATTCTGCTGAGTTTTGAGCCTCAGGTCTTCCTAACTGGCTTCTATCCACTCCCTCTGGAGGAAAGAGGAAAAAAAAATTAAAAGGAAAGGCAGAGACATCACACTGAACACTCTAGTCTCACTTTCCACATTCTCTTGGGTTCAGCATCCATCTTCCTTGTCTCTATTTATTACAATCATCCATGGGCTTCCATACTTTTTCTACCTACATTTTTTACACCAAAATACAAAGAGAGACAGAGAGAGAAAGATACTCATTACAGAGTAAAAACCTTAATCATCTAGTATTTAGAAATCAAATGGAAGCAGGGCAAGTCCAATCAATATAAAGTAACATGCTTAAAACCCAAAGCATTTAAAATTTCCTCTGGACCCCCTTGGTCAATAATTCACCTTAGGTCTTGGCCAGGGCCATTGGAATAAATCAGCATACTAAAAGCCTTTTATGATTATTTAATTAACCAATCCCTTTCAATTTGTGTAATCTTCATTTTGAAAAACCTCATCCAATGATGTTTTGGTGGTGATTCCTTCTACCCTTATAAATATCCAACATCAGTTTACATAAGTTTCCCAGCCTAATGTTGACAGGCTGCAGTGCATATTAAAAAACAGTTGAATGGTTTTTCAGAAGAACAATTTTCTATATGTGAGGCTTCTTAATTACTAAAATCACATTGACCTGTCATGGAGTAAGATCGGCATATGCCATTCAGGATTCAGTGGAGAAAAATCTCTATTCTTATATACTCAAAGCCTTAAACGATCACATGCTTAGCTCTGAAATTATTTCCAGAATTCACTGTTGCATCTTTACAGTAAAAACAGAAAATAAGAAAACCTAATTGGCATAGATTGGTTGAAATTGAAAAAGAAATAAAATCTCAACATTCAAACTTAAAGAAATATCTCAATCAGAGCTAAAAAAGGATGATTCTCAAGATAAATATTGATTTTCTATTTATCAAACTCTTTAAAAATAATAAGAATAATGCTAAATAATACTACTTTGATACAAAATGACATGTATATATTAGCACACTTGTGAGAGAAAGTAATGAAATTTTATTTGTATTCTTTAGTAAATAACAGAAGCACAATTATATGTTAACAATTTGAATGGGGAGAGAAAAGGATTGGCTATCACTGTACATAAAACCTGTATACCTCAGAGTCCTGCACAGTTTCCATAGAAACACAGCAATAGCTAGTGTAGAAGCTATAGGCATCTCCAGACAAAAGGCTTGCCCGAGCTCTCATTTCAGTATATGCAAAGTCTTAAGAACAAAGACTGTTTTTAAAAATAGAAAGGAAAATTTTCAATACACAAATTGTCAAACCAAAATGATATACCATTTCATAAATATTAAAAAATACATCCTTCCAAATAAATTAAATGGAAGAGTAAATAAAATTCTATTTCATTAATCAACATATCAAATTCATAAAACCCAGTTCTATCAAGTTTTTTTACCCAAGACAGCTTGAGATTCATCAGGAAAATTCAAAATCCCAGTTCTCTAGTGTCCATTAAGGTCAATCAAGTTTCATAGACCACTGTTCTGTTAATATTGCTGTTTTTACCTTAGATGTTTGTTCAGTAAAAGTATGAAGTGTCTATCAAGTCCAGTGATACTTTAATGTGTATCAAGTCCAGTGGAAGGAAATTTGTATTTGAATTTATTTTTTGTTTCTTTCTTCCGAACCAAAGGTCTCTAAAATGCTCAGTAATTAACTCTTGGATTAATAACATCATATCTAATGTAACTCATCCTGCTAATTATTTAAAAACATTAATAAGCATATTAATCTTATTTGTATAAAATCTAAATCCTTCAAATACTGTAAGTCATTAGATTCCTCTCCCCTCTAATCTTTAATACTAACGTTGAAGTATGAGGATATTAATTTAACTCAGTAAAATAATAAAACAATCAAACTCACCTCTGTTTTACAAAAAACTTCCAATATTTTATTTTGGCATAGAATCCAACAATACATACATTCTTAAGAGAAACTAAAAACAATCAGCCACTGAGTTTATTAGATAAAATAAGTCATGAATTTCACAAATATTTTATTCAATGAAGAGTCTTGTATATAATGGTAAGATCCTTGTCACAATTGAACAACAGAGCAAAGAATACATGTTAATGTCAACATTACATCATTAAACTACAATTAATCAGTTAAAAACTCAGTCATGGCTGTCTAATGAAGGACATTTTTCCTGGGAAAGCTTAACAAATCACTATAAAAACTTATGCAAAACAGTTATTTTCTATCTCTCAGTTCATAATACTGATGCTATATAAAAAAATTCTTAAACATTTTGTGTGTCCATTCATTGTTTTTAAAGAATTTCCATAAAATAATTTTTGTTTCTAAATAAACCAGACGATCCCAAAATTTTGACCAAAATATTAGTCAATATGGATGTACAATAATATCAGGATATAAGGTGAACAGATGTATGTAGTGCTAACATTTTTATTTTTAGCGTGTAAAGTCTACCATGGCTTAGAAGGTTCACAACCATATCAGTGTAAATTTAGGCAGAAATCTTTGGAAGTATTTAGAATTGCTCTAGAACACTGCAAGGCTATATAGAAGAAGCATCTCCAAAATGTTTGCAGTTGAGAGCAATATCTCCGTATCAAATAAACAATTTTAACCTAATAAAATTTCAGAAAATTAAAAAATCTAGACTCAGTCCGGTATAAAACACAGATCTGATGAAGATCCCAGATATTTTGTAGTGCTGAAAGACGCAAATGGGAAAGGACAAAGTGTTTTCTCTGTTTTGAAGATATAAAAAGAACGTTTCTATAGTGGTGTTTCTCCAAAGTCATGCCCAACAAAATGGATGTGAGGAATGTTGTTTAGCATATATATTCAGAATTTCACTAAAAACCCTAGATTTTTCCATTAACTCAAATGTTGTTTCATTCTGCTAATAATTTTTAATCCTTACCTATCCACTATTAGTTATTTTGCATTTCAAAATCAAGTAAAAAAAAATGGCAAATTTGATGGAGCAGAAGGGAAAAATGGCAGCTTCCTTCCAAATGCCTTGCTTTCATATTCCCTTAAAGGACTACCTATTAATTGTCAAAACCATTAAAAGGAAGAAATCAGGAAAATTTCTGGTGGTATAAACAAGTCCACAAATTAATATAAAGCAAGTCATATAAATATACTCCAAAAATAGTCTACTCTTTTCAGATAAGCCAATTAAATGTTTATTACAGCAGAGCCATTTTTCTCTACCACCTTGAATCAACATGCTGCGGAAATCCAAGTTATAATCTATAAATCAGCCCAATGGAATGAAAGCACAAAAGGGGAGGTTATATTTTATTCTGTGTTGACTAGAATATGAAACAGGAAACCTTGAGAAAAAAAATAAAAATTTCAAAAGACACTAAATTCTGGAAAACCTTCGATTATAAAAAGCCAAGGACACAATATACCTGACATCACTATTAATTTGTGGTGTGAGAATTTCCATAAAAATTGCAAGAACTTGAAACCAGATTTTTTTAAAGGGACAATAAAAGAGATAACACATCGATGAGCAAAGACTTTTTCAAAAAGAGATCTATGGCAAGACCCTTAATAAAACTTTCTTAGAGAAAAATTTCAATTCAATATTATACTGAGTCTATCCTAAATGTCTCCCATTTTTAACTGACTTACCCCCTGTGTTAAGTCAATTTATATGTAAATTCTATGGAAAATTAGGTTAATGTGCCTTTTTCATGTAACTGACAGTAAGAGCAAATGCATCTTGCCACTTGGCTTCCAAACAAAGGCCTGGCCACAACCTTGACGTGAGGAACGGAATCAGGAAGGAGGGACAGAAGCTCACACTGAAAGAGCAAACTGTGCTGATTCATGATGTCAAAACTCGAGCTGCTGCCAAAAAAGTCAGGTGTGCAAGGGATCTCTGAGCATATTTTAACTTGTTCAGTCTCTAATATATTCAACCATTGATCTTGGAAGCATGACAAGGGTTAGCAACAACGAAGAAGCTGCCCCGGGAAATCAGTTTCATGAACAGGCAAAGTAAGAATCCCTACTTAAATAATATTTAGTTTCATACGTTTTTCCTAGCGACGTTTTAATGTCCCTACTAAATGTTATTATTCAATTTCACACTTACACATTATTTATCGAACCCCCACCATGATTTTTGAAACACCCTGTTACACTTTAATATATACAAAGGAAGAGGTATATAAAATAAGTGGAGTTCCTGGGAACAAAGGGAAAATAAATTCATATACATTGAAATGACGAAACCAATAGTGAGGTAAGTCTCCAAATCTCATAGTGTCAAGGCCTACGTATGCAAATCAAAGTCCAACAGCAAGCCCTGTATAAAGAAAATACAATCTTTGCAAAAAGCAAAGAAACAAACATTTTATACACACATGGGTGTGTGCACGTATTTTAATAACAGACATTTATAAATTCCAAATTTAATTTTAGACCATTGAAATAATTATTAAGGATGCATGTGTAAAGGAAGATTGTAGTAGGGAAGATAGTAAATGCAAGATAGTGAGGTATACTGTTGTTATGCAAACGTACATAGGCTTTGGAGGAGAATAATTTGGTGTTTTGAATCCCAGTTCTGGCAATAACTAGCTATAGGACCATTGTGAGCAAGGTCCTGACATATTAACTAGAGATAATAAAGATCATAGGTTTTATTTACTGTCTTCATGAAAAATAGCACTCAGCCTTTCAGAACCTTGGCACACCTGTTTATTATTATCTATTTATTATTATTATAATACAGAGTAGACAGTAAAAAAATTACATATCTTAGTCCTTATCCTATTGTAAGGTACTCAACAAATGGTAGAATATTTTTAATATTAATTTATACTAAACATGCAGTTATCTCTTCATATAACATGTAATTGTGAGATAGAGAACATTCTCTTCTTTATTAACTTAGTAAAAAAAAGATAAAAATATTCTCTACAAGAGTCCACAAATGAATGTGTTATATCTACTTATAAGATATGGGATTAGCCTTTATATTTTATAATTAGTAATGCAGTTGATTTTTAACTAGAAAATATCAAAACACACCAAATCCTAAACATAATTAATTTACTAACAGGATATTAAATTAGCATAAATGAATTTGAGAAACTATAATTTTCAAACTTCTCTTCAATGTTATTAGAAATCAACAATGTGCCCAATATGTTATCTATAGGTTATGAAGACCATAGGAATTTATTCAATTGTAAAAAATAACTAATAAAAAATTTTTTTAATCCCTCAGATTATATGATAGGAATTATTTTTCTTTGATAACATTTACATATCAAACCATAAAGAACAGTTTGACATTTAAAGTAATGTTTTTAATTAGTCCACTTGCTATTCATAGAGCAGAAACTCTGCAAACTACTTTTTTAGAATTTATCACTCATTTATTTCACAGCATAATGGAGCACAGATTTGCATGTAATCTGCTTACCTTTCACCATTTCCCAACTCCGACTCTCTACAATGCTTATTAAAAAATACCAGAGTAGAACTTGAAGACCACTAGGTTGGGCCCACCAGAATTCTGTTTTCTTATGGGATTAATGTTTTCTGTGGGAAAAATTATCCTAAGGAAGGCTGAAGCATTTAGATTTAGGCTACAAATATTAGACTGATATTAATAGAGTTGGGTACTACTATTTAAAATTCAAGTTTGGTTTCTGTCACTGGCATTCATCTAATAGCCCAGGTCCATGATGACAAAGAAAACTCTGTAGGGGGCCTAGGTGCGGTGGCTCATGCCTCCCACTTTGGGAGGCTGAGGCAGGCAGATCACAAGGTCAAGAGATTGAAACCATCCTGGCCAACAAGGTGAAGCCCCGTCTCTACTAAAAATACAAAAATTAGCTGGGCGTGGTGGCGTGCACCTGTAGTCCCAGCTACTTGGGAGGCTGAGGCAGGAGAATCGCTTGAACCTGGGAGGTGGAGGTTGCAGTGAGGGGAGATCGCAGCACTGCACTCCAGCCTGGCAACAGAGCAAGACTCTGTATCCAACAAAAAAAAAAAAAAAAAAAAAAAGAAAAAGAAAAAGAAAACTCTGTAGGATAGAAGAAAACTCAAACAACATAGTTTTTTCCTTATTAAAGATGCCTCAAATTTTTCTACTGCCTATGACATAGATGACTATAATTACCTAATGACTTTATCTCCTTAATAACATGTATATCTACTAAATATATAAAATAACATTATTATATACAATAAAACATTACATATTATGTAATTGTAATATATGGATATATCAATAATATAATCACATATTGATAGCTTGTGAATTACTATATAATTATACATATAAGTATAATACATAAGTATATATATCAATTATACAGTTGGAATAAAATTTACTAATTTTTTACAAATTTATTGTATAACATTTGTTGGTAATTGAGGTAAAATATGTATTACAAAATGATATTCCAGAAAAAAAAGAATAATTGCTAGTAAGCTATCCAGTTCCCAGAAATGCTTATGGAAATGATGAGAGAGTGGCTCCATGCTTTCTTTATTCTGCCTCACCCACTCTTGTTCTTTATCTATCCTGTGAGCACTGCAGTTTCTCACCATAGTGCCTGTTTAAATCTCACCCTGCTTGATGCAATCGTTACCCATTTGATGTGGAAGTCTTTATGAATATCATCTGACCAATAAAAATATTTTAAAACTCTCATGCACGCCTAGAGCAATTTCCGTTTTGTTTCAGCTTTATAATGTATACTAGACATCCTCCTCAATCAACGCAGATTTACGTCATTCTTTTCCAAAGCACGTTATATTTCACAGAAGAACTTAGGCTATATTGTCAATATTGAATATTGAGTGTAATGAATAGCATTCATGTGGTTTCCAGTTCAGTAAGCGGGTTTCGTATGGGGCAACATGAACATGTGTTTGCCTTCTTGGTACTGTTCTACCACAGCTTTTCAGGTCTCATGGCTCTCAAGAATATGTTCTACTATCACCAAGCAAAATTAGGGACAGTCTGCTCCACGCATCCCTAGAGGCAAACACTGAAGGTCAGTTAACAAATTAAAAATAATAATAACAAAAAACTTTTCTATGAAGCACAATAAAAATTAACATATCTGCACTTAGTTTTTCCCTTTGGCAACAGATACACCCACCTGTTGGTAGCGTGATTGTTAGCTAAAAGGTTAGCACTACATATATCCTGAGTAAGGAAATATGAGGGTAAAATTTTAAAAGGAGATAAGAGAATAATAACTATAAGTTCAAAATTAATGTGCTTTATGAAAAGAATGACTTTGTCCAGAGAAGATAATACACATGTATTCATTTTGAAAAGGGTAATATAACTATAATAATTTACAGTAACTCGGAGGTAGCAGTATGCTCAGTGAAAAAAAAATAGTTTAAAGTCAGAAAAAATTAGTATTTTAATTCATGTGTTAACTTTTTTTTTTTTTTGAAATGGAGTCTTGCTCTGTTGCCCAGGCTGGAGTGAAGTGGCGTGGCGTGATCTCGGCTCACTGCAACCTCCGCCTCCCAGGTTCAAGGGATTCTCTTGCCTCAGCCTCCCAAGTAGCTGGGATTACATGTGCCTGCCCCCACGCCCAGCTGATTTTTGTATTTTTAGTACAGATGGGGTTTTTCCATATTGGCCAGGCTGGTCTGGAACTCCTGACCTCAGGTGATCCACCTGCCTCGGCCTCTCAAAGTGCTGGGATTACAGGCATGAGCCACTATGCCAGGCCCAGGCATCAACTTTTAATAAATCACTTGCATGAACTTCTGATTTCTTGCTCTGCAAAAGGAAGTGCATCTGTACAAGAGCACAGTTTTCTGTCTCTTCTGTTCATCCCAAGTGCTTGGCACAGAGTAGACACTCAATAAATATCTGTGGAATTCATGAACGGCTATCATGCAGTTATGGAGAGACTTAAATAGCATAACACAGTGCGTCACATTCAACACATGCATATTCAAACCTATATTTACCTATTTTATAGTTTTCGCTTAATGATTTCATGTGTCTCAATAACCATGTAACTTATTTTAAAATGTATCTTAATGTTTATGACAATTTGAATTTCCACTACACAAATTAGCCAGTGTTTTCTGAATAATACCTAAAATATCTGGACACTACAGTGCTTTAGAGAAGCAAGAAAACTAATTTAACAATCAGTCCCCAGTGTGTTCTCTATCTCCAAAATAAGTGAATTTGTGATCACCCATCTATAATAATATTATATTTTATTGGATGAATATAGAAACTTCCTAATGGTAGGATTAAGCCAAATCCTGAATTCTGTCTACTCAGATTAGTCAGGTTAAATGATAAAAGGTGTAGAAAAGATAAACTTGTGGTGGAGGAATTTAGGAGCCTTAGAAAGTATATGATCCATCAATTAGAAGGGCAAGGTATCAGGAGAGGCAGGAAATGAAATACATAGTTCATCACCAACAAGACCAAATAACTCAGAGATGAATAAAAGCAGCCTATAAATGCAGCAAAGGGCCTCAGGCACAGTAATAAAAAAAAAATAGAACAAAAAAGATAACGTTCACATTAATTTCTTTGGTTTTAATAACACGACTCAAACAACACCCACCGTGCGAAAATAAGATCATACAAGCACACAAATGCTTCTATCAGAGGCCCAAGCGGACTGAGGAATCCCAGGTGGTCTGTTTGGATGCCCTGAAGAAATGAAGGGAAGGGGGTGTCAGGGAGGGGCGCCCAGAGCTCTTCTGTTGTAGCATTGACCAAAAAAGAGGCAGCCAGAGAAGGAAACAGATTTCATGTATCATTAATGACATCCCTACTTCTGGATCTGAAATTCCCTCTCAACTTCAACCATGTCAAGCTTCCTAAAACCCCT
This sequence comes from Homo sapiens, assembly GCF_000001405.40. NCBI lineage: Eukaryota > Metazoa > Chordata > Mammalia > Primates > Hominidae > Homo > Homo sapiens. The sequence continues at coordinate 175,781,479 of NC_000004.12, forward strand.
TCCTTTTTGAACTTCTACTTCACAGCACCAAGTGATCTTCCATACAGTTCTCTGATACTTTTGCTCTTTTCCTTCCTTTGCCTTCTAACTATGGGCATTCACTTCATTCGGTCATTACCTCAATGCTTTCTTTTTGCCTCTGATTTCCTGCACTTGAAACCTTTAACTAGTGTCTCTATGCAGATTATTCACATTTTAAAAGTTCACAATCTTGATCATTCATTTGAGATTTATTTCACATTTCTAAAGGCTGTGGAACTTTGGGTGTGCTATATAACATGGCCATTGGGATGACTCTCCTGTGCCAATGTCCTGTGCAAATGTCCTGTCTAAAAGTTTACCTTTGAATGTATACTCATGAGACCTTCATTATAATATTCAGTTACCACAAATATTTCCTCCAGTATACATTTCTGGATCCCTTTTTAAAGCGTGGTTTTATAATATAACACATTTTCATAAAGATTCAAAGGTCATCTAGCACAGTGATCATGAGCAGAAAGGGTGAGTCCTAAAATATCTTGAAACCTCAGGTTTCTCAACCATAAAATGTAAAAATAATAATGGTGTCTATCTCATTGGATTCTTGCAAGACTGAATCATGGTAAGGCTCTGTAAGTGCTGGCTATAATAATCACAGCATTGTTATTATTATCAGTTTTCTGCTAAACTCTAAAAAGTTTAGGCTAAAATTTTCCCATTATCTAACCCCAATTTTATTTCACAGACCATTCTTCCATATACTCTAGGATAAACAAGGAGAATATCTCTGTGTTTCTCAACGATTTTTTTCCCTCACCCACCTAGGCTTTTGCTGGGGCTATTTTTCATTATGGAATATCACGTCATCTACTTTCACCCTTCAAAATCTTAATCATCCTTGAAGGTTCCTACAAAAAAGTCACCCTTATGCAGAATCTCTCTAAAATCTCAACTGAAAGAATACAAAGGAAATTATACCCAGCCCTGTAAGGTAAAGGTGCTATGTCATGTCTTCCTCCCCTTACATATCTCTAATATGTTTTTCAAAGATGGAAATAATACTTTGTTCATCATTGTTTTCTTGATGGTCCTTTTTAATACAATGCGGCAAATTAATAAAACTCAAATGCAGCTATACTCTCCAGTTTATGTCAGTTTATTACATCCGATTAACTAGTAGAAACACAAGTCATGGAAATTACAGATAAGTTGTTACTACCTTATACATTTAAACTACTTACATTCCATAAGTAGTATAAATTACCTTATTTATTGGACATAGCTTAAGAAATAGAACTTATTAATAAATAAATGTCAAAATTAAGTAGTGAAAATAATTATTCTCATTTCTTTCTTTAATACACGATGTTACCGTTTGAACTACTAAAATACTCTTTATATACCATCATTTTAAAATAAATATTTAAGATTTTGTTGTCAATACACTGAGTAAAATTAACACAGACATGGTAATATCCATATCTGTACTAGAAATCTGAAAAAAAATTTATTGTTGTAAGTTATTAGCAATGATGGAGCAAAACTCATAAAGTAATGCTATTAAATTATTTTCAAAATGTTCTAGTTTAATGACAGTTTATTTAATTTGCTTGTGACCTTGTTTTATTTATCAAAATGAGAAATGTTTTGAATTAACTTTTTTAAAAAAGTAATTTAAAAAATTTTTTGCCTTTGTCATAATAGTAAGGATTCTAAACATAAACATAAATTATTAAATAATCAGGCACTGCCTTGTCACCCTATTTTCATCTACATAAGAAACTTAACTCTAATAGAATTTGTTTCCTATTAAGTCACATTAATTTTGCCAATAATTTTTTTAAAAATAATGGATAAAGGAATAGAACAATTGTGAATTATTCATGATGTTATATTTTTCTCCATTTTCATCAGAAATTCTTTTAATCCTTTTGACTTCAATATTTCATAAATTAAATTAGTGAGGAAATTCAGTATTTGTGGAATACCAAGTTAAATAATATGAAAGGAGCTTAACATACAACTTAAAACAATGCAAAATTTTCAAAGCATAATATTAAAGCCTATTATTTATTTGTGCCAAATTATATGCTTTGATATAATTAAATAAAATGAATGCATACTTTGATTCAATTCCTTAAGGCAGAGCTAGTAAATGGAATAAATGAATTGTCTCATTTAAATGTTTTATACTTTAATTGGGAAATGGATTGTATTTGAATTTATATAGATTGATAAGAATTATTGGCAATATTTTATGGATTTCAATTTTGTCACATTATATCACAATATTTACAGACAAAAAAATAGAAAAATAAATTTTGCAACAAAAACTTCAAATCAGAGGAGAAAAATAAAGACTCAAATTCATTTTATGAGAATCATTCTATTTGCATAGCCTCAGAGTATCTCTCTGAAATATCTACCAATTACAATGGTAGTATTAACATATGTCCACAAATTTTTTGATATCCCTTCTTCTAGGAAGTGGAGCTTATCACCTCTCTTTAAAAGTATAGTATAGACAGAATGTCTCACTTTTTTAACATACATAGTTTGAAACGGGAAAAATAGTAACTTCAAAGTGAAGTAACCTAGTAGAAAACACCTTAGCCAAGTGATCAATATTAATATTCCCAGTAATAAATAAGGTGGATAATATGTGCTTCTGGATATGAAGTGATGAGAGAGGCACATCACTTTTGTCCTAGTCTTCCCCCAAATCTATAATCCCATTCTAATCATGAGAGAATATCAGACAAACACAAAATGAGGGCAATTCTACAAAATACATGACTAGTATTCTTCAAAAGTGTCAGGTCATGTAAAACAAAGAAATATGGAAACACTGTCACAGCTTGTAGGAAACTAACGCAACAATAGTTTCTTGGATTGTATCCTAGAACATTAAGTGACATTAGCAGATAATTAGTAGGTAACATTAGCAAATCCAAGTAAAGTCTGTAGTTAATTGGAGATTATTATATCTATGTTAATGTATTAATTTTGATTAATGTATGATGGTTATGTAAACATTCAGAGGAAGCTGGTTTAAGTGTATAATCCAAGTTTCTGTACTATCTTTGCAATGCTTTTGTAAATGTAAAATTATTTCAAAATTAAACAATTGAAGGAGAAATTCATCTCATGAGTAAATAAAATAATGAATGTGAATTATAATGAACTCGTCAAAAACAAATTATGATGATTATAGTCAATATCATCATTAGCATCATGACCTCTAAATATGCTAAGTGTGTGTGTGTATGTGTGTGTGTGTGTTTGTGTAATCATATATGAGAATGAACAGTATTGCTAGAGGCTGAGGCAATACTTGGTTGTGATTAAAGACACAAACTCTTGGGAGCAAATTCTCTAAGTACTAGTACTGGCCATTGCACTTATCCACTATCAAATTAAGTTAATAGCCTCTGTATAAATCAATTGCCTCAATCCTAGTAAGAAAAGTAATAGTACCTACATTTGGTAATAGTCAAAGATCTCAATTCATCCCCTTTCTGTATGTGCATGCTGCCTATTACATGGAAACATAGAATCTAATTCCCCCTCCTTGAAGCTGGGCTAGCTTGAGTGACTTGGCTTTGCAAGTACAATGTAACAGAAGTGAATTTCTCCCATTTCCGAAGCTAGATCATAAGAAACCTTGCGACTGTTGCCTTAATCTCTAAGATCACTTGCTCTGGGGATGTCCCCTGACCAAGTCCAATCGCCATGCTATGAAAAGTTCAAATTCCACGCAGAGGCCACACCTGGGAATTCTGGCGCGGAGTCTCAGCTAAGCTCACAGCCATCACCCAGCATCAATTGAGCCCTCTTAGACATTCCAGCCCAATCAAGCTCTGAGGAGACTGCAGATGTCCCAGCATCTTGCAGCCAGCATCACATAGAACAGAAGAATGAATCAGACAACCCACATAACTGTGAAAAATAATAAATTAATGTCTTAAGCTACTAACTTTGTGGTATTTTGTTATGCATCATGCCTCCTACAGCTGTTGGGAGAATAGAATTAGTAACCACATTATATTAACATTAACTATTGTTATAGTTATTATTCTCATCTCCTCTAAATCACCCTTAACAGTTACCCAAACTGATTATTCTTTTAAACCCTTTCCCCTCTTAGGCAGAACTAAAGAAGAAACCCCTTTTTTAGCATTTGCATTCATACTACTCATATGTTGTCAACAGATTTCACATAGATCATTAGAATAATTCTACTAAAAGACATATGCCAGAAAATAATCTAGGGTTTGAAAAATAGATGCAGATAAATCAGCACTGTATATAAAGACAAATAAGATTACTCCCCTCATAACTGGGATTAATTCAACAGCTAGTTACAGAACACGTGCCACAAGCCAATCACCATGGCTGGGCAAGGCGGATTCAATGAGGAACAAGATGGAAATGGTTCTTTCCTTGTGTAGTTTGCAGACTCAGTCCAATCAGAAAGACAGATAATTACAGAAGCAATTATAATAGAGTGCCATAAACACTTCGATAGAGAAAAAAGAAAAAAAAATATGAGAGAGCATCGCATAAACCTATAGTTTCCAAGCTGTGACCCAAGGCATCTCACAGAGTGGCAGCAAACTCACAGGATATTGCTGGATATTTTAAACTTTCAACAGAAAACACAGTGACATCCATTAACTTAAAAGTGCTAGGTGTTTCTTTTGACTTGGAGACACCATGAGGAGAAATTACTGGGACACTACAAACACCATGAATTGAGAATGTTTAAAATCTCAGGTAGAGACACTTACAAATAACACCATCTTTTTTGAAGGTCAGGAAAGGTTTTTTGTTTTGTTTTTTTTTTTTTGAAAAATGAATAGCAGTATTCAGTTGGCAGGTAGCATTTGATCCAAATTACCCTTCTTCTCTCCCTTTTCCTGACTCTCCTCCCTCCAATTACATCAATTTGGGCATCTACAAAGCTCCCGTGCTGAACCTTTGCCCTCTCTACTTATTTCAGTCCCTCACTTCTGATTGTCTATTTTCATCCCCATATGGTGTCTTAATGTCACTTCAAACTCAAAATGTCTAAAATAAGACATTTTTTCCTTTACCCAGCACCTTCTCCTGCCATTCCTGTTTCTCTATTCTCTTTATCACTCAAGCACATGAAAGCAGCTTGAGTCTAGACGTTCCCTTCTCCCTCAGAACTAATATGATATGTGTGCCTTATCAGTTCTTCTTGTCCATGTTCCCTTGAGTCAGTTGCACCCTTTCATTCTATGGCTTTTCCCTTGGTCTGGCCTCTATCATCATCCACCTCCAGTCTCACTCTCTAATCCATTCTGCACAAAACCTCCAGACTAATTTCACCACAATTCTTTCTCCAACAGAAGTGTAAAACCGAGCACACACAAAATGAGACTTACCCAAACTTTCTTTCTTTGAGTTCGAGGAACAAGGCTAAACTTTATTCTTTAAAGAGAAAGAAAAATATCTGTGGTCTTCTTTGAAAGTGTTTATTAACCTTTCCAGCCACTTGCTGGACGGCATTCCCTCCCCCAATTGACCTCCCTCTGTGAATTTTCCTTTAGCCTATAATCTCGGTGTTTGTTTGTTTTCCTTTGTTTTTCTATTTCTCCCTCTGTTCTTTTTTTTGTTGTTGTTTTTGTTTTTTACCCTTGATACATATGACTGTTCAAATCCTTATGAAAGATCAAACAACACAAAAAACTAGCATCCTTTTCATTGGATGTGACATGCCAATTAATAAAATTCATCTTAAAGCTTTAATAATGTATTTAATGAGGCATGCACTACAGAGATAAAGCAGAAATGATTTCCTCAATAGTTTCACTGATAATACTCCCACCAAAGTCACCCTTGACCTTACCTTCCAGGTCTGTCATAAAAGTGTGATGCTGCCGGCCGCTGGCTCCTTGTGAACTCTATTTTCCCTTGATTCAAGGGCATAAGCTCTCTCCTGTGACAATTTAACATTCTGTTTCGTGTTCTGAGATTTTTTCTAAATTGTTTTTTTAAGTCACTATTTTTGGTCCTTTTTGTTCCACCTTTAGGTTGATTTCATCAGTATCAACATCACCAATGATTACATACTTGTTGATGATTTACAAGTACAGATTTCTAATTCAGCTTTTTTCCCCAAATCACAACCCATGTATCTAATTGCTTTACTGACATAACTCTTCCTAGTCAGACAAATTTAATATATGCAAGACATAATTTTCTTTGAAAAATCTGTTCCTTTTGCTCTCACTTCTGAAACAAGAATATTCACAAGCAATATAAAGCACCATTTTAAAATGACAGCTTTACCTTACAGAATATAGGCTCCATGAAGGCTGGTTTTGGCTTGTTAGCTTGTTTTTAATTGCTATCTTCCCAGCAATTTGACTACAGCTGGCCCACACTGGGTGCTTGTTATATATTTATTAAATGTTGAATGAATGAACAAATCAATCTCATGAAGACGAAAAAAGTCATACATATATACTTTGAAGTTTTAAGTTATGAAAATTACACTTTTCCATTGTTTCATCTTTTCTTCCCCATTTTTTCCATCTACACTCTTCTCATCCTTTATTTCAGATTTGATTTTGCTAGCACCTCGCTTCTCCACCTCACCCTGCTCCTCCAGCCTCTTTTTGTCCCTTTGTGGATATTCATTAATATGTGTTAGTCTAGTCAAGGCAAATGGAAAGGGGAGAGAGAGGATGTGTCTGAATAGGGAAGAGCAAGACAGAGAAGAGACCAAACAACAGAAAGGAAAAGGAGAAACGTCTGAAAATAGATTTAAAGAATAAACAAAGGAGGATGAAAGCAAAGATTTTTAACTGATATGTCAAGAAAAACAAAAGGAACAGTAAGAGATACATGTATTTTCAATCCTGAAATCAAGGAAAACAGTCAGTTGTTTCTCAAAGAAATTTCTTTAAATTGGCAAGGTATATTCAGTCTGTTTTATTAATAGAAATAAAAGTAGAAATATACAGACTACTGATTTTTTTTAAATAACAGTTTTGAATCCCAATACTTGAAAAGCTTTAATCAAAGCAATCAAAGCATCATACAGATGCAAATACAACACAGACAAAACCCTTATCCCCAAACCTAGAAAATTTAATGTAAGAGACAGTTATAAACTAAACTGAAACTAGATTTTATTACTGTTAATTATTTGCATAGCAGAAAATGAAAATTTTACAGAATCATGCATCTATAGTGTTACAGGGGAATTTCAGAAGTGGATTTTGTTTCGGAAGTAAATTTTAAAATACCAGCCAATGATGGGCAAATACTTAAACCTATCCACCCTTTAATAGTTCTTAATGAACAAATCAGACATATAAATAGAATGAAGACATTAATAAGGCTATCTAAAAATTTAAGCAAACAAAAACTGGTTCATAATGTAATAAATTAGAGCCATAGCTCCATACAAGGAATTATGATAAAGAAAGAAAATGAGGAATATGAAAATGAAACACTGCTGGTTTCATTTACACTAAATGAACATCTCCTGGAAGTAGGAAGTTAACGTGTTTTGACCACAGTGTACTTGGTAGTGGGATTAGAAGACACCATGGTGCTGTAAAAAGAGTCTGCATTTGAATGAGGCCAGCAGGGTTTTAGGCCCAGTTCTATCACTAATTAGTTCCTAATCTTACAAAGTTAATTTACTTTTGCAGAACAAAGATGATATTTAATACGTCTTCTTTTTAAAAGTGCTATAATGAATAATGATTTTTAAAATTTATTTCAACAATAGACTTTTGGAATAAATGTGTTCTATTTAAAATATTTATTTTTATAGTTGATATCCATATTCAGCTTCTTGATTAATCAAAACATCCATGTTTGAATTTTAATATCAGCACACTAATAAGAAATAATAAAATTAAAACATGTCCCCTTCATTGATCTCACATGTTGATTGTCTTGGCAACTAAACTCATTGCAGAAGCTGTAAATCCATTATGTTCAATTTATCTTGTTTTTATTATTTTATTATCCTGATAAAAGCAGGCTGACTTTAAAAAATAATACTTCCTAGAAAGTCAATTCCTTCTCCTAGGCTAAATGTCTTCTGAGGTATGAGAAATCAGGGAACATGAATAACAAAAAAAACATGAATTGTGTCCTAGGACATGATAACTTGCTTTAATTTTCTATCTCCAAATTTTGTCTTTATGTTAACAGTTATCTACCGGCCAAAGGAAGGGAGTTAAAATATAGAAGAAAAAAGATATTAGTGAGTGATACCATCAAACCAACTCTCTATTTCTCTCCTTAATGATTTGTCGTTTTACCATCTTCCTGCTCCCTAAATTTGGCTATGGCAGAACTGGCCAGCAAAGGCTGTTCCTGTGTGCCAATGTGCCTTTGTATGCCATCTGCGGATATCATCTGCCAGGCACCTCACAAAATCATTTACAAGGAGAAAGAGCTAAATAGAAATTGCCATTGATAGCAAATATATTTGTTCTGAGTAATATCAGAATTATCTCTAATAACATCCTTAATACTGTAAGGCTGTTTCAACCTTTTCTTATTGAAATACACATCAAATCAAAACCGTATTTCGTAATCATCTAAGTGAATTTTTAAATATCTAGCTTTTTACACATACATTTATCTTGTTAGCACTACATAAATAAATGTGTAATAGCACATTCAAGGCAATTCTTAGAAATTTCTGCCCAATTTGCCATTATCTACACAGTTTTTTATTCCCCATCTAGTTAACAGCTTCTGAGAAGCCCAGGTTCCCAATTTCTGAGCATGTTTAATCGACCACTATGGTTGTCATGCCAACCAACACAGAGAATTCTGAGCTTACATGGGGCATTTCAATACAGTGACCCAATTACTTTCTGTCAACAAATTCACCAGCAAAATAAAGGGGCTAACACATTAATGAGATTTCCTGAGACTGCCCTGTAGAGATGCTTGCAGTAAGATCACCATCAGTTTTTAAAATACTAAAATGCTATTAAGTATCACAAGTATGATTCTTTTTATCCTCTGCCTTAGTTACTGTTATCTTTATGAGTGTATTTTCTATCAAAAATGCCTGAAGTCAATATATTTTAGCTTCTCTTTCACTACAAAATCAAATGACACCGGGGTGTACATGATATAAGGATACCATATTCTCCAAAATGGAAGTCACTCTATCTCAACACGATTTTAATTTTATATTGTACAATGGAAATTTATGAAGGCATAGGGAAAGTTGTATATCCTTTTCGTTATTGTTTTAAAAAGTCTTCATTTGAAAACCAAGAACGGCAAATGCCATGAATTAAAGGACTTTGCAACATGATGAAATTATCTATTCATTGCCTAAAAAATATTTTGTTCGTTCTTTTAGGGAGGAAAAAAAGAGAGCATAAATGTTAGCACTAGGTTGAAACAAATATTTAAACTAATCCTTTAGATATATAACATACAAAATGTTTTAGCTTCACTTGGGTATTTACTATATTTACAATTAAAGTTTGCTTTAATGGGGAGTGGTTGTGTGTATGAGAGAGAGAGAATAAAGAAAAAAAGAAATAATAAATACAATATGAATGTACCTATTTTCTGGCCAATCCTTTTCCTATGTCTTTTGGACTAGAGTTCCATTTTTTTCACAATTTATAATCATGTTATGCATAGGCTCTATCTATTAGGTAAAATAAAATTGATTCTCAGATGAGTTTATTTAATAAATAAATCAGATGGCAGATGGGCTTTATTAAAACAAGTAGAGATAAATAAAATGTATAGATAGAAAAGATATTCTTGTTCTAGCAAGATGACAAGAATTTAATAATGTTTTTACATTACTCTTGAAGATATCAGTTTTAAGAAATGCATCTAAAATTAGTAGAAGCATAGACATGGAACTCTAGCACCACTCCTTAGCATTGCAAATAGGAAAATTAAGGTCTCAGAGGTTAAGTGACTTGCCATATGCCACCCAGTCAACTGGTGGCAGTCACACAATTTGGAGCTTGCTTCATTATTTGACATTAATTTGTAGACTGTTGGATGTATTGTTATAAATGTCCCTATATGTAAAGTAAGAGCAATTTATAAAAGGTTAAATTTGCATATTTAAAATTGAACTCAGAAATTGACTGCAGTCATCATCTTCATCCACATAACAGAGAAGAGATTCAATTTTCTCTTACTTAATAGATGGAGACTACTAACAAAATGATTGTATCAGAATGAAAGCACTCATCTAAAACATACAGAAGCAATATTTATTACAAAATAGAGACATTCATATTTTACCCATTTATTCACACACACACGCACACACAGACACACACTTTTCTGTAACATGAGCAAACTAGTTTCCAAATATTTTGTGGCTTTTATGCCTTCTGAAAATTGACATATTGTCCTTCTACACTCCCAGAAATACTTCCATTTATTAAAATATTTATGGGGAGCCTATTTTTTAAATCAAATTGATGCTTTGATACCACAACCTGTGGTCATATTTAGTTATTAATCATATAACCTGAGCAGTCCTCATAAGCCCTAAACAGTCATCAGTAAAATTAGCATTGACATAAAAGAATTTATAAAGCTACAAATAAATGATTGTATTTGTTTACAGTATAACAGTTATTGACTCTGGTTTAAGTAATTTGATCTCATTATAAAAATATATTTCAGTCTCTTTAATTTCCAACTCATATGTGCTAAAAAATTTTAAGCTCATATGTTTAATCCCTCTGTTTACTGCTAGTAACATATCGTGTTTATTTCTTCTGGTTATGCATTGGATTGAAACTGCCATGCCAATAAAAAGTTAAGTCAAATGTGTAGAAAGTATTAAGCTCACAGCATGGGTTATACCATTTTTATTTTATTCTAAAGTTTTACAGTGGATATTTGGTGTCTACTCTTCCAAGTACTTTTAAAAGTAAAAAATAAAACTAGAAAATAATTAAATGAAGAAAATAGCCAAAAAGAAGAGGCAACCCTATATTTTTTTTACTGCCCTGGTAATACATTTATTTTTAATGGACTTGGGAAATGCATGCTTTCTTGTAAAGATACTCTATAAAATTGAGAATGGCGTTATTTTTCAAAATAACAACTAAGTTTACTTAGAATACATCCACTGATAATTATAATTGATGAATATTAGTAAAATTTGAGATGTTAAATTCCATTTTGCTTAATAAGTTTATATTTTAAAATACAATGTAAAACTCTTTATTTTGGAATTTAACTTATAATTCTTTGACATCTGATCAGAAAGTTTATTTGCCAATTTCCAAGGAAATATTGAAATTAAAGACAGAAATACATATGGGATTCTCATGTTATTGTATTCATAATGCTTTTACTTTTAAATATTTATATTAAGAAACCTTTCAAACATAAAACAAATAATATAACAAGCAATGATAAAGTTGACAATGTGGCCGACCATGGTGACGCATGCCTGTAATCCCAGCACTTTAGGAGGCTGAGGCGGGCAGATCACTTAAGGCCAGGAGTTTCAGACCACCCTGGCCAACATGGTGAAACCCCATTTCTATAAACAATACAAAAATCAGCCAGGCATGGTGGTCTGTGCTTGTGGTCCCAGGTTTTTCATTTACCATTGTATCTTAAAAAGTTATCCATGCTAATACATTCTTTAGCTAGTACAGATGAGCCTACTATTATGGACTATATTATGTATTTTTGATAGAACTCCTCCAAAAAATTAATAATAACTGCCCTTCTGAAAGATGTTCTATGGCTTCATACAATATGAATGCTCTTACTCTGAGCTATCCAGGACCCTGTTGGTGGAGGTTGCCTGGATACCCACCGTCCCTACCTCACAGCAATTAAGAACATTCTGGAATAGTCTGTAAGAGATCCATGTATTCTATTCTATTCTATTTATTTATTTATTTATTTATTTATTTAGAGATGGTGTTTCGCTCTGTCCCTCAGGCTGGAGTGCAGTGGCGCGATCTCGGCTCACTGCAACCTCTGCCTCCCAGGTTCAAGTGATTCTCCTGCCTCGGCCTCCTGAGTAGCTGGGAATATAGGCATGCACCACCACAACCAGCTAATTTTGTATTTCTATTAGAGAAAGGGTTTCGCTATGTTGGCCAGGCTGGTCTCAAACTCCTGACCTCAGTTGATTCGCCTGCCTCGGCCTCCCAAATTGCTGGGATTACAAGTGTGAACCACTGTACCCGGCCAAGATCCATGAATTCTTCTGCACATCAGACACTACTTATACTTTTTACTTGGATCATCTGATGTCTTGACTTCCAGAAATGCATTTCCCATTGTTTATGATAATAGGAGTTCTTTTCCTCTTTAAACTCTGGTAAGCTGCCAAAATTCTTCCTGGTATTTAGAGGGAAAATATTTTAAAATACTTTTTTATGATATTGTCAATTCTGATCCTCTTGGTTCACAAATATAATTTCATCCATTTATCCTAATTAGTCTTTTGACTTTTAGTCTTTGCTCATTTTACTTTTTAACCTTTGTCAATTTATGTCATCTTGATTTGGATTCATTTTACTTTTTAACCTTTGTCAATTTATGTCATCTTGATTTGGATGCATCTTTGGAAACCATTTTCCTTCTAGAGTAATACAGAGTATCTGGATCTACATTGACAGGCCTAAGAAGCAACTTCACCACTTACTGCTGAGTGACCTTGGAAAAATTATCAAAAATCTCTGGGTCTTAGCATCTTCATCCATAAAATAAGAGTAATAAAAGTATCTTATTTGTATAGTTATTGTGAGGATTATGCAAATTAATAAATATAATGCACTTGAAACAGTGCTTAGCAAATGATGTTATCTCAACAAGTGTTAAATATTCATATAATTTCTTTAGATTTACACATGTGAGTCCTTAATAGAAACCATAATCAAATGTTTACTTGTTCATAGCCCTTCTTTGGATCTTCTGTAGTTTAAATATTTCCTTTCAAAGATACAGTGCAATTACACACAATAACTTAAACAAGGAATTGTTTATTCACTCAGTATTTATTGTCAATCATTATACTATTCTGTTCACAACTTTGAATTCAAGATTAATATTGCTCGGAAGTTATTCTAAAAGCATAGCATAGAAATAGAAAAAATGAAGCTGATAATTCAAGGAGCTGCATGTCATTATAGAAATGTACTGGAACCTGGGGAATTGCATGACTTATGATGAATATGGAAGCCTGGAAAAAGCTTCCTAATGAAGCACTGATTGAGGCATGGTCGGTAAGAAAGAAGATGGAAAATAAATCAGGGTGGGCCTGTACACATCACGTGAGGGCATGCTGAGAGACTATTTCAATGCTGAATGATAAGATTGGGTAGTAGGCCTAGAAACTTTGCTTTGGGCCATATTATAAGGGCTTGATATGCCAAAATAAAGCTAATGGATTTAATTTTATAGGCAGTAGAAACAATGGAAGCCTTTACGCAACAGAATCCATGAATATATTTTGTTTGAGAGAAATTATTCTAATTAAAGCGAATAGAAATTGGATGAAGAGAAGCATAATAAAGACAACCTCAATAGCTTAAGGAAATAGTCGATTACATTACTGAGTACCTGAAGATGAGAATCTGGAATTAGGAGACATTTCTGAAGTGAAAGCATTTGATAACCCATTAAATATAGAGGAAAGTGTGAAAGGCATTAGTAATGACCTGTAAACTTCTAGCTTGGGACACAGTGTACATAAATGATGACAGATGTGATGGAAGTCAAGAACCAAGGATGTAGAGTTGATTCAACAGTCAGTTGATAAATTCCATTTTGGACATATTGCATTTGAGGTACCTATGGCTATCTGAGGCAGGCAGCCTCTTCGAAGGCACTCAATAATCCCTTCCGAGTAGCATTCATGTCTTTCTGAAATCTGCTCCACCTGAGTAAGGGCTGCACTTTTTGACTTGCTTCTAATGAATAGAATATGGCAGAAGCAAGGAAATGTTCCTTCCAAGATTACATTATAAAAGCACTGTGGGCTGGGCATGGTGGTTCATGCCTATAATCTCAACATTTTCGGTGGCCAAGGAGGGAGGATTGCTTGAGACCAGGAGTTTGAGAACAGTCTGCACAACATACTGAGACCCTATCTCTACAAAAACTTTTTAAAAGTTAGCTGGGCATGGTGGGACACACCTGTGGTCCCAGCTGGGAGGAGGCAGAGGTGGGAGGATCACTTGAGCCCAGGAGTTTGAGGCTGCAGTGAGTCATAATCATTACTTTACTCCAGCTTGAGTGACAGAGCAAGACCCTGTCTCAAAATAAAATGAAATATGATAAAATAAAATAAGTAAAAGTACCGTGGCTTCCAACTTACATGGAATCTCTCTCCCCATCTACCTTAGATCCTTTGCTCTGGAGAAGCCAGGCACCATGGCATGAGGCAGCCCTGTGGAGAGGTTCATGTGGTACAGGACCAGGCCTGCAGCATCACTTGAGTGAGCCACTAAGCAGATTACTCCCCCCACCCCAACTGAACCTTCATATGAGACTGCAGCTGTAACTAACAGCTTAATTGCAATCTTGTCACTTTCTAACAGGCCACCCTGTTTTTCTCAAACTCTATCACTGATATTTTCTCAAATATCTATTTATCTATGTTTGGATGCTGTTTTAGTTGCTCTCTGTCTCCACCACTTCTACATCAAAAGCTTTATAATGTAGTCTGCCTTGCACAGTGACACTTAGAAGAATGGCTAGCAACTAGTCACTCTAAACTTATTATCTACTTATCTTTTATCAATAAGAGTTATATTTATGTTACATATAATCACAAACATTGGAAGTAAATGGCTTTTAGCATGGACAAGGAGGCGATATAACATGATCAATGAAGATAATAATATAATCTTAAAGATGAATAAAAATCTGTTTTTATCATCTCTAATTTA